>NC_000001.11:585988-1291585 GCF_000001405.40 Homo sapiens
GATCCTTGAAGCGCCCCCAAGGGCATCTTCTCAAAGTTGGATGTGTGCATTTTCCTGAGAGGAAAGCTTTCCCACATTATTCAGCTTCTGAAAGGGTTGCTTGACCCACAGATGTGAAGCTGAGGCTGAAGGAGACTGATGTGGTTTCTCCTCAGTTTCTCTGTGCGGCACCAGGTGGCAGCAGAGGTCAGCAAGGCAAACCCGAGCCCGGGGATGCGGGGTGGGGGCAGCTACGTCCTCTCTTGAGCTACAGCAGATTCACTCTGTTCTGTTTCATTGTTGCTTAGTTTGCGTTTTGTTTCTCCAACTTTGTGCCTCATCAGGAAAAGCTTTGGATCACAATTCCCAGTGCTGAAGAAAAGGCCAAACTCTGGAAAAAATTTTGAATATTTTGAGCCAAATGTGAGGACCACAACCTGTGAGAACGGAAAATAAATCCTGGGACCCCAGACTCACTAAGCCAAAGGGAAAAGCCAAGCTGGGAACTGGCTTATGCAAACCTGCTTCCCATCTGGTTCCTAAATAAGATAGCTATTACACAAAGATAAAAAAGCTACATCCCTGCCTCTACCTCCCTCGCATGTAAAATGTGTATTCAGTGAACACTGACCAAAGACAGAAGAATGCAACCATTTGCCTCTGATTTACCCACACCCATTTTTTCCACTTCTTCCCCTTTCCCCAATACCCGCACTTTTCCCCTTTACTTACTGAGGCCCCCAGACAATCTTTGGGAAAAGCACGGACCACAGTTTTTCCTGTGGTTCTCTGTTCTTTTCTCAGGTGTGTCCTTAACCTTGCAAATAGATTTCTTGAAATGATTGACACTCACCTTGGTTGTGTTCTTTGATCAGCGCCTGTGACGCAGCTTCAGGAGGTCCTGAGAACGTGTGCACAGTTTAGTCGGCAGAAACTTAGGGAAACGTAAGACCACCATCAGTACGTAGGAGTTGTGCATTGGTTTGGTCTGGAAGGAGGAAAATTCAAAGTAATGGGGCTTACAGGTCATAGATAGATTCAAAGATTTTCTGATTGTCAATTGATTGAAAGAATTATTATCTACAGACCTGCTATCAATAGAAAGGAGAGTCTGAGTTAAGATAAGAGACTGTGGAGACCAAGGTTCTTATTATGTAGATGAAGTTTCATAGGTGGCCACCCTTAGAGAAAATAGATGGCAAATGTTTCCTGTTCAGACCCATAGAAGGTGCTAGACTCTCAGCCAATGTCTTCAGGATCAGAGAAAGACCTGGAAAGGGAAGGGATTCTCTACAGAATGTAAATGTCCCCCACAAGAGACAGCTTGGCAGGGCCATTTCAAAGTATGTCAAAGAAATATATTTTGAGGTAAAATATTGATTTCACGGCCTCTGTCTGTCATGTGATGCTGCACTGGAGTCAGGTTGGAATTTGGTATCTTATTGCTAGAGAGCCTTGTCAGTCTTCAGATCTCTGTTTTAATGTTGGTTCTGGTCAGTTCTGCCCAAATTCCAAAGGGAGGAGGGTACAATGAGGCCTGTCCAGCCCCCACTCCTCCTCATCACGGCCTGAACTAGTTCTTCAGGTTTCTCTGGAATCCCTTTGGCCCAGAGGCGGGGTCCACGCAATCGGCTGTGGGGCTTAGAATTTTATTCTTGGTTTACGGAAGCTTTAGGGAGGTGCTCTGAGACCCGAAACTAGACTCGACTTTAACAGACACAGACGACCCTGAAGGTGAGACTGTCTGCTGGTGGGATGCTGGGCGAGTTGCTTAATGTCCCTGAGCTGCTATTTGCTAACTGTGAAGTGGGATCCTGGTCCCTGACAGGCAAGATTGTGGCACACGGAGAGCTGGTGCACGTGGGCGGCTGTCCCCTAAACTCGCGTCCCTTCTTTTTAATCATACCCCACTGGCTGCACCTACACCTCCTCCCAGGCACACACCGAAGAGGATGAGCTCTGGTCCTCGAACCTCTTGTCTGCTCCCACCAGGCAGATTCTCTGTTCCCCGTGCCCAGGCAGCAGTGGTGGACACCAGCATCCCGGAATGGTGTAGAAAGGCTGACCCCGTCATAGCCAAAGCCTGGGGTCTCCTGTTTCCCTCCTCCTCCTCCCCACTCCTCTCCCGACCCCTCCCTCCTCCACTTACCCCCATCCCCTGCATAATGGGTTTCTAGCTGCCTCCTCTGCCTGCCCAAACAGGACAGGCAGGAAAAACTGGCTTGGTTCTGAGTAGGCAGTTTCAGGGCCTTAAGGAGAAATTCATCGGCCATTAATCAGGACCTTCCCTCCGGGGAGTTGGCAGCTTCAGGTGTGGTCTCTGGAAACAAGCCCCACAAATTATTATCAGAGAACCTCTGTCTTGGGTGGCAGAGGCAGCCTGGTTGGGGTGGGCACCCCGGCTACGGAAAGGAGCAGCTCCCTCCACTTTCCTTCCGGCTGCCTGTGGAGAGGCTCGAGCGGGGCACAGTCCATGACGAGATATTAATCTTGTGTTTGGATTTTTCCTTTTTTTTAATAAAGAAGAAAGATAAGGTATTGTGCTCATCTTGTAAAAATCAAGCACACAGTACATCAGTCTATTCTACAAAGAAACACAACCTAAGCAAAGATTTGTTATAGGCAGTGGCCAGTTACAGAAACAGTAGGACTTGCATTAGGGGTTTTGTATGGGAAAGAAAGGGAGTCAGACACAGACGTGATGGTGGAGACAGGGGCAGGAAGACAGAGCAGCTGACACTTCCAGAAATAGCTGGCCAGAGGCCAGCAGGAGGGAAACACCGACCCGAGGAAAGAGAGACGGGGATTGGGAGAGAAATTCAGAAAAGATTGAGGCACGCACACAGACAGACACACCCACCCACACACAGATACGGATTCAAAGAGACACGCACACTCTGAGTTTCTGAGAGTAAGCCACTGTCAGTTCCTGGGGTGAGCCACCAGCCACATGGACACAATTTCCTCTTTTTGGTAAGTTCTTTGACCTGTCTGAACCCCCTACTTAATTACCTATAAAATGAGTCATTGCAAGGATGACAAAGACGCTCTCCTTGACCAAACTCCATTCAGGCTCCTTTGAGCCTTCTCCTTGATGAAGCCTCATCCTTGGCCTGCTGAGCTCAGTGCTAGCAAGGAATGCTGCTAAGGTCCTTAGTGAGAATCTTCCCCACCCTTGCTAACTAACCAAGCTCCTTTCAACAACTTTTCATCACCTCCCTCACCCTGCTCATTGGCTATCCCCACTTGTCTCTGTTGTATTGAGAGTTGAATTCAGTCTCTCTCTCTCCTCTTGCAATAGTTTTTTTTTTTTTTTTAAGAGACAGGGCCTTGCTCTGTCAACCAGGTTGGAGTGCAGTAGCACAATCACAGCTCACAGCAGCCTCAAACTCCTAGGCTCAAAGGATCCTCCCACCTCAGCCTCCTGCGTAGTTGGGACTACAGGTGTGTGCCACTGCACCAAATAATTTTTTAAAACATTGTAGAGATGGGGTCCTGCTTTGTTGCCAAGGCTGGTTTTGAAGTCCTGGCTTCAAGTGATCCTCCCACCTGGGCCTCCAAAGGTACTGGGATTACAGGCATGAGCCAACCTATCAGCCTGGTAATCACGTAAAACAGACACATAGACCAGTGGAACAGAATAGAGAACCCAGATATAAATCCACACATTTACAGCCAGCTCATCTTCAGCAAAGGCACCAACAACATACGAGCGAAAGGACGGTCTCTTCCATAAGTGGTGCAGGGGAAACTAGATAAAGATATGCAGAAGAATGAAACTAGACCCATCTCTCTTACCATACACAGAAATCAAATAAAAATGGATTAAAGGTAAAACTGAGACCTGAAAGTATAA
This sequence comes from Homo sapiens, assembly GCF_000001405.40. NCBI lineage: Eukaryota > Metazoa > Chordata > Mammalia > Primates > Hominidae > Homo > Homo sapiens. Next base: position 589,824 of record NC_000001.11, read on the forward strand.
AACTACTGGAAGAAAACATTAGGGAAGTGCTCCAGGACATTGTTCTCAGCAAAGACTTTTTCAGTAGGACCCCAAAAGCACAGGCAACCAAAGCAAAAACAGACAAGTGAAATCACACCAAGCTAAGAACCCTCTGCAGATCAAAGGAAAAAGTCAACAAACTGAAGAGACAACCCACAGAATGGGAGAAAATACTTGCAAGCTACCCACCTGACAAGGGATTCATAACCAGGAGCTCAAACAATAGCAAACAATTAATCGAATTTTAAAATGGGCAAGAGACCTGAGTAGACATTTCTCAAAAGATGTACAAATGGCCAGCAGGTACATGAAAAAATGCTCAACATCACTAATCATCAGAGAAACGCAAATAAAAAACTGCAATGAGGTCTTCTCTCACCTCAGTTAAAATGGCTTTCGTCAAAAACGCAGGGAATAAGGGATGCTGGCGAGGATGTGGAGAAAGGGGGACCCTCACACACTGTTGTGGGAACATTGATTAGTACAACCACTATGGAAAACAGATGGAGGCTCCTCAAAAAACTAAAAGGGGCTGGGCCCGGTGGCTCACGCCTGTGGTCCCAGCACTTTGGGAGGCCAAAGCAGGGGGATCACAAGGTCAGGAGTTTGAGACCAGCCTGGCCAACATGATGAAACCCCATCTCTACTAAAAATATAAAAAATTAGCCAGGCGTGGTGGTGCGACCCTGTAATCCCAGCTACTTGGGAGACTGAGGCAGGAGAATCACTGGAACACAGGAGGTGGAGATTGCGGTGAGCGGAGAGCGCACCATTGCACTCCAGCCTGGGTGACAGAGCAAGACTCCACCTTAAAAAATAAATAAATAAAAGTTGGCCGGGCGCGGTGTCTCACACCTGTAATCCCAGCACTTTGGGAGGTGGAGGCGGGCGGATCACAAGGTCAGGAGATCGAGACCATCCTGGCCAACATGGTGAAATCCCGTCTCTACTAAAATACAAAAAATTAGCTGGGCGTGGTGGTGCGCACCTATAAATCCCAGCTACTCGGGAGGCTGAGGCAGGGGAATCGCTTAAACACAGGAACCCGGGAGGCAGAGGTTGCAGTGAGCCAAGATCACACCACTGCACACCAGCCTAGTGACAGAGCAAGACTCCATCTCCAAAAACAAACAAACAAACAAAAAACACCTAAAAGTAAAACTGCTGTATGATCCAGTAATTTCACTAACTGGGCATATAGTCAAAAGAAACAAAATCAATATATCGTAAAGACATCTGCACTCTCATGTTTACTGCGGGACTACTCACAATCGCCAAAATACGGAATCAGCCTCTGAGTTCATCAGCGGATGATGGATAAACAGAACGTGGTGTGTATACACAGTGGAATATTCTTCAGCCATACAGAGGAATGACAGCCTGTTATTTGTACAAGACGGAACTAGGGATCATTATGTTAAGTGAAATAAGCCAAGCACAGAAAGACAAACATTGAATGTTCTCACCCACCTACTAAAAAAGTAGCTCTCGTGAAGATAGAGGGTAGACGCCTGGTTACCAGAGGTGGGGAAATGTAGCGGGGAGAGGGGGAGAAAGAGAAGTTGATTAAAGGGTACAAATACGTGGTTTGATAGAAGGAATAAGACGGGCCGGGTGCGGTGGCTCACGCCTGTAATCCCAGCACTTTGGGAGGCCGAGGTGGGCGGATCACGAGGTCAGAAGATCGAGACCATCCTGGCTAACACGGTGAAACCCCGTCTCTACTAAAAATACAAAAAATTAGCTGGGCATGGTGGTGGGCGCCTGTAGTCCCAGCTACTTGGGAGGCTGAGGCAGGAGAATGGCGTGAACCCGGGAGGCGGAGCTTGCAGTGAGCCGAGATCCCGCCACTGCACTCCAGCCTGAGCGACAGAGTGAGACTCTGTCTCAAAAAAAAAAAAAAAAAAGAAGGAATAAGACCTAGTGTTACATAGATCATAGTTGACAATTGCCTACTGTATATTTCAAAATAGCTAGAAGAGAAGAATCGGAACGGTTCTAGCATAAAGCAAAAACAAATATTTAAGGCGATAGATATTCCAAGTAGGCTGATTTGATTTTCACAATTATATGAATGCATTAAACTATCACATGTACCCTGAAACTATGTACATCTATTATGCATCAATAAAAAAGAAAAAAGAAACAAGAACTTAGATTTTAAACTCAGCACTCTCCTAGTGGGCTCCTTAAAAATATTTTTGTTTGGGAGGACAAAGTAGGAGGATTCCTTGAGCCCGGGAGCTTGAGGCTGCAGTGAGATCGTGCCACTGCACTCCAGCCTGAGCGACAGAGAGATACACTGGCTCTAAATATAAATAATATAAATATATATTTATGGAATAAATAAATGAATAAAATATCTTTGCATGCTGGTGAGCCCAGGGTACAGTCCGCCCTTGGCAGCTCGGTGACACAGCCAAGGCAGCTGAACAATCCTCGCCCACTAGACAGTGGAGGTCGCCCTCCAGAGGACCTTATCAGATGTACGTGCAAAGCAGTTTTCAAGACAGTTTTCTATTCAGAGTGTGGTTTAGCCGTTCAGGGAGAGAGATCACAAAGGAAAACCACCTTTAGGAAAGCAGGTGAGAAAGGTGTAAGTTCCCAGGCTTGGGGGTCCTGGCCCAGCCTAGCTGTGGGCAACCCCGGGAAGGCTGAGCCCCGCAGGCTGTATGGACAAAGCATCTCGCTTTCCACACTGGCCACAGGTCTATCCCTGGCAGTAAACAGGTCACAGGTGGGCAGGAGGTCTAACACCTGTAGCGAAAGAACGCAGGAGAGGAACTGAGGCTCTGCTACCAGCAGATGCTCCAAGCACATCTCACGGGGAGGACCATGCACAACTCAGCTGGCCACAACCAGGAAAAGGGTGCCCAGGGCCTCAGAGCTGCTTCAGTGGGGCCATTTCCAGGCTCCCAAGCAGTAAGGTGGGTGCCCTCTCAAGAACAGAAGCGGAACAGCCTAACGCTAATGTTTGGGAAGAAGAGAACAGTGATCCCCCTGGTTACCTCCCATCTCTCTCTGCAGTTCTCATGCATCTGTGCACACACGCTCACACACACATATGTCCATCAATCCACTCACAATGTTTGACTTAAAGCAGAAACCATATAAAGGGCAGGATAAGGAGAAAAGATGAAAGGAACTGAAAAGATGCAAACAGCCACTAACACGCCAATTTGCACCTTGCACAGGGCCTGGGAAGTAATGGCACGGCTTCTCGTTATGCATCAATGATCTCATGTTTTCATTTTAACAAACACCCTAATACAAAAATATGCTTTATAGGGAGGAGAGAAAATATGTTTTATAGGGAGGAGAGAAAAGCCATTCTGAAGAGCTGGATAGGTTGCCTTTGGCCCACATGGAGTCAGCCCCCTGCCCACGCCACCAGGCTCACGTTCAGGGCCCTCGCTGGAGAAACCTGAGCTGCAGGACCCGCTGCCCACCAATGCAGAAGAGAAGGCAGTATGCTTTTTGCATTGGGTGGAACAAAAACAGAAGAAATGGGAATTTGGTGAGAAATAAGGGAGGTGGTCCTCAGAATCTGCAGAGCAGTGGCTTCCAAACTGTGTGATGCAACCCCAGCCAGAAAAACACTTTACATCATGGCTGAGGGCACATACGTGCACGCACATATGCACAATACAGGAAATCTGGAATACAGAAAGCCCTGGAATTCCTAAATAACATCCTGCCCACATGGGAATTCTGCCCTAGCTGATGGCTTCTCTGAGGCCTAGGCCCAAATCCACACCTGCTGTTTAGCCCAGAGCCAAGCCTGGGGGTGTAGGGTCCCCTATGCATGGGTGTCCAACCCCATCCCTGTCCGGAATAGCACGGGTGCTTCTCAGTGCCACAAATGTTGGTGGCGGCTGGGGAGGAGTGGTTCCTCCAAGGCTCCACGCCTGCCTCCACCACTGAGGCCAGCACGGTGGGACTGGGCTAGGGAGACAGGCAGGCTGGCCTACCCACTGAAGGAGCCAGTCTGCTTCCACCTAGTCAGCAGCTCCAGGGAGCGCATCTCCCTCCAGGAAGGGCAGGAGGCCAAGAGGAGCTGGAAAGGTGGGCATTTGATATCATGAGGTATAAAGAGAGCTCCTAGGGGTCCCAGACATCAACTAATAAAAGCACCTCAGAAGTTCATAGATGGGGAAATAGCTGTGTGAATATACCGTGTTATCCAAGTCATGCGGAGAGGAAGGGCTCGAACCCATGGCTACTACTCCCCACCCCCGTCCTCCTCCTCCTCTTTCCATTAAGTTTTTGTGATTATGAAAGTAGCTTACATTTGGTGTAGAAAATATGGAACATATGGAAAAATTTAAAAAGACTCAGGCAAAGGGTCATGTGTCACTTATGACCAGAGGCCGTTGCTCTTTATTAACAGATGGAAATGTTTTCTTCCAAATTGTGCTGCACGTTTTTGGCGAGAGCATGGGGCTGTGCGGCGTCCCCTCCCTGGCGCCCACCTGTGCCCTGCACACTGGCCTGCACTGTGGTGATCTCGCTTGGCCCCCACCTGATTCCTGACATACAGCAGAGGAAGCTTAGGCTCAGGTGGAACAGCCTCAACTGATTCAGTCCCTGAACTTCCGTACACAGCCCTGGAGTCGTCTTAGAGCCATGATTTATTTAACTGTTCTTTCATTTTACAGAACATAAAATGTATTGTTTCCAACTTTTTTCCTATGGTAAATAATACTAAAGTAAATATCTCTGTGCATGAATCTTTTTGTATATGTTGGAATATCCTTAAGATAAGGCCCCAGAACTAAAAGTACCCTGTCAAAGGGTGAGCATTTCCGGTTCCCCTGCTGTGCTTTGCTGCGTTGTTCTCCCCTGCTGCAACGTTCTCACTCCACAATCCTGGGGCAGGTAGGGGAGGCCCAGCTGAGTTTGGATCATAATCCTGAAAGACACAATCCCAAGCACCATAATGTGGAATGTTGAAATCCCTAAAGATCAAAATCCCTCAAGTCTAAAATCCCTGATATTTCAGATGACCACAGCTATAGGGCTAGGTGCACACAATTAGTAACCGTAGTGATATACGTGTACACGTTTCTCTTTTGACTTATTTCTTTATGGTCTGTCTTCTTATAACTGCTACACCCATGCCACCGTCATTAGTTACCTCAGTGTTTATGCAAAAATACCTGTTATCGTTGCCTATTTTATTGTGTAAAGTGGCCTATGAAATGTTCTGTTGTGTTTTTATGTTTCTCAAATACATACCTTTTAAAAATGTAAATAAATAACATCGACATTATTTTTTCCAGATTTATACTTTTGGGATTTTGATCTTTGGGATTTCAGGATGAGGTATTCGGAGCTGTGTCTTTGGGGATGATGACTGGCTCCTGTGCCGTCCCACCCATCTTTGCGGCATGGGACCTTGGCATCCCCACCTCGGCCCTGGCTCTACCTGCCCTCACAATGGACCAGGCCAACTCAGTCAATGTGGAGGCAGCATCAGGTAGACCTGGGGCTGAAACTCAACACTGGTGTTCACCTTGACCTAGCTTCTCTGAGCCTCAAGGTCCTCATCTGGACACCAGTGGGGTTAGGGGCTGAGGCACATCAGCACTAAGCAGGAGAGCTCATCGTTGCCATGCATCAGCTGTGGCTCTAGAGCCGAGACGCTCCCAGCTGTGTAGGCTTCCCAGCAGTGCAGACCCCTCTCTAGAGCCGAGATGCTCCCGGCAGTGCAGGCCCCTCTCTAGAGCCGAGACGCTCCCGGCCGTGTAGGCCCCTCTAGAGCCAAGACGCTGCAGGGTTAATCAGGGCTGCCCAACAGTCCATCCCCTCTTCTCTCTCTGAAATCAAGAAACATTCCGAATTCCAAAATGCAACTGGTCCCAAGTGTTTCAGTTAAGGGACTGTGGCCCTGTGTAATGCCAGGCAGTGACAAGGACTGTGACTGGGAGCCATCGTAAGTCGATGCTGAGTGCCAAAGGGAGGAAAGGAGGCAGCGGTCCTTAAAGGGCCCACTGAGCTCAGATCCCACGTCTGAGCCTCCGCCTTTCCGTGCAGTCCCGGAGATGGCACACAGCCTTCTGCACGAACCGCAATGAGCTGGGCTCCCTCATCACCGCTAGGAGCACTCTGAGAAAGCAGGGCCATTCCACGGGGTTCTGCAGGAGAACGGCGAAGGGTGCTGTTCAACCTGCTCAGTCAGTTGCTAGGTGAGGAGAATTTAGTATTCATAAGTGAAAATTTCTAAGTTACTGGAATTAATTATGGGGTTTGATTCTACATCATCCAGAAAAGCCTGGATGCCACACAGACTCAATGCTGAAAGCTCCCAGTGCACCTGCACAAACACACCCACACATGCACCCATATCATATACACACGTGCAAACATGTTCACATTCACACTCACTCCTACATACTCGGATCATATACACATTTGTGCACACGTGTTCATATTCACACTCCTACACACCCAGATCATACACACATACACACACTTGTGCATACACATTCATGCTCACTCCCACACACCCAGATCATATACACACTCGTGCACACATGCTCACATTCACAATCACTCATACCCAGATCATACACACACTTATGCACACATTCACACTCACTCATACATACACAGATCATATACATACTTGCGCATACGTGTTCGTATTCACACTCCTACACACCCAGATCATACACACATACACACACTTGTGCATACACATTCATGCTCACTCCTACACACCCAGATCATATATACACTCGTGCACACATGTTCACATTCATGCTCACTCATACACACCGATTGTACACTCGTGCACACATTCACACTCATACACACCCAAATCATACTCACATTCATGCACACATGTTCACATTCATGCTCACTCATACACACCCAGATCATATATACACTCGTGCACACATTCACACTCATACACACCCAAATCATACTCACATTCATGCACACATGTTCACTCATGCTCACTCATACACACCCAGATCATATATACACTCGTGCACACATGTTCACATTCACACTCATACACAGCCCAAAATAATATACACATTAATGCACACAATACATATTCATACTTGCACACACCCAAATCATATACCCACTCACACACACATGTTCACATTCACACTCATACACACTCAGATCATAAATACATATGTACACATTCACATTCATACCCTCAAATCATACGCACACTAGTGTATACATGTACACACTCACACACACAAATACACACTCATACACAGTCATACACACTCACACATACCCCCAAATCATATACACACTCATGCACACCGTCACACATATAATCCAAACACACAAAAATATATGCATGCGCTCATTCATACACAATCTCACACATACATATACAGCCATGTGGGATTTTTCTGCCATTTTCAGAAATGTAAATTTTGTAGTTCCTGCTTTTTAAAGACTATAAATTATTTTTAATTTACCTTCATTCTCAATTTTGTTTGTTATAAGTAGCTTGATTGTCATACAGCATCCAACGACGCATATTTCCTTTATTTTTTTTGAGATGGAGTCTTGCTCTGTCACCCAGGCTGGAGTGCAGGGGCGCGATCTCGGCTCACTGCAACCTCTGCCTCCCGGGTTCAAGTGATTCTCCTGCCTCAGCCTCCCGAGTAGCTGGGATTACAGATGCCCATCACCACGCCCAGCTAATTTTTGTATTCTTAGTAGAGATGGGGTTTCACCATGTTGGCTAGGCTGGTCTTGAACTCCTGACCTCATGATCCACCTGCCTCGGCCTCCCAAAGTGCTGGGATTACAGGTGCGAGCCACCGTGCTCTGCATATTTTCACGTTAAAAATGTTTTATTTAAAAAAAAAAAAAAGATGTCCAGAAGAGTTGCAAAGACAGTACTGCAACTTCCCACAGACCCGTTCACCAGCTTCCTCTCACTTGAGCATCTTACACGCAATGAGGCACGTGTAGAAACTGCGACACTCACACGGGTGCCATCTCAGCAGCTCACGGTGTGGAAACTGCGACACTCACGCGGGTGCCATCTCAGCAGCTCACGGTGTGGAAACTGCGACACTCACGCGGGTGCCGTCTCAGCAGCTCACGGTGTGGAAACTGCGACACTCACGCGGGTGCCGTCTCAGCAGCTCACGGTGTGGAAACTGCGACACTCACGCGGGTGCCGTCTCAGCAGCTCACGGTGTGGAAACTGCGACACTCACGCGGGTGCCGTCTCAGCAGCTCACGGTGTGGAAACTGCGACACTCACGCGGGTGCCGTCTCAGCAGCTCACGGTGTGGAAACTGCGACACTCACGCGGGTGCCGTCTCAGCAGCTCACGGTGTGGAAACTGCGACACTCACGCGGGTGCCGTCTCAGCAGCTCACGGTGTGGAAACTGCGACACTCACGCGGGTGCCGTCTCAGCAGCTCACGGTGTGGAAACTGCGACACTCACGCGGGTGCCGTCTCAGCAGCTCACGGTGTGGAAACTGCGACACTCACGCGGGTGCCGTCTCAGCAGCTCACGGTGTGGAAACTGCGACACTCACGCGGGTGCCGTCTCAGCAGCTCACGGTGTGGAAACTGCGACACTCACGCGGGTGCCGTCTCAGCAGCTCACGGTGTGGAAACTGCGACACTCACGCGGGTGCCGTCTCAGCAGCTCACGGTGTGGAAACTGCGACACTCACGCGGGTGCCGTCTCAGCAGCTCACGGTGTGGAAACTGCGACACTCACGCGGGTGCCGTCTCAGCAGCTCACGGTGTGGAAACTGCGACACTCACACGGGTGCCGTCTCAGCAGCTCACGGTGTGGAAACTGCGACACTCACGCGGGTGCCGTCTCAGCAGCTCACGGTGTGGAAACTGCGACACTCACGCGGGTGCCGTCTCAGCAGCTCACGTCCAGGACCCCAGGCTGCACTGGCCCTCACGCCTCCTTAGTCCCCTGCACCTGTGACCCTTTCCTGGCCTGTCTTCGCTTCACCGCCTTGACAGCTTTGCAGAGTGCTGCTCAGGTATTCTGCAAGACGCCCCTCAATTGGTGTGTGTGTGATGTTCTCTCTGATTACATTGGAACTGTGCGTTTGCGGAAGAACACGGCGGGGGGGGGGGCGGCGCTCTTCTCATCACGTGCTCTCAGGGGCCACGATGTCAACATGCCTCATCACTGGTGGTCTGGACCTTGATCACACGGCCAAGGTGAGGCCTGCCAGGTCTCCCCACGGGAGAGTGACTGTTTTCCTCTCCATGTCCTGCTGGTTAAGAGTGAGTCATGAAGTCCAGCATGAGCTCCAACTCCTACAGGAAGGAGCATCAAAGAATTTGGGCACCGTGGTAATTACTGAACATTTAGGGGAGACACTTTGAGACTATACAAATATCTTCTTTCTCCTTAAACTTTGCACAGGAATTTTAGCATTCCTCAGGGGAGCTTGCCTGCAGCACTGATGGTGATTTTCTTTTTTTTCTTTTCTTTTCTTTCTTTCTTTCTTTTTTTGAGACAGAGTTTTGCTCTCATTGCCCAGGCTGGAGTGCAGTGGCACAATCTCAGCTCACTGCAACCTCCCGGGTTCAAGCGATTCTCCTGCCTCAGCCTCCCAAGTAGCTGAGATTACAGGCATGTGTCACCAGGCCCAGCTAATTTTGTATTTTTTTGTAGAGACAGGGTTTCACAATGTTGGCTAGGCTGGTCTCGAACTCCTGACCTCAGGTGATCCACCTGCCTCAGCCTCCCGAAGTGTTGAGATTACAGGCACGAGCCACTGTGCCCAGCCTGATGGTGATTTTCCCTATTTACTCCACATTTCTTGTTTGGAATTTGTTCCAAGAAAGGCCTGTCCCTTTCAGTTTTTTGTTTTGTTTTGTTTTGTTTTGTTTTTGAGACAGAGTCTTGCTCTGTCACCCCAGCTGGAGTGCATTGGCGTGATCTTGGCTCACTGCAAGCTCCACCTCCCGGGCTCACACCATTCTCCTGCCTCAGCCTCCCGAGTAGCTGGGACTACAGGCGCTCGCCACCTCGCCTGGCTACCCTTTCAGTTTTAATTTATTCAATAATTTATTTATATGCTTACAAATCCATGGACATTCATTTTATTCTTTGGGGCATAATCCGATTTGTGTGTGTGTGTGTGTGTATGTCTGTGTGAGTGTGTGTGCACTCAAATCATTGTAGCTGTGGCCACTGGGAGCTCTTACATTTTGGGTTCCATGCCCTTTTGAAATGTCCACAGCTTTTTAAAAATTTTATTTTTGAGCATTTTCTTACTTCCTGGGACTACAAGATGCTCCAGGTTCATCTTGTATTTTCTCTCCCACATCCCAATTATCAGCCATTTCTCCAGGGAGACTTGGCTCCTTTTATTGAAGATGAAATTTAGAAACTAACATCTGGGCATGGAATGTGCTTGCTGCTACTGGGGTGTCCCCTCTCAAAGGACAAACCCAGGATCTACAGATGTGTGTGCTAAGCCATGTATGTACACGCACGTGTGTGTGTATATATTTAACCTATCTGTATATATGTATTATGTAAACATGAGTTCCTGCTGGCATATCTGACTATAACTGACCACCTCAGGGTCCATTCTGATCTGTATATATGTATCATGTAAACACGACTTCCTACTGGCATATCTGACTGTAACCGACCACCTCAGGGTCCATTCCGATCTGTATATATGTATCATGTAAACATGATTTCCTACTGGCATATCTGACTATAACTGACCACCTCAGGGTTCATTCCGATCTGTATATAAGTATCATGTAAACACGAGTTCCTGCTGGCATATCTGACTGTAACCGACCTCCTCAGGGTCCATTCTGATCTGTATATATGTATCATGTAAACACGAGTTCCTGCTGGCATATCTGACTATAACCGACCACCTCAGGGTCCATTCTGATCTGTATATATGTATCATGTAAACATGAGTTCCTGCTGGCATATCTGACTATAACTGACCACCTCAGGGTCCATTCTGATCTGTATATATGTATAATATATATTATATATGGACCTCAGGGTCCATTCTGATCTGCATATATGTATAATATATATTATATATGGACCTCAGGGTCCATTCTGATCTGTATATATGTATCATGTAAACATGAGTTCCTGCTGGCATATCTGTCTATAACCGACCACCTTAGGGTCCATTCTGATCTGTATATATGTATAATATATATTATATATGGTCCTCAGGGTCCATTCTGATCTGTATATATGTATCATGTAAACATGAGTTCCTGCTGGCATATCTGTCTATAACTGACCACCTTAGGGTCCATTCTGATCTGTATACATGTATAATATATATTATATATGGACCTCAGGGTCCCCGCTGGCTTTTCCATGACTTCCTTATCCAGCTGTGAGAACCCTGACTCTTACTACTGTATTGACTTATTTGTGAAACCTTAGTATATATAAAAGTAGTTTCAAAGTTGCTAACATGTATTGCTGTGGGAAACAATTTTACCAATTGGAGTTTAGTGCTTAGATATGCAGAGTTATTTGATTCTTTCCAGAATCTAATCAAAACACTGTTTTTGGACTTACCCAGGTCAGCTCCTTTCTGCCCACTCTTTCAGCGCAGGCGTGTCCTGCTGTGGAACACACTCTGGGATTCCTGTGTGGGTCTGTACCCATCCTGTACCCGTCAGGACCCCCGGGCCCTGACTCTTGATGTTGTTCTTGCTCCTCTTGTTGATCTTGTTGTTCCCACAGTGAGGTCCAGTCCTGTGGGGTTTGACAAACACAGCATCACGTACCCAACTCTGTAGAGCCACACAGAAGACTTTCATCCCTCAAAAATGGCCCCAGTTCGGCCCCTCGGTAGTAAACTCCTCTCCCCTCACTCACCCACTGGCAAATACTGATCTGTTTCTGTCCCGATAATTGTGTCTTTCCATATACACAAAAGTGAAGTCTGAGGGTGAGGCCCATGGCCTTGGGAAGCAGGCATAAGTTGGCGGGGGTGGGCACACAGGGTCACCGCGGAAGAAGATCCATGCTGCCCACACAGCCACATGTGGGACAGGGCAGGACCAGCCCCCCAAGCTGTGAACCTCGCCCGAGGCTATGCCCCACTCTGGAGCAGAACGGCCTCTGCAGAGCTTCCACCATGCACATAGGCTGTGCACAGCCAGGCCAGGAAGGGGAGGGCCCCTGTCTGCAGAGACAGGCCCATCCTGGACAGGAGGGAACAGCATTCCAGGCAGATCCGCCACTGGCTGCTGTTCCCAGAGTGGCTGTGTCCCCTCTGCAGCGTCCATGCCGGCCTCCCCTGCCTCCCTCTGCAGCTGTCCACGCCCAGCCAGCCTCCCTGCCTCCCTCTGCAGCTGTCGCTCTCCACCCTCCTCTCCTTTCTTCTCTCCATCCCCCCTCCATCCCCCTCTCCTTTCTCCTCTCCATCCCCCTCTCCATCCCCCTCTCCATCTCCCTCTCCTTTCTCCTCTCTAGCCCCCTCTCCTTTCTCCTCTCCATCCCCCTCTCCTTTCTCCCTCTCCATCCCCCTCTCCTTTCTTCATGGCTCTTTCCCTTTCCTGCCACAACTGAACTGAGTGCAGGTGATTTTCGCTGCCTGCTGGCTTTATTCAGCTTCAACTTCTTGACTTTAAAGGTGGATGCAGGAAATGTGTGTCTTGTGTCACACATGGAAATGTTGCTGAAATAAGTTACTCTTCACTGATGTGGCCTCGAGGGTTTTCTGCTGGGTTTCTGGACCTTGTAAGCAAAGCAGACCCTCACCCGACTGACCTCCTGGCTGTGACGATGTGTGTTTCTATCCCACACAGGGAGGGTGTTTATGGTCTGAAGTGAGGCCTCTCATTAACTCCTCAAGAGTCGATTGAAGCACAATTTATTAGAGCCCAGAAATCATGGCAATCCATTCCCACAAGCACACAGCACAGCTAAACCAGCTCCAAGGAGGGTCCGAGTGTCCACAACTGCACCCCAGGCCCATTGTGCCTGCCGCTGGAGAGTGTGGGGCCCCTTGGCCCCTAAAGGTTTGCTGAGAAGTCACTGACATGAGACAGATGGATTAATAGGAGAAACGGTATGCAAATTTATGTGATGTGTACATATAAGAACCTTTAGAACGAAGACCCAACGATGGGGGAAATTGTCCATTTTTATGTTTAGGTTTAATAACGTATGAACAGTCCTCTAAAAAAAGGATTGGACACAAAGGGCTTGATCTAATGTGAATAGACTGAGTGGGAACCCAGCAAGGTCTGTCTAGATTTGTCTTCATCTCTGAGCATTTTCTTCTCTGGACGTGGGGCAGGGCCCTCTCTGGAATGACAGTCTCATGACCTACAGTCAAACAAGGGATGTTGGATCATTTCTCTCTAGTCAGCTCTTATATAGAAAGGTAGACAGAAAACTGAGTAATATTTTTAGGTTTTCTGACCAGCTTTGGGGAGAAGGGGTTCTGATTTCTGTGACCGGCCTTGGGGAAAAAGAGAGTCTGGTTTCTACAGCGCCTTCAGGGAGAATGAGACTGAGAGACAGGAGGGCAGGAGAAGGTCAGAGACAACTTTTGCTTCTGAGGCTGCTGCTGAGGACTTCATTTTGGGGCGTTGTTTTCTGAGCCCCAACAGAAGGAAGGAAGCCTCTCCCTCCAGGGGTCAGTCCTGGGCCTCAAGGGCACCCTCGAAGCAGGCAGCTCAGCTCACAGAGCTCCCCTCAGCCATGTCCTCCACCTGCCCTTCCTTGGTCCAGCACCTCACCTGCACACACCTGTCTGGAGAGTCCCCAAGGTTGGAGAGCTGCTGAGTCAGCTGGGCCGAGCACACAGCGCAACACTTCCTTGTGCCTCCTAACCAGGATGGGCGACACCAGCCCATTTTATGGATGGGACAAGAAGAAGCTGGGCTGACAAGCCCAACATAGTGGAGCCAGCAACAGGCTTTTACTCTCCTCTCTGTCTCTTTGTCTCTCTCCCCCACCGCACCTCCATCCGCTCCATTCTCCTCTCTGCACATCAGCTTCCCAGACAATATTCTTGGTTTCTGTGGCTCCCAAACTGAAGCTTCCCCACAGTGGCTGCAACTATCCAGACCTGGGGCCACACTTGGGCCTCCAGGCAGGGGATCTAGTGATCACATTCTGGTCATGTCATCAGGCCAACTTGGCTGAGCTCTGCCCTCCTTATCTCTCTTCTCCCCTCGAGCCCTCACCCTGGTTACCTGCACAAGTAAACTTGCCCCTAACTGACCCCCTTTTCTCCCTCCATGTCCCTCAATACAACACTAACTCTGGCAAAAAAGACCAGCCTGGCCAGGTGCGGTGTCTCACGCCTGTAATCCCAGCACTTTGGGAGGCCGAGGCGGGCAGATCACAAGGTCAGGACATCAAGACCATCCTGGCTAACACGGTGAAACCCCGTCTCTACTAAAAATACAAAAAATTAGCCAGGCATGGTGGCAGGCACCTGTAGTCCCAGCTACGCGCAAGGCTGAGGCAGGAGAATGGCGTGAACCCGGGAGGCGGTGCTTGCAGTGAGCCGAGATGGTGCCACTGCACTCCAGCCTGGGCGACAGCGAGACTCCGTCTCAAAAAAAAAAAAAAAAAAGACCAGCCTGAAGCAGAGATTGGGTCCCAGCCTGGCTCTGCCTGGCCCTCTGCTCCCGCTTCACCTCACAGACAGAACGCTGCCCTGTGGAGGGGTCCCCGGACCCTTTGGTGGGTGCCAAGCGGGTATGGAGGCCAAGGCCTGAGTGGTGAGAATAGTCCAGGGGCTAGCGCTGCGTGGGGAGGGCGAGCTCAGAGAGCAGGGGAGCCTGACCCTGCAGGTCAAGACTTCTGTCTGAGAGAAATGAAAAGCTGGGGATTTTAAGCAAAGGAATGCCTTGACCCAACCCTCACAACTTACATAATAATTAACTTAAAAGGAATCATAAGTTTAAACAGAAAATCTATATAAGAGGTTTACAGTTTAATTTAAAAACTATAATAGGTTTATAGTTTTTAAATTAAAATTTTAAATATAGTGGTTTATAAAACTTTGAGAAGAAAACATAAAATCCCTATGAATGCTGCAAAAGTCACTGTTGAGAGAATGAAAACACAAGACATAGAGTTGGAGAAAATATTTGTGAATCTCATATCTGGCAAAGGAATTGTATCTAGAATACATAAAGAACTCTCAAAATCCAACAGTAAAAACACCAAATAATCCAGTTACAAACCGGGGAAGGATTTGAACAGATGCGTCACCAAGCAAGGGATATGGATGGGAAATAAGCTTCCATCAGCCACCAGGGAGATGCAAATTACAGCCACTAGGAAACGCTTTTCATTCATTCCGGGATGGCTGAAATGTAAGCACGGAAAATGCTGGGTGCCCGCAAGAACGCGGAGCAGCAGGCACTCATTCCCGATTAGCGGGAGCGCAAAGCGAAGGGGCGGCCTGTGGCGTTTTCCTGTAAAGTTGGGCACACGCTTCCCACATGACTCAGCAATTGCACTTCTGGGTATGTACCCGAGAGAAACAAAAGCTTATGTTCACACAAAAACCTACAACGCAAATGCACAAACAGCTCTATCCAACAACCCTGGAAGCAACCCAAACACGCTTCAGCGGCACAGGCGCCTCCACGCGGAACCCCACGCGGCGCTCAGCACGGACGAGGAGGGAGCCGCGCACGCGCGGTCGGCTCGGCGAGGAGCCGGTCTCCAAGTGCCGCCAGCTGCGGGATTTCCTCTGCAAAAGACAAACCACAGGGAGAGCTGCCGGGGCTGGGTGGGGGAGCGTGACTGTGAACGGAGTTCTGGGGGTGATGTAACTGTTCTGTATCCACAGTGTTGCTACATGAATCTATAAATGTGTTAAACTCATAGAACTGTACACCGAAAAATAGCAGTTTTGCTGAATGTTAATTCAGAAATGAAATTAAAATTTTAAATTAACAACAAGCAACTTTACAAGAGAAAAAAAAAAACCTCATTTCCTCCCCACAAAGCCACCTCATGAGCCTGGGTGGTGCCTAGCCAGTCCTGCTGCTGAACCTGCTCTGACCTGGCCTAAGGGTAGGACTCGAGGCTGGGAGCCAAGGGCCAACCACAGGACAGGCAGCAAGACCCGCTTCGCTGGTCTGTCACACACACCGCACCAAGTCGGTGTTCAGGATAAACCGGGGCACACTCTGAGCTGGGCCTGTCTCCGGCTTCAACCAAAAAGCCTGAGCTCTGGCAGGTGAAGGACCAGACGTTTCTGTGGGGCTATGGACTTGTCTGGGAGGCAGCCACCTCTAAGCCACCCAGGATGGTTTCGGTTGTGTTTGGATGGAGTTCTGAGTTTTGCCAGTTAAAATTCCCCCTTCAGGAGCTCTCTATGGGGGTAAAGTGCAAGATTTGGGGTAGAAAAATGACAAGTCAGAGGACTGGAAGGAACATTATGGACTGTCCTCCCTTCTGCCTGAAGAGATGGGGAGACTCTCCCAGGCCATGTGGAAGACCTCACAGGGGGACCAACTGCTGCCTTTCAGCCTGGCCGAGGGAAGAGCCCCTGACTCAGCCTCCGCAGGAGGAGGTGGGCTGGAACCAAGTTTCCCTGCATCAATCCAGGCAGGCAGCCCCGAACAGTGCACTCCAACATGGGATAGTGAGCCAGCTTGGGGGACAGCAGCTGTCTAAACAGGAGCATGCAACCCCCGTGCTGAGAGTTCCCCAGGGTCACGACTACCCAGAGTCAGAGCTGCCCAGGGTCACAGCTACTCGAGGTCAGAGCTGCCCCAGATCAGGGCTGCCCAAGGTCAGAGCTGTCCTGGGTCAGAGCTGCCCATGGTCAGAGCTGTCCTGGGCATCAGAGGCGCAGAGGTGGGAAGGGCTGGCTTCAGGTGGGAGTTATAGGTGGGAGTTATGCTACAAAGGGTCTTGAAGGCCAGTGTTGTTGACAGGGTAGGGTGCCTGGGTAATAGCAGAGGAAGAAAAAGGCTTAGAGTTGGAGGGAAAAACATGGAGTTGGGGGAGTGCACCTGCCCCCTCAGAGACCACAAAGCCTCCCCAGGGCTGGGCTGTGGCTGCTGGAGCTCCCAGACCATGCCAAGTGTCAGAGCCTGGGCAAGACCCTCTGGGGCAGCCCGGAACCACCAGAGGTCAGAGCTGGAGGAGGCTCAGCTGGGGCCCTTGCACCAGGCAGGAGGCCCAGAAAAGAGACAGTGCTCTTGAACTGCAGGAAGGCAGCTCCGTAGAGAGGCAAATCTCACTCCAGCTCGGGCAATACTCAACTACACGGACGTGGATGCTCTCAAGGGGGCTTTGGGGCATGTGGTGTCGGCATTGGACCCAAATATGGGCTCAAAGCTTTCCTTTACCATATTCCTTCTACATTTTTCTTGCAGATTGAGAAGGGATAGGGAGGAGTTTAGGGAAGTGAGTGAAGCAGGAAGATGTTGACCAAGGGAAGTTAATTCCATAAAGAGGAGGATGAGGGGACAGAAAGGCAGGAGGAAGAGGAGGAGGAGAATCTTTGCACAGGGGGTGTCAGCTGATGGGGGCAGCATGGGTGCCCATGGAGCCCTTTAGGGGTCGTTGGTTGTGTGCAGAGAGGCCACAGCAGGCGAGGCAGGCAGTGTCTACCACCCCCAAGGAGACACCAAGAATCCCTGTCCTTAGGAAGTCCCCTCTTCCTCCTCTTGAGTCTCATCTCGGAAAGAGGGAGCTGTCAGTCAGAGCTCAGGCCAAACACTGGGGCTAATAGGGGTGAGAGCAGGGACCTGTGGGGTCCTCACCACTGTCCCCTTCTCACCTTTCTGGCTCAGGCCAGGCTCAGCCCCCAGTGGTCTATTGTCTTTCTATCTGTCATCTATCTACCTACCCACCTATCTAACCATGCCATCTATTTCATCTATTTTTATCTATCAACCATCTATCATATATCTACCTACCTACCTTTCCATCTATCATCTAGTTCATCTATTGCTATCTATTATCTAATTTGCCTATCAAGTATCTATCCATCATCTATTTCTATCATCTATCCATCACCTGTTACCTATCACCCATATACCACCTATCCCTATCTATCATCTATCTAGCCAGCAATCCACCCATCATCTACTTCATCTATTTCTACCCGTCTCCCACCCCCTCTCCCCACCCCTCACCAGAGAGTATGCAAGCACGACCACGTCAACAGGCCCTGAAGTCACAGGTTCACACAGCACGTTTTCTGCTCCATCACGTGTATGGGGCAGGGGGCAGCAGAGCTGGGGGAGAAGAGATAAAGGAATTATGTCAAACAGGGACTGTCTTGTCTGCCCCAAGGGCCTTTCCTCATCTATAAAGCAGATTTTTCTTGTAGAGCACCACGAGAGCTGTGAAATGGGAGTGAGGGGTGAGGCAGGCCATGGGGCCTTCCACAAGGTGGGCAAGATGGTTGTCTCTGGGGAACCAGCTGGCCAGAGGGGGCCAAGTGCCAACCGGTCTGGATGAGAGCAAAGCAGCAGGCAGAAGGTTACAGAGGCAAGTGTCGGCACCAGGGGTGAACGCTGGGATTTTTCAAATCCAAGAGGCATTTCAAGTAAGGGGAAAACCTCCCCCGGGGCTGGGCTGAGAAGCTAGTCGGGTGATGGGATGAGTGAGAATGACAAGTTGCGTCTGATTGTCCTGGAGACCTGGCTGAGAACTCTGTGTGAGTGTCTTAGGTAGACGGTTACACTTGTTTTCAGTGAGAGTCAGTTTCCATAGAGAACTGCATGGTAGTCACCAAGAACCGAGGGGGCCCAGGAATGCCCCAGCAGTGGTCTGGAAGGGCTTGTGGGGCTGAGCAGGAGGTGGGTGGGGACCGGGTGCAGGCAGAGGGAATTCAAGGGTACAGAGGCAGAGAGATGGTGCCGCCTGGGGAACGCAGCGCACCCAGGACAGAACAGGCCTGAGAGCCACACACACTCACAGCGGCTTCCCAGAGTGTTTGTTTTCTATGTACCAAGATGCTCCCCCAAACCCTCTGCAGCCTGTTCCCTGCCTTGGGGGTCCTGAGGGCCACCCTTCGGGTATGGGGTTCAGGTCGCTATTCCTTTCTCGATGCCCCTGGTGTGTCCATGGGATGAGCTGACTGGCCCACCTAGTGGGAGCCTGTGCACCACGGTTCGTGTGGCCCAGGGGAGGAGGTTTTGCCTTTCCTGGACCCCACTTTATGAAAGGAAAGCCTGAACCCCTGGGCCAGCTAGGGGAGTGAGCTAGGGTGGAGGGCAGTGCTGGTCATGGAGGGCAGTGTCCAGCCCTCTGCTCACCAGCTCCAAGAGTGATTCTGGAAACGGAGCCCAGTCCCTGGGCCCAAACCTTTGCCTCTGTCCTTCTTTCTCTCTACAAATTAGAGGCCACATCCCTGGCCGCTGAAGCCTTGTACCCTGACCCACTGTCTGAACCTGATGGAGTCTAAATGCAGTGAGCGGGTGCCAGCCTTCCCTGGAGCTCTGCAGAGGCAAGGAGGGGGTGGATGGAAAGACGGGAGTCCCTCCCCTTAGGTGAGGGGGGGAACTAGGGCCCGGGGAGATGCCCAGGCCTGGCGGCCGGCACACGCGGGTTCTCTGTGGCCAGCAGGCGGCGCTGCAGGAGAGGAGATGCCCAGGCCTGGCGGCCGGCGCACGCGGGTTCTCTGTGGCCAGCAGGCGGCGCTGCAGGAGAGGAGATGCCCAGGCCAGGCGGCCGGCGCACGCGGGTTCTCTGTGGCCAGCAGGCGGCGCTGCAGGAGAGGAGATGCCCAGGCCTGGCGGCCGGCGCACGCGGGTTCTCTGTGGCCAGCAGGCGGCGCTGCAGGAGAGGAGATGCCCAGGCCTGGCGGCACACGCGGGTTCTCTGTGGCCAGCAGGCGGCGCTGCAGGAGAGGAGATGCCCAGGCCTGGCGGCCGGCGCACGCGGGTTCTCTGTGGCCAGCAGGCGGCGCTGCAGGAGAGGAGATGCCCAGGCCTGGCGGCCGGCGCACGCGGGTTCTCTGTGGCCAGCAGGCGGCGCTGCAGGAGAGGAGATGCCCAGGCCTGGCGGCCGGCGCACGCGGGTTCTCTGTGGCCAGCAGGCGGCGCTGCAGGAGAGGAGATGCCCAGGCCAGGCGGCCGGCGCACGCGGGTTCTCTGTGGCCAGCAGGCGGTGCTGCAGGAGAGGAGATGCCCAGGCCTGGCGGCCGGCGCACGCGGGTTCTCTGTGGCCAGCAGGCGGCGCTGCAGGAGAGGAGATGCCCAGGCCTGGCGGCCGGCGCACGCGGGTTCTCTGTGGCCAGCAGGCGGCGCTGCAGGAGAGGAGATGCCCAGGCCTGGCGGCACACGCGGGTTCTCTGTGGCCAGCAGGCGGCGCTGCAGGAGAGGAGATGCCCAGGCCTGGCGGCCGGCGCACGCGGGTTCTCTGTGGCCAGCAGGCGGCGCTGCAGGAGAGGAGATGCCCAGGCCTGGCGGCCGGCGCACGCGGGTTCTCTGTGGCCAGCAGGCGGCGCTGCAGGAGAGGAGATGCCCAGGCCTGGCGGCCGGCGCACGCGGGTTCTCTGTGGCCAGCAGGCGGCGCTGCAGGAGAGGAGATGCCCAGGCCAGGCGGCCGGCGCACGCGGGTTCTCTGTGGCCAGCAGGCGGTGCTGCAGGAGAGGAGATGCCCAGGCCTGGCGGCCGGCGCACGCGGGTTCTCTGTGGCCAGCAGGCGGCGCTGCAGGAGAGGAGATGCCCAGGCCAGGCGGCCGGCGCACGCGGGTTCTCTGTGGCCAGCAGGCGGTGCTGCAGGAGAGGAGATGCCCAGGCCTGGCGGCCGGCGCACGCGGGTTCTCTGTGGCCAGCAGGCGGCGCTGCAGGAGAGGAGATGCCCAGGCCTGGCGGCCGGCGCACGCGGGTTCTCTGTGGCCAGCAGGCGGCGCTGCAGGAGGGGAGATGCCCAGGCCTGGCGGCCGGCGCACGTGGGCTCTCTGTGGCCAGCAGGCGGCGCTGCAGGAGAGCTCAGGAGCAGGGGCCTGGGCCTGCTCCGGGGGAATCCGCCCACCCCACCGCGGCGGCCTCTCCTGAGGTTCCCTAGTGGCCGCGAAGGGTGGGCTCAGGGTGAGGGGTCAGGCCACACCAGTGGGTGCGGGGATGGCTGCGGCCACGGGAGGGCGTCCAGGGAGGAGGCCGGAGCTCAGGCCCACTCTGCACACCCAGCCCGCCACCTCCCCCGGCTCTCTCTTCCTTCGTGCACATTCTGGGGCTCATGCTTCTGCTGTGGTCCCATTTAGCCAACCTGGCCAGCCTTTCATGCCTGCTTCATGGGTGAGACGTGGAGGCCAGGTCAGCCGCAGAGCCCGGGGCACACGCCGCAGCCAGCACAGCAGCAGGTGGGCGTCTGCGGCCGGGGCCAGCGCAGGGCCCACTGGGCCTCGGAGGGGCCTCCCTGCCGACTCTGCCCCCGTCCTGTGGCCGTAAGTCCACCCAGAGCGCTCGATCTTCCGTCCACCAGGCCAGGGATGCGCGCAGAGTAAGGATGTGTGTGTCTACGCATGTGGGGGTGTGGGTGTGACAGGGTGTGTTCTGTGTGAGAACATGTGTGTAGTGTCCACATGTCCTCTGTGCGTGAGTCCCTGTGTGTGATGTTGTGTTCTCGGTGTGAGTTCATGGGTGTGATGGGGTGTGTGCTGTGTGAGAACGTGTGTGTAGTGTCCACATGTCCTCTGTGCGTGAGTCCCTGTGTGTGATGTTGTGTTCTTGGTGTGAGTTCATGGGTGTGACGGGGTGTGCTGTGTGAGAACGTGTGTGTAGTGTTCACATGTCCTCTGTGCGTGAGTCCCCGTGTGTGATGTTGTGTTCTCGGTGTGAGTTCATGGGTGTGACGGGGTGTGTGCTGTGTGAGAACGTGTGTGTAGTGTCCACATGTCCTCTGTGCGTGAGTCCCCGTGTGTGATGTTGTGTTCTCGGTGTGAGTTCATGGGTGTGACGGGGTGTGTGCTGTGTGAGAACGTGTGTGTAGTGTCCACATGTCCTCTGTGCGTGAGTCCCTGTGTGTGATGTTGTGTTCTCGGTGTGAGTTCATGGGTGTGACGGGGTGTGTGCTGTGTGAGAACGTGTGTGTAGTGTCCACATGTCCTCTGTGCGTGAGTCCCCGTGTGTGATGTTGTGTTCTCGGTGTGAGTTCATGGGTGTGACGGGGTGTGTGCTGTGTGAGAACGTGTGTGTAGTGTCCACATGTCCTCTGTGCGTGAGTCCCCGTGTGTGATGTTGTGTTCTCGGTGTGAGTTCATGGGTGTGACGGGGTGTGTGCTGTGTGAGAACGTGTGTGTAGTGTCCACATGTCCTCTGTGCGTGAGTCCCCGTGTGTGATGTTGTGTTCTCGGTGTGAGTTCATGGGTGTGACGGGGTGTGTGCTGTGTGAGAACGTGTGTGTAGTGTCCACATGTCCTCTGTGCATGAGTCCCTGTGTGTGATGTTGTGTTCTCGGTGTGAGTTCATGGGTGTGACGGGGTGTGCTGTGTGAGAACGTGTGTGTAGTGTCCACATGTCCTCTGTGCGTGAGTCCCTGTGTGTGATGTTGTGTTCTCGGTGTGAGTTCATGGGTGTGACGGGGTGTGCTGTGTGAGAACGTGTGTGTAGTGTTCACATGTCCTCTGTGCGTGAGTCCCTGTGTGTGATGTTGTGTTCTCGGTGTGAGTTCATGGGTGTGACGGGGCGTGTGCTGTGTGAGAACATGTGTGTAGTGTTCATATGTTCTCAGTGTGAGTTCATGTGTGTGACGGGGTGTGCTGTGTGAGAACCCGTGTGCAGTGAGATCGTCCCCAAAGGTAGTTCAAAGCTGGGGCCCTTTCATTTGCCAGGATCTAACCCAGCTACTCAGGAGGCTGAGGCAGGAGGATCACTTTAGGCCAGGATTTTGAGAGCAGCCTGGACAATATAGTGAGACCCTGTCTCTACAAAAAAATTTTAAAAATTAGCCGAATGTGGTGGGGCATGCCTGTAGTCCCAGCTACTCCGGAGGCTGAGGTGGGAGGATTGCTTGAGCCCAGGAGTTTGAGGTTATAGTGAGTAGTGATGGCATCCCTGCCCTCTATCCTGGACGACAGACCAAGAGTCCAGCCCTAAAAAAAAAATTTAATTAAAAATTTTTAAATCTTTAAAAATTAAAAATCTTAAATTTTTCTTTAAGATTTATAAGAGGACTCAGTAAAGGCTGTGCTGGCAATAACATCAAACTACTGAATTCTTTAAGAACTCCTTGGAGATTATTATTTTGCATGACATAACTAAATATCTTAATGATTGACTTAATTACTTAGATGTCAGTCTGTATGTTTTTGGTGTCGTAAGTACAAAGCTTAGAACTGCTACTTTTAGGGCCAGGAGCAGTGGCTAACGCCTGTAATCACAACACTTTGGGAGGCTCAGTCAGGCGGATCACCTGAGGTCAGGAGTTTGAAACCAGCCTGCCCAACATGGTGAAACCCCGTCTCTACTAAAAATACAAAAATTAGCCAGGCATGGTGGCAGGCACCTGTAATCCCAGCTACTTGGGAGGCTGAGGCAGGAGAATCTCTTGAACCCGGGAGGTGGAGCTTGCAGCGAGCTGAGATTGTGCCATTGCACTCCAGACTGGGCGACCAGAGCGAAACTCCGTCTCAAAAAAGAAAAAAAAAATTACTTTTAAAACCAAGTACTAGCTCATCTCTAAGTAATACTATTTAAGTAGGCAAAAGCCCCTGGAGGTCGCCTGAACTTTTTATACTCTTAGCTGAGGGGACAGAAGAGAAATGATATGACATTTACAGAAACCCCTATGTGGCCTGGCCTCATTGGAATTTTTTCTGTTAGTTAAATAAAGACCATTTGTTTCTATTGATTAAAAACAAAATTATTCATATAATGGGTTCAAGAAAACAAATTATTTCCCTAATGGACAGTGTAGGTCAGGACTAGAAGCAAACAAGGATCTTCTATCCCTCACACATCTCAACACTCAAGCAAAAACTCAAAGAAAACAATGATACTGATGGCCACGTCATGCACCGTGCTCACACAAGGATGCCAAGAGGCTTCATATGTGTTCCTTACCTGGACCCTTTTCACTGGATCAGAAACATGGATGTCTTAGTCTGATAGGCATCCTCTGCTAATGCATTTTAAATGATTGAATCAATAATTTGATGGGCCACTTTTTATAAGATGCTACGATATCCTATGAAGCACTATTAAAATATTCATTTTTCTGCACACCAGATGTGGCCCAATTGTTAATAACCAATATTGGTTCTCTGGCAAAAGGAGCAAAGGCAGCCCTCTAAGATATTCCTCACTGATATTCCATTTTTCAGTGGGTAGGGAGACATGAGTAGGAAGCAAATCTGGGTCCCTGCACCCACGATCTTGGTGCCATCAAAGTGCCACTGCTGGCAGGTTCCTGGGCACCATCTGAGACCAACCCCACTGTGAGGTTGAAGGAGGCTGATCAGAACAGTGGTCCTCCACCTCCTCCCTGACACCTTGGGAAGATGACTTCCCAAGTCATCTTCTATTTATGTGGTCTTATTCCCATAACTGGGGCCAGATGATCCCACCCTGGGAAGACTGGGGAAATACCCAGAATGCTGACCTGAAAGTCCAATTTTCCCAATGTTTCTACTGTTCCCATGTCAAAAGTCTTTGGGCAAAATCTCCCAGGCTTGAGAGATTTCAATCCAGCCTGGATCACCTCTCCACTTCCTCCATCCCAGAGTGAAATTAAAAATCCCATCTGCTGTCAATGAGGAGTCCCTTCAGGCCCTAAAGTTTAGGAAGAGGAATCCCTATCTTGTCTTCTTCACTGTCATCCCAGCACATCAGTTACTTAAAACAACCCAATTTCAAGAACTGATAGACCTTCATTTCTGGACACACCAAAAACAAGCAAATTCCAGAGGATCAGCTTCAGGGTGGCAGAATGGAAGGAGTAAAAGCCAACCACGGGGCCAGGTGCAGTGGCTCACGCCTGTAATCCCAGCACTTTGGGAGGCTGAGGTGGGCAGGTCACCTGAGGTCAGGAGTTCAAGACCAGCCTGGTCAACATGGTGAAACCCCGTCTCTATTAAAAACACAAAATATTAGCCAGGCATGGTGGCGGGCGCTGGTAGTCCCAGCTACTCGGGAGGCTGAGGCTGGAGAATCACTTGAACCCAGGAGGCGGAGATTGTGGTGAGCCAAGATTGCACCACTGCACTCCAGCCTGGGTGGCGAGTGAAACTCCATCTGAAATAACAACAACAAAAAGCCAACCATGGGATCTGTGGCACAGCTCTCACTTCACCATTAGCTCAGCCAGGACTGGCAAGGGAGTGCCGACTGGAGAATCTTATCCTCTGTTCCTTAGCTGTTTAGATGTATAAAGCCTGAGGGCTTGGCACCTAATTAGGGTTTCAGAGCTTTGTTTTTCTCTCATCTAATTACATTTGCCCTGTGGGGAAGAGCCTCTGTCCAGGAGGCATTGCTCTCTGAAAATCTGTCTCAGCCCAACAACAGGTGCGAGAAGGTGAGCAGCTCCTCTCCCCACCAATGCGGTGAGATGCTGAGCCAGGCCCTGGCTTCTTCTTCCTCCTCTCCTTTCATTATCTCTAACTCCAGTGTCAGCCCTCAAGCAGTCCCCTGCTTTGTCACCCCTGGCAAGGTGGGGAATGTTCTCTTAACCTGCAGCTTTCTCCTTCAGGAACAAAGCGCAGCCTCTTAGCAGCTAGCAATCAACTCCTGTGCTCAGGGCCTTCCAGCCAGACCTTCTGCAGTGCACCCTGGTAGGGGGTAAATTATCCTGAGCTTGGAAAATGTGACTGAAATCACCTCCGACAGAGGGAAATGGGTTTTCATAAAAGACGTTTCCTCACCTTCGGTTGCAACTCAATTCAACTGACCATTTCCCACCCTGGATCTCAAAAGAAATTTCTGCTTTGCTTCTGGGTATGAGCCTGGGTGATAATGAAAGGTACTTAGGAAGCCAGGCCTATTGAAGCAGCGTAGCCCTCAGAGGGGCATGGCTGACTTGGCTAAGAGTAGGACAGGGTGTGGGGTTGAGGAATCCATGGGGACTCAGGGCATCCTGTCGCAGACACAGGAGCTGACCCAGCCACAGGGTCACAGGACAGCCTGTGTCACCACAGTCTCTGTGCAGAGTCCAGAGTTCACAAATGAGATAAATGGACATTTGCTGACTGGGGTAACTCAGCATCTATTCACCCTATTTCTGGGAAAAGCCTCAATTTACATGTGGGAATGGACCACCCCCTTATTGTTATAGGAGTTATTAAGAAATTATTTTAGGCAGATAGAGAGGAAAAGAGGTCCTTGGGAAGTTTTTGTTTCTTTTAAAGCAGATCCAGAAACCTTTCTTGTCTAACAGGAGAGCGCCAGCTCTAAGAGTCACTGGCAAGCTTTGATATGCAAACGCAGGCCACTGGAAACTGAGTCCACCCAAACATGGAGATTCCAGGTTTCTTCCTTGCCCCAACAGGTGGCTGGCAACATGGCCGCCCCCACATATCCCCACGTGTGTAGAACATCATGGCGCCCTGCATTTGCATCTTAAAAGGCTAGACTGTGAGGGCCAGCTTTTTCGCAGGCTATGTGAATGACCTGCCTGGTCAAACCAATCCTCTGAGCCCTATGCAAGCCAGCACCGCCTCCTCCAGCCTCCTCATATAACTAGCTGATTACACCACACACACGCCCTCCCCCCACATCCCTTCTCCCCACCGGGGTTTTCTCTCTGTTCAAATCCCCTCTCCCTCTGTCTCTGTACTGGGGAGCTGTTTTCTTCTTCCTTCCTTCTTTCTTGTATATTAAACTTTTCGCTCCTTAAAACCACTCCAGGTGTGTCTGTGTCATTTTATCCAAGTGTGTGCTAGACCAAGAACCCTGGTGCTCCTCCAGTCATCTGAGCCATATCATTATCTCATTCTGTTTTTGATGGCACTAACCACCAGCATACCCTGCTCCATCAGAACACTCATCCTCCTGAGCTCTGTGAATGGCTCAGGATGCACAAGTGAGAGAAAAATGTAGCCAAGTGAGGAGGCAGAGAGAAACTGCCTCCTGGTAACACAGTGTGCGCCCCTGGATCAAGCCATGCCTGAAGGCAGTTTATTCTGAACTTTTACAATAAGTGCTCTTTTTGTTTAAATCACTTTGGATTGGGTTTTTGTTCACTTGTAAGCAAAAGCACACTATGATAAAAGGGGATACAAGACAAGTATCACAAATCCAGAAATGAGAAGGGCCCAACCCCAGAGCCCAGGCCAGTCAGGGAAGTGAAGAAACAGACAGCATCTGAGATGCCTATGCCCAGTATCCAGGGGCTAGGTCCATGGCCTTTGAGCCTTAAGATGCAGGAGATCCCTGTGGGGAACTTCACAACAGCGTAGATTCCCACTCATTCCCACAGCCAATTCTCATCCTTCAGTCTGGAAGGGGAACCAGAGGTTTGGTTTTTAACCAATATCCAGGCAATTTGGAAGCAGATAACACAGAGAATACTTTGAGAAACACTTCCCTACACTCTGAGCTGGGAGTTAAAGGACAGGGTTCCAGTCTCTGCGGTGAGGCAGTGGCAAGAGCTCCGTGGGCGGGAAGAATATTAGGCCAGAGCTTAGAACAGGACTGCAGAAGCAAGCATGGAATGGAAGCACATCTGGTGATCTGTGACATACAACGAGCCTGCAGATCACAGGCAATGATTTTTGGAAACTCATCACACAGTAGTTTGAAGCAGCAGGAACGATTTCATCCAAAGTGCCATGAGAACACTTCCGAGTCTACAAATGCTTTCATAGGTCAATCTAAGCTGTTCCTCCCAACCAACCTGTCTGGCAATTAGAAATTAGGAAATTAAAACTCAGAGTGTCTAAATAGCATGCACAAAGCCACACAGCTCACTGGTTCAGTAGCCTAGACCTGGGTCCCAGTCTGTCTGACACCAAAACCCACACTTTTCAAATAATTCTCCCTTCCACCGGGGGAAGGGCTGGGTCTCAGGAAAGGTCTAAGGGACACACAGTGCGGGGATCAGTGAGACCCTACTCAGCAGGCCCAGATGAGGGAAGGGGGTGCTCCATCTGACTGCACAGGAAGGCAAGGCCATTTTAACTTTGCAGCATCTTCAACTCATCTGGCTCAAGAAATCCCAGCCCAGCTTGGGGATGGAGAGTGGAGGAACACAGGGGCACTCTTGCAAGTGAAGACTAAGCTCTGATTTTTTTTTTTATCTTACCCAAATTCCCTATCTAAAGGGTCTGGGGAGTGATGTCCTACAAACCATAAATTCTCATCAGATGGATTTTATTTAACCCTATATATTGTGACTTACTTTCCAAACTGACTCTGTCATAACATTATGAGACAAGGAAGAAAATCAAAATATTTTACCCCAAAACATAGGCTTTTTTGTCCATATCTTGAAATGGCCCTGCAAAGCTGTCCTTTGTGGGGGAAAATTTGTATCTGTAAAGAATCTCTATTAACATAGCTAGATATTTTTCTTCCAGGCCCTCCCAATCCTAAAGAGATTAACTGAAAGTCTAGCACTTTGTTTTTTTTTTGTTTGAGACGGAGTCTCACTCTGTCGCCCAGGCTGGAGTGCAGTGACATGATCTCGGCTCACTGCAACCTCTGCCTCCCGGGTTCAAGCGATTCTCCTGCTTCAGCCTCCTGAGTAGCTGGGACTACAGACGCCCACGACCACACACAGCTAATTTTTATATTTTTAGTAGAAATGAGGTTTCACCACATTGGCCAGGATGGTCTCAAACTCCTGCCCTTGTGATCCACACCCACCTGGGCCTCCCAAAGTGCTGGGATTACAGGCGTGAGCCACCGTGCCTGGCCAAGTCTAGCACCTTTTAAAGATCTGAATAGGAAACATTTGCCATCTATTGTCTCTGAGGACAGCCTCTATAAGACTTCAAAAGAACCTTGGTCTCCACCATCTTTTATCTTAACTTGAAAATTCCCTTTCTATGGATCCCAGGTCTTTAGACAAACTCACTGAAATTTACCTATAGCCTGGAAGCGCCCCTCTCCTCCTGCTTTGGTCCCACCTTTCTGGACCAAACCAGTGTATTTCTTAAATGTACTTGATCGATGTCTCATGCCTTTCTAAAATGCATAAAACCAAGCTGTACCCCGACCACCTTGGACACATGTTCTCAGGACCTCCTGAGGGCTATGGCAAGGGCCGTGGTCACTCATATTTGGCTCAGAATACATCTCTTCAAATATTTTACTGAGTTTGACTCTTTTCGTCTACAGGAGCAATGGAAATGATTTTCTTTGATCACAGTGTCAGCTCCTGACATTGGGTTGCGCCCATCTGTGCTGTGGACTCTTCCCTCGGAATGAGAGAGGGAGATGGCTCCCAGTGTGGTTGGAAGTCACCCCGCCCCACAACAACACAGTGCAACAGGCCCCAGCTTCACGCCCATTCAGTTCAGGACAAGTTTTTTGGAGCATCTACTCTGGGCCAGGCCCGTAGGATACTAAGATGAAATAGAGACAGTTCCTGCCTTTGAAGGGTGGTGATTTACCGGTGGGGAGAAAGGAAGAGGCCCATGAAAAGTCGTGTCTGTAGAAGGTAAGAAGGGGCACAACCGCCATGGCAGGGGAGTCACAAAGGAGAAGCACTCAGCCTGCCGAGAGGTCCCAGGACTTTCCTGGAGGATCAGTCCCCAAACTGACTGTGACAGGGAGCTATACCCAGATAACAGCAGAGGCCCAGAATAAGAAAGAGTCTGTGAGTGGGCAGAATTCCCTCCAGGGTCATGAGGGGAGCTGACTTCTGATTAGGGCATTTCATCCTTCTCTGAAATGCAGCTGAGAACTGGTCAGCCTCACTCCCTTGCTGAGACCAATAGCAACCCCTGATGATCTCGCCACAGGTCCAGCAGGTGCCCCATCCACACTTTGTCCCCAGCCCCTACCAGGAAGCTCCAAACACCTACCTGAGGGGCCAACTCTGATTCCCAAGGAGGTGACACCTCCTGCCCCTTGTTGATAGAACATTGATAAGGAAATAGGACTGAGTTTTAAGCTTCTTTCCATGTCAAATATTTAAAGGCAATATAATGTTCACGTTTAAATAATATTTCATGTGTAATTAAACAATCCCTTATTGTTAAATAGATGGGTTCCAATTTTGAACTGCTATAATCTGTGTATGTGTCCTTGATTAAATCCTTAAGAGAAATCCCTAGAAACATTATCTTAGGGTCAAATGGCTTGGATATTCTGTAAACTGCTGATAATTATGGGAAATTGCCTTCCAGGAAGGTTATAACAATTTGCCTGATCCCCAGCAGCAACAGACTTTACAAAGTACTCAGTATCTAATATTTAACTTTGATAAAGATAAGCTTCTCCCTTCTTTTTCACTTAAAATGCTGTGTCCCACCTCACTTTTCAGTGTCTCTTCACACTGACTAGACGGTTGGCTAATACTTCAGAGCTTGCAGAGCATCTTTATACACTTTTAATCCTCCTAACAACCGTGAGAGATGGAGCTTACTATTATCATCCGTGTTTGCAAATGAGGCCCTGAGAAGTTGAGTGATTTCTGTAAGGTCTCAGAGCCAATAGACACTGGTAATGAAATAAAATGCAAGGCCCCTTATCTTTGGAGCCCAGTGTTCCTTCCACATAGGTGGTTCTCCACCCAGGCTGCCCAGGAGAATGTGGAATCTCCAGCAGTTCTGACTTAACTGGCCTGGTGTGGATGTCTGTGATGGGTGAACATTCCCAGACCCTTTTAAGAACGTGATAGAAGTGGTAGACCCACTTCCCAGAAAAAGGGACGCACAACAAAATAATTGTCCTGAGTGGGTCTGACAGAATCAAGTGAACCCTTTAAATCTGGATCTAGAGGTCAGAGACTGAGAATGTCAGAGATGCAAAAGAGATTCAGTGCAAGAGAAATCCTCCTACTGGTTTTGAAGATAGATGTTGGCACCCTGTGTCAACAACCTGAGAGTGGCCTTGAGTTGCTGGGAGCACCCCAGACTGACAAACAGCAAGAAGAATATGGGGACCTCAGTCCTACAACCACAGGAACTGAATTCTACTGACAACCAGTGAGCTTGCAAAGAGGACTTGGAGCCCCAGATGAGAAGCAACCCTGGCTACCCCGATCTCAACCCTGTGAGATCCTAAACAGACAATCCAGCCATGCAACACCCAAACTTCTGACCTATAGAAACCCTGAGATAATAAATGGGCATTGCTCTAAATCACCAAGTTTGTGGTAATTTGTTACACAGCCATAGGAAGTGAATCGACCCGATGTATCTGAGCACCTGCTAGGTTATCATTAAGATTACTCTTCAAAGGTAAAAATTATTTTTCAAAATGTTTCTGCCCTACCTTCCGTGAGCATCTGGTGATGGATGGACACACACACATAAAGGTAGACTGTGTTTAGGTGGGCATGGTGGTGCATACCTGTGGTCCCAGCTACTCAGGAGGCTGAAAGAGGAGGATCACTAGGGCCCAGGAGTTCAAGGCTGCAGTGAAGCTGTGATTGAGCCATTGCACTCAAACTTGGGCAACAGAGCAAGACACCAGCTCTAAAAAAAAAAAAAACTGCTGAATGCTATAAATAAGATTGGAACTTGCTCTGCTTTTACAAGACCACTGTTAGATGACCACTGACAAGAAGACTGTGAGCTGGTCTCTGTAGGAAGCAGGGGCCTGGGCAGCTCTGGGGGCACAGGAGACAGGCCTGGGGCAGAGACACCTCAGGGCATTTTCAGAAGACAGCCAAAGCAGCCATTCCAGCTTGTCCAGGTAGATGGCAAGTCAATGGGAAATCATTCCAGGAAGGTAGGGAAAGATGGAATTCTGGAGAGCATTGGACCTCAGATTGGGAGTCTGAACGTCTTTCCATATGCATCAGGAAGCCATGGAAAATTCACAGACTGGAGTGACTTTGGCAAAGGTGGGATTTAGGAAGACTGATCAAGGCACGGGATAGACCCATGGATGAATGGCCTTCTGGTCAGTTTGTCCCTGTGGTTTTCTATGCTGAGGAGGTGGGAATGTGCTGGGTGAGTCAGCTGTGGATTTGTGTCCCTGCCTCACCTCACTCCCCACTGTCGTGGATTTGTCGGCTCATCTTTAGTGCGCTCCCTGAAGAAACACTCAGTTCACTCAGCTTGTTTCTAACCCAAAACACTCTGCAGGGCCCATCCTCTTGTCTTTGCCTGGGGATGCCAGACCATGCACTGCGGATGCCTTCCGCCTTAGCACTAGTGGGCTAAATGATGACTGCCTTGCTGTCCCAACACCACCCATCAAAGGGAAGACATCACCACTGGGGTCAGTACAGCCCAAGTGACAAACTCTATTCCCTCCTTTCTCTCCATCCCATGGACCCTTGATTTGCTAAGTGGGAAGACACTTTCTCGTGGTTCAACATCACCTAATCTGCACAATTGCTTCTGCAGGCTAATTCAGCCAGAAACCCTGGATATCTGGGCAGAAGCGCATGGAACTTTTAGAAGGATTACTACTGCTTTTAATATTCCCTCTGTCTTGAGTCAGACCACCACCAAGATCAGAGTTAATATTATATATCAAAGTCCTGCCATCAGCCTGTAGGATTTATTACTAGCATCTCTCCACTTCAGAGCTATGGGAACCAATGGAATTGGATCTAAGGTTTTGAGTTGGCTCTTGTGCATGGAAATTTGATGCAAACACTCTAATTTATTGGCCCTAAAGGGCTTTGGCAAGTCATTTTGGCAAGTCACCCACTGAACACAGAGTGAAATTTGCAGAGGTTTCCCCTCTGCTCGAACAGTGGTGTTCTCAGCACGTACAGGGAAGTTCTGCCCCCTTCCAGCCAGGTGAGCTAGGGGATTTTGCCTACCCTTTCTGAACCTCAGTTTTCTCATCCATAAGATGGGAATAAAAACATGGTCCTGGATGTATGTCTCATGCTAGGCACTGAGGCAGGGTACTCTCTCCCCTGAATGCCTTGCTATTGATGCATCACCAGTAAGGCATGCATTCATTGCACAGAAACTTAGGCATATGCCTACCAACATGCCCGATGTTGTGTGAGGCCTGACCGCTGTGAGGATGGACTTCCATCTGTGTGAATGGATTCATGAGACCAGCCCTCACTCTCAGGACTGAGGGCATTGGTGCTCTAACTTGTCTGAATATGGAATCAGCTGGAGAGATTCTGTAAATTACCAGTCCCATTCCACCCCTGAGATCCTGATTTCATCGGTCTTATTTCATTGCAGCCTGGTCGTTGGGATGTTTAAAACTCTCCCTAGGAATTCCAATGTGCAGCCAAGTTTGCAACTACACGGAGCCAGGTTAGTGGTGCGGTCAGCATGGTGATAATTGGGCTCATGAACCCATGACCTCAGCTTCATCAGGAGACCCACTGTAAGTACTGGCCCAACAGGAGGGAAAGGAGCTGAGTCAGATGATACCACTGAGGGGCATGAGCAAATGAAAAAACAGGAACCCAGCCATGAAGCTCGGCCTGAGTGTTGGAGATGCCACTATAGAGACCCTGGTCTTAGCAATCCAGACTTTTCCCCAGCAGAAGGGAGAGGCGAAGATTATCCTGGCCAGGACTGTGTAAGGCCTTTGAAGGTTGACCATCCATCTCACCCTGCTGTTTCCCTCCTTCCCTGCAGAACAGCCGTTCACCTGAATGTTCCAGGCTTTTGGTTAACAACCCCTGGTCTTTTGTACCCATTCACACTCAAAATCAGGGGGAATTCCTTGAAATGGTTAAAATGCAAAAGTGAAATTTAGAAGCCCTATGAATGAAACAACAATCCAACAAAAAATTCCCAACACTTTAAGCAAATGCTTTTCTGGCAGAGCCTTCAAATTGCTACTGTCCCACTATCTTCTGGAATCGTGTGTGTGTGTGTGTGTGTGTGTGTGTAGAGCAACAGGTGAAGCAGCAACCATAAGGTAGCCTACTTCAGGTCTGGCACCTCTTTTCACTGCTGTCATGCCCTCTTCACTGAGATCCTGACTTAAATATGTACACATGTGAATGCTGATTTCTTAGCATGAATTTTAACTCAGCTGTTGCTCGAGCATCAATGATTCCCAATTCCCATCAGAGTGAATGGCCCCTTCCTGGTCTCTGCAGTCAGCCCTCTGAAGCTGCTCAGCTGAACCCCTGGGAGCTGAGGGGCCAACTCTGACTCCCAAGAAGGTGACCTCTATCTCCCTTCCAGGGCCAGAGATGCAACATCACACACACACTGTCTTTGGAATGTGTGATTAAGCTTTTGGCTGCCAGTAGCCTGACAGCTTCCAGCAGCTTTGTCTGCCACCGTGTCCACTTCTCTGTGCCAAAGTCACTGAAACAAAGGGACTGCAGATGTTGCTGTGAAGTCTTTCCGATTCTCCAGGACAGAGGAAAGCACTACATTGGGTGGGGGGTGGAGTGGGGATGATGGACTGTGGGAAACCTGCATGATGGGCATGAAACAATAAAAATGAAGCTGATTTTCTTCATAGCACTTGCTGCCATAGAGATACATTTGTTTCTGTGACCCTCTCACTGGAATGTAAACTCCCTGAAAGCAAGGACTTGGCTTATTGCTGTATCCCAAGAGCCTGACACAGTGCCTGGCACATGGTAGACACTCAATAGATGTTTGAGATAGGGAGGGAGGGAGGCAGAAAGGGAGGGAGGCAGAAAGGGAGGGAAGGAAGGAGCAAGGAAGGAAGGAAGGAAGGAAGGGAGGGAGGGAGGGAGGGAGGGACATAGACAGTGGATTTGGATAGACTTGGCTTTAATCCTTTCTGTAGCAATTCTAGCTGTGTAAAAATACGCGAGTGAGTCATTTATTTTCTTTGAGTCTCTTTCTTCATCATAGTACCAATTAACAGGGCTGGGGTAAAGAGTGATACATGTAAGGTTGCTAGCACTATTGGCAATCAAAACATGAGAGCTACTTATTTACATTGTGAGTATTGCTACTACTGATATTATCATTTCTGGACATTACTAATGATGTGAGCACTGGCCTTTCATCAGAGATTACTGGATAAGGAACATTTACCGTCTTGTCTCTGCTCATTGTGCTAAAGTTCCTTCTTTATCCAACAACACTTTCTCCTGTTTTCCCAATTTAGTGAAAGGATTAATCTTTTCACTCTCATTCTTCCTGTTTTGTTTCCCATAATATGGGTCCCATCCTTCCTCATGAGATGGGTATCTCAGCAATTGAGCCCACCCCACCCACATATTTGACCCTGATCCAAGACCCTCATTTCTGGGAATGAACCCCAGATCAGCCATGATAGAGGATAGCCTGGTTTTATCTTTTTGCTTCTGAGCAGGATCCAACAATTCTCATAAAATTTTCCCCAGCCTGTTCAGTGGAATTGTCAAAGCATCATTTTCAAAAAGTGAAAACATGATTCTTATATAAGTCTATAGGGAGTGTGTATAAAGATCTGTTTACTTCACAAAAGAAAGAACCAGAGGATGGTAAAGCTGTTTGAAAAGAGAATTGGAAGGAGAAAGATTTGGATAGACCATCAGAAACAGCATGCTGACATAAGTTTGCTAATTTGGAAACCTCACTCATTAATGTCCTGTGGAGCAATAAAATCTTTTTACAGGACAAAAATCATTTGTATCTCTACCAGACAAAAATTAACATGTAACTTGGCAGAGTCTGGGCCCTAATCAATAGTAAATAGTAAGTCAAACAAAAGTACCTTCCCTTAGAGAGTTAAAAAAAGCTTTGGTGGTTTGTTAGGCAACCTTCCAGTATGGCATTAGAAAGACGTGCAGTCATCCTATTTTTACTTCCAAGTTTGGGATACTTTTTTTTTTGAGATGGAATTTTGCTCTTGTTGGCCAGGCTGGAATGCAGTGGCATGATCTCACCTCACTGCAACCTCCACCTCCCTGGTCCAAGCAATTCTCCTGCCTCAGCCTTCCCAGCAGCTGGGATTACAGGTACACACCACCACGCCTGGCTAATTTTTGTATTTTTTAATAGACACAGGATTTTACCACGTTGGCCAGACTGGTCTCAAACTCCTGACCTCAAGTGATCCGCCCACCTTGGCCTCTCAAAGTGCTGTGATTACAGGCATGAGCCACCATGCCTGGCCAAGTTCAGGATACATTTTTAAAACAAAATTGGTCCCCCTCAGCCTGGTGGATGTCCCTGCAGAATTTAAAAATACTATTATGTTCTAGATGTCTGATGCTGTCAATTCTCAATGGCCAGAAGAGGGCATCTGCCCAGATCAGTTCAGGTGTCTATCCCTGGTCTGATCGCCTGTGCCCACGGTAGCGTATCAGGTACACGGCGCTGTTTCTTCCCTGCTATTGGTAGAACAGCTTTTCCAAGAAGGGGATAGGCTGGAATGGAAGAAAAGAGTCCAAAGAGGAAGGAACCACAACAGAAAGAGAATTGCTTTCCTTTCAGTTGTGGGAGCACCAGCTTAATGCCTCTTTTCCACATTTGCCCAGCAGAGGAAATGTTTGGGCCGAATGACAGAAAACCTAGGGTAGCCTTTTTGGTGCCTCCTGACAATCACAGAAGCAGGCTGGGATCCTACCCAGGTATGGCAGAGCAAGTGAGCCCACCTAGGTGGGAATCCTTACCCTCCTAATCCTGCAGGTTCACTTCACAATCTTGTGTAGACCTTAAACCATTGTTTAGACAGTTATATGAAATGGGGTATTTTCTAGAGAAAAGGACAGTGAATGGGGATATGGGGATTTTTTTTTTTTTTTTTTGAGACAGAGTCTCACTCTGTCGCCTAGGCTGGAGTACAGCCATGCTCCCAAGCCATGCTTCCTGTATGGCCTGTGGAACATAGAGTCAATTAAACATCTTTCTTTTTTTTTTTTTTTTTTTTGAGATGGAGTCTCGCTCTGTCACTCAGGCTGGAGTGCAGTGGTGTGATCTTGGCTCAATGCAACCTCCACCTCCAGGGTTCAAGCAATCCTCCTGCCTCAGCCTCCTGAGTAGCTAGGATTACAGGTGTGTGTGTGTGTGTGTGTGTGTGTGTGTGTGTGTGTGTTTAGTAGACACGGGGTTTCACCATGTTGGCCAGGCTGGTCTCTAACTCCCGACCTCGTGGTCTGCCCACCTCGGCCTCCCAAAGTGCTAGGATTATAGGCATGAGCCACCGCGCCCGGCCCACCTCTTTTCTTTATAAGTTACCCGGTTTCAGGTAGTTCTTCATAGCAATGCAGACTAATACAACTACTTTGAGTCTCACCTTTCCTTATTTGGAAAAATATTTCCATTGAAGTGTTATGGTGAAGATTCAATACAATTAAATGATATAACATATGTAAAGGGCTTAGCAATAACCCAATGGCTAATAAGCAGCCAAGGAGTGGTAGCTCTCAGTATAGTCAGCCTCTAAGAAGAGAGCAAATGTTTATTTTCAAGAAGAATTATGCAGAAAGGGCCACTTTCAGTCTACCATCCCCCCAGATTCCTTGAAGGCAGGATGATGTGAGCAGCAAGGGAAGAAAGGGGAGTGGGCACGAAATACTACAGAACCTGCAGGGAACGAAGTCCCTCTGTCTGTGTGTGCCTATATCAATAACTTAAACTTACACATTCATGAGATGCACTGTGTTTATTAGGATGTACATGTGTCCCTAAGAATCTGAGAGCTCCTGAGAGACAGAGACGGTGTCTTACTCATCTGCTCTCCCCAGGTCCTCGCTTACTACCTGGCACTTATTGGGTAATAAATGTCTGTTGAATGCATGAAAAAAGAAAGGTAGGAAAGGTGTGAAGGAGAAGATGGAGGTCATGACCAGTAGAAATCTCAGCAGTTCTGCCTGGGCTCCATGTCATCTCCCTGCTATTAGGCCCATCAGAATGTAAGCACAAATGCCTAGAGAATGACAAGCTTCTTTGGGACTCTGCTGACTAGACATGACATAAGACTGGACAGCTCCTGGGGAACTTCCAAGAGCTGGCTCCAGGCAGTGACTAATCCTAGGAGCTGCTGGCTTGGCTGCCTCTCTCCCTTCCTTATTTCCAAGATTGGTCACCTCCTGCTCTGAAATAGCAATTGATTTTCAGACATGAGTTGATAGAACCATGATTTTCTAATACTGTTCCAAAGAGGCTAAAGTACCTCTGAGGAGCAGTGCAGGCTAGGATCAAACTCTCCCTACCTTCCACTCCACTCCCTACCTTGCCCCTCCACCTCTGCCCACTTTCTATTTCTTCAGGCACAGCAGCTTCTACCTTATGGATTACAAATTCTGATCATCTATGGTTGCATTAGGAAAAGAGTACTGCTACTTTCATTTTCTTTTCTAACCACTGCCCTAGAAGAATAACACCTCACATTCTCTGGTAGACTGAAGCCTGCAGCTGCAAGGATGCTCAGAAAACCAGACTTCTATTCATTGGCCACTTGCTGCACGCTCTGTCCCTCGATCCTTGCAACGTACCTTTGAGGTAGGCACAAAAATTCCCATTTACAAGTGAGAAAACCAAGGCAAAAGAGGTTCAGTTTATTTCAGGCTCAAATGTGCTTCCAATAGCTTATAGCCTCTACAGCTAGTGTTTGAACCCAGGTCTGAAACAAATAGGATTGACAAGGGGAGGGAAAAGAGGAACAGAAATTCTTTTCTATAAGACAATTGTTTATGCAGCCAGGATTTCTTAAAATCCAGTTTGTGCCTACGGACATAATCTTTGAATTTGCTTTGTTTCTCGATGAATAACTTGGAAGCTATTCAAATAACTTGGAAGCTTCCTTTAAAAGGAACATCAGGAGGTGATTTTTGACTAACCCTAGGTGTCCTTTCTGAGCCAAATAGATTTTCAAATAAGAAAATGAGAGGACATGAGCTTGAGGAAAATGATAGGCATTCCAACCTCATCCGCTTGCTGACGACCTCCACGTGATTTCAACAATGATTTCAAATATTTCACTTTTTAAGTCAGTGTGACTTAAGTATGAAATTGCCTCTCCCTAAAGCTCCCCTAAGGCCTAAACAGTCGTCATTACCATAGCTGTGACAGGGAGACTGTTGAATTTATAATCTATTGGCCATTCACAGCATAGCGTATAAACCTAGCTCATGATTTCTTTGCAATAGAAGTGTACTTTTTCATCACATTCCCTTCACAACTTACTCACCAGATCAGACTTTGAGCTCTCCTCCTGGCTTAGCCTGGATCGTTTGAAATGGTCATCCATCCTTTGGCCCCAATACCTAAACTAAGGTCTATGAACAATAAGATGATTTTCTTCAGTGGGACTTTTTTGTTTAATATATTAGATTTGACCTTCAGCAAGGTCAAAGGGAGTCCGAACTAGTCTCAGGCTTCAACATCGAATACGCCGCAGGCCCCTTCGCCCTATTCTTCATAGCCGAATACACAAACATTATTATAATAAACACCCTCACCACTACAATCTTCCTAGGAACAACATATAACGCACTCTCCCCTGAACTCTACACAACATATTTTGTCACCAAGACCCTACTTCTGACCTCCCTGTTCTTATGAATTCGAACAGCATACCCCCGATTCCGCTACGACCAACTCATACACCTCCTATGAAAAAACTTCCTACCACTCACCCTAGCATTACTTATATGATATGTCTCCATACCCATTACAATCTCCAGCATTCCCCCTCAAACCTAAGAAATATGTCTGATAAAAGAGTTACTTTGATAGAGTAAATAATAGGAGTTTAAATCCCCTTATTTCTAGGACTATGAGAATCGAACCCATCCCTGAGAATCCAAAATTCTCCGTGCCACCTATCACACCCCATCCTAAAGTAAGGTCAGCTAAATAAGCTATCGGGCCCATACCCCGAAAATGTTGGTTATATCCTTCCCGTACTAATTAATCCCCTGGCCCAACCCGTCATCTACTCTACCATCTTTGCAGGCACACTCATCACAGCGCTAAGCTCGCACTGATTTTTTACCTGAGTAGGCCTAGAAATAAACATGCTAGCTTTTATTCCAGTTCTAACCAAAAAAATAAACCCTCGTTCCACAGAAGCTGCCATCAAGTATTTCCTCACGCAAGCAACCGCATCCATAATCCTTCTAATAGCTATCCTCTTCAACAATATACTCTCCGGACAATGAACCATAACCAATACCACCAATCAATACTCATCATTAATAATCATAATGGCTATAGCAATAAAACTAGGAATAGCCCCCTTTCACTTCTGAGTCCCAGAGGTTACCCAAGGCACCCCTCTGACATCCGGCCTGCTCCTTCTCACATGACAAAAACTAGCCCCCATCTCAATCATATACCAAATTTCTCCCTCATTAAACGTAAGCCTTCTCCTCACTCTTTCAATCTTATCCATCATGGCAGGCAGTTGAGGTGGATTAAACCAAACCCAACTACGCAAAATCTTAGCATACTCCTCAATTACCCACATAGGATGAATAACAGCAGTTCTACCGTACAACCCTAACATAACCATTCTTAATTTAACTATTTATATTATCCTAACTACTACCGCATTCCTACTACTCAACTTAAACTCCAGCACCACAACCCTACTACTATCTCGCACCTGAAACAAGCTAACATGACTAACACCCTTAATTCCATCCACCCTCCTCTCCCTAGGAGGCCTGCCCCCGCTAACCGGCTTTTTGCCCAAATGGGCCATTATCGAAGAATTCACAAAAAACAATAGCCTCATCATCCCCACCATCATAGCCATCATCACCCTCCTTAACCTCTACTTCTACCTGCGCCTAATCTACTCCACCTCAATCACACTACTCCCTATATCTAACAACGTAAAAATAAAATGACAGTTTGAACACACAAAACCCACCCCATTCCTCCCCACACTCATCGCCCTTACCACACTGCTCCTACCTATCTCCCCTTTTATGCTAATAATCTTATAGAAATTTAGGTTAAATACAGACCAAGAGCCTTCAAAGCCCTCAGTAAGTTGCAATACTTAATTTCTGCAACAGCTAAGGACTGCAAAACCCCACTCTGCATCAACTGAACGCAAATCAGCCACTTTAATTAAGCTAAGCCCTTACTAGACCAATGGGACTTAAACCCACAAACACTTAGTTAACAGCTAAGCACCCTAATCAACTGGCTTCAATCTACTTCTCCCGCCGCCGGGAAAAAAGGCGGGAGAAGCCCCGGCAGGTTTGAAGCTGCTTCTTCGAATTTGCAATTCAATATGAAAATCACCTCAGAGCTGGTAAAAAGAGGCTTAACCCCTGTCTTTAGATTTACAGTCCAATGCTTCACTCAGCCATTTTACCTCACCCCCACTGATGTTCGCCGACCGTTGACTATTCTCTACAAACCACAAAGACATTGGAACACTATACCTATTATTCGGCGCATGAGCTGGAGTCCTAGGCACAGCTCTAAGCCTCCTTATTCGAGCCGAACTGGGCCAGCCAGGCAACCTTCTAGGTAACGACCACATCTACAACGTTATCGTCACAGCCCATGCATTTGTAATAATCTTCTTCATAGTAATACCCATCATAATCGGAGGCTTTGGCAACTGACTAGTTCCCCTAATAATCGGTGCCCCCGATATGGCGTTTCCCCGCATAAACAACATAAGCTTCTGACTCTTACCCCCCTCTCTCCTACTCCTGCTTGCATCTGCTATAGTGGAGGCCGGCGCAGGAACAGGTTGAACAGTCTACCCTCCCTTGGCAGGGAACTACTCCCACCCTGGAGCCTCCGTAGACCTAACCATCTTCTCCTTACACCTAGCAGGTATCTCCTCTATCTTAGGAGCCATCAATTTCATCACAACAATTATTAATATAAAACCCCCTGCCATAACCCAATACCAAACGCCCCTTTTCGTCTGATCCGTCCTAATCACAGCAGTCTTACTTCTCCTATCTCTCCCAGTCCTAGCCGCTGGCATCACTATACTACTAACAGACCGTAACCTCAACACCACCTTCTTCGACCCAGCCGGAGGAGGAGACCCCATTCTATACCAACACCTATTCTGATTTTTCGGTCACCCTGAAGTTTATATTCTCATCCTACCAGGCTTCGGAATAATCTCCCATATTGTAACTTACTACTCCGGGAAAAAAAGAACCATTTGGATACATAGGTATGGTCTGAGCTATGATATCAATTGGCTTCCTAGGGTTTATCGTGTGAGCACACCATATATTTACAGTAGGAATAGACGTAGACACACGAGCATATTTCACCTCCGCTACCATAATCATCGCTATCCCCACCGGCGTCAAAGTATTTAGCTGACTCGCCACACTCCACGGAAGCAATATGAAATGATCTGCTGCAGTGCTCTGAGCCCTAGGATTTATTTTTCTTTTCACCGTAGGTGGCCTGACTGGCATTGTATTAGCAAACTCATCACTAGACATCGTACTACACGACACGTACTACGTTGTAGCCCACTTCCACTATGTCCTATCAATAGGAGCTGTATTTGCCATCATAGGAGGCTTCATTCACTGATTTCCCCTATTCTCAGGCTACACCCTAGACCAAACCTACGCCAAAATCCATTTCGCTATCATATTCATCGGCGTAAATCTAACTTTCTTCCCACAACACTTTCTCGGCCTATCCGGAATGCCCCGACGTTACTCGGACTATCCCGATGCATACACCACATGAAATATCCTATCATCTGTAGGCTCATTCATTTCTCTAACAGCAGTAATATTAATAATTTTCATAATTTGAGAAGCCTTCGCTTCGAAGCGAAAAGTCCTAATAGTAGAAGAACCCTCCATAAACCTGGAGTGACTATATGGATGCCCCCCACCCTACCACACATTCGAAGAACCCGTATACATAAAATCTAGACAAAAAAGGAAGGAATCGAACCCCCCAAAGCTGGTTTCAAGCCAACCCCATGGCCTCCATGACTTTTTCAAAAAGATATTAGAAAAACCATTTCATAACTTTGTCAAAGTTAAATTATAGGCTAAATCCTATATATCTTAATGGCACATGCAGCGCAAGTAGGTCTACAAGACGCTACTTCCCCTATCATAGAAGAGCTTATCATCTTTCATGATCACGCCCTCATAATCATTTTCCTTATCTGCTTCCTAGTCCTGTACGCCCTTTTCCTAACACTCACAACAAAACTAACTAATACTAACATCTCAGACGCTCAGGAAATAGAAACCGTCTGAACTATCCTGCCCGCCATCATCCTAGTCCTTATCGCCCTCCCATCCCTACGCATCCTTTACATAACAGACGAGGTCAACGATCCCTCCTTTACCATCAAATCAATTGGCCATCAATGGTACTGAACCTACGAATACACCGACTACGGCGGACTAATCTTCAACTCCTACATACTTCCCCCATTATTCCTAGAACCAGGCGACCTGCGACTCCTTGACGTTGACAATCGAGTAGTACTCCCGGTTGAAGCCCCCATTCGTATAATAATTACATCACAAGACGTCTTACACTCATGAGCTGTCCCCACATTAGGCTTAAAAACAGATGCAATTCCCGGACGTCTAAACCAAACCACTTTCACTGCTACACGACCAGGGGTATACTACGGCCAATGCTCTGAAATCTGTGGAGCAAACCAGTTTTATGCCCATCGTCCTAGAATTAATTCCCCTAAAAATCTTTGAAATAGGGCCCGTATTTACCCTATAGCACCCCCTCTACCCCCTCTAGAGCCCACTGTAAAGCTAACTTAGCATTAACCTTTTAAGTTAAAGATTAAGAGAACCAACACCTCTTTACAGTGAAATGCCCCAACTAAATACTACCGTATGACCCACCATAATTACCCCCATACTCCTTACACTATTCCTCATCACCCAACTAAAAATATTAAATACAAATTACCACCTACCTCCCTCACCAAAGCCCATAAAAATAAAAAACTATAACAAACCCTGAGAACCAAAATGAACGAAAATCTGTTCACTTCATTCATTGCCCCCACAATCCTAGGCCTACCCGCCGCAGTACTGATCATTCTATTTCCCCCTCTATTGATCCCCACCT
Organism: Homo sapiens; assembly: GCF_000001405.40. Lineage (NCBI taxonomy): Eukaryota > Metazoa > Chordata > Mammalia > Primates > Hominidae > Homo > Homo sapiens. Next base: position 633,796 of record NC_000001.11, read on the forward strand.
CCAAATATCTCATCAACAACCGACTAATTACCACCCAACAATGACTAATCCAACTAACCTCAAAACAAATGATAGCCATACACAACACTAAGGGACGAACCTGATCTCTTATACTAGTATCCTTAATCATTTTTATTGCCACAACTAACCTCCTCGGACTCCTGCCTCACTCATTTACACCAACCACCCAACTATCTATAAACCTAGCCATGGCCATCCCCTTATGAGCGGGCGCAGTGATTATAGGCTTTCGCTCTAAGATTAAAAATGCCCTAGCCCACTTCTTACCACAAGGCACACCTACACCCCTTATCCCTATACTAGTTATTATCGAAACCATCAGCCTACTCATTCAACCAATAGCCCTGGCCGTACGCCTAACCGCTAACATTACTGCAGGCCACCTACTCATGCACCTAATTGGAAGCGCCACACTAGCAATATCAACTATTAACCTTCCCTCTACACTTATCATCTTCACAATTCTAATTCTACTGACTATCCTAGAAATCGCTGTCGCCTTAATCCAAGCCTACGTTTTTACACTTCTAGTAAGCCTCTACCTGCACGACAACACATAATGACCCACCAATCACATGCCTATCATATAGTAAAACCCAGCCCATGGCCCCTAACAGGGGCCCTCTCAGCCCTCCTAATGACCTCCGGCCTAGCCATGTGATTTCACTTCCACTCCACAACCCTCCTCATACTAGGCCTACTAACCAACACACTAACCATATACCAATGATGGCGCGATGTAACACGAGAAAGCACATACCAAGGCCACCACACACCACCTGTCCAGAAAGGCCTTCGATACGGGATAATCCTATTTATTACCTCAGAAGTTTTTTTCTTCGCAGGATTTTTCTGAGCCTTTTACCACTCCAGCCTAGCTCCCACCCCCCAACTAGGGGGACACTGGCCCCCAACAGGCATCACCCCGCTAAATCCCCTAGAAGTCCCACTCCTAAACACATCCGTATTACTCGCATCAGGGGTATCAATCACCTGAGCTCACCATAGTCTAATAGAAAACAACCGAAACCAAATAATTCAAGCACTGCTTATTACAATTTTACTGGGTCTCTATTTTACCCTCCTACAAGCCTCAGAGTACTTCGAGGTTAAAATATTAGATATTTCCCCTGATACAGGGCTCAATCTTTTTCTTTTTAAAGCAATATTTCTCAAAGTACTTTTCACAGAACTTAAGTTTCATTAAGCACTTCACTAAAAGAAAAGTCTGTGATCTAATAAATTTGGAAAATATTGAGAATTAGAGCCCCCTCTTAGATATGTACTGTAGCTACTCAGCTTGTTACAGATGAAGTAAACATTGTAATATTCACCCAGCTTTTGAGTGATGTCTATTAACATCACCCAAATGAGTATTCCATGGAATGCACTTTGCAAAAACCTATTATTCAAGAAAATTCTGGAGCATGAAAGCTATTAATGATAAACCCATTCACAAAATCACACCAAATATCTAAAATCATGTTTAAAATCTCCTAGAAATGGGTTGAATTGCCCACTTCAGAGACAAAGTGATTCTTTTGTAATAACGAGTTTTGTTTAGTGAGTACTTATTATCTCATTGAATCCTGAGGACTACCTCACAAGGTAAGTATAGCTCTTTTCATTACACATGACAAACAAGGCTCAGAGAGGTTAAGTAACTTGCTCAAGATCACAAAACTGCAGAGTGACAAAACTAGAATTTTGAATCTAAGCTCAAAAGGTCACCAAACCAAATTTGGGTCCACCCACCCAGCCTATCAAAGTCAAGCACTGATATCGGCATTGCTGAGACAGAAGTTGAGGAATTTATTGCAGGCAGCAAGCAAGGAGTATCAGGCAGCTAATCCTTAAGGCCTAATCTCCCTGATGGCTTATGTGTAAGGGTTTTTAAAGGTGGGAAGGCAGAGGTTGCAGGCAAGGTCATACAATACATGGAGGCTACATATTGGTTTGGCCAAAAAAGGCAAAATATCTCAAAGTGAGGGCCCACAGGATAGGTGACCATTAGATGAATTCAAAGATTTTCTGATTTGAGACCAGGTGCAGTGGTTCACACCTGTAATCTCAGCGCTTTGGGAGGCCAAGGTGGGTGGATAACTTGAGGCCAGGAGTTTGAGACCAGCCAGACCAACATGGCAAAACACCATCTCTACTAAAAATACAAAAATTATCTGGGCATGGTGGTGTGCACCTGTAATCCCAGCTACTCAGGAGGCTGAAGCATGAGAATCGTTTGAACGTGGGAGGCAGAGGGTTCAGTGAGCTGAGATCGTGCCACTGCACTCCAGCCTGGGCAGCAGAGTGAGACTCTGTCTCAAACAAACAAACAAAAACCCAAAGATTTTCTGATTTGTGATTGGTTAAGTTTTGGCTACAAACTTGGGGTCAGCAGAAAGGAATGTTCTGCTCTGGCCTGTGGGTGTGACTTCCTCCAGGTCCCTCAGGAAGAAATTTAGAACAAAGAACAGTTGTGAGTGTTCAGTCCTCAGTTCCTCCTTATCTGAGATCTACGAGCCAACAGGTGGTATTTTCCATTTAGCGGGGTCTGGGTTTCTACAAAACAACTCAGGGACATATGTTAAGATGTTATCTCTAGTTTCTATAGGGAAACAAACATTTTGTGGCTCTAATTTTCTTTTTTTTTTTAATTATACTTTAAGTTTTAGGGTACATGTGCACAACGTGCAGGTCTGTTACGTATGTATACATGTACCATGTTGGTGTGCTGCACCCATTAACTCGTCATTTAAGATTAGTTTGTGGCTCTAATTTTCTTGACTATTGTTTTAAGCTATTATTACCTTCTTACTTATCAGGGTGCTCATCTACTTCTTGAGGCTAGCCAGGTGGCTGGAATTTTCCTTGGAGGGACTCAAGAGTTTCCTTTATTTTTCATGCCTTAAATGGGTCTGTTCTCCCTCTTCAAAGCTCAAGCTCTTAAGGACTATGCTATTGTTAGATTTTTCGTATTGGAGCAGTCCTTCCCTCCTACTCAAGAACACCCCTTCTTCAGACAGCCTGGCTGGGTCTTCATCCTGGGAGAGCTCATGAAACACAAACCAGATCTTGGCCCTCACGTGTGTCTAGGCAGAGCTGAGCCTGGGCAACACCAAGCGTGCCCCCAATTTTGCATGCCCCAGCCAATTCAGAGTCAAGATCCACGCTCAGCTCCTTCCCTGCAAAGTGCTAATGATGAAGGATGGGGATCAAGTCAGCAAACTCCAGAAATGGTCTTAGACTAGGAGTCAAGCCTTGAGATCCTATTACACACCAGATTCATTCCCTGATTAGAGCTGCTGAATTCTTTTACTCTCACTGCACTCATGCTAAAGTTTCTTTCCTCCAGCCTCATAACCCCAGAGGAGGCTGAGCCATGATACCCATTGTCTAGCAATAAATATTTAAGGAGCCCCTGAGATATGTCAGGCACCATCGCAGGTGCTGGGACAAGTGAATGTGACCAGGAAAGTCCCTCCCCTCTCAGAGGTTCTTTTCAAGTTGGAGGACAGCAAATACAGAAATATAGAGTCTAACATAACAACAGGGAGTAATAAACACTTTGAAGAAAAATAAAGTGGAATAAGAGGGTAGGGTTGCCATAGGGTTCTCTGGGCAGTCTTCTATGGAAAGGCCACTTGTTGGGGCAGAGAAAAAAAAGATGTCTGAAAGGAGGACTACCGGCCCCCCATAAGTGCGCTCCGGTCCATGCACAGGGCAATGGGCATGTAATTTCCTATGATTAAGACCTACAGTATGTACAATATTACTGCAACAGACACTGAGACTGACTTAGCATTGTTTCATAGCATCCGAGTTGCTCTGTTGGAGGAAAGTGCATGTGATGGGCATTCATTTGCTTCCGCCATCAGACAGATTCTCTACCTTTGTCTTTCCTACAAGATTCCCTAGGAAGGCAGGGCTCAGTGGCTCATGCCTGTAAGCCCAGCAATTTGGGAGTCTGAGGCAGTCAGATCACAAGGTCAGGAGTTCAAGACCAGCTTGGCCAACATGGCGAAACCCCGTCTCTACTAAAAATACAAAAATTAGCTGGGCATGGGGGCACGTGCCTGTAATCCCAGCTACTCAGGAGGCTGAGGCAGGAGAATTGCTTGAACAGAGACCCGGGAGGCAGAGGTTGCAGTGAGCCAAGATCGCACCACTGCACTCCAGCCTGGGCTACAGAGTGAGACTCTGATAAATAAATAATAAATAAATAAATGATTCCCTAGGAAGCTGACTCCCACTGAATGTGCCACTCAGGAGTCCCTGCTCTCTAGATTACAGTTGAGTTTGCTCAATGCAAGGCCCCAGCAGAAATGTTGAAAGTAAGAGCAAATAGATAGTTAACCACTCTTTAAGACAACAATGGATGTATACTTCTCTGGCCTCAGCTCCTGTGGGGAAGCTCCAGTGCCAGTCCCTGGGTGCTTCACCATTTTCCGTTAGTTCCTGAACCTTGTAAACTGACCCTTCACTAAATTCTTCCTAGTTAACCCTTTGAGAATGAAACCATTTCCTGCCAGGACTCTGACAGATACAAAGAACCCACAGCCGACTGCTGGGTGCGCGGCAGACCTAGTGCATGGCTCCACACTGCCATCTTGGGGGCTGGCACAGGCTGGCACTGAGTCTGGGGAAGGGAGCTGGGGCTGGAGGTGTGGAGGGGAAGACCGTGCATAGTTGCTTCCTGATCAGCTCTTTATTCGATTGAGAGTGAGGCAGGGAAGATTAGAGGGAAGCTTACAGTGGAATTCAGGGCTGAGGCTGCTATTCTTTTGCTCCTTGTAACTTCCTACAGTGTTGTCAGCATCCACATACTTCTCTGTGGGGTTGGTCTCAGAGCCAGGTTACCTTGTCTTAGGTCCAGTGGCAGCCTGACTGGCTTGGTGTCCTTGAACAAGTTACCTAACCTCTCCATACCTCAGTCCCTCAGCTGTAAAATTTTTTTAAAAAAAAAGAAGAAGAGTACCTACTGTATAGCATTGATTTGAAGATTGAATGAGCTGGTATTATACAACGTTTAGAAGCAGTGCCTGACATGCAAAAGGCTCTCAACAAATACTATCCTTTACTAATATCCTGTGTGTCTGTATCAGAGCTGGTGGGGTGGAGGGACAGAAAGAAGTAGGAGAAGGTAAAGAGATGGGAAAATGATCTCTAAAGTCTCTCTGGCACTAACACAATTCTTTATTATGTGTTTTGTCTGGCTCTTTATATTGATAGCTGTTCCAGAAGCAATCAATAGCTATTAGTCGGTTTTATTCTTATTTTTCTGTCTGATCTTACAGGGGAGCAAACTGTGGCAAAGCATGAACTTACTTCTCAGAAAATTAACCATTATGTTGGCAATCACTGTGATTATTTGAACTTCAGCATCTGGACAAATTTAGTCACATGAAATACAGAAGAGAGATTTCTCATGGTTAAAATGAAGCTCTCTTTATTTGCTTCTGCTAATTAAAAAATCAGAGCTAAAGATACTTAAACACTACAGTTAAAATGCCATGGTTGTCTATTGGCTTAATGAATTCTCTTATGAAATCAACTCTAAAATGTTATCCATCATAAATCATGAAACACAATTTTTCTTATTCTCTTTAGAGCTTTACAATTCATCTTAAAGACCAGTGTTTACACTCTCTTCCGTAGGTTGTACAATAACCTTTGGCGAGAAAAAATAAATGTCTGGCTTTCTGACTCATAGGTGTGTTCCCTTTAACAGAAAAAGAAAATATGTCCTCTTTAAAACTGATGATCATTGGTCACCTCAATTTTATTGAAGTTCACTTCTGACCTCTTTAGATGTAGTTCTCTACATAAAACTGCCCAACAGAATTCTCTGTCTGAATGCCTCCTCCACAAACAAAATTTTAAGAACTAAAATCATCATCTTTCCTTCCAAATGTGCTCTCCCTATGTCCCCAGGGCTCTCCATGTGTAGAGCTGAGACCATTTGCCACTCAGTTTCCTCACCCAATTAATTACAAGTCCCAACAATTTTCCGTTGTTTTTTTTTTTTTAGACGGAGTCTTGCTCTGTCACCAGGCTGGTGTGCGGTGGTGCAATCTCAGCTCACTGCAACCTCCACTGCCTGGGTTCAAGCGATTCTCCTGCCTCAGCTTCCCAAGTAGCTGGGATTATAGGTGTGTGCCACTACATCCAGATAATTTTTGTATTTTTAGTAGAGAGGGGATTTCACCATATTGGCCCAGATGATCTCAATCTCTTGACCTCATGATCTGCCCACCTTGGCCTCCCAAAGTGCTGGGATTACAGGCGTGAGCCACCATCCCTGGCCCAGTTTTGCCTTTTTAACATCCCTCAGCTCTTCAAATCCATTTTCTCTTCTCTAACACCTCCCCATTCCCCAGCTCGTAATGAACTCTTAAGTAGATTACTACGATCACCTCCCAAATGGTCTTCCTGGCTCCATCAGCCTTGTGACCTTCAAGTTCATTCTCCACATGGATGTCAGAGTAACTTTCTAAAATGAAAATCTGACCACGTTACTCTCTTGCCTAAATCCGCCTATGGCCGCTGTTAGGATCAAGTCTAAACTCCCGACCCTGGAACATCAGGTCTTTGTGCTCTGTTCAGTGCTTCTCTACCTCACCTGCAACCAACACCACTCCCACATCCATATTCTGCTCACCGTGTATCAACATGAACAGGAGGTGGGTGCTTCAGTCCCCAGGAAGACACTGGGCCTTTTCAATCATCTACTGCTGTGTAATAACCACCCTGCAAACTGACCACATGATTTCATTTTGCAAGGGTTCCTTCCTTGGGCTGTGTTCAGCAAAAGGGTTTACTGAGCTGGCAGGTCCAAGATGGCCTCACTCACAGGACTGGCTGTTGATGGGAGCCTTGATGCTCTTGGGCTCACCCCTTATCCTCCAGTAGGTTAGAGCTTCTTACAGTGGTTTCAGGCAGCATCTGAAGACAGTAAATGCAGAAGCTCCAAGGCTTCTTACATTCTAGCCTGGAAAATCACATCACATTGCTTCCTTCATATTTTTTTGGCAAATCAGGTTGCAAGGCTTGCCCAGATTAGGGTAAAGAGGCAAAGAGGCTCCTTTTCTTTTCTTTTTCTTTTTTTTTTTTTTGAGTCAGAATCTTGCTCTGTTGCCCAGGCTGGAGTGCAGTGGCGCGATCTAGGCTCACTGCAAGCTCTGCCTCCTGGGTTCACGCCATTCCCCTGCCTCAGGCTCCCAAGTAGCTGAGACTACAGGCACCTACCACCACGCCTGGCTAATTTTTTTTTTTTTTTGTATTTTTTGGTAGAGACTGTGTTTCACTGTGTTAGGCAGGATGGTCTCCATCTCCTGACCTCGTGATCTGCCTGCCTTGGCCTCCCAAAGTGCTGGGATTACAGGCGTGAGCCACCGTGCCTGACCAAGAGGCTCCTTTTCTTGATGAAAGGAGTAGTGAAGTCACATTGCATGTCCTTGCAAAGGGACATGCAGACCACATTAGTGAGAATATGTGCCTGTATTTTGCAATCTGTAACATGGGCATAAACTAAATGTTTTCCAAAGGGAATAGGGCAAAACAAAAAGGACCTTGACCACTCCTTTGGCCCTGAATAAATCTAGGAAGCCTAAGAGTATGACTATCCTGAGGTAGAAAGAGGGTCACATGCTGGATAAGAGGTACCTGGGCTCTCCACTTACAAGAAGAGAGCATGGTTACATTTATAATCACCATTCCCAACACGCTGTGAGTGCAGGCAGCTACCAGGAGGAGAACAAAGGAAATAACCAGGACACCCATCTCTAAACCTGTTAATTTAATCACACGGAACACTTCTATTTAAAATTCCCGAGGGTTAAGATGTAAGAATGCTTATCAAGGTAAATGCTGTTCACACTGCTTGGAGTGTCAGGCCTAGATCTCTATCCATCAGAAACAACAATATCAATAACAACAACAGCAACATGATGATGGGGCAATTTCTGAAAAGCACCATGTATTTTATCGATACATGTCCGTTGCAGAAAATCCAGGTGAATCCAAAGAAGAAATAAATGTCTTCCACAATCCCATAGCCCAGAGCTAACTAACCACTATAAAGAACCCAGCGTGGTTTTAACTAATGGATCAAAAGATGCTCATCAAAGGCTCTGAGCTTTCCTGAGTGCTAACAGGAAACATCCAGCATCACTGGTCTCTCCAAGGCTGCAGGTGTCTTTGCCCATAGTGCCTGTTTTGTGTCAGGGAAAGAATCAACCTGGGAGCCAAGCCCAGGAATCAGGATGACCAAGACATACTGGACAAGGAGGGAACAAACCCATCCAAGGACACTCAAGGACAAATCAAGCAAATGAATTTAAGGGAGACCTGCTCATGGTCTGCTTTGCTGCTCAGCATGGCTGGGAGGCACAGTGGAAGATCATGCATCCTTCCCCTGGGACTCCTCTGCCAGAGCCTGAGAGCTTTCTCCTGCACACAGGCTAGGGGTAGGGCAGTTGGAATTGATCCATGCCTTCTAGCTAGACTGTGGGTCCCCTCAGTCTTGGGCATGGTGACAGCCCAGCATCAGACAGAGGTCAGTATCAAACTAGAAAATTTAATAAATGCTGTCAGATTTGTAGACCCAAGAAAATATAAACTGCCAATCACGGAGGAAAAAAATCTCTCAATGATCTTATCTTTATATGATTCCCTTGCTGCCTGGAGATTGACATTTCCTTGGGGATAATCTGGTCATAGGATTGGTGAAGGTGGAAGGGAGGCAACCTCCGAAGGTGGGGCCCTCTGCTCACCTGGGACAGGGAGGGCCTGAGGTAGGTGTCTGTGTGGGCTGGGGAGGAGGATGGGAGCAGTGCTTCTAGATGTTTCCACTTTCTCCTCATTAGATAATAATGAATGGGTGATTTCCCTAGTCACTGCAGTGTGAGGAAATCTACAAAATTAATTTCACAATACACTTTACAGGATAGGTGGAGAAACACATGAAGCACAACTGCAGTGGGTTATAAAAAATGGCCTTTCGAGTTGAGCAGTAAATTCGTTCAAGCAGCCATTCTGAAGGACAAACTGGCTCTGTATTTAACAGGGGCATTCCAGCACTTCTCTAGCTACTGGGTTGACAATGACTCACCAAAGCCTCTGGTAGCCACCACAGGACGCCCAGAGCACGTTTTAAAGCTGAACACCAAACTGCGGACTTCGGGAGTAAGTGAACTGACTGGTTTTTATTTTGTTTTACTGCTTTTAACATTACAGTAACTGTTACAGGTTCCAGCAGGATAACTGGGTGGAAATGAGTTTGGTTTCACTTAGTCTCTCTAAAGAGAAAGCAAGTTGGTAGACTAATACCTAATAAAAGCAAAGCTGCCAACAATTGAAATTGCCTGGACTGCTCTGTGTGTCCCACATGCATGGGTGTGGGTGCCAGTGTGTGTGCGTGTGTGCATGCATGTGCATGTGTGTTGGGATAGAGTGGTAAGAAAATGGGAAATAATAAGAATGTTCAGTCCATAGCCCTTCATTATAAAAAGGTGAGCTGTAATAAATACTAGTGCCACATTTAGCCAAAACTTTACTCCAGCCAAAGGTGATATTTTCATGATAACATCCTGTGATTGCTTTGTTCTTCGTCTTTTATGTTCTTCCTAGATGGGCTCAGAACATACAAGAATTAAGTACACATCTTATTTTCCAGTGATAATGCTACCGGCAAATTCTGTTGTTTGTATAAACATCAGCCATGTTTATATAACTAAACTAGTGTTTTGTTTTGTCAATTCAGCAAGAAATTAGACCACATGGTGGCTTAATGCTGCATTGATTTGGCTATCAATTTGTTTTCACTTTTCTGCAAAATATTTAATACATTATTAAATTGAATTATGCTGATGCCACAGTTGTTCTTATCTCAATTGTCTTAAAATTCATTTAATTTTTTTTTCCTTTGGTTTCATTATTCAAATTTTAACTTCAGTTCTCAACATTTTATCTGATGGAAGAGATGGAGTCCATTACTAAGGACTCCATTGTGCTCCATCATGCCAGAGTTGTAAAATAGATCTTTTAAAGGAAATTTACTGTGATTTTTTTCTATTTAAGAGCTTCCTCTCCAGTTGAGCATGTAAGAAAATTATACCAGGAGAATACAGTAAACTCTATGAGGCAAGCTATAAACATGTAGCATTGTGATTAGGGCTGGTTCTCCTTCTAGAGACATGGTAGGATTGCAATTTCATACCATCCTTGAAGTTAGAGAGAGCCACGTGACTCATTTAGCCAATGAACTGTGAGCAGAATGACATGTCACTTCCAGCAGAAGCTTTAAGAATCTGAGAGACATTCATACGTTTTCCATGTGCTGTAGCCTTATACCCAAAGCCTGGGTCCCAAGTGACCATGACAGGCAGAGCTCCCTGTTGAGCCACAGAGATTTAGAGAATGGCTGTTAACACAGCATAATCCAGCCCATCCTGACTAATCTGATATTAACATGTATAATAAAGAATTCTATCAATGCTGAGGGAAGATGATTAGTTAAGGTCCTAGGTTGCAAGTCTCAAAACCTCTTCTAAGGATTGTAGACAGGAAATTAAATGACTTCTAGTCCCTAGAGTTCCCAATCTCCTACCATCCCATCCTAATATGACAGAAGTAATTCCTGAGTTGCTTCTGAAACCAGAGCTTCCCTCAGAACCCTTAGCCTGCCAGATGGCTTCTTGGAGAGCCCTCACTCACTTTTCTCCTTCTGCTATTGCTGCTCATTCATTCCAGCTTTTAAAAATTCATCTTTATCCAGGAACCTCGCTTCTAGAAAAGTCATACAGGTGCTTCCAGGAGGCTACATGGGCACCCATATTTTTCTAGCCACTTTCATTAGACCAATGCAGCAGAGAAGAAAAGCCTCAATAATTATTATGACATGGCATGTTAGGATACCAGGTAAATTGCATTTGTAAAATGTGATTTTCTGTTGGTGTTCACTTCGGCTCTACTGACATTTGGTAAGTATTATTGACTGACTGACTAACTAATGTGGTCATTAGTCTTCATAAAGAAAGGCTCTCTACAAAAACGGAGGGATGCCCTTTTTCTGGCATTTAATACGTAAGAAATTGCCTCCGATAGAAACCAGAGTTGCCTGATTACTATCAGCACAGGAGAAATGTATTAATGTGCCTTTCTAGTAACAGGTTTTTAGAAAGTCAAATATAAACAAATCTGTCTATTTGTGTGTGTGCATGTGGTAGTGGGGAGGGAAGAAAAAAGGAGGGGGAGAGAAAGAGAAATAAGAACCAAGTTTATTATACTGTATTCAGGGGGAAAACATTTTCCCAAGGTTCTAACAGAAGAGCAAAGTGCCACTGTCAATAGCCTCAGTAGTGTGAGGGTTGCTTTTATGTATTTATTTATTTACTTATTTATTTATTTTTCCTTTTTTTTTCCTTTCTCTTTTTTTCTTCTTTTTTTTTTTTTGGACAGAGTCTCACACTGTCGCCTGGGCTGGAGTGCATTAGCGCAATCTTGACTCACTGCAACTTCTGCCTCCCAGGTTCAAGTGATTCTCCTGCCTCAGCCGCCCAAGTAGCTGGGATTACAGGTGTCTGCCACCGTGCCTAGATAATTTTTTTATATTTTTAGTAGAGATGAGGTTTCACTATGTTGGCCACGCTGGTCTCAAACTCCTGACCTCATGATCCACCCACGTTGGCCTCCCAAAGTGCTGGGATTACAGGCGTGAGCCACCGCCCCTGGCCAGGATTGCTTTTATAGCCAGTCTTCAGGTGCCCACTGTAGGAACAATGTCATTTAGCCCTCGGGATTATTCTGTGCCAAATATGGATAATGACTAATATTCAACACAGATATTCTCAGCTCAGAAGAGCAATTAGCAAATTCATAAATTAAGTGCTTGCTTCCTTTTTAGTCAAATACAAACATTTGTTAAAAGATATTATTTTGCTTTACACTTTGTCTCTCAGAAATAAACAGATGCTTGAATTCCCACAGTGCTGCTTGAGCCTCACACCATGTCATCCTGCCAGGCACCCAGATCCAGTTCTAGAGTTTCACATGATCATGAGTGTTGGTTAATAAGTCACTGTGAACTGGGAGGGGAGATTTTTCAGGAGTGCCACAGGGCTCTCCCTTTAATCACATACACTCCCTGCTTTCATTGGAAAGTGTATAATGATGTCAGAGTGCCCCAGAATGGAGCTAGTTGGAAGACTGCCGTCATAGGGATGCCTTAGTGAATCAATCAGGTTTTAATTTCTGGCTCTCAACTTTGTAGATGTAAAAGTTGATTTATCAATATGTGAGAAAGGATGAATCTTTCTGAAGGTTATGTCATCACACTCACTAAGCACACAGAGAATAATGTCTAGAATCTGAGTGCCATGTTATCAAATTATACTGAGACTCTTGCAGTCACACGGGCTGACATGTAAGCATTGCCATGCCTAGTACAGACTCTCCCTGCAGATGAAATTATATGGGATGCTAAATTATAATCAGAACAATGTTTGGTGAGCCAAAACTACAACAAGGGAAGCTAATTGGATGAATTTATAAAAATATACCTCAGCCAAAATAGCTTAATTCAGTCTCCCTTATCATAAGGATACTCTTGCCTAAAGGGACAGTAATATTAAAGACACTGGGAATAACCTCTGTACTTTGGACAGTAGACCTGCATAGCCCATTAGGCCTCAATGAAGTCTTATGCAAGACCAGAAGCCAATTTGCCATTTTAAGGTGATTCTCCATGTTTCTGCTCTAACTGTGCTTCACAATACTCAAGACACTGAATCAGGATGTTTCCTGGAGTGCAGGGAGCTGTCCGTGTTACTGAGCAGTTCTCAGCAACACAAAGATCCTACTGACTCCTCATCAGACTTCTTTCTCACTGGAATTTTACACCTGGGCTGTTAACACCAGGCCAGGTCAAATTCAAAGGAGAGAAAAAAGCTCATTATGAAGGGTAAAATCCAAAACACTGTGCATAAAGATATGTGTGCACAATTTTTATACATAAAGATTTCATAAAGCCAAAGCATCAGGAAATGAAAAGAGATACAGAAAGAAAAATGATGGTAAATGAGACATTAATTTACCCTTCTAATCTCTATCACAGCAAAAAGGTAATTAAAAAATCTATATGAGGACCAAAAAATACACAAAGATTATGTAGCAAAGCCTATAGCCTAAAAAAGTAAACATTGAAATTTGTATGTCCATAAAATGTTTACAAAATTCAGTACATATTACACACCCCACCCTAAAAACATCTAAGCAAAGTAGAGAATGTAGAAATGCTACAGATTATATTCTCTGATTATGACACGACAAAACTAGAAATTACAGCATGGAAATTTAAAAGCTTTCTCTTAAATAATTCTATGTCAAAAAGAAATCCAGGCCGGGTACAGTGGCTCATGCCTGTAATTCCAGTACTTTGGGAGGCCAAGGTGGGCAGGTCACTTGAGGTCAGGAGTTCAAGACCAGCCTCGTCAACATGGCGACACCCTGTCTCTACTAAAAATACAAAAATTAGCTGGGCCTGGTGGCGCATGCCTGTAATCCCAGCTACTTAGGAGGCTGAGGCAGGAGAATTCCTTGAACCCAGAAGGTGGAGGTTGCAGTGAGCTGAGATTGCACCACTGCACTCCAGCCTAGGTGACACAGCAAGACTCTGTCAAAAAAAAAAAAAAAAAAGAAATCCAAATAAAATTTCCAGAATATGTGGAAAATAGTGACAATAAAAATATTACACATGTGTAATCCCAGCATTTTGAGATGCCAAGGTGGCAGGATCACTTGAGACCAGGAGTTCGCAACCAGCCTGGACAACATAGGGAGACTCCATCTCCACACACGCCAAAAAAAAATTTTAAATAGCCAGGTATAGTGGTACTTCTTGTAATCCCATCTACTTGGGAGGCTAAGGTGGGAGAATCACCCAACCTCAGGAGTTCAGGGCTTCAGCAAGCCATGATCATATCACTGCACTCCAGCCTCAGCAACAGAGCAAGATCCTATCTCAAAAAAAAAAAAAAAAAATCACATGTGGGAAATAGCTATAGCACAATAAAAATAAATGTATTAAGTATGAACAACAAAAAAGCTAGTAAAGGTTGAACAACAACTATCCTTAGGAAAGTGGAAATAATGTGTTAATAAATATGAAAGCAGGCTAGGCACGGTGACTCACATCTGTAATCCCAGCACTTTGGGAGGCTGAGGCAGGCAGATCACCTGAGGTCAGGAGTTCCAGACCAGCCTGGCCAACATGGTGAAATCTTGTCTCTCCTACAAATACAAAAACTAGCCAGGCTTGGTTGCGCACTCCTGTAATTCCAGCTACTTGGGAGGCTGAGGCAGGAGAATCTCTTGAACCTGAGAGGCAGAGGTTGCAGTGAGCCAAGATCATGCCACTGCACTCCAACTGGGGCAACAGAGTGACACTCCATCTCAAAATAAATAAATAAGAAAGCAGAAACTAATAAATTAGAAAACAGAAACATAGAACTAATTTATAAATCAAAGCACTATGCCTTGAAAAGAGGGAGAAAAATTGTGAATTAAGGAAGGGAAGAGATGGTTGGAGAGGAGGTGGGAGAAGGCAGAGATAATTGAAGGAGCAAAAGCATCTGGAGAAGCAAAGCCACTGAAAGATGAACAGGGCTCTGAAAGAAATGCTTGATTGCTATCTTTTCAAATGACTGCAGTTCCCAGTGACATCATTTTTCTCCTCCCTGGAAGTCTGAGGGGCAGTTCACTTATCTCCTCCCCTCCCCTACTCCTCACCCCACACTCAAAACCTGTCTATGCTCCTTTCATTCTCATATGACAGATTTCAGATGGCATTCTTATTTCCCTGATTTCTTTTTGAGATAGCTTGCATTTCCCTACTCTATATAAAGCCACCGTTTATCAAATGCCTACATGGACCAAGCAGTCCACAAGGGCTTCACAGACAGTTTTACTAAACTCATGCCAAAACTTTCAGGTTTTATAGATAAAGATCTATACCTTATAGATAAAGGTATCTATAAGGTATAGATAAAGGTAAGGTATCTATACCTTATAGATAAAGAAATTGAAGCTTATAGAGTTTAAGTAATGTTCCCAAAGCCTCGTGGCTAGTAATTCAAACCTAATTTCTGCCTACTCCAAAGTCTATTTTTCCTCATGATACTATACTGCCTCTCCATGGATAAAGACAGAGATCACATATTAATAAAATTTGCACAAAGTCGGCAAATTGTTGAAAGGGAAGGCTAAGATGATTAATAAAATCAAGAGCCAGATGATCTCAACAACCTGAAATAACTGGCTGACAACCAATTTGAATAACTCCCTGCGGGTGAAGTTCAAAGTACTATTTGGGGTTTTTTTTTAAGTTTGGCTGGGTGCAGCGGCTCACGCCTGTAATCCAAGCACTTAGGGAAGCCAAGGTGGGTGGATCATGAAGTCAGGAGTTGAAGACCAGCCCGGTCAACATGGTGAAACCCCATCTCTACTAAAAATAAAAAATTAGCCGGGCCTGCTGGTGGATGCCTGTAGTCCCAGCTACTCGGGAGGCTAAGGCAGGAGAATCGCTTGAACCCAGGAGGTGGAGGTTGCAGGGAGCCGAGATCGCACCACTGCACTCCAGCCTGGGTGACAGGGCGAGATTCCGTCTCAAAAAATAAAATAAAATAAAATAAAAAATAAAAGTTTGATATATTCAGAATCAGGGAGGTCTGTTGGGTGCAGTTCATTTGAAAAATTCCTCAGCATTTTAGTGATCTGTATGGTCCCTCTATCCGTCAGGGTCCTAGCAGGAAATTGTTGCACTCTCAAAGGATTAAGCAGAAAGAGTTTAATGAAGGGTCTCTTTCCAGGGTTAAGGGAACTGCTAGGGTTTGGATATTTGACCACTCCAAACTCATGTTGAAATGTGATCCCCATTGTTGGAGGTGGGGCCTAATGGGAGGTGTTTTGGTCCTGAGTGTGGACCTCTCACGAATGTCTTGGTGCCATCCAAGTGAGTTCTTGCTCGCTCTTTTTTTCTTTTTGAGATGTAGTTTCACTCTTGCTGCCCAGGTTGGAATGTAGTGGTGCGATCTTGGCTCACTGCAACATCCACCTCACGGGTTCAACCCATTCTCCTGTGTCAGCCTCCAGAGTAGCTAGGATTACAGGTACCCACCACTATGCCCAGCTAATTTTTGGTATTTTTAGTAGAGACGGGGTTTCACCATGTTGGCCAGGCTGGTCTCAAACTCCTGACCTCAGGTGATCCACCTGCCTCGGCCTCCCAAAGTGCTGGGATTACAGGCGTAAGCCACCGTGCCTACCTAGTTCTAGCTCTCTTAATTCCCACAAGAGCTGGTTGTTAACAAGAGCCTGGTACAAACCCCTCTCTCTTGCCACGTGATCTCTGCACATGCCAGCTTCCCTTCCCCTTCTGCCATGAGTGGAAACAGACTAAAGCCCTCACCAGAAGCAAATGGTGGCACCATGCTTCTTGCACACCTTCAGAACTGTGAACCAAATAAACCTCTCTTCTTTAAAATTATTCAGCCTCTGGTATTCCTTTATAACAACACACACACACACACACACACACACACACACACACACACGCAAAAGCAGACTAAAACAGGAACTAATTAGAAATGGTAATGCACCGAGGGATTGGCACCGAGGCTCCCCAACAGGAACTGAGGCCATGGATAGAAGGACACATTCATGTTATTTTTTTCTAATGGTTAAGTAATTATTTGCTCTTACTCTCAAAATTTCTGCCAAGGCCTCCCATGGACCAAACTCAACTAGGATCTAGGAAGCAGAGAACCTGAGTGTTGCATTCAGCAGAAGTCAGCTTCCTAGGGAATATTGCAGGAAGGGTGAAGGTAGAGAATCTGGTGGGGAAGCAAGCAAATGCCCATCACATGCACTTTCCTCCAACAGAGCGACTCAGATGCTATAAAACTTGCTAACGCAGTCTCAGGGTCTGATCACAGTAACATACAAGCCAGGTTTTAGTCATCAGAAATCGCAGTCCTATTGTCTTCTGCACAGACCCAAACACACTTGGAGGTCATGTTCAATATGAATACCTCACAGAGAAGGAAATTTACACACGAGAAGTACATCTGCAGAAAGCCAGCTGGCATGTCAACCATTCGAAAACTCAGGGTGTTCGGGATAAAGAAGACTCAGGAAGACAAGTATGAAGCATAATCTGTGACATTATTGATATCTTCCTGATATCAATATTATTGATATCTTCCTGAAGAACATAATTCCTGCCTACCATCAACAAGCATCAATACTTTCTACCAGCTATTCTCAACCCTCATCATCGGAAGAGACAGACACTGACTGTGTCAAAGTATTAGTCCCATCATTCAGCAATTAACTTTAGCTCAATGCTTCAAAAATTCTTCAGGCCCTGTGTAATTTCAGCTATGTACATTAATGATGAGTACCCATACAACCATTCTGTTTCTTATTTTCAGTACCATATTTAATAAATATCAGTTATTCAATACTTTATTTAGACATTTTGTTAGATTATTTTGACCAATGAAGTCTAATCTAAATGTTCTGAGCATGTTCAAAGTAAGCTAGGCTAACCTATAATTTTTGGTGTGCTAAATGCATTTTTAACTTATGATATTTTCAGTTTACGGGGGTTTGTTGGGACATAACTTCATCATACATCAAGGAGCATCTGTATATGGGATATAGTTAAAGCAGTGATCAGAGGAAAATCTATAGCCTTAACACATTTATTAATAAAAGTGTAGGAATTAAATTATCAGCTGAAAAATGTAAAAAGTATCTAAAAGAGTAAGCAGAAAGTACAAGAAAGAACCCATAGTAGAAAAAAGTGAAAATTAATAAAATAAGAAGCCAAAAAACAGATCAAATCAGTAAACCAAAAATCTTGTTCTTTAAACAAATCAACAAAGTTGACAAAAAATTAGATCTTTTAATCATGAATAAAAAAAGAGAAAGCACAAAAATGAATAAGGAATGGTGAGAGAAATAACTATTGATAATCAGCAAATAAAAAATCATTAAAAACAATGTTGTTCACATCTATGAAAAACATTGAAAGCTAGAGGGAATGGGTAATTTTCCAGAAAAATACAATTCACCACAATTGACTTCAAAAAAAAAAAAAAAAAGAAGTACAGCACTTATGTGAGCAATTTCCATAGAGAAATACAGTTGTCATGGAATTATAACACACACACAAACACTAGGTTTAGATGTTTTCACAGAGAATTCCACCAAACCTTTAGAAATCAGATCATCCAAAGGCAAATTAACAACCCTCAGCCATTTGAGGCAAAATATTACAATTGAGGCAAGATATACTGTACTGAAAACTTGAGGAAAAAGCAGGAGAGAAAGTTCCTTTGGGAAATTCGAATACTCAAAAGTGCTTACATACAATGAAAAATTTGGAAATCCATAAGCATGGCCAAGGTGGGACACATGCTCAGAAAAGGCCTGAGAAGACACTAATAACTCACCTTTAGTAATTCCTAGGCTCACAGCAAGAAAAAATGAAGGCTAAGGCAGAATTATATATGGCTCCGCTAAGTGTTGAGGGAGCCCCAATACAGAGTCAGTAAGCAAAGTCTGGGAGATGTTTTTCATATTTTTTTCTTTTTTGGCTCCTTGCAGTCAAGGAAATCATTTTTAAATCACTAAATGCTAAATGAACACAAGCTAAAGGAACCGAGCCGCCTTCAAACATCAAACATAAAAAAGAATGCAGATATTACAAAACCAGTTTACAAAAGTTACTAAACAAATAAAAACTACATCCCACAGTGGGTAACAAAAATAACCTTGAAGAAGGGAAAAATTTGGTTTCCAGAATAAACACATTATAATATCCAAAATGTCCAGTTTTCAACAAAAATTAAGAAGCATGCAAATAAACACAAAACTATGGCCCATTTACAGAAGAAATAAATGAGACTCTCCCTGAGTAAGCAGATATTGGAAATATTAGACAAAAACTTTATATAACTGTCTTAAATAAACTTAAAGAGCTAAAGAAACCCAAGAGAATGACATATAAATAAATAAGAAATATGAATTTTTTAAAAGGTACAAAAAAATTCTGAGGCTGAAAAGTACAATAACTAATTAAAAAGTTACTTTTTACTTAGGGTTCCAATAGAAGATTTGAGCAGCTGGAAAAAAGAATCAGTGAACTTGATAGATCAAGTGAAATGATTCAGTCTGAAGAGCAGGAAAATGAAAGAATGACAACAAAAAAGAATAGAGCCTAAAGACCTGTGTAACAACATCAAGAATGCCTACATACAGAATCCTGGTGGGGAGTGAGGGGCAGGAAGACTATTTGAAGAAATGTGTTTGAAAGCTTCCCAAATTTCACTAAAAACAAATATATACATTCAAAAAGCTCAGTGCACTTCATCAAGGAAATATACAAAGATATTCACACCAAGACACACTATGTTTCAAATTGTCAAAAGGCAAAGCGAATGTTTGAAAGCAGCAAGAGAAAGGCAACGCGTCATTTACAAAGGATCCTCAATAAGTTTGACAGCAGATAGTGCATTATAATCCATGGATGCCAGAAGAGCTTAGGAAAAAGGCAATGCATCATTTACAAAGGATTCTCAGTAAGTTTGACAGCAGAGAGCTCATTATAAACCATGGGTGCCAGAAGAGCTTAGAATGACATTTTAAAGTTCTGAAAGAAAAAAACACTGTCAACCAAAAATTCTGTAACTTGGAAGATGCCCCTTCAAGTATTAAGGATAAATTACACATTCCCAGATTAAAAAAAAAAGAGAGAGAGAAAGAGAAAGAAAGAAAGAAGAGAGAGAAAGAAAGGGAGAGAAAGAAAAAGAAAGAAAGAAAGAAAGAGAAAGAAAGAAAGAAAGAAAGAAAGAAAGAAAGAAAGAAAGAAAGAAAGAAAGAAAGAAAGAAAAAGAAAGAAAAGAAAGAAAGAAAAGCAAGCAAGCTTTAAAAGTTCATGTTTGGTAGGCTGTACTTCAAGATACACTTTTAAAAAAAAAGACTCCTTCAGATACAAACTAAAAAACACTAGAAAGTAACTCAAAACCACATAAAGAAATAACTCCAGTAAAGATAACTACATAGGTAAATATAAAAGCAATTATCATATTTTTTGTAAGTCTTTTTAAATATTCTATATGTTTTAAAACAAATGTGTAAAATAATGACTATAAATCTATGTTAATGAAGCATGATGTATAAAGATGTGGTTTGTGAAATTACCAACATAAAGAAATTCATAGGAAACTAAATAATAATAGAGATTTTGTATACTATTGAAGTTGTTTCAATTTACTCTAAATTGTTCCAAATTAAGAATGTTAATTGTAAATCCCCATGGTAACCACTAAGTTAATATCTTTTGAAAATACAGAAAAGGAAAGCAGAGGGTAAACACAGTGATATGCTACAAAATAGCAACTAAACACAAAAGAAGGCGATAATTGAGGAAATTAGGAACAAAGGAGGTATAAGACATACAGAAAACAAAAGCAAAATGGTAGGAGTAAGCCCCTCTTTATCAGTAATTACATTAAATACAAATGAATTAAACTCTCCAATCCAAAGAAAGAGATTGACAGAATGGATTTTTAAAAAATGATCCAACTATATTGTCCACAAGATACTCACTTTAGATCAAAATACACAATGAGTTGAAATGAAAGGATGGGAGAAAATATTCCATGTAAGTAATAACCAAAGGAGATCTGAGGCAAATATACTTATATCAGACAAAATAGACTTTAAGTCAAAAACTGTTACAAAATACAAAGAACAGTATATATTGATTTCAAAATTAAACAAGAAGATATAACAATTATAAATATATGTACACCAACTAACAGGGCTCCAAAATATATAATGTAACCATTGAGAGAATTAAAGGGAGAGACAGACAATTCCACGAAAATTGTTGGGCATTTTAAAACCCAACTTTAATAAAGGACAAAACACCCAGAGCAAATATCAAGGGAGGAATTAGAGGATTTGAATAAAACTATAAGCAATAACTATAGATAACACTTCTCTCAAAAACTGCAGAATACACATTCTTCTCAAGTGAACATGGAACATTCTCCAGCACAGATGATATGTTAGGCCATAAGATAAGCTCAATAAACTTAAAAAGATTGAAATCATGCAAAGTATCTTCACTGACCACAATGGAATGAAATAAGATATCAATAACAAAAGAAAAACTAGAAAATTTACAAATATTTGGAAATTAAACAACACAGTATTTACCAACCAATGAATCAAAGAACAAATCATGAGGGAAATTAGAAAATGTTTAGAGACGATTGAAAACAAAGATATAACAAGATGGGTGTGATATATCAAAAGCAGTGCTCAGAGTTGTAACACCTACATTTTAAAAAAGAAACATGTCAAATCAATAACCAAACTTTACTCAATAAACCATAAAAGGAAGAGCAAACAAAATCCAGAGCTAGCAGAAGGAAGGAAATAAAGATTAGAGCAGAGATAAATGAAATTGAGAATTAAAAAATTATACAGAGATCAACAAAACTAAAAGTTGGTTCTTTTAAAATATCAATAAAATTAATATACTTTTACATAGACTAAGCAAAACATCTCTATTCAGCTGACTTTTTTTTACAAGGGAGCCAACATTATTCAGTGGGGAATAATAGCTTTTTCAACAAAAAGTGCTGGGAATACTGAATATTCATATGCAAAAAAAATGAAGCTGGACCCCTACCTCACATTATATACAAAATCTAGATTGGATCAATAATGTAAATATACGAGTGAAAACCATACATGCTTAGAAGAAAACATGGAAATAAAACATTGCTGTGGATTGGCAATGCATTCTTAGATAATACAACAAAAATACAAGCATGAAACAAACAAATGTAGCCAAAATGTACCAGAATCTGAAAACATGTATTATCTATAAAGAATTAGAGGGGAATTTGGTGAAAGAAATATGGGAGAATGGGATATTGCTCTGTGAATGCTTTTGTGCATAATTGTACATTTTTAATTAAGTTAATCTTTTACACTCTCAAAGTGTGATATTAAGCAAGCAAAGATAAGTTATTACAAGACTCTAAAACCGAATGCAATGAGAAACAAGTGAATCCAAATATATTTCAAATGAATGAATGACATAATCAAACTTAAGGGGAAAATAATAATTAATCTGATTAATTTTTGACTGTTCTCTTATTTCAAATTGACTTTTGAACATACTTTGACTACATACTATTGCTTGAAAAAATAAAATATCTGCAAAAAATTATTAAATCTTCATGATAGGATTTTTTCTTTTTATATTAGTATAAATATAACAATTCTGAAACAAATGTATGTGCATTGTAAGATTAAGCCAATGAGTAAATATTAATATATTTGTATTGCTAGAACCCCAGATTCTCACTGTGAAAGGACAGAGATACAGATATGGAATAAGACAAGGAAAGAAGCAGCCCACTGAGTTACATTAGAATCAGTATTATCAACATAAATATACAATGTGCTCTCTCACATGCTCTTTCCTTCTCTTAAAAAATATATAATATGTACATATTATATATTATATGCATAGACACACGTGTGTCTATACATATCCTACATGTACATATTGAGGATTAACAGGTGCTAGTAGAAAATATTAACTTTCTTTGTATTAACAGGTGTTAGTAGAAAGTAGTAGTAGGTGCTAAGATAAAAGCCATAATTAAACCTCCTGGTGAATGAACACACCATCACCTACAATCTTACCAAAAATAGAACCAAGCACGTGTCCTAGTCAAACCTCTGGATTCAACTGTCATTTGGATAAAACGCAAAGGATAGTGAAAATGTCGATCTTCACTGAGAGTCTAACCAGCAAAATTCACAGTGTGGACACCAAGTGACAAAAATCCCAAATTTTTCAACAAATATATTGTATGGGAAAGAAAACTTTGAAAAGAAACCTGTATGTTAGAAGGGATTTTAAAAACACGACAAATGAAAACAAATGGGCAAGACTAAATCATAGTGTCTTGGAATGCATGCAGGAAGGACACAGCCGTGAAAATGCAAGGACGCCTCTACTGGAACAGTCACGTTTATCGTCACTTTTCAGGAGAAAGGTGGCTGCAACTGAGGAGAGTCACATGCTTCAGGGCTGGCAAAGTCCTATATCTTGACTTATGTGATGATTACAGGGATGTTTACAAAAATCAAACTATAAGTTTGTTTTGTGCCATGTTTTGTATTGTGTGTGTGTGTGTTTTGTTTTTCAACTTAAAAATAAATAAAATCAAAACCAAGGCTTCATTATCAAGTAGCACAAAGTCTCCAATCTATAACCTCCTTTGTCTGGATATCTGCATTTAACTACCATTGCCAGAGCTAATCCTGACAATGCATTCATATTTTTAACACTGAAACACAGTAAACAGGGAAAATTTTGCTCCTCTAAAACAGGGCATCTTCAGGCAATCAGAACAACTCAGAAAGTTTCTGTCTGTTGCATAAAACTCCCCTGTGCAAAGAGTTACACAAAATGCTGTCATAGTAAAGGTAGTTAACTAACGGCACTAATTGTTCTTGGGCAGTGGCCAAGTGGAACTTCAGAGACCTGGCATTGCCAGCCAGAAATCACTTGTCATGGGAATTGTCTCCTGGAATCACTTTGGTTGTCCCAGGGTAACGCAGGGAAAGTGGTTAATGGGTCACTTGGGGGTGGCATCTTCATCAGTAAATCACATTTACTTTCTCCTACTAAGAATTTTATTTTTGGCCATGAAGCCAAAAGTCAGCTCTTAAATAACAAGGGAAGCAAATAATCATTGAATAAAAATAGCAGGAAGAAAAAGCTGTGCAAAGAAATTTATGTTTTTAATTTGTTATATATGTATATTTTTATCATACTTTAAGTTCTAGGGTACATGTGCACAATGTGCAGGAATAAAATTTATGTTTTTAAAATTTATTCTACATTATGAATTCTACATTAGAAAAATAAACCATAGCCTCATCACAGGCACTTAAATACACTGAAGCTGCCAAAACAATCTATCGTTTTGCCTACGTACTTATCAACTTCCTCATAGCAAACTGGGAGAAAAAAGCAATGGAATGAATAAAATGATAGCCACAAAAATCAAGGTGGGAGAAATACTTATTATATGTCCATAAAAAATTTTAATTAATGCAAAGTATTAACACCAATGATTGCAGTAATACAGATCTTACAAATGATAGTTTTAGTCTGAACAGGACTATCCAAAAGTTAATTTTCTATAGTAACAGTTTTTAAATAAAATATCAATTCCTGAAACACATAAAATGGTCCATGAGTATACAACGAGTGAAAAAAAACAAATTCAGAGCAAAGATAAATTAAGAAGTATCTAATATTCAAACATAGTCAAAGAGAGGGAGATTTCTGGATAATCACTTAAACCCATGGTTAAACATAAATGCACATATGTTAATGTTTACTGAATAACTTATCTGTGCCAAGTGGTGTATTAATGATTCATTTTTATTTTTCACTAAATCTTTTCTCTAAAGTTGGTGTAGCCTGCAACTAAATGCAAGAAATCTGACCTAGGACCTGCACTTCTTACCATTTTGCTCATATTTATTCCCTGTGCATTTTTGTAACATGTATATGTTATATATATAGAAAGAGAGAGAGGCAGAGATGGAAAGTAATTTATGGAGTTTGATGTTATGTCAGGGTAATTACATGATTATATAATTAACAGGTTTCTTTTTAAATCAGCTATATCAATAGAAAAATAAATGTAGGAATCAAGAGACTCATTCTGTCCATCTGTGATAGTTCCATCATGATACTGCATTGTCAAGTCATTGCTCCAAAAATATGGTTTAGCTCAACACTGAGTGACTATAGGAAACCAGAAACCAGGCTGGGCGCTAAAGATGCAAAGATGAATGAGACATCATCTCTGCCGTCCAAAAGCTTACTGTCTAGTGGGAGAGTTACACACGTAAGGACAGTAATCTAATAAGAGCTAATAAGTGAAAACTAAGATAAATTAATAATACAAGATTACAGGGAAGGTTTCCAAAGTCAATGAGGCCTCAAATGAATCTTGAAAGTGTGCAAGGATTAACCAAATGAAGAAATGTGTAAGTTTTTCAAACAAAAAGGAACAGCATGAGCAAATGCAAGGAGGCCTAAAATAAAGAGATGTGTAAAGAGGTGTAAGCAGCTTTGTACTGCTGCCTGATAATTAGAAGAATATCGGGAGTAACAAGAGCTATAGAAGAGAGTCACAATTACGGAAAAATATTTATTAAATTATAAGAAATTTATAGCATAAGGAATAGTAGGACCGTTAAATGTTTTAATAAAGATGATGCTTCTTTTTTTAATATTTATTTTTATTATACTTTAAGTTCTAGGGTACATGTGCACAACGTGCAGGTTACATATGTATACATGTGCCGTGTTGGTGTGCTGCACCCATTAACTCATCATTTACATTAGGTATATCTCCTAATGCTATCCCTCCCCTCTCCCCCCACCCCACAACAGGCCGCGGTGTGTGATGTTCCCCTTCCTGTGTCCAAGTGTTCTCATTGTTCAAGTCCCACCTATGAGTGAAAACATGCGGTGTTTGGTTTTTTGTTCTTGAGATAGATGATGCTTTAAATTGACCACTCTAGCTGCATTGTGGGAGGAAAAAAGATTTTAGAACAAGACTAGAAACAGAATAATTAGAAAAATGCAACTACAATGCAGATGAGTGATTATCAAGGTCTGAACTGAATAGTGGAAATAGAGATAAGGAGGCAAATTCAAGATATGTGCGTGACAGTAAAATTAACATGACCTGGTGTTTGATTGACTCTGTAAAGTGAAAGGAAAGGATGAATAATCAACAAATAATATTTATTCTACCAAATGCCTCCATGCCGCTTTGATGACAGGATAATATGTAAGCTTTTCTATATTTCAGAAACTATATGACATGACGAAAAGTAAAAAGGGGATGGGGGTAAGGAGGTATCCTGAATTGACTGAGAAATAAGGAGGTATTCCACAGAGAATATAAAAAAACATATACTTAGTGTTCAAGGAATAATAAAAAAGAGAACATCTATGTGTCCACCATACAGGATATGAAATAGAACATTTGCCGGCCATGGTGGCTCACACCTGTAATCCCAGTACTTTGGGAGGCCGAGGTGGGAGGATCACTTAAGCCCAGGACACAGGTTGCAGTGAGCCAAGATCACACTATTGTACTCCAGCCTGGGCCACCATGTCTCAGAAAAATAAAAAAACTAGATGTCTTGGAGGATTGGAAACAAAATAGAACTTTACTAGTGCCTTAGACGCCCATTGGGTGCTCCTTGCCAATTGTGTTCTCCTTTATTTCCTGCTGGATATGACCACTGTCCTTCCATTGCATTGTATGTGTTTTTTAATAGACTTTAATGGTTCTCAAGTGATGCATTATTTAGTTTGGTTCTTTGAAACTTATATAAATGAAATTATTTTGTAGAAGTTCTTTCACCTTTATCAGAAGGTACTTTCACCTTGATTCAATAATAAGTTTGCATATTACAACCTTGTTGAATGTTGGTGTAATTCATCCATTCGTATTGCTATATGATATTCCACTACATGAATATGTCGGACTTCATTCCTCAGATCTATTGTTGATGAACACTTGAAATTTTTCCAGTTTTTAACTATTACAAACAATGCTGCTATGAACATTCTTTTGTAAATCACCTGGTTCATATGTGCAAGATATCCTCTGGGGTATATATTTAAAAGTAAAATTATTGAGTTATTCAACATTACCATGAAATGCTACACTATTTTTTTTAACAATCCTACCAATTTACACTTCTACCACGAACAGATAAGCATTACCATTGGTCTTCATTTGTAGGAACCATATTTGTCTTTTGCTCTGGGGGCTTTGTTTTGTTTTGCTTTGTTTTTTGCTTAGAAGTGCTTTGGCTATTAGGGATCTTTTTTTGGCTCCATGTGAACTTTAGGATTTTTTTTTAATTTTGTGAGAAATAACGTTGGTAATTTGATGGGAATTGCATTAACTCTATAGATTGTATGGGTGATATGGTCACTTTAGCTATTGATTTTTCTAATCCGTGAGCATGGGATGTTTTTCCATTTGTTTATGTCATCTATAATTTCTTTCATTAGTATTTTGTAGTTCTCCTTGTAGAGATCTTTCATTTATATAGTTATGCATTCCTAGGTATTTTTCATGGCTATTGTAAATTCAGTTGAGTTCTTAATTTGGTTCTCAACAAATTAATCTCAACAAACATTCAAACAGCTTGAATGTATTTGGTGTATAGAAATACAACTGATTTTTGTGGCTTGTTTATCCCAAGACTTTACTGAAGTCGTGTATCAAGTCTAGGAGTCTTCTGAAGACTTTAGGGTTTTCTAGGCCTACAGTCATGTCATCAGTGAGCAGAGATCATTTGACTTCTTTTCTAATTTGTATACCTTTTATTTCTTTCTCCTTTCTGATAGTTCTGGCTAGCACTTCCAGTACTGTATTGAATAGGAATGATGAAGGTGAACATCCTTGCTTTTTTCCAGTTTCTAGAAGCAACACTTCTAACTTTTGCCCATCCAGGATGATGTTGGCTGTGGCTTTGTCATAGATGACTCATTTTTTGAGGTATACTCCATCTATACCTATATTGTTGAGGGTTTTTATCATAAACAGATGTTGGATTTTATCAAATGCTTATTCTGCATCTAATGAGATGATCATAGGGTTTTTGTTCTCAGTTCCATTTATGTGGTGAATCATGTTTATTGATTTGTCTATTTTGAACCATTCAAGCACCCCTGGAATAAAGCCCACTTGATCATGATGAATTATCTTTTTGATGTGTTGTTAGCTTCAGTTTGCTAGAATTTTGTTGAGTATTTTTACATCTGTGTTGATCAGGGATAAGGATTTGTAGTTTTCTTTTGTGTTCTTTTTAAAATTTTCCTTGTTAATTTTACTGCACAGTATTATTTTAATGATGAATAAAGTGTTGAGCTGGACATGTGTACCTTGTTCCTCATGTTACAATGAAACTGTTTAATATGTCATGATTATTTATAATGTTGAGAGTAGTTTTTGTGTATATATTAAGATATTTACATCAGTTCTCTTCTATTCCTAGTTTGTTATTATTACAAATAGTTTCAAATGTGAACAAGTGCTTTTCCCACAGCTATTGAAATAACCATATTTTGTTCTTTTATTCAGTTAATGTGGTTAATTTCATTGTTTGGTTTTCTAATTTTAAACCATACATTCTTGAAATTACTGCACTTAGTCACGATGTATTTTTCTTTGGAGTATATTGTTGGATTATATTTGCAAACATTTTTGTTTAGAATTATTATGTAGTATATTAGTCTGTAATTTCATTTCTTTTAATATCCCTGTATGGTTTTACTATCATGGAGGTACCACCATATAAAACAAGTTGGAAAGTGTTATGTCTTCCCAATTCTCTAAAAATATTCATGTAACATTGGCATTATTTCTTTATTAAATATTTGGTAATATTTCTTTATTAAATATTGCATCCACCTAGCCCTGGAGTTCTTTCTACAGGAAAAAAAAATTTTCTAAATAAAATTTCTACAATGAAAAAAAAACTACTCAGTTTTTCTAGTTTTTTTCTGATCATTTCATAAAAGTAGGTATTTTTCATAGGAACTTGACCATTCCTTATGATTGTCAAATTTATTAATATAAAGTTTCATATTTTATATTTATTTTATCAGATAAATAAAATTATATGTTTTGAAATATATATTCATTGTAAAATAGCCATGTTAAGCTAACATATGCATTACCTTACATGCTTATCTTTTTTTATGAGAACACTTAAAAATCTACTCTTAGCAATTTTGAAGAATACAAGTACATCCCCTATGGAGAACAGTTTGAAGGCTCCTCAAAAAAGTAAAAATAGAGCTACCATGTGGTCCAGCAATCCCACTGCTGCATATATACCCCCCAAAAAAGAAATCAGTATATCGAAGAGATATCTGCACTCCCGTATTTGTTGCAGCACTATTTACAATAGCGAAGTTATGGAGTCAACCTAAGTGTCCATCAACAGATGAATGAATAAAGAAAATGTGGTACTTATATACAATGAAGTATTATTCAGCCATAAAAAGGAATGAGACCCTGTCATTTGCAACAACATAGATGAAACTGGAGGTCATTATGTTAAGTGAAATAAGCCAGGCACAAAAAGACAAATACTATGTGTTATCACTTATATGTGGAATCCAAAAAGCAAACAACTGAACTCATGGAGATAGAGAGTAGAAGGAAGTATACCAGAGGCTGTGAAGGGTAGTGGGGGTTGGGAGAGGTGGGGGATGGTTAATGGGTACAAAAAAAGAAAGATTTAATAAGACCTAGTATTTGATAGCACAACAGGGGGATTGCAGTCTAAAATTCAATTATACATTTAAAAATAACTGAAAGAGTATAATTGGATTGTTTATAACACAAATAATAAATGCTTGAGGGGATGAATATCC
Source organism: Homo sapiens (assembly GCF_000001405.40). Taxonomy (NCBI): domain Eukaryota; kingdom Metazoa; phylum Chordata; class Mammalia; order Primates; family Hominidae; genus Homo; species Homo sapiens. Next base: position 663,407 of record NC_000001.11, read on the forward strand.
AATTTTCCATTATGTACTTATTGTACATTGCATGCCTGTACCAAAATATTTCATGTACCTCATAAATGTATACACCTGCTATGTACCCACAAAAATTAAATTTAAAAACAATACATTGTTATCCACTATAGTCACCATATTGCACAATAGATCTGTTGAATTCATTCCTCCTGTACAATGCAATTTTGTACCCTTTGACCAACATCTACCCAATCCTCCTGGTAACCATCATTCTACTCTGTACTTCTATGTGTTCAGCCTTCTTAGACCTCCACATACAAGTGAGATTATGCAGTATCTGGCTTTCTGTGCCTGGATTATTTTACTCAGTATAATGTCCTCCCGGTTCATTCATGTTGTCACAAATGATACTTTTTTTATTTTTTAAGGTTGTATACTATTCTATTGTGTATGTGTACCACATTTTCTTCATCCACTCATGTGTCGATGGATACTTAAGTTAATTCCACATCTTGGCTGTTGTGAATAATGCTACAATAAATATGGGAGTACAGATAACTCATTGACACACTGATTTGATATCTTTTTAATATATGCCCAGAAATAGCATTACTGAATCATATGGTAATTCTATTTTTACAGAATCATTTATACTGTCTTTTACAATGGCTGAAATAGTTTACATTCTCAACAATTACAAGGTTTTCCTTTTCTCCACATCCTCTCCAACACTTGGTATCGTCTGCCTTTTCTGTAACAGCCATTCTAACGGATGTGAAATGGCATTTTATTGTAGTTTTAATATGCATTTCTCTGATGATCAGTGATAATTAGCATTTTTATATATCTGTTGGCCATTTGTATGTCTTCTTTTGAGAAATGTCTATTTAGATCCTTTGTCAATTTTTCATTAGGGTTCCTTGTTTTCTTATTATTGTGTTGTTTGAGTTCCTAAGATATTTTGGACATTAGCCTCTTATCAAATGTATAGTTTGCAGATAATTTCTCCCATTTTGTAGGTTATCACTTCACTCTGTTGACTTTCTTTTGCTGTGCAGAAGCTTTTTAGGTTGATGCTATTCCATTTGTGTTTTGTTGCTTTTCTTGCCTGTGCTTTAGAGTCATATCATAAAATATTATTGCCCAGACCAATGTCTTGGAGTTATTCCCCTGTTTTCTTCTAGGAGTTCTATAGTGCTAGGTCTTACATTTAAGTCTAACTTATTTTGAGTTTATATTTTTATATGGTATGAAATAAGGGCCTAATATCAATCTTGTGGACATTCAGTTTTCTCAACACCATTTTTTGAAGAGACTGTTCTTTCCCCATGTGTGTTCCTGGCACCTTTGTTGAAAGTCAATTGACTATAATATGTAGATTTATTTATGGGCTCTTTATTCTGTGTAATTGGTCTATGTGTCTGCGTTTATGCCAGTACCATGGTGTTTCGATTGCTATAGCTATGTAGTATAATTTGAAGTCAGGTAATGTGATATCTCCTGCCTTGCTTTTTTTGATCAAGATTATTTTGGCTTTTCAGAGTTTTTTGTGATTCCATACAGATTTGAGAGTTGTTTTTCTATTTCTGTGGGAAAATGTCATAGGAATTTTGATAGAGATTGCATTCAATATGTACATCACTTTGGATAGTATGGACATTTCAAACATATTACTTTTTCCAATCCATGAACATGAGATATCTTTCCATTTATTTGTGGCTTCTTCAATCGCTTTCATCAATGTTTTGTAGTTTTCAGTGTAAAGATCATTCACCTCTTTGTTTAAATTTACATCTAAGTATTTTTTGTTGCTATTATAAATAGGATTGTTTTCTTGATTTCTTTTTTTGTATAGTTTGTTGTTGATGTGTAGAAATGCTACTGAATTTTGTATGTTCACATTGTATCCTGCAACTTTACTAAATTCATTTATGAATTCTAAATTTTTTGGCAGAGTTATTGGTGTTTTCTATATATAAGATCATGTCAACTGCAAACAGAAACAATTTAACTTCTTCCTTTCCAATTTTCATGCCTTTTATTTCTTTCTTTTGCCTAATTGCTCTGGCTAGGACATCCAGTACTATGTTGAATAGAAGTTCTGAGAGTGGGCACCCTTGTATGAAGTTTCCCACAACATCTCTTATCTTTTTATTAGCTATATATTAATACGGATGTTTCTTCTTCATCAGGAGTTTGAAAAATATGTCTTTTCTCTATATTGTTCTTAATCAGTCTTCCTAGAAGTATTTCAATTTCAAAAAGTAGCAACAACTGTGGGAGTTCAGTCAGGCTGGTGGGAAAAATTTTAAAGATAGTTTTAAGAAATCGACACAAACCTTCATGGAAGGCTGGGGGTGTTGTATAGCTTCAGTAATAGATCTGAATGAAGGCGGCCTAATCCTTCCTTGAGTAAACAGCTTAAAGTAGGTGCAAAGGAATGTAAGGGAGTTTATCTAAATAACTTGTTTACTCATGTGGTCCTGAAGCCAACCTTTGATCATTCACAGGCAGGATGGCTCTCTCTCGGGGGAGGGTGACCAGGTTAATTACCCTCTATTTGTGTTGACTAAAAGCCCCTGTCATTTAATGTTTTTTCAATAAATGCTGGCAGGGCTAGCTAGTCAGGGCTCGTGGCTGCCAGAACTCTTTCTGTGCACGGCCCAGCCCCCTAGCGGCTCTTTCACTGAATAATTGGTGTCTGAGTACATTATTCATCCCTCGTGCAGCTGGGGTCTGCAGGACAGACCCCCACAAACAACAATTTGCAAAAGCAAACTTCCCTGTTTTGTTTTTTTTCCCGAGATGATAAATTAGAGGCTTTTAGTGTGCCTCGGCCACTTAGAAATAGCAAGAGAGTGCACAAAGGTCAACTCTGTGAGCTCTACGTCAAGAAGGAAAATGGGAATCCACCAGAATCATGAAGGACATCATAGATCCCAAGAAGGAGAATGTGAGCAAACAGTCAACATGACAGCAACCAGCTTATAAAAGTGAGCGAAGTCCTAGTATGTGAGAGAGGCAGAGAGCCTCCCTCTGTAACTGACATTTTCACTGTGAATCTGAGCAACCCCAGCCAAGTTGTTGCATTTTGTTTCTCCCAAGGCCTGGAGTCAACATGGGGAGAGGCTTGGAGATGCTGTGAAGCAAAGACACTGGGAACAGCTGCAGACATTTTCCCAGACCAGGAAGTAAGAGCAAGATGCCATTTTCAATCTGGATGCATGCAAAGTCAGCTTTTTTTTTTTCTTTTTGTGACCCAGCAGAATGCCTGCACAGGCATTTTAGTCTCAGGCCAAAGATTGGAACAACTGCTTTGGGGCTTGGTAGGGACCTTCACAGCCATATTGTGGGAAACACCTCAGCAGTATGTGCTGGAATTGTGCTTTCCCCCATCGCAGCCTCGGGGCAACAGAAAAGCTGCTACAGCTGTAATTTCTCCCAGGTGATGAAACTTGCAGCCAGGGCCAGCTTGGAGACCTACAACCAGTCTGCAGGTGTCATTGCTGGGTGCCCCAGCCTGTTCCCCTGAGAATGTGATACAGCAGGGCTTTCTCTGCTTCACCCCCAGGCAGAAATTCAGGCATTGGAGCACCTGTCTACCTGGACCAGCATCCTGAGCTACCCCACCGTTTGTAAACATAGGTTGTGGTGCAGTGGGGCCCTCTCCAGTCTATGGCCAGGCAGATTTCCAGGTATGTGGAGTACCCACTTGACTGGATCAGCAGCCTGAGCTTCCCCAACCTTCCTGTGCTGAGATTATAGTGCAGTGAGGCCCTCTCATCTCCACACATAGGCAGACCTCCAAGCAATTAGAGCACCTGCTCCTATGGAGAACTTAAATTTACAAGAAAAAAAAAACCATCAAAAATTGGCCAAAGGACATGAACAGACAATCCTCAAAAGAAGACATGGATGTGGCCAACAAACATATGAAAAAAAGCTCAAATCACTGATCATTAGAGAAATGCAACTCAAAACCACAATGAGATACTATCTCAAACCAGTCTTAATGGTGATTATCAAAAACTCCAGAAACAACAGTTGCTGGTAAGGCTGTGGAGAAATAGGAATGTTTCTACACTGTTTGTGGGAATGTAAATTAGTTCATTCACTGTGGAAGGCAGTGTGAAAATTCCTCAAAGATCTAGAACCAGAAATGCCATTTGCCCCAGCAATCCCTTTACTGGATATATGCCCAAAGGAATATAAATCACTCTATTATAAAGATACATGCACAGGGCTGGGTGCAGTGGCTCACACCTGTAATCCCAGCACTTTGGGAGGCCAAGGCGGGTGGATCACCTGAGGACAGGAGTTTGAGACCAGCCTAGCCAACATGGGGAAACTCCATCTCTACTAAAAATACAAAAATTAGCCAGGTATAGTGGTGCACACCTGTAATACCAGCTACTTTGGAGGCTGAGGCAGGAGAATCGCTGGAACCCAGGAGGCAGAGGTCAAAGTGAGCCAAGATCATACCATTGCACTCCAGCCTGGGCAACAAGAGCAAAACTCCATCTCAAAAAAATATATATATACATATACATACATATATATACATATATATACACATATATATATACATATATACATATATTATATAGGTAAATGTATATATATGTGTATATATATACACACATATATATACACATATATATACATATTATAACTACATATATATACACACACACATACATATACATGCACACATATGTTTATTGCAGCACTATTTATGATAGAAAATACATGGAATCAACCCAAATGCCCATCAATGATATATTGGATAAAGAAAATGTGATATATATTCACCATGGAATACTATGCAGCCGTTAAAATAAATGAGATCACGTTCTTTGCAGGGACATGGATGAAGCTGGAAGCCATCACCCTCAGCAAACTAACACAGGAACAGAAAACCAAACACCACATGTTCTCAGTCGTAAGAGGGAGTTGAACAATGAGAGCAAACACGTGGATACATGGAGGGGAACAACACACACCAGGGCCTCTCAGGGGGACAGGGGTAGGAGACCATCAGGACAAACACGTGGATACATGGAGGGGAACAACACACACCAGGGCCTCTCAGGGGGACAGGGGTAGGAGACCATCAGGACAAACACATGGATACATGGAGGGGAACAACACACACCAGGGCCTCTCAGGGGGACAGGGGTAGGAGACCATCAGGACAAACACGTGGATACATGGAGGGGAACAACACACACCAGGGCCTCTCAGGGGGACAGGGGGTAGGAGACCATCAGGACAAACACGTGGATACATGGAGGGGAACACCACACACCAGGACCTCTCAGCGGGACAGGGGGTAGGAGACCATCAGGACAAACACGTGGATACATGGAGGGGAACAACACACACCAGGGCCTCTCAGGGGGACAGGGGGTAGGAGACCATCAGGACAAACACGTGGGTACATGGAGGGGAACAACACACACCAGGGCCTCTCAGGGGGACAGGGGTAGGAGACCATCAGGACAAACACGTGGATACATGGAGGGGAACAACACACACCAGGACCTCTCAGCGGGACAGGGGGTAGGAGACCATCAGGACAAACACGTGGGTACATGGAGGGGAGCAACACACACCAGGGCCTCTCAGGGGGACGGGGGGTAGGAGACCATCAGGACAAACACGTGGATACATGGAGGGGAACAACACACACCAGGGCCTCTCAGGGGGACGGGGGGTAGGAGACCATCAGGACAAACACGTGGGTACATGGAGGGGAACAACACACACCAGGGCCTCTCAGGGGGACGGGGGGTAGGAGACCATCAGGACAAACACGTGAGTACATGGAGGGGAACAACACACACCAGGGCCTCTCAGGGGGACGGGGGGTAGGAGACCATCAGGACAAACACGTGGGTACATGGAGGGGAACAACACACACCAGGGCCTCTCAGGGGGACGGGGGGTAGGAGACCATCAGGACAAACACGTGGATACATGGAGGGGAACAACACACACCAGGGCCTCTCAGCGGGACAGGGGGTAGGAGACCATCAGGACAAACACGTGAGTACATGGAGGGGAACAACACATACCAGGGCCTCTCAGGGGGACGGGGGGTAGGAGACCATCAGGACAAACACGTGGGTACATGGAGGGGAACAACACACACCAGGGCCTCTCAGGGGGACGGGGGGTAGGAGACCATCAGGACAAACACGTGGATACATGGAGGGGAACAACACACACCAGGGCCTCTCAGGGGGACAGGGGGTAGGAGACCATCAGGACAAACACGTGGATACATGGAGGGGAACAACACACACCAGGGCCTCTCAGGGGGACAGGGGGTAGGAGACCATCAGGACAAACACGTGGATACATGGAGGGGAACAACACACACCAGGGCCTCTCAGGGGGACGGGGGGTAGGAGACCATCAGGACAAACACGTGGGTACATGGAGGGGAACAACACACACCAGGGCCTCTCAGGGGGACGGGGGGTAGGAGACCATCAAGACAAACACGTGGGTACATGGAGGGGAACAACACACACCAGGGCCTCTCAGGGGGACAGGGGTAGGAGACCATCAGGACAAATAGCTAATGCATGCAGGGCCTCATACCTAGGTGATGGGTTGATGGGTGCAGCAAACCACCATGGCACACATTTACCTATGTATCAAACCTACACTTTCTGCACGTGTATCCCAGAACATAAAATAAAATTTAAAAAATATATACACTGATTCATGATCTCCTTTCTCTCCTTCTGAAACACTCTTTAAAACTTTTTAGCATTTCCCCCTCTGTCTTCCATGTCTCCTAACTACATGTTTCTTATTTTCCATTTCCTTATTCCTGTGTTCATTTTGGATAGCCCCTTCTGACCTATATTACAGTTTACTAGTTCACTCTTCAACTGCTTCTAACATACTAATATTCTGTTAAAACCATTCATTTGGGTTTAAATTTCAATTATGTTATTCTCTATGGACATTCTATTTGTTTTCTTTTAATCTTCTTGGCCATTCTCTAGAGTTTCCTGTTCCATTATGATATTTTTAATTTTTTGTTTTACTTTAAACATACTAAATATAGTTATTTTATTTTCTGTATCTGATACTTTCAATAACTGCAGTCTTCGCTAGTCTTTTTTCTGTGCTCTTGCTCATAGTTTTTTTCGTTTGTTTTCATGATTAGAAAAACAGAGAGAGAAGAAGGAGAGTAAAGGGAGGAGGAGGAGGAGGAGAAAAGAAGAAAGCAGAGAAGAAGGGACAGAGAAAAAAAGGAAGTTGGTTCTAACGTTTCTCTAACAACTGTCTTCAGTGAAACGCTCCCACCTTGTGGATTTTTAGGTTATTGAAATTAACCAGTCTTCTGGGTGCAGCACACCAACATGGCACATGTATACATATGTAACAAACCTGCACTTTGTGCACATGTACCCTAAAACTTAAAGTATAATAAAAAATAAAATAAAAAGCTACACAAATTAAAAAAAAAAGAAATCAACCTAATTCCTAGATTACCACCTCTTGATTCAAATGCTTTAAATCTAGGCTTTTCATCTGAGTCTTTCTTTTTAGTTATTCTGTTTATCTTCAAAACACTCCTGCTTTGAATCATTCAAAATCTACCTCCCTCCCTCTGTTTGACTACCATCAATTTTTTTGCTCATTCCTAATGCATTAATCTATTAGCTGTGAATATCCAAAAACCCTCATTTCACTGAATCTTTGACAGACCCCTTTGCATCCTCTTGTTCTTCTAATTATTTCCTCAGACACTTTATGTTCTCTTTTCTTTACAAGCATGCCATAGTTTATATACAATGTGTGTATTGTTTTTATATATACCTATATATAGCCTCTTTTTAAAAGCACTGTACACCATGCTTTGAAATATATTCTAAAATCAGGTAGCATGAAAATGGAAACATAACATACTAAAACATATGGGATGCAACAAAAGCAGTTATAAGAGGGACACTTATAGCAATAAATGCCTACATCAAAAAAGAAAAAAAGATCTCAAATAAGCAACCTAATATTATGCCTAAAGGAGCGAGAAAATTAGAGAACAATACAAGCCCAAAGATAGCAGAAGGAAACAAATAACAAAGATCAGAGCAGAAATAATATAATAGAAACTGAAAATTTCAATAAAAATAAGAATTGTTTTTTGAAAAGATAAACAAAATTAACAAATTCTTACATAGACTAAGAAAAAAGAAAACAAACTCAGAAATGAAAGAAGAGACATTAAAACTGATACCACAGAAGTTAAAAAATCATAACATACTACTATAATTAATTATTCACCAGCAAATTAGATAACCTAGAAGAAATTGATAAACTCGTACCAAAACTGAATCATGAAGAATTCAAAATTTAGAACAAATCGTGAATAAGGAAATTAAATCACCAATGAAAGGTCTCTCATAAAAGAAAGACCCAGGATTGAATGGCTCAGTGGCTGGATTCTAACAAACACTTAGATAACTAACACCAATCCTTCTCAAACGCTTCCAGAAACATGAAGAAGAGGAATACTTCCAAATTCATTTTTCAAAACCAGCATTACCCTGATACCAAAACCAGAGAAGGACACTATAATAAAAATAAATTGCAGACCAATACTCCTGATGAACTTAGATGGAAAAACCCTCAGCCAAATATTAGCAAATATTATTTTTAAGAAAACACAGCAAAAAAATTCACCATGCTTAAGTGGGATTCATCCCTGGGAAGCTTATTAGTCTTATTTGATTCGTGTAATCAGAAAATTTCTATGTCTAGTGAAGAGAAATGAGAGCAATAGAGACTCATAGCACCTCAACAAATTTCCAGGCTTGAGCCAGTTAACAAATACAAGTCCTTCAAATACAAAAAGACTGTGAAAGAAAATAGAACAGATCAATGAAACTAAGAATTTGTTCTTTGAAAAGATAAACAAAACTGACAAACCATTAGCTAGACTAGAAAAACGAGAGAATACTCAAAGCAATAAAATCAGAAATGAAAGAGGAAATATTGCAACTAATACCACAGAAATATAGAGGATCATAAGAGGCCACTATAAACAATTACAAGCCAACAAATTGGATAACCTAGAAAAAGCAGATAAATTTCTAGAAAAATGCAACTTACCTAGAGAAAGTCAAGAAGAAAGATAAAATCTGAACAGAACAATACTGAGTATGGAGAGTATATCAATAATAAAACATCTCCCATCAAAGAACATCCCAGGACCAGAAAACTTCATTGCTGAATTCTAACATTTTAAAAAATAATAATACAATCCTTCTGAAATTCTTCCAAAAACTTGAAGGAGAAAGAGTATTTCCAAACTCATTTTAAAAGATCAGCATTATTGTTTTTTTTTTAAAGTGATGTTCCCCTTCCTGTGTCCATGTGTTCTCATTGTCCAATTCCCACCTATGAGTGAGAACATGCACTGTTTGGTTTTTTGTCCTTGTGATAGTTTGCTGAGAATGATGGTTTCCAGCTTCATCCATGTCCCTACAAAGGACATGAACTCATCATTTTTTATGGCTGCATAGTATTCCATGGTGTATATGTGCCACATTTTCTTAATCCAGTCTATCATTGTTGGACATTTGGATTGGTTCCAAGTCTTTGCTATTGTGAATAGTGCTGCAATAAACATACGTGTGCATGTGTCTTTATAGCAGCATGATTTATAATCCTTTGGGTATATACCCAGTAATGGGATGGCTGGGTCAAATGGTATTTCTAGTTCTAGATCCCTAAGAAATCGCCACACTGACTTCCACAATGGTTGAACTAGTTTACAGTCCCACCAACAGTGTAAAAATGTTCCTATTTCTCCACATCCTCTCCAGCACCTGTTGTTTCCTGACTTTTTAATGATGGCCATTCTAACTGGTGTGAGATGGTATCTCATTGTGGTTTTGATTTGCACTTCTCTGATGGCCAGTGATGATGAGCATTTTTTCATGTGTTTTTTGGCTGCATAGATGTCTTCTTTTGAGAAGTGTCTGTTCATATCCTTTGCCCACTTTTTGATGGGGTTGTTTGTTTTTTTCTTGTAAATTTGTTTGGGTTCATTGTAGATTCCAGATATTAGCACTGGGGCCTGTTGTGGGGTGGGGGGAGGGGGGAGGGATAGCATTAGGAGATACACCTAATGTTAAATGATGAGTTAATGGGTGCAGCACACCAGCATGGCACATGTATACATATGTAACTAACCTGCACGTTGTGCACATGTACCCTAAAACTTAAAGTATAATTTAAAAAATAAATAAATAAAAATAAAAATAAAAAGGCAAACAAGGACACTATAAGAAAAGTATGGGCCAACCAATATCCCTGATGAACATAGATACAAAAGTCCTCAAAATAAGTACTAGCAAACAGAATTTAACAACATATTAGGAGAACATTTACCATGATAAAGTGGATTTATCCTCCAGATGTTTCAGCAAACACAAATCAAATGTGATAAACCACATTAACAGAATGAAGGATAAAAAAATAGCTATCTCTATATATGCAGAAAAAGCATTTGACTAAATTCAAAATCCTCTCATGACAAAACCTCTCAACAAATTGGGCGTAGAAGGCATGTACCTTAACACAAAACAGGACATATATAACAAGCTCACAGCTCACATCATACCCAACAATGAAAAAGTGAAATCTTTTCTGCTAAGATCAAGAACAAGACAAGGATATTTATTCTCACTACTTCTATTCAACTTATTTCTGGAAGTCCTAGCCAGAGCAATTAAGCCAAATAAAGAAATAAAAGATATTCAAATTGAAAAGGAAGAAGTAAAATTGTCTCTGTTTGATGACATATTATATATAGGAAACCCTAAAAACTCCACCAAAAAGCTATTAGAAATGATAAATGAATTCAATAAAATTGCAGAATTCAAAATCAATGTACAAAACTCAGTAGTTTCTTTACACTCACAACAAACTATATGACAAAAATAAAGAAATCAATCTCATTCACAGTAGCATCAAAAAAACTGTATTTTTTTTGTTTAGGAGCACATTTAGGATTGTACTTAGGAGTACATTTAACCAAGGAGGTGAAAGATCTGTATTCTGAACACTATAAAACATTGATGAAAAATTGTAGATGACACAAATACATGGAAAGATATTTTATGTTCATGGGTAGGAAGAATTAATATTCTTAAAATGTCCTTACTGCCCAAAGCGATTTATAGGTTTAATGCAACATTTATCAAAATTTCAATGTCATTCTTCACAGAAATAGAAAAAACAATTTGAAAATTTATATGGAACCACAAAGGACCCTGAATAACTAAAGCACTCTTGAGCAATAAGAACAAAGCTGAAGGCCTCACAATCTGACTTCAAAACGTATTACAGGAAAAGAACAAAAGAAGGAAGAAGAGGGTAGAGGAGAAGTGCAGCAAGGGTGGAGGGAGGTGCCCGCGCTGGGTCGGAGGAGCAGGAGTATGGAGGGAAGACTCCTGGGTGGCATGGAGCTCTTGCACCTCTAGGCACTGCCCAGCCCTGTGTCAGCCAGGGCTGAACCCCCACAGGATAAGGAAGCCTGTGTGTGTACCAACAATCAAAGCTACATCTGTGACACAACAGGACACTGCTATGGGCAGTCTCAGTGTTGTAACTACTACTATGAACATTGGTGGTTCTGGCTCGCGTGGACCATCACCATCATCCTGAGCTGCTGCTGTGTCTGCCACCACAGCCAAGCCAGCCCTCAAGTCCAGCAGTAGCAACATGAAATCAACCTGCCTGCCTATCCAGAAGCCCGCAATTACTCAGTGCTACCATTTTATTTCACCAAACTATTTATTACCTTCTTATGAGGAAGTGGTGAACTAACCTCCACCTGTTTCCCTCCCTGTCTGTCCATTGTGGATGAGCTCTGAGCCCTGTTTTCCTGTGAAGATTCTTTGAATTGCGGCCATTCTATTCACATGAACTCTCACATCTGGAGCACAGATGGCCCTCTCAAGGTAATTTATTGTATGCATTGACTGTTTACCAAACAAATGTCTTACTATGTACTCAGGTATATTCAGCAGCATTGTCGACTGCAGTCCCCTATGCTTGCCAGAAGATACTGTATTCAAAGTAGAAGTTTCACAGTGATGAGTAATCACTGCAATTTTCCCATTGCTCCATGGACTCTCAGAGGCCGGTGTTCTGTTCCCTGTAAATAGAGATGTACTCTGAACCTTTCTGCCTCCCTCAGCTGTTCCTAGTCCTTGGTATCAGCCCCTGGAGATGTCCACAACCACTTAGGACAAAAGGCAAAAGTGGAATTTCAGACAAAACTTTGATAGGATCTTCAGTGATAAACTTGGACTAACTGTGGCCCAGGTATCAGCACTCCCAAGAATTGCCAGGAGGAAGCTTTGGCAGACACCACAGGTATGGCAAGGCCTATCTCCCTCTGCTGAATCCAACAGGGGCAAGCAAGCTGGCATGTGGCTTGAGGTGACCCGAATATGTCAGCACCCCTCAGATGTCTTTCTTTGCACTTTTAAAAAAAATCTCAGAATTTGCTGGCAACATGGCCAAATAGGAACAGCTCCAGTCTGCAGCTCCCAGTGAGATCAATGCAGAATGCAGGTGATTTCTGCATTTCCAACTGAGGTACCTGGTTCATCTCACTGGGACTGGTTGGACAGTGGGTGCAGCGCACGGAGGGTGAGCCAAAGCAGAATGGGGTGTCGCCTCACCCGGGAAGTGCAAGGGGTTGGGGGAATTCCCTCCCCTAGCCAAGGGAAGCCCCGAGGGACTGTACCATGAGGAACGGTGCACTCCACCCAGAAACTATGCTTTTCTCACGGTCTTCACAATCCACAGACCAGGAGATTCCCTCCAGTGCCTCTGCCACCAAGGCCCTAGGTTTCAAGCACAAAACTAGGCAGCTGTTTGGGCAGACACCGAGCTAGCTGCAGGAGTTTTTTTTTTTTTTTCATGCCACAATGGCAACTGGAATGCCAACAAGACAGAACCATTCTCTCTCCTGGAAAGGGGGCTGAAGCCAGGGAGCCAAGTGGTCTGGCTCGGCGGGTCCCACCCATACAGAGCCCAGCAAGCTAAGATCCACTGGCTTGAAATTCTTGCACAGCAGTCTGAGGTTGACCTAGGACACTCGAGCTTGGTGGCGGGAGGGGCTTCCACATTGCCAAGGCTTGAGTAGGCAGTTTTACCCCCACAGTGTAAACAAAGCCACCAGAAAGTTTGAACTGGGTGGAGCCCACCACAACTCAGCAAGGCCACAGCAGCCAGACTGCCTCTCTAGATTTCTCCTCTCTGGGCAAGGCATCTCTGAAAAAAGGGCAGCAGCCCCAGTCAGAGACCTATAGATAAAACCCCCATCTCCCTGGAACAGACCACCTAGGGGAAAGGGCGCCTGTGGGCACAGCTTCAGCAGACTTAAAGCATCTTTGAAAAGCCTGATGGCTCTGAAGAGAGCAGCAGATCTCCCTGCACAGTATTCGAGCTCTGATAAGGGTCAGACTGCCTCCTCAAGTGGGTCCCTAACCCCCGTGTATCCTGACTGGGAGACACCTCCCAGTAGGTGCCAACAGGCACCTCATACAGGAGAGCTCTGGCTGGCATCTGGTGGGTGCCCCTCTTGGACAAAACTTCCAGAGGAAGAAACAGGCAGCAATCTTTGCTGTTCTCCAGCCTCCGCTGGTGATGCCCAGGCAAACAGGGTCTAGAGTAGACCTAGGGCAAACACCAACAGACCTGCAGCAGAGGGGCCTGACTGTTAGAAGGAAAACTAACAAACAAAAAGGAATAGCATCAACATCAACAAAAAGGACAGCCACTCAGTGACCTCATCAGAAGGTTACCAACATCAGAAACCACAGGTAGATAAATCCATGAAGATGGAGAGAAACCAGAGCAAAAAGGCTGAAAATTCCAAAAACCAGAACGCCTCTTCTCCTCCAAAGGATCACAACTCCTCACCAGCAAGGGAACAAAAGAAAACTGGATGGAGAATGAGTTTGATGAATTGAGAGAAGTAGGTTTCAGAAGGTAGGTAATAACAAACTCCTCCAAGCTAAAGGAGCATGTCCTAACCCAATGTAAGGAAGCTAAGGACCTGGAAAAAAGGCTAGACCAATTGCTAACTAGAATAACCAGTTTAGAGAAGAACATAAATGACCTGATGGAGCTGAAAAACATGCCATGAGAACTTCATGCAGCATGCACAAGGATCAAGCACTGATTCGATCAAGCGGAAGAAAGATATCAGAGACTGAATATCAACTTAATGAAATAAATCAAGAAGACAAGATTAGAGAAAAAAGAATGAAAAGAAATGAACAAAGCCTCCAAGAAATATGGGACTATGTGAAACGACCAAATCTACATTTGATTGCTGTACCTGAAAGTGATGGGGAGAATGGAACCAAGTTAGAAAACACTCTTCAGGATATTATCCAGGAGAACTTCCCTAACCTAGCAAGGCAGGCCAATATTCAAATTCAGAAATACGGAGAACATCACAAAGACACTCCTCAAGAAAAGCAACCCCAAGACACATAGTCATCAGATTGAGCAAGGTTGAAATGAAGGAAAAAATGTTAAGGGCAGCCAGAGAGAAAGGTCAGGTTACCCACAAAGGGAAGCCCATCAGACTAACAGCAGATCTATCAGCAGAAATTCTACAAGCCAGAAGAGAATGGGGGCCAATATTCAACATTCTTAAAGAAAAGAATTTTCCACCCAGGATTTCATATCCAGCCAAACTAAGCTTCATAAGTGAAGGAGAAATAAAATCTTTACAGACAAGCAAATGCTGAGAGATTTTGTCACCACCAGGCCTGCCTTAAAGGAGCTCCTGAAGGAAGCACTAAACATGGAAAGGAACAACTGGTATCAGCCACTGCAAAAACATACCAAATTGTAAAGACAATTGACACTATGAAGAAACTGCATTAACTAACAGCAAAATAACCAGCTAGCATCGTAATGACAGGATCAAATTCACACATAACAATATCAACCTTAAATGTAAATGGGCTAAATGCTCCAATTAAAAAACACAGACTGGCAAATTGGCTAAAGAGTCAAGACCCATCAGTGTTCTGTATTCAGGAGACCCATCTCACGTGCAAAGACACAAATAGGCTCAAAATAAAGGGATGGAGGAATACTTACCAAGCAAATGGAAGGCAAAAAAAAGCAGGGGTCGCAATCCTAGTCTCTGATAAAACAGACTTTAAACCAACAAAGATCAAAAGAGACAAATAAGGGCATTGCATAATGGTAAAAGGATCAATGCAACAAGAAGAGCTAATTATCCTAAATATATATGCACCCAATACAGGAGCACCCAGATGCATAAAGTAAGCTCTTAGAGACTTAAAAAGAGACTTAGACCCTCACACAATAATAGTGGGAGACTTTAACATCCCACTGTCAATACTAGACAGATCAACGAAACAGAAAGTTAACAAGGATATCCAGGACTTGAACTCAGCTCTGGACCAAGTGGATCCAATAGACAGCTACAGAACTCTCCACCCCAAATCAACAGAATATACATTCTTCTCAGCACCACATTGCACTTATTCTAAAATTGACCACATATTTGGAAGTAAAACACTCCTCAGCAAATGCAAAAAAAAATGGGAATCATAACAGTCTCTCAGATCGCAGTGCAATTAAATTAGAACTCAGGATTAAGAAACTGACTCAAACCCACACAACTACATGTAAACTGAACAACCTGCTCCTGAACAACTACTGGGTAAATAAAGATATTAAGGCAGAAATAAATAAGTTATTTGAAACCAATGAGAACAAAGACATAACATACCAGAATCTCTGGTACACAATTATAGCAGTGTGTAGAGGGAAATTTATAGCACTAAATGCCCACAAGAGAAAGCAGGAAAGATCTAAAATTGACACCCTAACATCTCAATTAGAAGAACTCAAGAGGCAGGAGCATACAAAAAGCTAGCAGAGGACAATAAATAACTAAGATCAGAGCAGAACTGAAGGAGATAGAGACACAAAAAAACCTTCAAAAAAAATCAATGAATCCAGGAGCTGGTTTTTTGAAAATATCAATAAAATAGATAGACCACTAGCCAGACTCATAAAGAAGAAAACAGAGAAGAATCAAACAGATGCAATAAAAAATGATAAAGGAGATACCACCACTGATCCCACAGAAATACAAACTACTATCAGAGAATACTATAAACACCTCTACACAAACTAGAAAATCTAGAAGAAATGGACAAATTCCTGGACACATACACCCTCCCAAGACTAAACCAGGAAGAAGTTGAATCCCTGAATAGACCAATAACAAGGTCTGAAATTGTGGCAGAATTAATAGCCTACCAACCAAAAAACAGTCCAGGACCAGATGGATTCACAGCCGAATTCTACCAGAGGTACAAAGAGGAGCTGGTACCATTCCTTCTGAAACTATTCCAAACAACAGAAAAAGAGGGAATCCTCCCTAACTCATTTTATGAGGCCAGAATAATTCTGGTACCAAAATTTGGCAGAGACACAACAAAAAAAAAGAAAATTTCAAGCCAATATCCCTGATGAACATCGATGCAAAAATCCTCAATAAAATACTGGCAAACCAAATCCAGCAGCATATCAAAAGCTTGTCCACCACAATCAAGTCAGCTTCATCCCTGGGATACAAGGCTAGTTCAACATACGCAAATCAATAAACATAATTCATCATATAAATAGAACCAATGGCAAAAACCACATGCTTCTCTCAATAGATGCAGAAAAGGCCTTCGAAAAAATTCAACAGCCCTTCATGCTAAAAACTCTCAATAAACTAGGTACTGATGGAACATATCTCAAAATAATAATACCTATTTATGAAAAACCCACAGCCAATACTGAATGGTGAAAAACTGGAAGCATTCCCTTTGAAAACCAGCACAAGACAAGGATGCCCTATCTCACCACTCCTATTCAACGTAGTATTGGAAGTTCTGGCCAGGGCAATCAGGCAAGAGAAAGAAATTGTCTCTGTTTGCAGATGACATGATTGTGTATTTAGAAAACCCCATGGTCTCAGCCCAAAATCTTCTTAAGCTAATAAGCAACTTCAGAAAAGTCTCAGGATACAAAATCAATGTGCAAAAATCAAGCATTCCTATATGCAAAAAACAGACAAACAGAGAGCCAAATCATGAGTGAACTCTCCCATTCACAATTGCTACTAAGAGAATAAAATACCTAGGAATCCAACTTACAAGGGATGTGAAGGACCTCTTCAAGGAGAACTACAAACCACTGCTCAAGGAAATAAGAGAGGACACAAACAAATGGAAAAACATTCCATGCTCATGGATAGGAAGAATCAATATCATGAAAATGGACATACTGCCCAAAGTTTTTATAGACTCAATGCTATCCCCATCAAGCTACCACTGACTTTGTTCACAGAATTGGAAAAAACTACTTTAAATTTCATATGGAACCAAAAATGAGCCCGCAGAGCTAGGACAGTCCTAAGCAAGTAGAACAAATCTGGAGGCATCACGCTGTCTGACTTCGAACTATACTACAAGTCTTCAGTAACCAAAACAGCATGGTACTGGTACCAAAACAGATATGTAGACCAATGGAACAGAACAGAGGCCTCAGAAATAACACCACACATCTACAACTATCTGATCTTTGACAAACCTGACAAAAACAAGCAATGGGGAAACGATTCCCTTTTTAATAAATGGTGTTGGGAAAACCGGCTAGCCATATGCAGAAAACTGAAACTGGATCCCTTTCTTACACTTTACACAAAAATTAACTCACGATGTATTAAAGACTTAAACATAAGATCTAAAACCATAAAAAACCCTAGAAGAAAACCTAGGCAATACCATTCAGTACATAGGCATGGACAAAAACTTCATGACTAAAACACCAAAAGCAATGGCAACAAAAGCCAAAATTGACAAATGGGATCTAATTAAACTAAAGAGCTCCTGCACAGCAAAAGAAACTATCATCAGAGTGAACAGGCAACCTACAGAATGGGTGAAAATTTTTGCAATCTATCCATCTGACAAAGGGCTAATATCCAGAATCTACAAAGAACTTAAACAATTTACAAGAAAATAACAAACAAACCCATCAGTGGGTGAAGGATATGAACTGACATTTCTCTAAAGAAGACATTTATGCAGCCAACAAACATATGAAAAAAAGCTCATCATCACTGGTCATCAGAGAAATGCATATCAATACCACAATGAGATACCATCTCACGCCAGATAGAATGGCGATCATTAAAAAGTCAGGAAACAACAGATGCTGGAAAGGATGTGGAGAAATAAGAATGCTTTTACACTGTTGGTGGGAGTGTAAATTAGTTCAACCATTGTGGAAGACAGTGTGGTGATTCCTCAAGGTTCTAGAACTAGAAATATGATTTGACCCAGTAATTGCATTACTGGGTATATATCCAAAGGATTATAAATCATTCTACTATAAAGACACATGCACACATATGTTTATTGTGGCACTGTTCACAATAGCAAAGACTTGGAACCAACCAAAATGCCCATTCAGTGATAGACTGCATAAAGAAAATGTGGCATATATACACCATGGAATACTATGCAGCCATAAAGAAGGATGAGTTCATATCCTTTTCAGGGACATGGATTAAGCTGGAAACCATCATTCTCAGCAAACTAATCCAAGAACAGAAAACCAAACACCCGATGTTCTCACTCATAAATGAGAGTTGAACAATGAGAACACATGGACAGAGGGAGGGGAACACAACACACCGGGGCCTGTCTGGGGGTAGGGGCTGGGGGAAGGTTAGCATTGGGTTAAATACCTAATGTAGATGATGGGTTGATGGGTGCAGCAAACCACCATGGCACGTGTATACCTATGTAACAATCCTGCATGTTCTGCATATGTACCCCAGAACTTAAAATATAATTTAAAAAAAAATCTCAAACAACTCACTGAAGTGTCTCAAAGCTGAACAAGTTTTACCAAAATGAATCCTTCTCAGTTAACTGATCAAATGGATGAATCCTGACCCTCTGAAGTCTCTTTCCTGAGTTAGAGCAGGGAACTGCTCTGAGTGTTAACTGTTGGATTCACTGCAGTGTCCTACAATATTTTACAAGAAGATGAACAGGCAACCTGCAGACCTAAGCTTGATTCCCAAGTCACAGTCTGACCCCTGCTACAGGAGGTTACCCTCCTCAGGAAGAGATAGAAATAGGGAATTTGAAGGAATAGTGAGGGGACCAGGGAGATTTGATTGAGTCTGGTTTCCAGGTGAATTAAAAGGAAGGGTGTCATCCAGGGTTTGTTACTACAGTCAAAAGAATAAATAAATCAATGAAGAAATACCTTCATTGTCTGTGGTTTTCATGCAGATATACTCATGGAGGTTGTATCTCTCCAAAAACAGACAAATCCAAGGCTGTGAACAAGCATCCGCATTTGAATTCCATTAAACCAAAATCTATGTTGAACGAAGTGAAGTCTGTACACAGCATTGCAAATGTGAACACATTCCTGTGTGAGGCACATCACCATTTGTCAGTTATTGTGAATATGTGTATTTTTAAGCAATAAGATGCAGCTGGTCAGTTTTCTGGGCAATCTTGGTGAGGCATTTCCTGTGCTGTGGTTGTTCTCTAACCACTGTGAGAAACCCAAATAAAAATCGATCCCCCCCAAAACAAGTACGTATCACAAAACCATAGTAATCAAAACAATATGACACTTGCACAAAAACAGACACATTGACCAGGGGAACAGAATAAGGAGCCCAGAAATAAACTCATGCATTTATGACCAATAAATTTTTGACAAAGGTGCCCAGAAAACGTAATGAAGAATAGACATTTGTTTCAATAAATGGTGTTAAGAAAACTAGATATCCACATGCAGAAGAACACGAATGTGTATGGTGTGTATCCTTATCTCACACCATACACAAAAATCAATTCAAAATGGATTAAAGGTTTAAACATAAAACTGTAAAACTACTAGATGAAAACATAGGGGAAAAGTTCCACAATGTTGGTTTGGTCAAAGATTTCTTGGATATCACCCCCAAAGCACAGGCAACAAAAGCAAAAATATATGGGATTGCATCAAACTAAAAAGCTTCTGCACAGCAAAGGAAACAATATGGTGAAGAGACAACCTACAAGTTGTGAGAAAATATTTGCAGAGCATACATCTGATGAAAGGCTAATCTCCAAATATATAAGGGACTCAACTCAATATCAAGAAAACAAATAACCAAGTCAAAAAATGGGCAAGGTCCTAAATAGACATTTCTCAAAAAAAATACAAATGACTAACATAAAAAAAGTTTGTCATCCTAATTATCAGGGAAATGCAAATTAAAATGACAGTGAGATGCCACTTCATACCTGTTAGAATGGCTACTATCAAAATGATAAAAGATAACAAGTGTTGAAGAGGATACAGAGAAAAGGGAACCCTCGTACACTGTTGGTGGAAATGTAAATTAATACTATTATGAAAAATAGATAAAAGTTACTCAAAAAACTAAAACTAGAATTACTATATGATCCAGCAATCCCACTTCCTTGTATATATCCAAAGGAATTTAAGTCAATATGCTGAAGAGATATCTCCAGGCTCATGTTCATTGCAGCATTATTCACAATACCCAAATATGAAATCAACACAGGTGTCTATCAACTGACAAATGGATGAAGAAAATGTAGTGTATATATACAATGGAATACTACTCAGCCTTAATAGGAAGGAAAACCTGATATATGTGACAACATGAATTAACCCAGAAGATATCACGCTAAGTGAAATAAGCCAGGCACGAAAAGACAAATATCACATGATCTCACTGATATGTGGAATCTAAAAAAGTTGAATTCATAGAAGTAGAGAATGGAATGGTGATTATCAGAGGCTAGTAGTTGGGGGTAGACATGGAAAAGGTAGATGTTGATAAAAGGGTTCAAAGTTTCAGTTAGACAAAGTTTCAGTGAACTATTGCACAGAATGGTGACTGTAATAAATAACAAGGTATTGTATGTTTCAAAATGACTAACAGAGTAGATTTTAAATGTTTTCACCACAAAAAAGATATGTATGTCAATAAGATAGACCTAATCTTTCCACAATTTAAACATGTATCAAAACATTACATTGTACCCCATAAATAGATACAATTATTATTTGTCAATTTAAAATTTTTCACTAATTTATATTGTTATTGTTGCACCAACTCCTTTCCACCAGGCAGATTCTCATAAAGACTATTTTCTCTTTTACATGAAGCATTTCCTACACACCTCTTAATCACGGTAGCATTGACGTCATTCCACCAGATTCTATCTCCAGTGTTAAAATAATCAAGAACCCAGAAATCTCCACCAGGGGGCAACCAATGCGTATCAAAGTTTCCCACTTTCCTTTAGATTTACTTATGGGTAACTTATGGGAAAAAATACTTAAGTACTTCCCTTTTTAAAGAAAAAAATTATATGAATTCTACAAAATTATGGCAGAAAATTTAAGAAGAGCAGATGCTTCCCAACTCATTCTAAAGGGCCAGCATTACCCTGATTCTGAAACGAAAAAGCTTTACAAAATCCAAGATCCATTCCTGACTAAAGATAAAAGAAATTTTCAGCAAACTGTGAATACAGAAAACTTTCTCAGCCTGTTAAAGAGTACCTATGAAAAAAATTATAGCTAACATTATACTTAATGATGAAATATTTAATATATTTCATAACAGGAACAAGTCAAAGATGTCTACTCTAACTAATTCTACTCAGCATTCAACAAAATGAATATAGTGAATTCATACTAGAATTTTAAAAGCAAATGTCTTTATTCACTGACAACATAATCATCTATAAAGAAAATCCTACATAACCTATAAAAAACTGATGGAACTTATAAGTTTTGCAAGTTTACAGGATATAATGTCAAACAAAGATCTATTATGTGCCCATAAGCTAAGAATAAACAATTGTAAATTGAAATAAAAATGTCACTTAAAAGGGCATCAGAAATATAAAACTTAGAGATAAATATAAAGTACATATGCATAAAGTACCTGTTCACCAAAAACTACAAAACATTGCTGAAAGAAATTAAATGGGCATAATATAGATGTAGAGATGTGTTGAATTTATGACTCATTTTGAACAAGGAATATATTCATCATATATTCATCAGATAAGAATTATGTTACAGGTCTAATAACATTCAAATCAATACATAATGTCTCATAGTTCCTGAATCTAAAATATCAAAGAAAGAAACATAAAGCCATATCATGTTTAATGAGAAGGGCTTATTATATCATTTATGAGATCCTCTTGTAAATCACTAGCTGTTTGCATACTCTCTTTATTGCTGCCTTCATCTCCTTATTCCTGAATGTATAGACAACTGGATTCAGAAAAGGAGTGAGAACTGCATCAAAAATAGCCAGAAACTTGTCCATCTGTGAATTAGGGTGTGGCCGTGTATACACAAACATGGGTGGACCAAAGAACAAAAGGACCACTGTGCTGTGAGCTGAAAGAGTGGAAAGGGCCTTGGATGAACCACCTGAGGAATGTTTCCAAACAGTAAACAGGATGAAGACGTAGGAGATTAGAAGTATGAAGAAAGTACCCACACAGATAAACCCACTGTTAACAGTGACCATGAACTGCAATCTGTAGGTGTCGGTACAGGCTAGTCTGAGAAGCCGAGGAAGGTCACAGTAGAAGCTGTCCAACACATTAGGGCCACAGAAGGCTAAATTAACAAGAAATGCCAGTTGGAACAGGGAGTGACTGACACCAAGGGTCCAGGCAACAGCCAGAAATGAAAGGCACATTCTTGGGCTCATAATGGTCAGATAGTGGAGGGGCTTACATAGGGCCACATATCTGTCAAAGGCCATGGCTATGAGCAGCACCATCTCCACACCACCAACGACGTGGATGAAGAAGATTTGAGCGATGCAGCCTCCAAAGGAGATGACTTTGCGCTTTCTGAACAGGTCATAAATCATCTTGGGAGAAGTGACAGAGCAGGCTCCTAAGTCAATGAAGGAGAGACTGGCCAGTAGAAAGTACATGGGGGAGTGTAAGTGAGGGTCAGTGGTCACAGAAAACACAATGAGGATGTTTCCAGTAATGCTTGCCACATAGAGCACAGAGGAAAACACTAGGAGGAGGAGCTGGATCTCCCATGAATGAGTGAGTCCCAGAAACAAAAACTCAGATACCACTGAGTGATTCTCTCCATCCATTGGTCCAGCCAACTGGGCTGTGGCTAAAATTATGAGAACTAAGAAAATGGGGAGGAAATTGTGATTATGAAGATAATAATATGTACTAAAATCAATATTGCAATGTCACTATGAATAAATAGTATACAGTTATTCTGTTCCTCACATATTAAAAACAAAAAATCAACATAATATTATCACAACATGTGAGCTGCAACCTGATTTAAACCCATCATCAATACTTTCAGTGTAATGTCTGATCTAAAATTAACAGATTAGGTAAGAACAAGATTCCTGACTATCCATGAAATTCATCAGGTGTTTAAATGACCTGTGATATTAACTATTCCTCATTTCCAACATATTCCATTTGTACTTATACATATTCTTATAATTTCCTTCCCTTCCCAGTTTGCACCCACAATTCTCTGACAGAAAGTAGACATAAGAGGAAAACATGATTAACAGATGGATTATCACTGCAGTAAGAGGTGCCTGGGACAGACTTAGTTGAGGTAGGCTGTGGATTGAGAGAATATAGAGACTGGGGTATGTGAAATCGGAAAGCCCACAACTGTAGCAGACTAGAGTAAGTGGACTTTCACAAGAAATAGAATCACCACCATTATCTACCACATTTTCTCATGCTTACTGCTATTTAAGTGCCTCAGTTTCTATACAATCTTTCACAATTACGAAGCCCTAAATGGCTTCCCATCCTGCAATGATTTCATAAGGAGCCTATGCCACCTGTCATGTAAGGCTTTTTCCATGCCTAATAAATATGTTTTGGAGGGATTTCACCAGTGTTTCTGCTAAGATACATGCATAAAATGGCCACAGAGGTTGTGAGAAATCTCTGCAGTTTCTCTTTGTCTATACACATGAAAGTATTGAAGACCAGCACTTGGATTAGTTAAGATAATGTTTTAATTCATCACTGTCTCCTCCTCCCCTTGGTACCAGCTTTTATGTTCATTGCATTCCCCACCCTTTTAAGTACTCAGTACCTCCTGCATGGTAACCTATTCTGATATTTGATATTATCATGCTTAATTTGACTGAATCCATTCGGATATTTTATCTTTAAGAAATTTGTAGTTTTATACTTTTAATTTATGATAAAATTAGATTAATATCAAACATTAACAAGTGACTTTTAGGAAGGTATATGAGCTTTCTTATTGACTTCAAACTATAAAGTACAAACTGTGACACTAGAAATTTAGTCCTTTAACACATATTGTATTTATATGTGAAGTGGAGGGTGAGCAGAAAACAGTGTTATATTTCTCTGTGTCCAGATGGATACTCACCTCAATCATTTTCCTATAGTAGAAAGTAGTTCCTGAAAACACTTAATAGAGATTATTTTAGAAGTTGCTGAGGTACAAATAAAACTGCTATGCTGACATCATACTTTTTTGCACCAACAACTCCAGTTCTTCTGACACAAAGGACCATCTTCCTAGTGCCATAATTTATCTTAGACCCCAAAACTCACAGAGGCACACATCA
The DNA here is from genome assembly GCF_000001405.40 of Homo sapiens. Taxonomy (NCBI): domain Eukaryota; kingdom Metazoa; phylum Chordata; class Mammalia; order Primates; family Hominidae; genus Homo; species Homo sapiens. The sequence goes on from NC_000001.11 coordinate 688,152, forward strand.
TATCTCTAATACTTGCTCACCACCACTGGCATGAGTCTCTCTCTATCCTCTTCTACGTGAAGTGATTATACTGTCACCTCTGGAGCTAACTGTCCACAGTCTCAAGATGCACACTTTTTACAACCAGAAGCCTATGGACTGGGTGAGGGAGCAGAAACAGCCACAGGTACTGCCCATCAGGGTAATGTAAGTCAGCATGCAAACAACTGATCAGATGAACATGAATAGCAAGGTGCTGAGGCACTGGGAAGAGGGACCGGAAAACTCTATAATTGTTGAAAAAGACTCAAGCCCTTGGGAAGGGAAATGCCTACGAAATTATATAAAGACCATTTTATCCAAGTTGGTCATCATTCAGATGAAAACCATGAGGCCCAGAAAAGTAAACTGAGTTTCCAGAATTCACACAATTGATAGAATAGGAACCAGAATTCAGGCCTCTTGCTTCCTATTCCAGAAAGACAAATTGCAATAATAATCAAATAATATGAGCAATCATCCAGTAAAAATAATCTAGTAAAAACAGCAAAACTCAAAAGAGTGATTTTTCCTGGTTAAGACCAAAACTAACCATAGATTGCTATACATAGTATCTATTATAAATACTGAATTATATAGCAGCCTGACAATAAATACATAAAATGTGTACACAAAGATTATTGAACCTGTACAATACAGTAGTAAATAGTAACTTTATATTTGCAAAGTGACTGATCATTACTATCAGAATTTGTACCCATTCTTCATATTTTGTTGGTCATATAACCAGTTACTACAACTGCAAAAACAACCTAAGGTCATGTTTCTGTGAAGTCCATCCTTTTGGTCTTTAAATTTTATTATCCTCAAAGGTCAATTATGATCTCAATCTTTTCTTGTAATTTTACTGACAATTCTCCTTCACACTGATTTGTTCTTTCTCTAATTCCTGTAAATAGAAAGAACCAAAAAAAGTTGAAAAAACATGTATTGTACATATAACAAACAATCATATGTGGTATACAATATATATCAAATGAGTATTAAGATAAACATTCAAAGAGTTTTAAAGAAAAAAGTGTTATAGATATTGGAGGGCAGAAGAGACGATTGCCATTAAGAACAGGTGGAGGAGGTTATGCCAAGGACATTGACCTGACCCTTTAGGAATTAGTGAAAATTGAATAGGAGAAGAATGAGGTATACAATGTGTGAAAAATACCTAAATTGATATAACAGGAGGAGACCTTTTCATATCAATTATCATTACTTCTGTGTATATAACCATATTAGATACCCACAAACGAATAGAAAGTGGATAGTTCTTGATTGACAAGTAAGACTAATAATCCCAGATCATAGTAAGGTCTTAACTTCAAGTCAATAATCTTTATTACTTATGGTTCATTCCTCTCCCTCATGTTTTCCAATAATTTTAAAATGCATAATTAAAACAATTCTCATTTAAAAACATAGTAGCCATGACTAATGATCTTCCAGTGGGAAGGTACTAAGACTTTACAACATGTTTCTTGCTGGGGATAAGACAGCCTACAGCCAGCATTCAACTCATTTTTCTAAAGTCTATGGATCAATTTGAAATACAGAAAAAGTAGAACAGAGATAAAGTTAAAAAAAGATTAAAAATATGGGAAGAATGGGAGAAAGGGGAGATTAGAAGATATGAACAATGATTTAAAAATAAAAGAGCCTCAAAGGAGAAGAGAAACTGCTAAGCAAGACTAAGGTAGGATGAAATACAGTAGTCTCTGTTTCTGAGAACACAGGTTAAAAAGAACATAAATAAAATAAATTTATCACCTTTAATACACTCATTCAAGGATGCTACTGAGTTTGACTTTGGGAATTTCTCACCTTTAATACACTCATCTGGGGATGCTACGGACTGTGACATTGGGTTGCATTTAAAGGGGGAGAGAAAGGGCAGTTGCTTCTATTATCGCCCTGTTGGACTCACAGAGTTTCTTTGAAAAGCACAGATGATAATAAATGGAAATATTGCCTTTTATACTATACAATAATATACACATGCAATTCACTGGAAAAAGTATACTTGTTACTATGATTTGAGGATACTACCATATACTAATCAAGAGAAACACATGTACAGAACAAAGAAGGCACATGAAATTTTTACTAGTGTGTGTTTTCCTTGTGTTCTACCACCCCAGGAGCAGCTTCTGCTACTGAAGATCACAGTAGAGTTATTTCCAAAAGTTGTGGGTCTGCAGGGTGGACTTATCACATAGCTGTTTGCCAAAATTCAAAAGTCCAGAAACCATTTCCAAATTTTCACCTCTTTTATCTTCAAATCCTAAAACTATGAAAATTCACAAACTTAGCTCCATACATTATGGTAGAAAGGTTAATAATTTGGACTTTGAGGTTGACCAGGCCTGATTTTTGAATAAATTCACAAACTTACCTCCATACATTATGGTAGAAAGGTCAATAATCTGGACTTTGAGGTCGACCAGGCCTGATTTTTGGATCCAGGCTGCAACACTCACTTGCTGTGTTAACGTAACAAAGTTCCTAGACCATGCTGAGCTTCAGTTTACTTGTTATTGAATTAGGGATATAGCGTTCGAAGGAAGAAGTTCTAGTATTTGATTGCACAGCAGAGAAATTATAGTTATTGAACTGGGGATATGTAGATAGACATAATAAATTTTAGTATTCAATTATACAATGGAGAAATCGTAGGGAACAATAATTTATTATATATTCTAAAATAGCTAGCAGAGAAAAATTATAATGTTCCCAACACAAAGAAAAGATAAATATTCAAGGTGATGAATATCCAAATTACTCTGATTTGATCATTACACATTGTATACATGTATCAAAAATATCACATGTACCCCAAAACATGTACAACTATGATACATCAATAAAAAACAACAAAAAAACCAAAAGAATAGAAATCAAAAATAAATACATAAATACATAAAATAGGGATAATAATACCTCCCTTGTTTGCTTGCTCCCTTGCTCCATTTGTAAGAAATAAGTGATATAATATAGGTAAAAATACTTAACCTCATGCCTACCACATAGTATAGCACAATAAATGTTATTTATTATAATCTGAGGCCTACCTACATAAGTGACTTTCAAGTATAGAAAATTATTTCTCAAATTTTAAATACTCCCTGATTCTCAGGTATGGTAATTAGACCTGGCTTTAGGTAAAGCTCTCATGTCTACACTTGGATTTAATCACTTAAGTATATTTCCCAGTGCCCCCCCCAAAAAAAATTGCTCCTAGGTGGACACACTAATCAAAGACTTCCTGAGAAATGCAGGAAGAAGTTTTGTCCTCTGACCACGCTACGCCCTTTCCTTGATGGTAAGCCCCATAATCTAAAGCCATAAGTTTCAATTCCTCACATAAAAAGAAAAAAAATGTCTTTTATGACCACTTCAGATAACACTGGATATTTCCCTTGTCATTAGGAATGAGAAATGGGAGGAAGGTAAACTTGTAGACAGGAGAATTGGTAGATGCTTGAAAGGATTTCTGAAAACTGTGCCTATCCAGGTGTACAAATGTGTTGACCAGCCAAGGCAAAGCAGTCAAACCATACAATACCTTATCCTCAGGAAAATGGACTTTTCTCCCAAATTGCCTTTTTCATGAAAAATATAAAATTCTCCAGTTTCAACCTCATGTTAAATTTCACATGTGAAGAAAACAGTCATGCACATCAGAAAATTAAATGGCGAGTCAAGACCAAATTCCTAGTCACAGTTATGTTCTGTTTCCAGTATTACCTTCTCACTTATTCATTTTGTTAAAGTGGAGCCAAAATAGAAGTGGGTGTCACACATCAAGAAAGACTGAAGTCGTACAAAGCCGATCCTTATCCAACGTGCATTAAAATATGCATCAGGCATGTGTGATGCATACAGTAGAAGTGGAACAAATCAGGCCAGGTGCAGTGGCTCACGCCTGTCAGCCCAGCACTTTGGGAGGCCAAAGCAAGCAAATCGCTTGAGATCAGCAGTTCAAGAAGTGTAACAAATCCTCTACAATATAAGTAGAGTGAAAAGAGATAGCTACAGTGATGAGGGAAGGCACTATAGTGATGTGGCATTTGAGTATAGCCATAAAAGAGGATAAATATTACAATACATGAATATAGGGTCTAAAGAAGTCTTTTCAAGTAGATTGTAAAATATTTCAAAAATGGTAAGTTTGGTGTATGTTGAAGCATACAGATTGTCTACATCCTAAAAATCATTTTGGTGAATAAAGGAAAATAAGAAAGGTAGTCAATATTCATTTGTTGCCTATCATTAGAAACTTCTCAAAGGTATATGAGAATTATTAAATAAATTTAGGAAGCCAGTGAAGGTATGGGTCCCGGGAATTGAGGATGAAGCCAGTAATTAGGGAAGATGCCCCATCTATAAGTGTGATGTATCAAATGGAGGAAAAGAAAAACGGAGGGAAGGAGTTCCCTTAAGAGAAGATTGAAATAGAGCAGACTTGGGGGGCTACACAGAGGAACTGGGACTACACAGTTCCAGCTTTAAGGCTATAGAAACAGAAATAGAAATACTGGTAAGTAAAAACCCAAAGGATTGGTGACTTATCACAGCTGGAGTGAATACGAAGGAGCATGAACTCAAAGAAAATATCAAGATTTAAGCAAGAATAAATAGGACAATGGTAGGTCCATTTTTAGAAATTAGAAAGTTGAACATAAAATATGTCAGGGTGGAGAAAATAATCACGTGTATTTTAAGCAAATAAGAGTATTAGATATTGAGATGCTCAGGTGAAAACATATGACAGGATATATGGGGGAAAAGTACAAATTCAACATGTAATTGTATAGTAATCCATATAAAAATAATAGACGGATGTGTAAGAGTGCATAAGGTCCCTGAAGGAAATAATACACAGGAAAAAAAGATTAAAAAGCAAAGACCCAACTATAGAAACTATCCACATTGATTATGTAAAGTAGGAAAAGGAATCAATAAACTAGACAGAACATCACAGAGGTAGGAGGACAAGTGCTGGCCTCGAGGAGCCAACACAGAAGCAGGTATCAAGAATAAAGGAGGAGAAGAGAGAACAAAGAGAGAGAGAAGAGAACTTCTGTGGCAGAAGATCAAGTGGGATGGTAGAATAAAGGAGAAGAAATACAAGAAAATTGAAATAAAATTTACAGAAATGTTCTACATTGTAAGTGGGCAGTTTTGACCTGGCACATTGTTGGCACACATTATAAATGTCAAATGTATTAATGAATGAATGAATGGATAATATAATGAATGTGATGGAGTTGTCAAAAGCTGAATTAATTAAAAGTCCCCACGAGAGGTTAGATGACAAAATTTTCAGAAACTTTCCATGCCACTCTGTTGTGACATCAACAGTGCTGGACCCTTGAAATCAAACCAAAAGGATTCCACCATGAGAATGAAAAGGGCTGAGAAGGGGAATGCTGGGTGACACAGAAGGTGACAAAGGGCGAAAGGTTTCTAGGCATTTGATAGACTGATGGACGTCCGCGCTGACCATAAGGCACAGGCCACACAGGAAGGAAAATGAGACCCAACGCGAAGAAAAGTAGGGCTAAACAGTCGGGAAAATGTGGGAAGAAGGATGAATAGTCATACGATCAACTCAGATTCCTCCCTGACATTCTTCTACAGCTTTATTCTCGTCCTTTGGGAGCCGAGATGTTCATTTTCCTACATTCTTAGCTGCCTACACACGGCGACTTTTCTCCACGGTGCCTGATCCCTGCTGCATCCTCCTTCTCTAGTGGCAACAGCAAATGGCCACACAGAAGGCAGACATTGCACCCAACTGAGGAGAATGTAATTCACTCATTGCCAGTCACAGACCTTGGCTCACCGATTTACTAAGTATAGATTTTATTTCTATCCCTCACCTACCTGTTTTGCCAAGGGAACTAAGAAAAGAGCATCATCAAAAATTCAGATAGGTATAGTTCTCACAAGATGAACCAGATCCAGTACGGCATCACTGCAGACATACACACAGAGCTGCATAAAACAGGAAGAGAGCTGCTAATCACAGCCCCAGAGGGTAGTGGCCAAAGTGATGCCTTGGAGATCCGAGAATGCCAGACTGAGATCACACGGCCTGGGGAATTACCGCCTATGGTCATTTTGGTTTTCCCGGGATAGCCATGTTAATTGGGTGAAATAAAGCATATTTGATTTTCTTATGACAAAAAAGGGCTTTTGCCATTGTCTACAGATGATACTTTAAATCTTTATTTTATGACTAAAGGTGAATTCCAGAGCAACATTAAATGTTGTCCCTTTAAATTTTTAATCATTTACATAACGATTACCATAATATTCAATTTAAACATAAAATGTAATTGAAAGTATGAGATTAATATGTGGACATGAAATCATATAATGTTCCATGGAAAAAATAGAATGTATAAGGCAAAGAGGTTTAAAGTAACATCAAAACTAATGCTCACTATACAAATTCTATGAAATCCTCATAATTACACTGTGAAGCAGGTGTTGTTAGAGCCACATAATCTCAAACAAATTATTTATTATCTAAAATTACATAGATATTAAAAGGTTAGGCCATATATGAATTTAGGATTCTCTCAAAAATTTTTTCTCTTTCTCCTACATCAAACTTCCCTAAATTATAGAAAAGTCACAATGTTACCAAACATATTCACAAAACACATATAATCTTGAATCCAAATTTCAGTTACAGCAGAAAAAATAAAACTCTAGATCAATCTCAATCGTGTAAATAAATTCAGATTTCCAATCTAAGAGTCTCAATTTGACATACTTCTTTCTCTCTCTTCTTTCAAACCAGGAGAAATATAAATATGAGCCACAACCTTACAAAAGCTAGAAAATATTTACAATTCCACACAACAACACATGAAGAAAACCTTCTGGACATCAAAAGTTTAAACCAGTCAAGACTGAACACCAAGATAAAGTGCATGCCTCTGAAGAGCTTGAGCTAGTCAAGAAGCCCAGAAATCCCTAAAAGAGGTGTGTATACTGAGGACTGAGGATCAAAACCTGTGATCTTTACTTGGAACAGAAATATTGCAGCATGTGAACCCTCCACAGAGTGACAGAGGGAAAGGAGTTTAAAGGGAAACATGCAAATGTATCACCTTTGGAATAATTAGGACACGTGTGTGGTGTAATGAAAGAAGGCAAAAAGATGGGGAAGAAGCCAGACAGATGGCAATTTTCATTCTATTATGAAAAGAAAAGGATAAGTCACAAGTCACATGATGAAATTAACAACTATGAATCCACTCTAAGCCATAGTCAATCCTATAGCCTAGGAGTCATTCTAACAGATGAGAGTGTTTTGGAGACAAGATTCCAAAACTCGTCTGCCTTCCATCATACTTACTACCCCCAGCTCCTCCTCCACAATATCCTTTCACAAGTATCTAGAATATTCAAAGACTAATAATATTATATAATTATTTATAATAATTGTATTACAAAAATAAAACTTGATGACCTTTATAAAAATACTAGAAGAAAAAGGGAAAATTACATAAGGTACAGAACATACAAATTATACCATGAAGCAGTAAAAAACAGGATCAAATTTTCTATGTTTTTTAAAAATATGCCTTCTCTAAAATGTTTTCTCTCTGAAATGATATTTAGAAGACATAATTGAAAATAAATACAAAATAAAGTGATAAAAAATAATCTGGCAAAATTCAGGATGTAATGAGTAAAGACAACCATGAAAGAAATGAAGATCAATAAAAGCAGGAAAAAAAGTGGGAAGTGGAGAGAATAATGCTGCTAAAAACACAGATAAGAATATAAATGACAGGCTTAAATATATCCTGAGCAAAACGAAATAGAAAACACAAGAAGGTGAAATGTAACATTAAAGTCAGGTCCAACAAATGAGAAATTAGTGTGAAAGAGCTCACAATATCTGGTTAAAAAATTCAAAGATAAAAGAAAACTTTTCTGAAATGAAGAAAACATTGAATCTAATGGTTAAAGGGCTTATCTTTATCCAGAAAAAATGTGTTATAGTATGACCACATCAAGGCAGATGCAACTGAATTTACCGGACTTCACAAACACAAAATAAACAACCCACAAAAAAAAAAAAAAATAGAGTCCCCATGAGGCTTTAATGAAGACAACTATTAGAGGCCAGGCGCAGGGGCTAACACCTACAGTCCCAACACTTTGAAAGGCCAAGGCAGGAGAATCACTTGAGCCCAGGAGTTCAAGATAAGACCAGCCTGGGCAACATAGCAAGACCCCATCTCTATCAGAAAAACTTAAAAAAGAAAACTATCCACTAAAAATGAATAGAGATAACATGATACAAGTGAGCATTCTGAAGCCTAATATCAAAATGTTCTGGGGTTTGCGGTTAAAGAACAGAATGCAAATGTTACAAACCATAACTGTATAAAGACTAATTATATTCATAACAAAAATAAGAAGAGAAAGATAGTAGAAATATATTCTGGTCCATTCAACTTTCACAGTGGGAGAGAATCAACAAATTATGTTATGGGTGATTAAATATTATTTTAAAAGATAAAGGTCATTATTAGAAAAATTAAAAATAACAAAATCAAATAAAGTTGGATGACGAAGGTGGGAGAGGAAAGTGGGTTTAAGGGGTAAAGTGGAACTATATTAAAAGAGTCAATGGAGAGCACCCTTGGAAATAACACAAAAATTAAAGAACTAAATATAATTTATACAGCACATAACTAAACTATAAATCTTCAAATTAAAAGAAAATAGGTACATACAAAATATCACATACAGAGAAATATTAATACCATGAAAATATTAAAATAAAAGCATAAAATTAATTCATTTATTTACCCTATTAGTATTTTTTGAACACCTATGTGCCAGGTATTGTGCTGAATGCCAGTAAGATATAGTTCCTGCATCTTGGAGTTTTCGTGGAGGAGACAGAGATTAATCAAACAATCACACAAATGTAAAATTGCAACCATAAAAATTACTCTGAAATACAATGAAAATTACTATAAGAGAGGGATTTGATGTGAGTCAGAGAAGTTTCCCCTAAGAAAGCAACACTGAAGCTGAGATCTAAAGGGTAAACAGCAGTTAACTGAGTGGAGAACAAAGGTTTTCCTGCAGGGGGAACAATCTGCTCCCCGAGGCCAGAGTGGGGCCTTGGGAGTTGTGCCTGAAACCACATTGTGAGGAAGTGAGGGGAAGCATTGTGCAGATAATGCTGAAATAAGTAGTGGAAGATGCTTCCTAAGAGAATGAGAAATCCAAGACTACTAAGCAGAAGAATGATTTGACCAGATTTCACATTTGTAAATATCACTATGGTTACAATGTATAGAATGGATTTTAAGGAATTCAAATTGGATACAGGTGAGTCAATTAGAAAGCAACATGCTTGCTAAGGCAAGAAATTTGATTACTTAAACTAGATATGGGAGTTTTGGAAATAAGTAGATAAATTTGTCATATATTTGAGATAATAAATCACCATGACTTGATGGTAGACTTAGTTGGAGATGCCCTCACTAATGCACCATCTAATGCTTCAAGTCTAATAATTATTCAATTCCTCCAGAGCCACCAATCCAATGGTTCTACCATATTTATGCTGTCATTCACTTTACTGATATCCTTCTTACCTTACCTCTTTTCCCACTTTATATTCCATGATCAATACCTTGCTCCCTCGTAATGATTGTACTCACTCTTCCAAACAACAATCCTGATAAATCCTACTCTCTGCCTTCTACATCTTGATACCACACAGCTATATGTGGCTAGATAAAACAATCACACTGACAATCATCCTATACTTTCTGAATCCATCACTCTTCTACTTTTTCAGATCTTTTCTTTCTCCCTCATCCTTACCATGTAATGAACTCATTTTGCATGTCAAGGGCTAAAAGTTGAATATTTTAAAAGTTCTCATTTTCCCACTACTATATAAACCAACAAATATCTTTAGTCTGCATTCACAAATAACATAACAAATGAGCTCTTCATATTTCTATCCGTGGTGAATTAAGATGACTAGAAATTTTGTGGCACCATCCCGTTGAAAACGTGGGGACATATTCTTTCTCCTTGAACCTGGGTGGGCTCTTTGACTGCTTTGACCAATAAAATACAGTGAAAGTAAAACTTCCAGTTTTGATGTCCAGATGTTAAAAGCCTTGAAGCTTCCATTTCTACATCTTGGAACCAACGTGTGTGGGTGCTGAGTCAGTATCGAAGAATTCTGCTTATTCTGCTTGCATTAGTCCATTTTCATGCTGCTGATAAAGACATATCCAAGACCGGGTAATTTATGAATAAAAAGAGTTTCATGGAATCACAGTTCCATGTGGATGGGGAGGCCTCACAATCATGGCAGAAGGTGAAAAGTATGCATTACATGGGAGCAGACAAGAGACAATGAGAGCTGAGTGAAAGGGGAAGCCCCTTGTAAAGTCATCAGCTCTCATGAGACTTATTCACGACCATAAGAACAGTATGGGGGAGCCACCCCATCATTCAATTATCTCTCACCAGGTCCCTCCACAACACATGGGAATTATGGGAGCTACAATTCAAGATGAGATTTGGGAAAGGACACAGCCAAACCACCTCATTCTGCCTCTGGCACCTCCCAAATCTCATGTCCTCACATTTCAAAACCAATCATGCCTTCCCAATAGTCCCCAAAAGTCTTAACTCACTTCAGCATTAACTCAAAAGTTGGCAGTCCAAAGTCTCACCTGAGACAGGGCAAGTCTCTTCCACATATAAACCTGTAAAATCAAAAGCAATTTAGTTATTTTCTAGATAAGATAGGAGTACAGGCATTGGGTAAATGCAGCCGTTCCAAATGGTAAAATTTACCCAAAACAAAGGGACTAAAGGCTCCAAACAAGTCCGAAATCCAGTGGGACAGTCAAATCTTAAAGCTCCAAAATGATCTCCTTTGACTCTATGTCTCACATCCAGGTCATACTCATGCAAGTGGTGGGTTCCCATGGTCTCAGGCAGCTCCACCCCTGTGGTTTTGCAGGGGAGAGCCTTCCTCCCGGTTGCTTTCACAGGCTGGCATTGTATGCAGCTTTTCCAGGCACACAGTGCAAGCTGTCGGTGGATCTACCATTCCGGGGTCTGGAGGACAGCAGCCCTCTTCTCATAGCTCCACTAGGCAGTACCCTAGTGGGGACTCTGTGTTGGGGGCTTCAACCCCACATTTCCATTCCCCACTGCCTTAGCAGAGGTTCTCCATGAAGACCTCACCCCTGCAGCAAACTTCTGTCTGGAGATCCAGGCATTTCCATACATTCTCTGAAATCTAGGTGGAGGTTCCCATACCTCGATTCTGGACTTCCGTGAATCCACAGGCTCAACACCACATGGAAGCTGCCAAAGCTTGAGGCTTGCACCCTCTGAAGCCATGGCCTGAGCTGTACCTTGACCCCTTTTAGCTGTGGCTGGAGCAGCTGGGACACAGAGCACCAAGTCCCTAGGCTGTACACAGGCAAACAGCAGAGGGGCCCTGGGCCCAGCCTATGAAACCATTTTTTCCTCCTAGGCCTCTGGGTGTGTGATGGAAGGGGCTGCCACAAAGATCTCTGACATGGCCTGAAGACTTAGCGATTAACATTTGGCTCCTTGTTACTTATGCAAATTTCTGCAGCCAGCTTGAATTTCTCCTCAGAAAATGGATTTTTCTTTTCTATCACAGTGTCATGCTACAAATTTTCTGAACGTTTATGCTCTGTTTTCCTGTTAAAACTGAGTGCTTTTAACACACCCAAGTCACTCTTGAATGATTTGCTGCTTAGAAATTTCTTCTGCCAGATACCCTAACTCATCTCCCTCAAGTTCAAAGTTCCACAAATCTCTAGGGCAGGGACAAAATGCTGCCAGTCTCTCTCGATAGCAAGAGACACCTTTACTCCAGTTCCCATTGAGTTCCTCATCTCCATCTGAGACCATCTCAGCCTGGATTTCATTGTCTATATCATTATTTGACATTTTAGTCAAAGCCATTCAACAAGTCTCTAGGAAGTTCCAAACTTTCCCACATTTTCCTGTCGTTTTCTGAGCCCTCCAAACTGTTTCAACCCCTGCCTGTTACCCAGTTCCAAAGTCGCTTCCACATTTTTGGGTTATCTTTACAACAGCACCCCACTCTACCAGTACCAATGTACTGTATTAGTCTGTTTTCATGCTGCTGATAAAGACATACCTGAGACTGAGTGATTTATGAAGAAAAAGACACTTAATGGACTCACATTTCCAGGTGGATGGGGAGGCCTCACAATCATGGTGGAAGGCAAAAGGCACATCTCTACATGATGGCAGACAAGACAGAATGAGAGCTAAGTGAAAGGGGAACCCCCTTATAAAATCATCAGCTCTTGTGAGACTTATTCAAGACCACGAGAACAGTATGGGGGAAATACTCCTGTGATTCAGTTATCTCCCGTTGGATCCCTCCCACAAGACACGGAAATTATGGGAGCTACAATTCAAGATGAGATTTGGGTGGGGACACATCCAAACCATATTGCTGCTGAATAGATCATGTAGACAGGCTCTCAAACTACACGGAGAGCAAGAGAGGCCCACCTTACCACAACATTTCATCCAATCCACTAATAAAACAGGCACATCACTGAAGCCACCTTCAACTCTCCAGACTACCCAGCTGCCAGCTGAATACCACAGATGGCTACAGTTAATACCACATGGAGCAGAATCATGTAGCTAAGCCCTGCTTGCGCTAATACAAGTCCACAATTTTTTTTAAGTTTGTTGTTTTAAGCTGCTAAGTTTTGAGGTGGTTTGTGGTACGTGGAATAAGATGTCACTCTAATATAATATAAACTTAAACTATGTGGCATTGGCTTTGGAATCAGACAATGGATAGAAGCCAGAAGGATTTCACAAAGACTGTTAGTGAAAAGTGAACAGACTTCAAGGAAAATGATAGCAAAACCTGTAAAAGCATTCTGGGAACTGACAGTAAACACTGAATGGTCCTTAAGGAGACTGAAAACTTGAAAGAGCTTAAGAAGTCTACTGGAAAGGGCTTTAAGGATAATGAGAAAAAATCATCAGTGGAGGCTGAGGAAAACGCACCAAAGTCATATTCTGATGGGAGAATTAGAAAACGCTTGCCTGGAATGATATAAAAAATAGGAAAAATACCGAAAAAGTTTGTGGATCTGGCTGGGGAGATTTTTGGTGTCAACTAAAGAAAAAAATTAAGCTTTTAAGAAATTAAAGTTAGATTTATTTAGGGGTCTGAGAACAAGAGACTGAGGATTACAGCCTAGGAGAAGTCTTCCAGAGAGGTTCTGTCAGACTGCTCTGGTGAAGGTCTTTAGCCCACAGTTTATATGCAGGCTGTACATATACACCATGGAATACTATGCCGCCATTAAAAAATGATATCATGTCTTTTGCTGGAACATGGATGGACCTTCTATTATCCTTAGCAAACTAATGCAGGAACAGAAAACCAAATACAGCATACTCTCAGTTATAAGTGGGAGCTAAATGATGAGAACTCATGAACACAAAGAATAAAACAGACACTGGGGTCTACTTGAGGGTGGAGGGTGAGAAAAGGAAGAGAAGCAGAAAAGATAACTATTGGGTACTAGGTTTAATACCTGGGTGATGAAATGATCTGTACAATAACCCCCTGTGACACCAGTCTACCTATGTAACAAATGCCCCTAAACTTAAAATAAAAGTTAAAAAAAAAGAAAATTAAAATCTCCTTATCATCTACCTGGTAATATGAAAAACACAAATCTTTCATTCATTCCTTTCAACTGATGAGGAAAATGAGGCATCGGGAGTTAGTAAAAGTCCACATTGAGATATGAGACCCACCACTGGCTGGACGCAGTGGCTCACACCTGTAATCCCAGCACTTTGGGAGGCCGATGCTGGTGGATCACCTAAGGTCAGGAGTTCGGGACCAGGCTGGCCAACATGGTGAAACCCCCATCTCTACTAAAAATACAAAAATTAGCTGGGTGTGGTGGCAGGCACCTGTAATACCAGCTACTAGGGAGGCTGAGGCAGGAGAATCGCTTGAACCCAGGAGGTGGAGTTTACAGTGAGCCAAAATCACGCCATTGCACTCCAGCCTGGGCAACAAGAGCAAGACTCTGTCGGGGAAAAAAAAGAAAAAAAAAAACCACCGCCATCATTTTGCAAGTGTTACCACTATTGTGTGTTAATATTGTAGAAGTATTCCTAATTATGATTTCTTTGTATTCCTAATTGTAATAGCTTTGTATTTGAAAAATTATTGATTCATACTCTATATGTTATTATTTTGTATGTGATGACAACAGAATATATTATCATGCTCCTTTTGTGAATCTCATTCATAATATAAAGTATAAATTTGTGATTTTGCTTTAATTTGAAATATTAACTTCAAATATGTTATCACAATTTGATACAAACTATTGACAGTAAATCTGTGGATTAAGTAATGTCTTAGTAGGTATTGGGAAAATTTGAAACTAGTAACATGGAGGACTATTGTCATTGTTTATTTCAAAGCCAGTTAAAATTCTGCAAAGCAGTGTACATAAAAATAATTTCAAGAAATTTATAAAATACCGAGATTATGGTGTATAAACAACTTTAGATTCTTTGTTTAAGAAATTCTGCCAGTTTGTAATATATGCTTCATTCAAAGTAGCTAAGGGCTGTACCTGGCTAATAGTAGGCACCTAATATTTGTTGAAAAGGAATACTGAGTAGCTGGGACCTCCTGAGTAGCTGGGACCACACACATTTAACCTGTATTTATAAAATTACTGTTTAGAGAATAACATTTGATGGAATCATGCTTTTACTTTCTGCTTACGACTCAATTGTTTGTACTGACATTAACATCCCAAATCCTTAGCATGGCCTACAAGGCCCTGAGCAATGTGGCACCTGCTGAAGCCTGCTGCCTCATTTAATAACTCTTTGTCTCTTTCCCAGATCCAGCCACTCTAACATTTTTTAGCTCCTGGACCAAGACAAGCTCTTCCCAGAACCTGACCTTTGTACCTGTTCTTTATTCCTGGAGTATTTTTCCCCTGACAAATTACTTATCATCTATCATAATTCAGGTTAAATGGCACTAACTCAGGGAAGGCTTCCCTAACTGCCTCCCTTCTCCAACCAAATTAGGAACAATTATATGGCCACATAGTATCGAATCAAGTTTATAATTTTAAAATAATTGGGAGATTTTGTTGTTTAACACTTGTTTTCACTATAAGACTGTAATTACATGCAAGTAAGAACCATGCCTGTTTGTTCACTCCTGCCACAGTCAGAATAGTGCCTGGAATATGCAGTAAGGGCTGAACAAGCACTAAATAAATGAACAAGTGAATAAATGGATATTGTCTCATTTTTAGAACAGAGTACTGAATGGATCATGAACACTATCTGGTATGTCACGTAGGTAATTTACAAGGGCTACAATTTCAGCTCAGATTTACCTTTTCCTGGATACAGGTCTTGATAGGTCTCTTGATGTCATTTCACTTCAGATTCTTCTTTAGAAAACTTGGACAATAGCATTTGCTGTCTTGTCCAAATTGTTACTAAGAATCAAGAGAGATATCTGACATGAAATGACATTGGAAAACATTAAACACGATTGAAATAATGCTAGCCAATATGGTTATTATTAGAAACCAATTACATTTTCAACTTAAAAATAGTAATACTTATTGCAGACTCAAATGTGCTTATTCTAAAACAAGTAAATGTTTGCCTATGGTCTGAGATTCTAATCCACGGAGTTCATTCTAATCCACATTCAACACTATCATGTACCAGTGGGCCTCATAACCCACCTAGCCCTGTGATTTTTCAGGTTCACTTTTCTAAACTTGTGAATTAAATATTTATTTTCTTAGTTCAGAAGAGGAAAAAAACTCTTGTAATTGTTGCCCATTTCAGGAGAAATCTTGCATATGAAAACAAGAGATAAATATACACAACTGAGGGCTGTGGTTTAAACAAAATCTTGAGAATGTTTTTTGACCTTACACATTTGTGCTTTAGTATAACAAAATGATATAGACAAAGGTAACTTTTAATAGAACCAGTCACTAAATTAAAAAAATGACAAATTCTTCTGCTTAGCTAAGCAACAGAGAAGGTAAAATACTAATTCAATTCATCAATTTAAGCAATACTCATTAAGAGCCAAGTATGTGCTCACTGAATAAGCTGCTAAGGTTTGGTGGTTACAGAGTGTGCGGTGAAATGATGTCTACATCACAGTCCAACATTCACAGAGTTTAAAAGCCTACCAAGAATCAAGACAGACACAAATACCTAACATAGACATTTGTATATGATAAGAGAGCCAGAGTACAATTTAGGAGAAGAAATTGTATGGAAGGAAGGTTCATTTCCATTAGACCAGAAAAGACAGCACATTTGAAGGCCTGAATAAGAAATATTCTGGATAAGATATTGTGGCTGCTACCAGAATGGCTCTTGATGATCTCTACCTCTTGGTATTTATACCCTTATATAATCTCTTTCCTATAGTGTAAGCTGGTCCCAGGTACTTGTTTCTATTGAATAGAATAGAACAAAAGAAATGAGATGCCACTTCTGAGATTAGATTATAAGATACTGTGAATTTCTTCTTGTGCCCTCTCCCTCTCTCTCTTTCTCTTGCCCTCTCATTTGAATGAAGCCAACTGGCATGCTGTCAGTGGCCCAGTGTAAGTCCTGTTACAAGAAATTGATGATTACCTGTAGCCAACCCTAAGTGAAGAACTGAGGTCCTCAGTCCTACAAATGGAGAGAAACTGAATCTAGCTAAGAACCATGTGAGTGAGCTGGGAAGAAGATCCACCCTCAGTTGAAATTTAAGATGACATATTGAGCAGACATACTGAGACACACTGAAAGTAAGAGAGCAGGAGGAAACAAAACCAGGGTCATACAAAGAACACAACTGATTTTGAGATTCTCACATAAGTATTACACCTTCAGTGAGCACGTGTACTAGAAATTTAAAAAATAAATAAAATAAACCTTCAAAGTGAGCTAGCAAATAAATTTCCCTATGGTCTCAGCTCTGAGTGGAGAGAGAAAATGTTCCCTGTGGAGTTTATAGCCAGAATCCAGCTCTCAAACAGGTTTCAGCCTGAACTCACACAATCTGTGTGGCTTCCAAATTTGCAAGCTGAGAATTTAATTCAAAGTGGTCTCAGGTTGATAGCAGTCCAAAATGCTAGGTAGGAAAAAAAATCCTCTCTGGACAAATAAATCATCAAAGCAAGCTCATAAGAGCAGGTTTCAAAGGTCATGAGCTTCTAACACACACACAAAAATCACACACACAAAATGGGGGTAGCAGCAACATGGGTAGCGTATTCAAACTTGAAAAGACTTTAAATATTTGTATTATTAGATGTAGATTATGAAACACATATTTTAATGTGGTTAATTTTTTTAAGGAATCAAAACTATGAGTAAAGACCAAGAAAATTGTGCTGGATGGCCACTTCCACCATGGCTCCCCTCCTATTTAAGTCTGGGTACTGTGTCACCCGAAGTCTTCAGGCACATTGTTCCAGGTCTGGGTTTGCCTATGAAAGAAACTCATGAGAGCTGGAAATGAGGAGTGAAGAGGAGGTCTTCAAATAAAGCAGGCTTAAGGATTAGACATAGCAGGTTTGACAGATGTGATGGCTTGCAGAATCCTTTATGAGCTCCCACTGTCCATCTGGATAAGATTTACAGACCTTTCAGAAATTCCTATAAGCTTGGGTTCTGTGCCCACACTCTAGACTGTCAGGCTAAGATCTCTGATATAAAACAGACCTCTTCTGATTTTGTCTAGCTGCTTTTCTAATATCTATTCACCAAGCTCTTCCAATAATAGCATAAGGCCCTAATTAATATTAAACTTTTATCATTATAATACATAGGATGTCTTCTGTTTTCCTGATCAAATTCTGACTACTATTAAAATATAAAGAATTGTCCAGAAATATATAAAAAAAGAATCACACATTGATCTTCTTTAAATGAAAATATAACAATTGTATGGACTAGGATGATTACAGTTGTTCAGTTCTGACTGTTATTTGAAGAAAAAAGCAATAAGAAGCCTCAGCAACTTAACAGAAGGAGCTGCCATTTACTAGGAGAAAAGATTGTGGATGAGAGTGTAGCAAAGGTCAGAATTCTGTGAAGCTTGAGATGTTTATTATAATGAATTATCTTTTATACTCACTACAATTTCCTAACAATTTTGGGGTTTATATTTTTGAAAGAGATATACCTTTAATTTTCTTTCTTTGTACTATTGTTAGGTAACTTTGATGTGCAGATTATACTACAGTGAAAGTTGCCAATGACAAGGCAAAGTCACTTACATCAGACCCAAAGCAAAGTGGAGCCGGGTCATGAAAAAGGGGATCTTGTGTGTCTGTCCACGATAAGCACTATCACAAGGACTTTCTATAAACTCACAAGAAATTTCTGCCCACCCAGCACACTCTGTTTGTCCAGCTCATCCTGTAGGTGTCTCTATAATAGGACCTATCATAAAAAATTCCTCAAGACTGCAGCATTTCAGATAAGCCACCCTCACAAGAACACTTGCCTAGCAATGGCTGTTTCTGCCAGTAAGTTAACACCAGCTCCTGCATCAGACCCTGTGACCAATGATGTTTGTTTCAAAACAGCTTGCATGGACTTCTTTTTGTCTTTACATATTTTCCTTACCTCAACCTCTTGGGATGCACCTATGATTGATCATAGCACAAATATCTCAGATTATAATCCTTGTTTATTTCCAAATAAATTTATTTCTTTGGAGATCCACTTTTTCTGTTATTATACATTGACATTGTTATTATGAAATTGGTTGGGTGATGTGTCTTATTTTCTTGTCTCCAGAAGAATTTCTGTAACAGTGCAATTAAACGTTCTTTGCATGTTTGCTAGAACTCACCTGTAAAATTGTCTGAGCAACCAAAGCCTGGTTTTTGTGTTTAGTTTTTCTTTTGTGATTGGGGAGGGGGGTTTATCGTACTGATTCAAGGTGTGAAGGTAACATCATTTTGATTTTATACATCTTCTTCAGTCCATTTAAGCATGTTACATAGCGTTGTTTGTTCTTTTCATGATATTCTTTACAGTAGTCTCCTAAATGTTCCCTCTGCTTCTGCCATGAGCCCCTACAATCTATTTCAACTCAGAAGCTATAGAGTTTGTTTAAAACATGTAACATATTATGCCACCTTTCTTACTGTAAAACATCCCATGGTTTCTCGTAGTATTTATAGTAAAAGTGAAATTTTTATGATGGCTTGAGAAACTTTTCCCATTAGATGCCCAAGTGCTGGTCTGGTCTGATCTTCTCATCTTCCCTTGGGTGATTCTGTGGCAGTCACACTAGCCTCCTTGCTGCTCCACAAAAACTCCAGCATGATCCTACTTCAGGATATTTGCCATTGTTACTGCATCTGCCTGGAACCTTTTCTCCCATATAAACATAGAGATTGCTCTTGCCTGTCCTTCAAGTCTATTCTTAAATGTCCCATTCTCTGTGAAGCTTTCCTGCCCACCCTATTTAAATTACAGACTTCACTCCCAATTCCCCATCTACTTTAAGAGTCTTCATTTATCATTCCTTGACAAACTGTAAATATACATGTTCACTTTTTTATCGTCTGTCTCCAAATACTGGAATGTTAAGTTCTGTAATGTCAGATATTTCTGTTTGGTTCACTGGTGTATTCTTAAAGCATGTTACATACTAGGTATACTCAATGAATATTTGTTGAATAAATATCACATTGGGCTTATTCCAGAAATTCAAGCTTGTTTCAATAGTTAGAGCAATCTACAAATGTAATTCCTTACATTAACTAATTAAAGGAGCTAAATCACATCACCACCACAATAATGCAGAAAACCACATTTGATACAACTCAATATTCATGTCTGCCTAACAAACATCTCATGATACTAGGAAAAGAGGAAGGGATATATTATTTTCATGTATAAAGCACTAACCATTGTAGCATGCCAATATACTCAAAATTCAATGAAATTCCTATCAAAATCTTAGCATTCCTCTTAGCCCTCAACAAAGCATTTCTAAAATGTGTATAGAAGACCAAAGGGCCAAAAGAGTCAACTTCTGAAGAAGCGCAAAAAGAAAGTTGAGGAAATCTTAAAACATGTTATTGAGCTTAAAGTTGCAAAAATAAACTCATGTGCCATAATTCATGAGTAGAAAAATAGACTAGTGGAATAACATAAAAATAAAAACAATGCTTACATAAAATGTTGTAACTGATTTGGATGTCATTAGAAATCAGTAAGTAAATAGATGGACAATGTAATGAAAGATGCTAGGCAAATAATGTGGTAGGGAGAATAATGGCCCTCAAAGATGCCCATGCCTAACCCTGGAACCTGTGAATATGTTACACTGAATGCAATAAAGGCTTATCAGATGTGATTAAGGATGCAAACCGAGATGGAGAGATCTTCCTGGGTTACCCAGATGGGCCCAGTCTAATCACATGAGTTCTTAAAAATGGAGAACCTTTCTTAGCTGAGTCCAGAGAGAGATGTGACAATGAAAGAATGGTCAGAGAAATGTGACATTGCCAGCTTTAAAAAGAGAGAGGAGAGGCAATGAGAAAAGGAATGCTGATGTTCTCTAGAAGATAGAAAAGGCCAGGATATGGATTCTACCCTAGCCACCATAAAGAAACATGCCTGTCGACAACTTGATTTTAGTTCACTAAAATTCATGCCTGATTTCTGACTTGTGTACACTGTAAGATGACAAGTTTGTGTTATTTTAGGTCACTTAGTTTGCAGAAATTTGTTACAGCAGTAATAGAACAAGTGGTTATCCATATGAGGCAAATTAGATTGGATACCTATCTCCAATAGAAATCAATTCAAGGTGAATTCCAGGAAAATACTTAAAACATTTAGATTAAAAATAAATGAGAATTTTTGTTACTTTTGGTAGGTCATAGAACCAAGAAAAACAAACATTAAGGAGGAAAAATGAACATATGACTACATCAAAATATAAAGCTTCTCTATTTGGAAGATATCATAAGGTGACAAATCATAAACTGTAATATTTACAACATATATATAAGTGAATAAATATACATTTAGAATATATATGAACTCCCAAAAATCAACAGGAAAAATAAGACATAGAACAAGCAAAATGCATAAACAAAAGAAGGCAAAACAAAAATAATGACTCATAATTATATGAAAAGAAGCTCATCTTCATAGATGAGCAGATAAATGCAAATTAAAACCACCCTGAGATGCTTTTTACATCCATGAGCCTGATAAAAGTTAGAGTCTAAAAGTAATAATTAACAAAGATGGGAAGTAACAGAAAATCTTGTCCATTACTGGTTAAAGTATAAACTGATACAGCTACTTTATAGAATATTACATTATAGAATAAAGTTGTGAGTATGTATATGCAGTGACTCAGCATATTCATTGCTAGTATGTACTCAAGAGAAACTTACAGGAGTGGACTAGGAAGTAAATACAAAATGATTACAACATTGTTTGTTATATCAAAAAATAAAAAAGACACCCAATTTTCCAGCAAAAAAAATAAGTAAAAATAAATCCTGGTGTATTCTAACAATGGAATAATATATAGCCATTAAAATAAATCAACTATTACTGTACATATGAATGTAAGTATCAGCAAAACATATTGTTTAGTGAAAAACTAAGAAGCTGAAGAAGAATATATACAATATGGTTACATTTATATGAAGTCCCAAAACTTGCAAAATAAAGAAATGTATTTAGAAATAGATTCACATGTGAGAAAACTAGAAGAAAATTAATGAAAGGATAAGAGGGATAGCAGTAATTCTGAGTAGTTGAGGGAATTTCAATTGGAAAAAAATAATATCATATTCTTTAAGTCAGGTAGTGGGTATTAGCATTTGTTTTACCATCGTTCTTTATTCTTATAGCTACACTATATATTTTCAATGTATTTAATATATTTTTTGCATAATTAAATATTATGCAATAAAAATGAGAAAACAAAAAAGTAGAAAATGATAAATTACAATAAAGAAATGGAGAAAAAATTATAATCTAGTTGAGTAATGGTATATTACATAGCTATTTTCTTAAGTAGATGTATGTACATGATGTATGCACGATTGTACATACATGTTCTTAATTATATATAAATATATATGTACATATTTTTAATATAAAATACTAAACAAAGTACACCAAAATATTAGCTCCTATGTTAGTGAGATAATGTTTTGTTTTTTTGTATTTTAAGTTTTACATAGTAGGTGTATTTTTCTGTTTTCATACTGCTATAAAGAACTGCCCAAGACTGGGTAATTTATAAAGGAAAGAAGTTTAATTGGCTCACAGTTCAGCACAGCTTGGGAGGCCTCAGGAAATCTACAATCATGGCGGAAGACAAAGAGGAAGCAAGCCAGCTTCTTCGCAAGGCAGCATGAAGAAGTGCCGAGCAAAGGGGAAAGAATCCCTTATAAAACCATCAAATCTCGTGAGAACTCACTATCACAAGAACAGCACAGGGGAAACTGCCCCCATGATTCAATTACCTCCACCTGGTCTCTCCCTTGACCTGTGGGGATTATGGGGGCTATGGGGATTACAATTCAAGACGAGATTCAGGTGGGGATACAAAGCCTAACCATATCAGTAGGCATGTATTGAATTTTAAACTCAGAGAAAAATACTAGTGTTTTTATAGGATTCTTACTAAAGAAAAACCAGAAAGTAATAAACCATCTACGCTAAGACATAAAATTCAGTTGTTTAGTTACAAGATAGAATGTGGCCTTGTAAGAAAGCAAATTAACTTCTAACATACAAAGCCTTAGAGAAGATTCAAGTGACTGACGGATCTTAAACAGAGCTATTATTACAACTTGAACTGCAGTAAAATATCCTCAGCAACATAGATGTGTATGTTTCACTAGTCAGAGCAATACAAATTTAACGAAACTCCATTGGTGGTGTTTTTAATCAGACAATTTCTGAAGATGTCCTGGCTTATTCACAGATGCAAGCCAAATCTCTAGAAGAGTACCATAATAAGAAAAAAAAGAATACAGGCAATTGAGAGCTGTTCCAAAGTTTAGGGAGTTTTTGTAAGGAATTAATAAATAAAAATGTTCTTGAAAGAGAGAAATTAATATGCAGTTCATACTGCCAGAATTGCAGGCAATTTATCAAAGTCCCCTAATCCTCCAAAATCGCTATTTTTTTTTTTGACACACACTTTACAGTACAGAAGAAAATGTCTCCGGCAATAAATCACAAAGTTAAAATTACCTAGTCTACAATTAACTACACAGTGATGGTAAATCATTTTCTACCAAAAGAAAGAAATGTCTTGTCTATTCAGGTTCTGCTCTACTTAAAAGTTTTCCTTGTTGGCGAGCAAGTGGTTAGAAAATCATATTTTATACGTACATTCAGCTTAACTATCATTCAGCTCAGGAAGATGACTCAGGGCCTTATCCATACCTTCAAGTTTGCTCTTAGCAAGTAATTGTTTCAGTATCTATATCAAAAATGGCTTAAGCCTGCAACATGTTTCTGAATGATTAACAAGGTGATAGTCAGTTCTTCATTGAATCCTGGATGCTTTATTTTTCTTAATAAGAGGAATTCATATGGATCAGCTAGAAAAAAATTAAGAGGAAAATCACATGGAAAGTTATATATTATATATCTATTATATATAATATTATATATCTATTATATATTATATATTGTATATCTATTACATATATATTATATATGTATTATATATATTATATATCTATTATATATATAATATTATATATTATATATCATTTCCAAATTCCCCAGCGTTCATATTTGTCAGTGCAAGTAAAGAGCCTTACTGCTGATGAGGTTTGAGGTATGACCATTTGGCCAGAATTTATGAACTCTACATGTCGCTTGATGTGTGCCTCAGGGTATACTTTTTTTTTTTTTTTGAGACGGAGTCTTGCTCTGTCGCCCAGGCTGGAGTGCAGCGGTGCGATCTCAGCTCACCGCAAGCTCCGTCTCCCGGGTTCATGCCATTCTCCTGCCTGAGCCTCCTGAGTAGCTGGGACTACAGGCGCCCGCCACTATGCCCTGCTAATTTTTTGTATTTTTAGTACAGACGGGGTTTCACCGTGTTAGCCAGGATGGTCTCGATCTCCTGACCTCGTGATCCACCCGCCTCGGCCTCCCAAAGTGCTGGAATTACAGGTGTGAGCCACCACGCCCGGCCAGGGTACACTTTTAAGCAGAGACACTACTTTGAAGGTCATAAAAAATATAATAAGAGATAAGGCTAATTTCCTTTAATAATAATAAAATCCTTTAATAAAAATATAAAGGAATAATATAATAATTTTATTTAATAAAATATAATAAGAGATAAGGCTAATTTCCTTTAATAAAATATAGTAACTACATACCAACAGAATTCCAAAAAAAGAAATGGAGAGGAAGGGAGCATGGGTCATTAATCTTGTCAAAAATATAAAATTATATACGAGGAATTCCTAGAAACTGTTTTCCTTGTCTGCGGCCATTGTGCTGCTGCTACACAACTACCGCAAGCAGCCCTTCACGCCCTCCTCCCAGTACAAAGCTAATTGACTTGTGAGAAATGTTAAGCTTGGAAGAGTCAGCATCGCTGCACTTATTTTTTATTCTACTCTGACATTAGAATAATCCTTGAGTGGGGGAAAGGTTAAAAACCCCCCTGGATAAGTGTTACTAATTAATGATGATTGTTTTAAACAATGTTTGGATAATTTTTCCTTGTCCCTTGACATAAACTTGATAAATAACTGAGAAGTGAGAAGGAGATTAGTGGGTTGATTAAATTCCATTCAGGTACTTAAAGTTAGCTCCAAAAATTTAGCTATTTGTAAATTGTCATGCATTGTTAATGTATAAGAGATGTAGATTTCATTTATCTTTGGTGGAGCGAGATGAAGCAGTGAATCATTGAAGACTGAAAGAAAGAAAAAGGTCTTTTCCCTTTTCTTTAAGAAGCATCATTAGTTAAAAACATGTTAGTTGATACCAGAGAACTATATTTAAAGGGACAGCAATAAGCAAATTGATTACTCTGGTGATTATTGGAGTGACATTGCCTTTTAGTTGTACTTTCACAAAAATTCACAATATTTGCCAAAGTCAAGTTATCCATTACACTATTAATTTGTCATTCTTTTGTTTATATAGTCAATCTCTATCTCAATTGGATCTATCTCAACTGCTTCTAAACAAGCCACCATAGTCTCTCCCATTTCAACAATCTCTTCCAAGTACCACTTCATTTCTTCTTTTCATATTTTTGAAAACTTTTGAAAAACTACCTATTTTCCTCCTCCATTTCTTGTTCATTCCATTCTAGTGGACATGGAATCTGTTCCTCCTCCAAAACGGAATTTGGTAACCCTTAAATTACTAAACCCAAAACAACATGTTGTCTTTATCTTTACCTCTCTGTGGCATTTAATGATAAGACCACTACTTTCTTCTCTTTTACCCTTCTTTCTTGAATTCAGTCAAACAACGTACTTACATTTTTCGTCTTATTCTCCATCTTAGAAACCACCTCAGCTTTCTCCATTCAGCTATAAAATTGTGCTTTTCCTCAAAGATTAATCTGCCTCTCCTCTCACTCTATACTATCTCTGTTAGCTAATTTTATTTGTGCACATTGCTTATACTGGGCATTATATACACATATGCATGTGTGTACATGTGCATACACACACTGTATGTGGACATGTATATATATATATGTGTGTGTGTATATATATAGTATATATATAAATTACAATAACATAAAGGTGGCATTTTAAATTAGTGGAAATTACCCTGATTTGATCACTACACATTCTATACATGTAAAGAAAATATCACTCTGTATCCCAAGAATATGTACAATTATGGTTTGTCAAATGAAAAAGTTCATACATTGAAAAATTTTAGATAAATATCAAACTTTCTCTGAAACTGTAACTGTAAAATGTAAAAAACAGTAATTGCTATATTGCTTATTTCTGAGTAGAAGAATATGAGACATTTCCCTAATCATTATGTGTAATTACAATTACATAGAAGAATATGAGACATTTCCCTAATCATTATGTGTAATTACAATTACATATATATATGTAATTGTAATTACACATAATGATTAGGGAAATGTCTCATATTCTATATATATAGACAGAAAGAGAGAAAATATATGAGGGAGAGAAGGAATCTTTCCATCTCCTTTGAGTTCCACGGTGTTGAGAGTCAGGACAACTGCAATTGCTTCATCATGCCTGCTTGCAATTATAGGGCTTTTGAACCATTTGTTCCCTCCTTAGATATCCTCATTTTTTTCAGATTCTTGCTTAGAAGTCACTCCTCCGTGGACCTCCTCTGACATATTAAACATTGCAGTCCATTATAAGCTGCAAGAGGACAGGGATTTTTGCCTGTTTTATTCCCTACTGTATCACCAGGGGCTACAGCAATATCTGACAAACAGTGGGCATGTAATGAATATATGTTAAGTGAAGTAATAAATTCAATCAAATCACATCACCTGTTTAAAGCACTTCATTGGCTTCACATTGCACTTAGAATAAAGAGAAATTCTTTTTATACAATATAAGTTCCTGCAGAATGCAGACACTTTCTACTTCTCCAGCCTCTTTTCGACTCCTCTCCTACTAGCTTCTGTATTTAAGCCACATTAGACCTTTCTTCAGTTTTTTATATAGACTTTGTCGCATCACACCTCAGAGATTCTGTACATGTTCTTCCTCCTGCCTAGAAAGGATCGTCCCTCCACTTTCGCCAACTAATCCCTGCTCAACTTTTCATCTCAGCAGGAGGCCCATTCTCTTTGGCAATCCTCTGGCCTCCAGCCCATTTATTATATGCTCACATGTCAACATGTACTTCGTACAGCATGTAACACAATTGCACTTTTATATTTTAACAAATTATATTTCCCATATTGAACTGTAAGTCTCCTGAAAGCAGGAATTTTGTTCTTGCTCATCATCAACTTTTTCAACATCCAGTGCACCATTTAGAACTTAGATGTAGTCAATACAGGTTTGTGGAATGAAAGAGGAAAAGAAAGAATTAATATTCCTTTAAATTAGGATGGCAAAGATCGTATATAGAAAATTGGCTAAGTTGTGGTCCATTCATGTTTGCTCCCAATTAAGGAGCACAGCTATGAAAAGGAAGGCTTCAAATTAATAACCAATAGATTTTTTTAAAAAGAAAACTGGCCAGGTACTGTGGCTTATGTCTGTAATATCAGCATGTTGGGAGGCCAAGGCAGGATTACTTGAGCCCAGAAATTCCAGACCAGCCTGAGAATTTGGCAAAACTCTGTCTCTACAAAAAATACAAAAATTAGCCAAGTTTGGTGGCATGTGCCTGTAGTACCAGCTACTTGGGAGGCTGAGGTGGAAGAATAGCTTGAGTCTGGGAGGTCAAGGCTGCAATGAGCTGTGATTGCACCACTGCACTCAAGCCTGGGTGGTAGAGTAAGACCCTGTCTCAAAAAAAAAAAGAAAAATCACTAAGCAAAATAAGACATGTGAAGGATCATGTCAAAGGTAAGAAAAATTAGGGGAACATTAAAAGCTTTCTTCCCAAGCCACTAAATCAACTTGACTAACAAAATTACCACTTGATTTAGCATTAGAAAATTACATTACATATCAAACATAAACCCATTAATCAAATACTAAAGAAATTTCTGAGTTAAATGGTATAATGTTAGCTTATGCCAGAGCTGACCTTGAAAGATTGTTCAAATATGGCTCAGTGTGATTGAAAGTTCTGTGTGAATATGTTTTTGGAAAGATCCAACAGCAACACCTTAGTGTATGTTTTTGAAATAAAATGTATCTGAGTAGCAGCAAAGTTATTCTCAAATTTCCATTTTATAGCTGGAGATGTCATACCGTGACGTATATGATAGGACCCAATATGGATCAATCCCTTTTAGAAGTCAATCAGGAAGAGGGGAGCAGTTAAAACAGTTGCTTGGTTTACAAACATTAGAACAATTTTCTTATTCACACCATCTGATTATTGTATTTTATTTTTTCCCCAACGTTTAGACTACACAATGAGTTAAGAATGATAAAAATAAGCTCACCAATATACTATGTACATATTTACCAAAATCTGTGCATGCTTATACATATAAACACAGCTGATAATTTATTAGTTAGGCTCATTTGTAATTTTTGTCACTATAGACCAGTTTTTTATTTAAATTGAAGATTAGTATACATTTTAAATGATTAGTCAAAATAAAAAATCTAAAATGTGCTCTAAATACCTCTTAGGTCAGAAAAAAAAAGTCAAAAGCTAGAGTATAGAGAAATTAAGAAACGCCCTAAATTTCTAATCTGACAAAAATTCATACAAGATTTAAATATTTTAATGGAAAATAGAACAGAACTAATTATTGAAGAAATTATAGAAAGGAAACAAAATAAACAGATTATATGGAGGATTTTTAGAAGATAAGTAAATAAATTAATATACTAGGAAAAAACAAGGGAAATATACTTGATAAATAAATACAGGTAAGAGTTCTTTTGAAATAATGATAAAATAGAAAATCTCTGTCAAAACTAAAAGGAAAGATGCATAAATATATAAATAAATGATAAAAAATGTTGCATACATATATGACTTTTTCAGAATCAAAAAATTTAAATTTCTGTAATAAAATTTAAATGTTTATAAATTTAAAAAACTAGAAGAAAGAATGTTGACTGTTCACAATACAAATAAATGACAAATATTTGAGGTGATGGATATGCTAATTATCCTTATTTGATCATTGGGCATTGTATACATGTATCAAAATATCACTCTGTATCCCATGAATATGTACAATTATTTGTCTCAAAAACAAACAAAAAAAAAGATAATGGGAGAATGTTGAAAACTCAGAGAGAAGAGCAACTCTCACAGATAGGGATCCAGATAACATTAGCAGCTGATTTCTCGGCAGAAACCTTGAAGGCCAGCAGGCAGTGGATTATATATTTAAAATAATGAAGAAACCTGTCAATTGAGAAATATATAGCTGGAAAACTTATCCTTCAAAAATGAAGGAGAAATTAAGACATTTCCGGATTTTTTTTTAAAACTGAAAAAAATCCATTTATCCCTGAATTTGACATTCAGGAAGTGTTAAGTCCTTCAGGTTGAAATAAATGAACTCTAGGCAATAACTATGTAAGTAAATAAGCAAGCTGTATGAATATACAAAGCTCTCTGGTAAAGGTAAATACATAAACAAACATAAAAACAGTCCTATTGTAATTTTGGTTTGTAACTCTGCTTTTTATTTTCTACATAATTTAAAAGGCAAATGCATAAAATGTAATTGTAAATCTGTTAGCTGGTATACAATGAATAAAGATATAATTTGTCACATCAATAACATAAAAAGAGTAGAGCTATATATATAGCAGTAGAATTTTGGTATGTGATTGAACTTAAGTTGAAATAAATTCAAATTAAAATGTTATAACTCTAGGATGTTATATGTAATTCTCATAGTAACCAAAAATGAAATATATATAGAATATAAACAAAAGGAAATGAGACTAGAAACAAAATGTGTCACTACAAAAAAATCAACTAAAGATAAAAAAGAAATAATTGAGAAAATGATTGGCAAAAATCAGTAACTCTGACGTATTAAAACTTTCCATGCTACATAAATCTGAAAACTCTATTTCACATAAAACTGGAGCTGAAAGAAACAAATATTTACCTATAAAGTTAAAAGTTATATAGGGAACAAACACTAATTTTTTTTAGAAAAAATTATAAAAAGTAAAAATATGCCTTATACTACCGTAATTTCATGTTTTACAGCTCTGGGAAAATAGAAAATAAAATGTTCTGTTAGCATGAATCCCTCTGTGCCCCCAAAAAACCCTATGGATTGCATCATTATTACCTAAAAAGTCTATTCTCAAATGCAGCAGAGTGATATTTTTTACAAGGTAGATATTAATTTTAGATATGGAATAATATTGATGATTTCAATTTTATAACACTGGGTTAAGATGAAAGAATGAGAAGATAAAGGTCCCTCAGCAATATAACTCACAAACATGTTCAGAAGCAGTAAGAAGTTACATTAATTATCTTTTGAAAGTCGATAATCTACATCTTTAATGTATGCATATAGCATAGCTAATGTACTATCGCTGGGTCCATTTATTCAATGAATAATTGCCGCTATGTGTCAGACATTTTTCTAGGCCTAGGAATGGATACATAAGTGAACAAAGCAAAGATTCTGGTTCTTGTAGAGTTTCCATTAAAAGACAATTTAGTAAAACTTTTCTTCCCCCAAATTATAAAATCTGTAAGATGATTTAACAACATGTGTAAAAGTCATTGTGGGCCAGGCACGGTGGCTCATACCAGGTGTGGTGACTCATAGCACTCTGTCACCCAGGCTGGAGTGCAGTGGCACAATCTCTGCTCACTGCAACCTCTGCCTCCTGGGTACAAGCGATTCTCCTGCCTCAGCTTTCTGAGTAGCAAGGACTACAGGTGCACACCATCACGCCTGGCTAATTTTTGTACTATTAGTACAGACGGAGTTTCACCATGTTGGCCAGGCTGGTCTCAAACTCCTGACCTCAAATGATCCGCCCACCTCGGCCTCCCAAAGTGCTGGAATTACAGATGTGAGCCACAATGCCCGGCCTTATTTTCTACAACTTTGGTAACTTTAGCATATACCCCAAATCTGTAAGACATAATATTATAATTCAAATGCAACTCATGGCTTCTCTTTGTACTCTTTCTCTAGCTTTTGAATTATTTATTCTAATACCAGTTTTAATTCTGACACAAAATCATGGGAGTTCTAATCAAAATCCAACCTTTTATCATAAAAACTATGAAGAAATTATGAGTAGAATTTAAAAAGGAAAATAGGCCTATTAATTAGATTTGTCTTTGTAGCATTTAACTCTATAATAAATAATATTTTATGCCTATGAGTCCCCAACAAAGCCTCCAGCTTCTATTTAGATACAAACTGTAAAAGTCACTACTGGATCCACAAGCAAGACTATGGTAAATAAATTTCTCCACCTAACCAGCTTCTTTTACATGATGTTACATGTTTCTTTTGTTTTTTCATTTTGGCAAATATTGATTGTCATCTTCGTGTTTGTCTATGTCCTAAGTGCTGGGATACAGAATCTGAAAAGATGGACACAGGACCTGCCTTCAAGTTCACCCCCTTTTTTTTTTTTTTTTGAGATGCAGTTTTGCTCTTGTCACCCAGGCTGGAGTGTAATGGTGAGATCTCTGCTCACTGCAACCTCCACCTCCAGGGTTCAAGTGATTCTCCTGCCTCAGCCTCCCAAGTAGCTGGGATTACAGGTCCCAGCCACCACGCCTAGCTAATTTTTGTATTTTTAGTAGAGACAGCGTTTCATCATGTTGGTCAGGCTGGTCTCGAACTCCTAACCTCAGGTAGTCGACCCACCTCGGCCTCCCACAGTGCTGAGATTACAGGCATGAGCCACCACGCCCTGCTAGGAGTTCACGCTTTAGTTGGGGAAAATATACAATAAGCAAGCCAGTTTTTAAAATGAGAACTGCAATTAGAGTTAAATGCTACAAAGACAAACTCACAGGAAGATGGGATGTAGAATGATAAGGCTCTCAGAATAGTAAGAGAAACTATTGCTTCTTACGATGTTTGTCTTTCTTTGTATCGGTGCTCAGCTGAGTC
Source organism: Homo sapiens (assembly GCF_000001405.40). Classification (NCBI taxonomy): domain Eukaryota; kingdom Metazoa; phylum Chordata; class Mammalia; order Primates; family Hominidae; genus Homo; species Homo sapiens. Next base: position 720,070 of record NC_000001.11, read on the forward strand.
TGCAGTGCTTCAGAGGCAGCTTTCATTTTATAAAAATCTATGATTTCTCCTTCCAGTTGTTTTTTCTCTTCCTCGAGCTTCCTTATCTCCTCCTGTTGAATCATTTTAAGATGCTCGAACTTGTCCTGCAGCTGTGAAACCAATGTGCAGTTGTGACACCAAAGCAGTGTGGCTGAACACCTAAAAGAATACGCTTTTTTTCTGATTATCAAACAAACCCAAATCATCACAGTAGAGCACGATCTTAATAACAATCTCAAAAACTCAGGAGTAAACACTCAGATATGGAATTTTTCTTTTCTTTCTTTTTTCCTTTTATAAGATGGAGTCTCACTCTGTTGCCCAGGCTGGAGTGCACTGGTGCGATCTCAGCTCACTGCAACCTCCATCTCCCAGTTCAAGTGATTCTCCTGCCTCAGCCTCTTGAGTAGCTGGGACTATAGGCATGCACCACCACTACAGGCGTGTGCCACCACACCTGGCTAATTTTTGTATTTTTAGTAGAGATGGGGTTTTGCCATGATGGCCAGGCTGGTCTCGAACTCCTGACCTCAGGTGATCCTCCCGCTTTGGCCTCCCAAAGACTTTTTTTTTTTTTTTTAATATAGAGACAAGTTCTCAGTACGTTGCCCAGGCTGGTCTCAAACTCCTGAGCTCAAGTGATCCTCCCACCTCAGCTTCCCAAAGTGCTGGGACTGACTGGATGCAGTGGCTCATGCTTGTAAACTCAGCACTTTGGGAGGCCAAGGTGGGAGGATCGCTTGAGCCCAGGAGTTCAAGACCAGACTGGGTGATATAACACAATAGTCAACTTCAACAGGAGAGAGAATCTGTAAACTTGAATATAGATCTTCCGAAATTATCCAGTCAGAGGACAGAGAAAAAAAGAATAAAAGAGAGAAAAGAAGGCTGGGTGTGGTGGCTCAAGCCTGTAATCCCAACACTTTGGGAGGCCGAGGCAGGCAGATTAAGAGGTCAGGAGTTCAAGACCAGCCTGTCCAACATGACAAAGCCCCATCTCTACTAAAAATACAAAAATTAGCCGGGTGTGGTGGCACACACCTGTAGTCCCAGCTACTTAGGAGGCTGAGGCAGGAGAATCGCTTGAACCCAGGAGGCGGAGGTTGGAGTGCAATGTGAGCCGAGACCACACATTACACTCCAGCCTGGGTGACAGAGCATGACTCTGTCTCAAAAAGAAAAAAAAAAGAGACAGAGAAAAGAAAGCCAACAAGACACCATTAAGCAAACCATTGTCAGGTTATGGGAGTTTGAGAAGGAAAGTAGAGAAAGGAGAATAAAGCTTATTTAAAGAATGGCTGACAACTGCCTAAATCATGGGAAAGATTTAGACATCTAAATCCATGAAGCTTAAAGATTCCTAAAGAGGTTCAAACCAAATAGATACTCACCAAGTCACAATATAATCAAATAGTCAAAAGTTAAAGAAACTTTGCAGGTCAGGACAGAATCGAATAATACATTCAAAGTGCTGAAAGAAAAAAACTGCCAGCAACTAATACTATGTCTGACAAAGCTGTCCTTCAGAAAGGAAAAAGAAATAACGTGTTTCCTCGACAAACAAAGCTGAGGGCATTCAGGACCACTAGGTCTACCTTAAAAAAATGCTTAACGGAGTTTTTCAAGTAAAAATGAATGAAGTTGGGAGCGGTAGCTCATGCCTGTAATCCCATTTTGGGAGGCTGAGGTGGGTGGATCACCTGAGGTCGGGAGGTCAAGACCAGCCTGGCCAACATGGCAAAACCCCACCTCCAGTAAAAATACAAAAAATTAGCCAGGTATGAAGGCCACTGAGATCGTGCCACTGCACTCCAGCCTGGGTGACAAGAGTCAAACTACATTTCAAAAACAAAAAACAAAACAAACAAAAAAAACAAAACTTGAGGCCTGGCCTTCTGCTCCTCTCCAACCTCCCCTTCTCTGGGCCCAAGCCACCTTGGCTGAGGAGGGGGCGAGGAGGTGTGAGCCCCTGCCAGGAACCCCCTGCCCGGACCAAGTGCTCGGCCCCCAGGCCTGCGTTCAGTGAGGCCTCCCGTGGCGTCAGCATGTTCGTGTGGAGGAATGTGGAAGGTCACTCTTCGGCCGTGTTCTCCTGGTACTCCATCCCCTTCCTGACCCCTCCCTGCAGCCACACGAGGCCCAGCAACCTGCCAGTCACTCAGAGTCTCTGGCCTCCAACCAGAGAAAACAACCTGCCAAGTTGGCAGCCGTTGCTCATGAGCGTCCACCAAGTGGGACAGGGAGTGTTGACCCTGGGCGGCCCCCTGGAGCCACCTGCCCTGAAAGCCCAGGGCCCGCAACCCCACACACTTTGGGGGTGGTGGAACCTGGTAAAAGCTCACCTCCCACCATGGAGGAGGAGCCCTGGGCCCCTCAGGGGAGTCCCTGCTGGACAGTGAGACAGAGAATGACCATGATGATGCTTTCCTCTCCATCATGTCTCCTGACACCCAGTTGCCTCTACCACTCAGATGATGTCAGGCCCAGTCCCTCAGTGCCCTGCGCAAGGAAAAGGACTCATCTTCTGAGAAGGATGGACGCAGCCCCAACAAATCAGACAAGGACCACATCCGGTGGCCCATGAGTGGCGCTCATGATCTTCAGCAGGCGGCACCAGGCCCTGGCGGGGCGCACCAGGGTCACCCCAACCAGGATAACCGGACCGTCAGCCAGATGCTGAGCGAGCGGTGGTACACCCTGGGGCCCAATGAGATGCAGAAATACAACCTGGCCTTCCAGGTGAAGGTGGCCCACTTGCAACAAGGACCGAAAGAAGTCCAGCTCAGAGGCCAAGCCCACAAGCCAGGGGCTAGCAGGAGTGTAACAAGGGCTCGTGGGAGCGGAGCATATCAGAGACGGGCACTGCCACTGCCCCTGGGGTGTCCTCTGAACTCCTGTCAGTTGCAGCCCAAACACTCCAGAGCTCGGATACCAAGGAGCAGCTTCTATGGGGCAGAACGGCTGCACACAGTCAGGGAACCTGGCTCAGCCTGGCCCAAGCCTTCTCCCACAGCGGGGTACACAGCCTGGACGGCAGGGAAATAGACCGTCAGGCACTACGGGAACTGACACAGGTGGTGTCTGGCACTGCATCATACTCTGGCCCAAAGCCTTCTACTCAGCATGGAGCTCCAGGCCACTTTGCAGCCCCTGGTGAGGGAGGTGACCCGTGGGCAGCCCTGCTGCCGCCCACGTGAGCTGCTCATTCCCAGCACATGGCCAGCGAGGTCATAGCGAGTGACGAGGAGCACACGGTCATCCATGAGGAGGAGGGGGTGATGATGTCATTGCTGATGATGGCTTTAGCACCACCGACACCGATCTCAAGTTCAAGGAGTGGGTGACCGACTGAGAGTGGGGACAACTCTGGGGAGGAGCCAGAGGGCAACAAGGGCTTTGGTGGGAAGGTATTTGCACCTGTCATTCCTTCCTCCTTTACTCCTGCCGCCCCTTGCTGGATCCTGAGCCCCCAGGGTCCCCCGATCCACCTGCAGCTTTTGGCAGTCTATGGTCACACCCTGTCCTCCTCCTACACATACTCGGATGCTTCCTCCTCAACCTTGGCACCCACCTCCTTCTTACTGGGCCCAGGAGCCTTCAAAGCCCAGGAGTCTGGTCAACGCAGCAGAGCGGGCCCCCTACGGCCCCAACCCCTGGGGATGGGGGCCCAGGGACGCCTTCCAAGGTGGCCTGTTTCCTCCCAATGGATCCTGCCACCTTCTGGTGCAAGAGACCTGAAAGTGTGGGTGACCTGGAGCTACCAGGCTCCTCAGTCATCAGGGTCCCTCCCAACACTAAGGCTTTCCTAGGCAGGAGCTGGGCTGAGCCACCCGGGGGGCAGAGCCTGAAGAGAAACTGACTGGGCTTTCGGGGTCGGGGCAGAGGGAACCCCACGGACATGGATCCCACACTGGAGGACCCCACCGCGCCCAAATGCAAGATGAGAAGATGCTCCAGCTGCAGTCCAAAGCCCAACACCCCCAAGTGTGCCATGTGTGATGGGGACAGCTTCCCCTTTGCCTGTACAGGTGGAGAAGCCGAGGACAGGCTCAGGGAACCGGAGACCGAGAAGGCGCTGTCCTCTTCACTGCACGTACCCTGGACCAGTGCCGGCCCTGATCATGCAGCTCTTCCAGGCCCACTGCTTCTTCCTGTCCACTAGGCCACAGCCGCCCTCCAGGCCCACTATGCACACATCTTCCCCTCCAAGGTTTGTTCTGCCCCTGCCCTGACTCCCAGCCCTGTGGGGGTCCTGACCGCACCTCACCTGGCTCAGACTCTTGACGCTGCCCTGGCTGCCCCACCACTGCTTCTGCCCGAGAGTCACGTGAGGCTGAGAGTAGGGGCAGGGGCAGCAGTGGTGCCAGTTGGGGGGCGGTCCAGTGGGAGGAGCCTCAGCCTCGCAGGCTGCTCCGTGGGACTGATGACTGCATGATCTTCTGGGCACCTCACGGATCTTCAACTGCAGGTGAAACGGATGCTGGTGGTGGGTGCAGGGCCGCTGGGAGCTGCTGCATGGTTCCCAGAGGCTGGACTGAGGCAGGTGCCAACTGAAGCTGCTGGGGCAGCATGGGCAGGATGTTCTGCACACAAACCTTGGAGAAGAAGATGTGTGCATAGCAGGTCCACTGCTGCTGCCCCTGCCCTGACTCCCAGCCCTGCCTGACCCCACCTCAACCTGCTCAGGCTCTGGCACAACCCTGGCTGCCCTGCCACTGCCTCTGCCCCAGAGTTGGGGCCTTGACAGCCTGGTTGGAAGGGGACACCCCAGCCCTGCCTCAACACCTGGGGGTCTCCATAACTACCACAGGCAGGTGGGCAACCCCAAAGATCCCAGGACTCACAGTACCCCCTGAGAACATGGACAGTATGTGGGGGTAGCAATGGAGGGCAGGATGGTTATCTTCTCCCAGGTGAAGCCATTTAATCCTTTCAGTTTGGGACGGAGTAAGGCCTTCCTCTTTTTTTTTTTTTTTTTTTTTTTTTTTTTGAGACCGAGTCTTGCTCTGTCGCCCAGGCTGGAGTGCAGTGGTGCGATCTTGGCTCACTGCAACCTCTTCCCGCCGGGTTCACGCCATTCTCCTGCCTCAGCCTTCCGGGTAGCTAGGATTACAGGTGGACGCTACCACGTCCGGCTAATTTTTGTATTTTTAGTACAGACGGGGCTTCATCATCTTGGCCAGGCTGATTTCGATCTCCTGACATCGTGATCTGCCTGCCTCCCCCTCCCAAAGTGCTGGGATTACAGGCGTGAGCCACCACGCCTGGCCAAGGCCTGCTCCTCTTATCTATACCCCCTACCCCTGCAGCTGTGCCGGGGGAAAGCTGGGCAGTTTCCCTCCTCCGAGCCCCTGTACATACCATGAATTGTGGGACCTTCAGAGCTTTTCACTTTTCGGAAAATAGCTCCTGCTGGGGCTACAAGATGGAGTGTGAAGAGGGCCTTGGGCCACAGGGAGGCGCCTGTGGACTAGGGGGAGTTCATGCACCCCTTCTTTCCCCAGAGGGGCTGGACTCAGGTGAGTATGGGGGTGGGGGCTCCTGCACTTCGACACAGGCAGCGGGAGGGTTTTCTCCCCATTCCCTCTGCACTCCCAACTTGAGCTATACTTTTTAAGAAAGTGATTCACCCTGCCTTTGCCCCCTTCCCCAGAACAGAACACGTTGATCGTGGGCGATATTTTTCATTGTGCCAAAAAGTTGCCATGACCGTCATTAAACCTGTTTAACACCAAATAATAAGGAAAATAAAATAAAAAATTCGGGCTTGGCGCAGAAACTCACTCCAAATAAATTACCTATCAAAATATTTACATAATGGTGGAAATATTCCAAAATTCAATATTTTGGGATTTATACACAAAAGATAAACAAATTAGAGGCCAAGAGGCTGCCGGAAGGGAAAAACGGGGCCTGGAATGGCCGACGTGAGGAATGAGCTGGGCCTAAAGAGGCCACTGGCAGGCAGGAGCTGGACCTGCCGAAGTGGCCGAAAGGCAGGAGCTTTGGACTGGGGAGGCCGCAGTGAGGCGAGAGCTAGCTGGGCGTGGAGAGTCTGCTGTGAGGCCGAGGCCGAGGCCGGGCCCGTGCAGGCCTTCGAGAGGCAGGAGGCCGGGCCTGCAAAGGCCGACTGGAGATCAAGTTCTGCGCCTGAAGAGGCTGCCAAAAGTCAAAAGCGGGGCCTGGGAAGGCCGCCGAGAGCCATGAGCTGGGCTGGGCCGAAAGAGGCCACTGGGAGGCAGGAGGAGCTGGGCCTGGAGAGGCTGACTCGAGGAAGTTTTGCACCTGGAGAGGCCGTCGAGAGGACGGAGCTGGGCCCAGGGAGGCCGACTTGCTGCTCTTCCAGGCCCACTTCCAGGCCGACTTGAGGACGACTTGGGCCTGCAGAGGCCGCCGGGAGGCTGGAGCTAAGCCTGGAGAGACTGACTTCGGGACGATTTGGGCCTGCAGAGGCCGCCGGGAGGCCCAAGCTGGGCCTAGAGGAGCCCACCGACCGGAGGCCATTTGGGGCCTGCAGATGTCATCGGAGGGCCAGGAGCTGAGCCTGGAGAGGCCACCGCGAGGCCTGAGCTGGGCCTGGGGAGCTTGGCTTAGGGAAGTTGTGGGCCTACCAGGGCCGCTGGGAGCTGGGCAGGAGCTGAGTCCAAAGACGTTGTTGGGACCTGGAGTCGGGCCAGAGTCCGGCCTGGAGATGCAGCCGGGAGGAAGAGCTGGGCCCGGAGGGGGCGCCGGGAGGCTGCAAGTGGGTCTGAGAGGCCAACTTGAGGAGGCCTGGCCTCTGCCTCCCGCATTGCCCAGCTGTTCCTCCTGGCTGCATCTCCCACCTCCCAGCAAACAAGCTCTTTTGGCTCAGCTCCCGCCTGCGTTTGTAGACCCCGAAGTTTCTGCAACCAAGCTCTTCAGACCCACATCCCTTCTCCCAGTGACTGAACAGTCCCAGCTCCGGCTGGAGAAGGGCGTCTGCAGACCCCGCTGTTGCCTCCCAGGGGAGTCTCCAGGCCCAGCTCTCGCCCCACCGCGACCTCCCAGGCCCAAGTCCCTGCCTACCTCCCAGCAGCCCGAGTGCGATCCTGTTCCTCCCTCACGGTGGCCTGTTGAGGCAGGGGATCACGCTGACCTCTGTCCGCGTGGGAGGGGCCGGTGTGAGGCAAGGGCTCACATTGACCTCTCTCAGCGTGGGAGGGGCCGGTGTGAGACAAGGGGCTCACGCTGACCTCTGTCCGCGTGGGAGGGGCCGGTGTGAGGCAAGGGCTCACACTGACCTCTCTCAGCGTGGGAGGAGCCAGTGTGAGGCAGGGGCTCACGCCTCTGGGCAGGGTGCCAGAGGCATGAGTTGGGCATCAACAGGCCACCGTGAGGGAGGAGCTGGGCCGCACGCGGGCTGCTGGGAGGCAGGCAGGGACTTGGCCCCGGGAGGCCGCCGTGGGGGCAAGAGCTGGGCCTGGAGAGGCCCCTGGGAGGCAAGGGAGGGGCCTGCAGAGGCTGTTCTCCAACCAGTGCTAGAACTGTACAGGCCACCAGGAGGCAGGAGGTGGGCCCTCAGAGCTTGGCTGGAGAAAGTTCGGGGCCTACAAAGGCGGTTGGGAGCTGGGCAGGAGTTGAGCCAAAAGAGCTTGCTTACTTGCTGGGAGGCAGGGCCGGGAGAGCCTGACTTCAGGACAACTTGGGCCTGCGGCGGTCGCCGGGAGGCCCAACCTTGGCGTGGAGGAGCCCACCGACCGGAGACCATTTGGGGCCTGGAGATGCCATCGGAGGGCAGGAGCTCATCCTGGAGAGGCCACCGTGAGGCCTGACCTGGGCCTGGGGAGCTTGGCTTGAGGAAGCTGTGGGCCGACCAAGGCCGCCAGGAGATGGGTAGGCACTGAGTCCAAAGAGGTTGTTGAGAGGCAGGAATCGGGCCTGGAGACCCAACCAGGAAGAAGAGCTGGGCCCGGAGAGAACGCCCGGAGGGTGCAAGTGGGTCTGGAGAGGCCGACTTGAGGAGGTTCTGGGCCCGGAGAGGCCGCCGGAAGGGAAAAACTGGGCCTGGAAAGGCTGTTGTCAGGAATGAGCCCCATGGGCCTGAAGAGGCCACTGGCAGGCGGGAGCTGGGCCTGCCGAAGCGGCCGAGAGGCAGGAGCTTTGGACTCGGGAGGCCGCAGTGAAGCAACAGCTAGCTGGGCGTGGAGAGTCCGCTGTGAGGCAGAGGCTGGGCCTGTGCAGGCCTTCGGGAGGCAGGAGGCTGGGCCTTGTCGAGGCCTGCAGAGGCCACCGAAAGTCAAAAGCGGGGCTTGGGAAGGCCGCCGGGAGGCATGAGCTGGGCTGGGCCGAAAGAGGCCACTGGGAGGCAGGAGGAGCTGGGCCTGGAGAGGCTGCCGAAAGGCAGGAGCTTCGCCTGAGGATGCCACAGTGAGACACCATCTGGGTCTGGAGGGTCCACTGTGAGGCAGAGGCTGACCTGTAGAGTCCGACAGTAGACAGAAGTTGGGCAAAAGCCTGATTTGAGGAAGTTTTGGGCTTCAAGAGTCAGCCACGAGGCAGGCACTAGGCCTGGAAATGGACTCACAGTCATGAGTTGGGCCTAAATGGGCCACTGTGAGGGAGGAGCTGTGCCTGTTGAGGCTGCTGGCAGGCAGGCAGAAATTTGGCCTGGGGCAGCTGCCATGAGGCAAGAGCTGGGCCTGGAAAAAGCCCCTGGGAGGCAAGAGCAGGGCCTGCAGAGGCTGTTCTCAAGTCAAAGCTGGGCCTGTTGATGCCACCGGGAAGCAGAAGGTGGGCCTGGAGAGTTTGACTTGAGGAAGTTTTGGGCCTACATTGGCCGCCATGAGCTGGACAGGAACTGGGCCAAAAAAGGCTGTTGTGAGGCAGCAGTTGTGCCTGTAGACCCAGCCAAGAGGAAGAGGTGGGCCTGGAGAAGCCCCCATGAGGCAGAGGTTGGGCCTGTAGACGCTGACAGGAGGCAGGAGCTGGGCCTGGACAGGTCAACTTGAGGAGATTTTGGGCCTTCATAGGCCACCAGGAGGCAGCAGTTGGGACTAGAGAGTCTGACTTGAGTAAGTTTTGGGCCCGGAGATGACGTCCTGGGACAGGAGTTGGGCGTGGAGAGGCCACCGTGAGGCATAAGCTGGATGTAGAGAGGCCAGTGTGAGGCAAGACCTGGGCCTGTCTAGGCTGCTGGGAGACAGGCAGGAATCTGGCCAGGGAAGGTTGCCATGAGACAAAAGTTGGGCCTGGAAAGGCCCTTGTGAAGCATGAGCTTGGCCTAAAGAGGCCACTGGGTGGCAGGAGCTAGGTGTGTAGAAGCTGCTGAAAGGTTGGGAGCTTGGCTTGGGGGGTCCACAGTGAGGTAGATGCTGGGCGTGAAGAATCTGCTGTGAGGCAGACTTTGGGACTGTAGAGGCTGACGGGAGGCAGAGGCTGGGCCTGGAGGGGCCACCAAGATGCAGGAGCTGGGCCTGGAGAGGCTGCAAAGAAGCATGAGCTGGGCCTGGTGAGGTCGACTTGAGAAAGTTCAGGGCCTGGAGAGAAGGCTGGGAGGCAGGAGCTGGGTCTAAAGAGGCCATTGTAACGATGGAGCTGTGCCTGTGGAGGCTGTTGTGAGGCAGTAGCCTCATCTGCGGAGGCTGCCGTGACATAGGGTATGGGCCTAAATAGGCCATTGTGAGTCATGAGCTTGGTCTGTAGAGGCTGACTGGAGAAAGTTCTGGGCCTGGAGAGGCTGCCGGGAGGTAGGAGCTGGGCCAAAAGATGTAAGCACATTTGCATTTATTAGGCACTTTATTTCCATTATTACACTGTAATATATAATAAAATAATTATAGAACTCACCATAATGTAGAATTAGTGGGCGTGTTAAGCTTGTTTTCCTGCAACTGAATGGTCCCACCTGAGCGTGATGGGAGAAAGTGACAGATCAATAGGTATTAGATTCTCATAAGGACAGCGCAACCTCGATCCCTCACATGCACGGTTCACAACAGGGTGCGTTCTCCTATGAGCATCTAATGCTGCTGCTCATCTGAGAAGGTGGAGCTCAGGTGGGAATGTGAGCAAAGGGGAGTGGCTCTAAATACAGACGAAGCTTCCCTCACTCCCTCACTCGACACCGCTCACCTCCTGCTGTGTGGCTCCTTGCGGCTCCATGGCTCAGGGGTTGGGGACCCCTGCTCAAGTGCATCCAAAGCGACCCTTCCCACACCAGTCTTCACAGTGGTCAAGGGCAGCAACCACTTAGCTCCCAAGGCATGTGCCTCAGCTGGCATTTCGTCACAATCAACAGTAAGTGGTAGCTTGAGTCACTGTGAGGTCACCTACTGGAAATCACCAGCACCCCATTTCCCACTGGCAAAGAGCTCAGCACTGCCCCCTGGGAAACCAAACCTATGCCCAAATCCCATCTGTGTGGGTCTACCTCCTGGGACCCTTCCTAACATATTAGTCAGAGTCCAATCAGGAAGCATAAACCACTCAAAAGTTTAAAGTGGTAAAATTTAATACAGAGAATTATTCATTATAACAGGTGAACAGCATAATGAGAGATTGGCTAGCACAGAGTAAAGAGAACTCTAGAGAATATGGGACTAGCCCAGGCCAGGCATGGTGGCTCATGCCTGAAATTCCAGCCATTACAGAAGCTAATGCAGGAGGATTGCTTAAGGCCAGGAGCTAGAGACCGGTCTGGACGACACAGTGAGACCCTGTCTCTATCCAAAAGAAGAAAAAAGTTAGCTGGGGGTGGTGGTGCACACTTGTAGTCCCAGCTACTCAGAATGCTGAAGTTTGAGCCTGGGAGGTCAAGGCTGCAGTGAGGCATGATTATGCCACTACAGTCCAGCCGGATGACAGAGCAAGACCCTGTCTCAAAGAACAAAACCACAACAACCATTTACAGACAGAAAAGAAATAGAGCTAATAAGCTGAGGAAAGATGTTGAAATGTGACAAGTAAAGTAATATGAGGTCTTTTGTCTATTTAAAATAATCAAACAAAAAATGGCTTACGAAATTATAATACCCTGTGCTGGCAAAGGTGCAGTGAAATGGGCACTTTCTTATACTATGAGGGGTGGTTAAATTGTGTATAAGCCTTCCAGGGTAAAGCCTGTCAATTTTTTAAAATAATGGAGACAGGGTCTCACCATACTGCCATACTGCCTCCTCCAACTCTTGGCCTCAAGCAATCCTCCTCTCTTAGCCTCCCAAAGTGCTAAGATTATAGCTGGGAGGCACCCAAAACCCTGTCAATTTACATCAAGGGTAAGGAGAATGTCCATTCACCATGACTCACAGTAATCTTACTTCTGGGGAGACAATTCAATCTAAGCAAAAGGTCATCTGTACACACACAGTAAAAATCTGGGAGTAACTGAAGACAGAGTTGGTAAGTGAAATAAGAAACAGTTATAAGAAATTAAACTATGGTATCAATAGGCACCTGGTAAAAGGTCAGTTGATGTTAGCTGCTACTTTTTTGTTGTTTTGAGACAGGGTCTCACTCTGTCACCCAGGCTGGAGTGCAGAGGCCTGATCATGACTCACTGCAGTCTCAGCCTCCCTGGGCTCAAGTGATCCTCCCACCTCAGCCTCCCAAGTAGCTGGGACTACAGGAACATGCCACCACACTAGGCTAATTCATGTATTTTTCTGTAGGGATGGTGACTCCCCCTTTGTTTCCAAGGCCTATCGCAAACTCTTGGCCTCGAGCCATCCTCCTGCCTCAGCCTCCCAAAGTGTTGTGATTACCAGTGTGAGCCACCACACCTGGCCAGCTGCTACTTTTATCAATATTATTCTTATTCCACTCAATTAAAAATTATTATTTTCAAGGCTATGCAACAGTATGTATCCTACAGCGTAATTGTAAAAACATACACAGTCGTCATCCCTCAGTATACAGAATTAGTTCCAGCCCCCCATCTCTGCATATACCAAAATCCATGCTTACTCACGTTTCGCTGTCACCCCTCTAGAATCCACGTATACGAAAATTCCAAATGTTAGTTGGGCATAGTGGCAAGCACCTGTAGTCTCAGCCACGTGGGAGGTTGAGGTGGGAGGATCGCTTCAGCCTGGAAGGTTGAGGCTGCAGTCAGCTGCGATAGCACTACTACACTCCAGCCTTGGACAACAGAGGGAGACCCTGTCTCAGAAAAAAAAACAAAATAAAACAGGTTAGAAATTGTAATGAGGTCTGCTGGGCAAAATTCCATATAAGCAATGTATAAATTAATAAAGCAAATCGTGATAAATTAGTACGATTGACTTTCTGGAGTTTCTGACAATAAAAGTAAGGAAAATGCAGAACACAAAGACAGAGAGTAAAAAGAGAAATTAGGAAAGCATTCTACATGTTGAATAGGAAGACACTGGCCATGTTCGTGCAGCGGCAGTATGTCGTGACATGACATACCTTGGAGAGAAGTTAACAGATGAGGAAGTTGATAAAAATCATCAGAGAAGCAAAATACTGGTAGCGACACTCAAGTAAACCATGAAATTTCCATAACTTATGTCAGCAAAGTGGGAATATTGTACAGTGTGTGTTGAAGTTCCTATACAACATTGTTTATCTGCCTTTTGTTTGTTTGTAAGGAATGTACATACTAAAAGTTCTTCTTGCTGTCAAAAGAATATGCGTGAATAAGTCATTTTAACTTATTCTTCTGTTTTTCTTTTATCTTCCTGCCATCATCCCACAGCCTTACTTTAGAAATTTCTTTTTTAGAAAATTGAACAAGTGCTCCCTGTGGTGGCACATACCTCGAGGATGGGAGGCAGGGGTGGAAGGGTCACTTGAGGCCATTAGTTTGACACCAGCCTGGCCAACAAAGTGAGACCCCGTGTCTACAAAACAATTTAAAAATTAGCCAAGTATCGTCATGTATACCTACAGTCCCAGCTATCTGAACTTACTGAGAATGTTCAGGGCCTGGAGAGAAGGCTGGGAGGCAGGAGCTGGGTCTAAAGAGGCCATTGTAACGATGGAGCTGTGCCTGTGGAGGCTGTTGTGAGGCAGTAGGCTCATCTGCGGAGGCTGCCGTGACGTAGGGTATGGGCCTAAATAGGCCATTGTGAGTCATGAGCTTGGTCTGTAGAGGCTGACTGGAGAAAGTTCTGGGCCTGGAGAGGCTGCCGGGAGGTAGGAGCTGGGCCAAAAGATGTAAGCACATTTGCATTTATTAGGCACTTTATTTGCATTATTACACTGTAATATATAATAAAATAATTATAGAACTCACCATAATGTAGAATCAGTGGGCGTGTTAAGCTTGTTTTCCTGCAACTGGATGGTCCCACCTGAGCGTGATGGGAGAAAGTGACAGATCAATAGGTATTAGATTCTCATAAGGACAGCGCAACCTAGATCCCTCACATGCACGGTTCACAACAGGGTGCGTTCTCCTATGAGAATCTAACGCTGCTGCTCATCTGAGAAGGTGGAGCTCAGGCGGGAATGTGAGCAAAGGGGAGTGGCTGTAAATACAGACGAAGCTTCCCTCACTCCCTCACTCGACACCGCTCACCTCCTGCTGTGTGGCTCCTTGCGGCTCCATGGCTCAGGGGTTGGGGACCCCTGCTCAAGTGCATCCAAAGCGACCCTTCCCACACCAGTCTTCACAGTGGTCAAGGGCAGCAACCACTTAGCTCCCAAGGCATGTGCCTCAGCTGGCATTTCGTCACAATCAACAGTAAGTGGTAGCTTGAGTCACTGTGAGGTCACCTACTGGAAATCACCAGCATCCCATTTCCCACTGGCAAAGAGCTCAGCACTGCCCCCGGGAAACCAAACCTATGCCCAAATCCCATCTGTGTGGGTGTATCTCCTGGGACCCTTCCTAACATATTAGTCAGAGTCCAATCAGGAAGCATAAACCACTCAAAAGTTTAAAGTGGTAAAATTTAATACAGAGAATTATTCATTATAACAGGTGAACAGCATAATGAGAGATTGGCTAGCACAAAGTAAACAGAACTCTAGAGAATATAGGACTAGCCCAGGCCAGGCATGGTGGCTCAGGCCTGAAATTCCAGCAATTTGAGAAGCTAATGCAGGAGGATTGCTTAAGGCCAGGAGCTAGAGACCGGTCTGGACGACACAGTGAGACCCTGTCTCTATCCAAAAGAAGAAAAAAGTTAGCTGGGGGTGGTAGTGCACACTTGTAGTCCCAGCTACTCGGAATGCGGAAGTTTGAGCCTGGGAGGTCAAGGCTGCAGTGAGGCATGATTATGCCACTACAGTCCAGCCTGGTGACAGAGCAAGACCCTGTCTCAAAGAACAAAACAACAACAACCATTTACAGACAGAAAAGAAATAGAGCTAATAAGCTGAGGAAAGATGTTGAAATGTGACAAGTAAAGTAATATGAGTTCTTTTGTCTATGTAAAATAATCAAACAAAAAATGACTTACTAAATTATAATACCCTGTGCTGGCAAAGGTGCAGTGAAATGGGCACCTTCTTATACTATGAGGGGTGTTTAAATTGTGTATAAGCCTTCCCGGGTAAAGCCTGTCAATTTTTTAAAATAATGGAGACAGGGTCTCACCATACTGCCATACTGCCTCCTCCAACTCTTGGCCTCAAGCAATCCTCCTCTCTTAGCCTCCCAAAGTGCTAAGATTATAGCTGGGAGGCACCCAAAACCCTGTCAATTTACATCAAGGGTAAGGAGAATGTCCATTCACCATGACTCACAGTAATCTTACTTCTGGGGAGACAATTCAATCTAAGCAAAAGGTCATCTGTACACACACAGTAAAAATCTGGGAGTAACTGAAGACAGAGTTGGTAAGTGAAATAAGAAACAGTTATAAGAAATTAAACTATGGTATCAATAGGCACCTGGTAAAAGGTCAGTTGATGTTAGCTGCTACTTTTTTGTTGTTTTGAGACAGGGTCTCACTCTGTCACCCAGGCTGGAGTGCAGAGGCCTGATCATGACTCACTGCAGTCTCAGCCTCCCTGGGCTCAAGTGATCCTCCCACCTCAGCCTCCCAAGTAGCTGGGACTACAGGAACATGCCACCACACTAGGCTAATTCATGTATTTTTCTGTAGGGATGGTGACTCCCCCTTTGTTTCCAAGGCCTATCGCAAACTCTTGGCCTCAAGCCATCCTCCTGCCTCAGCCTCCCAAAGTGTTGCGATTACCAGTGTGAGCCACCACACCTGGCCAGCTGCTACTTTTATCAATATTATTCTTATTCCACTCAATTAAAAATTATTATTTTCAAGGCTATGCAACAGTATGTATCCCACAGCATAATTGTAAAAACATATAGTCGTCGTCCCTCAGTATACAGAATTAGTTCCAGCCCCCCATCTCTGCATATACCAAAATCCATGCTTACTCACGTTTCGCTGTCACCCCTCTGGAATCCACGTATACGAAAATTCCAAATGTTAGTTGGGCATAGTGGCAAGCACCTGTAGTCTCAGCCACGTGGGAGGTTGAGGTGGGAGGATCGCTTCAGCCTGGAAGGTTGAGGCTGCAGTCAGCTGCGATAGCACTACTACACTCCAGCCTTGGACAACAGAGGGAGACCCTGTCTCAGAAAAAAAAACAAAATAAAACAGGTTAGAAATTGTAATGAGGTCTGCTGGGCAAAATTCCATATAAGCAAAGTATAAATTAATAAAGCAAATCGTGATAAATTAGTACGATTGGCTTTCTGGAGTTTCTGACAATAAAAGTAAGGAAAATGCAGAACACAAAGACAGAGAGTAAAAAGAGAAATTAGGAAAGCATTCTACATGTTGAATAGGAAGACACTGGCCATGTTCGTGCAGCGGCAGTATGTCGTGACATGACATACCTTGGAGAGAAGTTAACAGATGAGGAAGTTGATAAAAATCATCAGAGAAGCAAAATACTGGTAGCGACACTCAAGTAAACCATGAAATTTCCATAACTTATGTCAGCAAAGTGGGAATATTGTACAGTGTGTGTTGAAGTTCCTATACAACATTGTTTATCTGCCTTTTGTTTGTTTGTAAGGAATGTACATACTAAAAGTTCTTCTTGCTGTCAAAAGAATATGTGTGAATAAGTCATTTTAACTTATTCTTCTGTTTTTCTTTTATCTTCCTGCCATCATCCCACAGCCTTACTTTAGAAATTTTTTTTTTAGAAAATTGAACAAGTGCTCCCTGTGGTGGCACATGCCTCGAGGATGGGAGGCAGGGGTGGAAGGGTCACTTGAGGCCATTAGTTTGACACCAGCCTGGCCAACAAAGTGAGACCCCGTGTCTACAAAACAATTTAAAAATTAGCCAAGTATCATCA
Organism: Homo sapiens; assembly: GCF_000001405.40. NCBI lineage: Eukaryota > Metazoa > Chordata > Mammalia > Primates > Hominidae > Homo > Homo sapiens. Next base: position 736,354 of record NC_000001.11, read on the forward strand.
TGTATACCTACAGTCCCAGCTACCTGAACTTACTGAGAAAGTTCAGAGCCTGGAGAGAAGGCTGGGAGGCAGGAGCTGGGTCTAAAGAGGCCATTGTAACGATGGAGCTGTGCCTGTGGAGGCTGTTGTGAGGCAGTAGGCTCATCTGCGGAGGCTGCCGTGACGTAGGGTATGGGCCTAAATAGGCCATTGTGAGTCATGAGCTTGGTCTGTAGAGGCTGACTGGAGAAAGTTCTCGGCCTGGAGAGGCTGCCGGGAGGTAGGAGCTGGGCCAAAAGATGTAAGCACATTTGCATTTATTAGGCACTTTATTTCCATTATTACACTGTAATATATAATAAAATAATCATAGAACTCACCATAATGTAGAATCAGTGGGCGTGTTAAGCTTGTTTTCCTGCAACTGGATGTTCCCACCTGAGCGTGATGGGAGAAAGTAACAGATCAATAGGTATTAGATTCTCATAAGGACAGCGCAACCTTGATCCCTCACATGCACGGTTCACAACAGGGTGCGTTCTCCTATGAGAATCTAACGCTGCTGCTCATCTGAGAAGGTGGAGCTCAGGCGGGAATGTGAGCAAAGGGGAGTGGCTGTAAATACAGACGAAGCTTCCCTCACTCCCTCACTCGACACCGCTCACCTCCTGCTGTGTGGCTCCTTGCGGCTCCATGGCTCAGGGGTTGGGGACCCCTGCTCAAGTGCATCCAAAGCGACCCTTCCCACACCAGTCTTCACAGTGGTCAAGGGCAGCAACCACTTAGCTCCCAAGGCATGTGCCTCAGCTGGCATTTCGTCACAATCAACAGTAAGTGGTAGCTTGAGTCACTGTGAGGTCACCTACTGGAAATCACCAGCATCCCATTTCCCACTGGCAAAGAGCTCAGCACTGCCCCCTGGGAAACCAAACCTATGCCCAAATCCCATCTGTGTGGGTCTACCTCCTGGGACCCTTCCTAACATATTAGTCAGAGTCCAATCAGGAAGCATAAACCACTCAAAAGTTTAAAGTGGTAAAATTTAATACAGAGAATTATTCATTATAACAGGTGAACAGCATAATGAGAGATTGGCTAGCACAAAGTAAACAGAACTCTAGAGAATATGGGACTAGCCCAGGCCAGGCATGGTGGCTCATGCCTGAAATTCCAGTAATTTCAGAAGCTAATGCAGGAGGATTGCTTAAGGCCAGGAGCTAGAGACCGGTCTGGACGACACAGTGAGACCCTGTCTCTATCCAAAAGAAGAAAAAAGTTAGCTGGGGGTGGTGGTGCACACTTGTAGTCCCAGCTACTCGGAATGCTGAAGTTTGAGCCTGGGAGGTCAAGGCTGCAGTGAGGCATGATTATGCCACTACAGTCCAGCCTGGTGACAGAGCAAGATCCTGTCTCAAAGACCAAAACAGCAACAACCATTTACAGACAGAAAAGAAATAGAGCTAATAAGCTGAGGAAAGATGTTGAAATGTGACAAGTAAAGTAATATGAGTTCTTTTGTCTATGTAAAATAATCAAACAAAAAATGACTTACTAAATTATAATACCCTGTGCTGGCAAAGGTGCAGTGAAATGGGCACTTTCTTATACTATGAGGGGTGGTTAAATTGTGTATAAGCCTTCCAGGGTAAAGCCTGTCAATTTTTTAAAATAATGGAGACAGGGTCTCACCATACTGCCATACTGCCTCCTCCAACTCTTGGCCTCAAGCAATCCTCCTCTCTTAGCCTCCCAAAGTGCTAAGATTATAGCTGGGAGGCACCCAAAACCCTGTCAATTTACATCAAGGGTAAGGAGAATGTCCATTCACCATGACTCACAGTAATCTTACTTCTGGGGAGACAATTCAGTCTAAACAAAAGGTCATCTGTACACACACAGTAAAAATCTGGGAGTAACTGAAGACAGAGTTGGTAAGTGAAATAAGAAACAGTTATAAGAAATTAAACTATGGTATCAATAGGCACCTGGTACAAAAGGTCAGTTGATGTTGGCTGCTACTTTTTTGTTGTTTTGAGACAGGGTCTCACTCTGTCACCCAGGCTGGAGTGCAGAGGCCTGATCATGACTCACTGCAGTCTCAGCCTCCCTGGGCTCAAGTGATCCTCCCACCTCAGCCTCCCAAGTAGCTGGGACTACAGGAACATGCCACCACACTAGGCTAATTCATGTATTTTTCTGTAGGGATGGTGACTCCCCCTTTGTTTCCAAGGCCTATCGCAAACTCTTGGCCTCGAGCCATCCTCCTGCCTCAGCCTCCCAAAGTGTTGTGATTACCAGTGTGAGCCACCACACCTGGCCAGCTGCTACTTTTATCAATATTATTCTTATTCCACTCAATTAAAAATTATTATTTTCAAGGCTATGCAACAGTATGTATCCTACAGCGTAATTGTAAAAACATATACAGTCGTCGTCCCTCAGTATACAGAATTAGTTCCAGCCCCCCATCTCTGCATATACCAAAATCCATGCTTACTCACGTTTTGCTGTCACCCCTCTGGAATCCACGTATACGAAAATTCCAAATATTAGTTGGGCATAGTGGCAAGCACCTGTAGTCTCAGCCACGTGGGAGGTTGAGGTGGGAGGATCGCTTCAGCCTGGAAGGTTGAGGCTGCAGTCAGCTGCGATAGCACTACTACACTCCAGCCTTGGACAACAGAGGGAGACCCTGTCTCAGAAAAAAAAAAATAAATAAATAAAACAGGTTAGAAACTGTGATGAGGTCTGCTGGGCAAAATTCCATATAAGCAAAGTATAAATTAATAAAGCAAATCGTGATAAATTAGTACGATTGGCTTTCTGGAGTTTCTGACAATAAAAGTAAGGAAAATGCAGAACACAAAGACAGAGAGTAAAAAGAGAAATTAGGAAAGCATTCTACATGTTGAATAGGAAGACACTGGCCATGTTCGTGCAGCGGCAGTATGTCGTGACATGACATACCTTGGAGAGAAGTTAACAGATGAGGAAGTTGATAAAAATCATCAGAGAAGCAAAATACTGGTAGCGACACTCAAGTAAACCATGAAATTTCCATAACTTATGTCAGCAAAGTGGGAATATTGTACAGTGTGTGTTGAAGTTCCTATACAACATTGTTTATCTGCCTTTTGTTTGTTTGTAAGGAATGTATATACTAAAAGTTCTTCTTGCTGTCAAAAGAATATGCGTGAATAAGTCATTTTAACTTATTCTTCTGTTTTTCTTTTATCTTCCTGCCATCATCCCACAGCCTTACTTTAGAAATTTTTTTTTTAGAAAATTGAACAAGTGCTCCTTGTGGTGGCACATGCCTCGAGGATGGGAGGCAGGGGTGGAAGGGTCACTTGAGGCCATTAGTTTGACACCAGCCTGGCCAACAAAGTGAGACCCCGTGTCTACAAAACAATTTAAAAATTAGCCAAGTATCGTCATGTATACCTACAGTCCCAGCTACCTGAACTTACTGAGAATGTTCAGGGCCTGGAGAGAAGGCTGGGAGGCAGGAGCTGGGTCTAAAGAGGCCATTGTAACGATGGAGCTGTGCCTGTGGAGGCTGTTGTGAGGCAGTAGCCTCATCTGCGGAGGCTGCCGTGACGTAGGGTATGGGCCTAAATAGGCCATTGTGAGTCATGAGCTTGGTCTGTAGAGGCTGACTGGAGAAAGTTCTGGGCCTGGAGAGGCTGCCGGGAGGTAGGAGCTGGGCCAAAAGATGTAAGCACATTTGCATTTATTAGGCACTTTATTTCCATTATTACACTGTGATATATAATAAAATAATTATAGAACTCACCATAATGTAGAATCAGTGGGCGTGTTAAGCTTGTTTTCCTGCAACTGGATGTTCCCACCTGAGCGTGATGGGAGAAAGTGACAGATCAATAGGTATTAGACTCTCATAAGGACAGCGCAACCTAGATCCCTCACATGCACGGTTCACAACAGGGTGCGTTCTCCTATGAGAATCTAACGCTGCTGCTCATCTGAGAAGGTGGAGCTCAGGTGGGAATGTGAGCAAAGGGGAGTGGCTGTAAATACAGACGAAGCTTCCCTCACTCCCTCACTCGACACCGCTCACCTCCTGCTGTGTGGCTCCTTGCGGCTCCATGGCTCAGGGGTTGGGGACCCCTGCTCAAGTGCATCCAAAACGACCCTTCCCACACCAGTCTTCACAGTGGTCAAGGGCAGCAACCACTTAGCTCCCAAGGCATGTGCCTCAGCTGGCATTTCGTCACAATCAACAGTAAGTGGTAGCTTGAGTCACTGTGAGGTCACCTACTGGAAATCACCAGCATCCCATTTCCCACTGGCAAAGAGCTCAGCACTGCCCCCTGGGAAACCAAACCTATGCCCAAATCCCATCTGTGTGGGTCTACCTCCTGGGACCCTTCCTAACATATAACCTTCATAACAAACTTGAGAGGCTGAGGTGAGACAATCGATTTAGCCCAGGAGTTTGAGATCAGCCTGGACGACGTAACTAAATCTCATCTCTACAAGGAAGAGGTGGGAGGATCACTTGAGCCCAGGAATTTGTGGCCAGCCTGGGCAACAAAAGAAGACCCCATCTGGCCAACATGGCCAACCTGGCCACCACGGTGAAACTCTGACTCTACAAAAATGATCTGGGCATGGGTGACATGCATGTGTAGTCCTAGCTACTTGGGAGGTTGAGATGGGAGGATTGCTTGATCTCAGAAGGCCAAAGCTATAGTGAGCTATGATCACATCACTGCACTCCAGCCTGGATGGCACAGGGAGATTCTGTCTCAAAAAAAAGAAAAGAAATATATATTTAATCTCTGTCCCTGGTTCCTGGCACAGAGCTTCTAAAGCTCTTACAAAGACCTCAGTGATAGATGTGACAGGAGCATCTTTTGTTTTAATATTTGATCTTGGTCCCAGGTTTCTAACACAAGAGCCTCTAAGAACTTTGGGATCTCCAGCATGGTAAGAATGCATTTGGGGATGTTGTTGAGATGACTGGGTGACTGCAAGCTCCTAAATTTCTTCAAGAGGAGGGCTGATTACCATGCAACCACATGGTAAGAGGCTTGGAACTTTCAGCCTCATGCACTGAACTCCAGGGGGAAGAGGGGCTGGAGACTGACTTAATCACCAACAGCCAAAGGTTTTATCAATCATGCTTGCATAATAAAGCCTCCATAAACACCCTGAAAGGGGTTTGCAGAGCTTTCAGGGTTGCTGGACACAGGAGATGCTGGGAGGGTCGCATGTTCAACAGAGGGCATGGGAGCTCTGTGCCCCTCCGAACTTAACTTGCCCTGGGTATCTTTCTTTTTTTTGAGACAGGATCAGGCTCTTTTGTCCAAGCTGGAGTGCAGTGGCACAATCTCAGCTTACTGTAACCTAAGCCTCCCCAGTCCCCAGCTCAAGGTATCCTCTCATCTCAGCTTCCCTAGTAGTTGGAACTCTAGGTGCACAACACCACACCAGTTATTATTATTATTTTTTAATTTTTTATAGAGACAGGTTTTCACCATGTTGCCCAGGCTGGTCTCAAACTCCTGAGTTTAAGCGATCCTCCCACCTTGGCCTCCCAAAGTGCTGAGATTACAGGCATGAGCCACTGCATCCAGCATGCACGTCTCTTTCATTGACTGTTTCTGAGATGTATCCTTCACAATGAACCAGTAATAGGAAATGAACTGGCCAGATGTGGTGGCTCACATCTGTAATCCCAGCACTTTCAGAGGCTGAGGTGGGAGGATCACTTGAGACCAGGAATTTGTGGCCAGCCTGGCCAACACAACAAGACCCCATCTATACAAAAAATAAAAGAAACTAGCCAGATGTGGTGGTGCAGGCATGTAGTCTCAGCTACTAGGGAGGCTGAGGTGGGAGAACCACTGGAACCCAGACAATCAAGGCTGCAATGAGCTATGACTGCACCATTGCACACCAGCCTGGGCAACAAAATAAGACCCTCTCTCTCAGAAAAAAAGAAAATAAACTGTTTTTCTGAGTTCCGTAAACTGTTCTAGCAAATTATTAAACCCAAGAAGACAGTTACGGGAACCCCCGATTGGTAACAGGTTGGTCAAAAGTATGGTGACAACTTAGGACTTGCCATTGTCATCTGAAGTGAGGATGGCCTCGTGGGACTGAGCCCCTAACTTGTGGGGTCTGTGCTAACTCCAGGTAGTGTCAGAATAAAGTCATGGGATACCCAGTTAATATCCAGAGCACTGAAGAATCTGGTGTAGAAACTCCATACATACATTCAGTCGGAAGTGTGTGAGTAGAGACAAACATGGGCTTTTCTGTCACCTACCTGCTTAACTGCATAGGAGAGGCAATATGTGGTGCTCATGAACAAAGCAAACATTAAAGTCAGACCAGACCCAACATTTGACTCAGTCTTAATATCCAGGTGAGCCTGCGCAAATCATTCATTATTCCTAAGGTTTTCATCACTCCATTCATAAAATGGGGATAACTGTGGCACCTATATGTGATTCTGTGAGAATTAACGAAATATTATGCTTGGGGTTATTGTGATCATTATACCTGTTCCAAACTATTTGACAAGGACAGTGATGGATGAAGACATCAAAAAATCAGAAACTGCAATGAGGTCTCTCAGGCAAAATTCCATACAAGCAAATTACTGTGTCTACAAAGCATTCCTGCCACACTTAATTCACCATTCCCTGAACAAAATATGCCATCTTCGTTGTTCAGGTCTGTACAGTGCTGGTTTCCCTTCCCGGGCAGTTTGCGCTATCCCATCCCGGCCCATTCCCCATCCCTCCACCTCCCCCTTCCCTCCCCACTCTCATACAACTCTTCCTCATCTTTCAGGACTTGGCTTCAATGTCACCTTAACTGGAAGCTTCTCTCACTCTCCAGAAGAGCTTCCCATTGCACCTGATGCATGGGAAACATAATTTGATCATTTTTAAGTTACAGTCCAAATCTTTTTGTACCTGAATAACATGTTGCCCAGTCAGTCTCTCTTCCTGGATTCACAAGTCTTTCATGGTAGATCCAGCTGGAAGTGACAAAAAGACATCTTTTGACATAAAGGGATGACACAGACAGACATAAGTTCTTAAATGTCTTAAATGTCATGTGAAAATTAAACAGAATTCAAAGACTTGTGGGGAGCACTTAGGAAGTTACTGGGAATGTCATGAAGGGTTAATTTGTATTTTATTTTATTTTTTGAGACAGTCTCATTCTGTCACCTAGGCTGGAGTGCAGTGGTGCAATCAGGCTCACTGCAGCCTTGACCACCTGGGCTCAAGTAATCTCACTTAATTTTTATTTGGTTTAAGAAAGTCTTGGTTGAGGGTGGTGGCTTATGCCTGTAATCTCAGCACTTTGGGAGGCTGAGAGAGGTATATTACTTGAGGCCAGGAGTTTGAGATCAGACTGGGCAATATATTAAGACCCTGCCTCTACCAAAAAACAGAGTGAATGTGTGGAAGACAATTTTTCCACAGACTGGGAATGAGGGAATAATTTCAGGATGATTCAAGTGCATTACATATATTGTGCACTTTATTTCTATTATTACTACATAGTAATATATAATGAAATGATTCTACAACTCACTATAACGTAGACTCAGTGGGATCTCTGAGCTTGTTTTCCTGCAACTAGACTGTCCACCTGGGGTGATGGGAGACAGTAACAGAATATCAGGCATTAGATTCTCATAAGGAGTACACAACCTAGATCCCTCGCATGCACACTTCACAACAGAGTTTGTGCTCCTATGACAACCTAATGCTGCTGCTGATCTGACAGGACATGGAGCTCAGGTGGTCGTGCAAGCGATGGGAGGGGCTAGAAATACAGATGAAGTTTCCCTTCACTCGCCTGCTGCTCACCTCCAGCTCTGTGGCCCTGTGGTTGGAGACCGCTGCTCAAGTGCATTTGAAAGGAACCATCCCACGCCATTCTTCAGAGTCATCTTTACTGCTGCAGTGGTCAACTTGTAGCACCCCCAAGCTCGCAGGACATATGCTTCAACTGGCATTTCACAATCAACAGTATGTGGCAGCTTGAGTCATTGTGAGCTCACTTCCTGGAAATCACCAGCATCCCATATCCCATTGCAAGGAGCTCAGCACTGCTCCTTGGATAACCAAACCTATTCCCAAATCCCATCTGTGTGCGTCTATCTCCTGGTACCCTTCCTAGCATCAATTCTGTATTTGTAGGAGTCCAATCAGGAGACACAAACCACTCAAAAGTTTAAACTAGAATGAGCAAGATGGCTCACACCTGTAATCCCAGAACTCTGGGAGGCCAAGGTGGGTGGACTGCTTTGAGCTCAGGAGTTTGAGAACAGTCTGGGAAACATGGTGAAACCTCGTCTCTACAAAAAACACAAAAATCAGCTGGGTGTGGTGGCACTTACCTGTAATCCCAGCTACTCGGGAGGCTGAGGCAGGAGAATTGCTTGAGCCTGGCAGGTGGAGGCTGCAGTGAGCAGAGGTTGTGCCACTGTACTCCAGCCTGGGTGACAGTGTGAGACCCGGTATCAAAAAGAAAAAACGTATATATATATATATATGTAAATTTAATATAAAAAGTATTAATTTTGGCCAGGCAAAATGGCTCATGCCTGTAATCCCAGCACTTTGGGAGGCCAAGGCAGACAGATCACCTGAGGTCAGGAGTTCGAAACCAGCCTGACCAGCACAGAGAAACCCCATCTCTACTAAAAATACAAAATTAGCTGGGCATGGTGGCACATGCCTGTAATCCCAACTACTCGGGAGGCTGAGGCAGGAGAATTGCTTGAACCCAGAAGGTGGAGGTTGCGCTGAGCCGAGATAGCACCATTGCACTCCAGCCTGGGCAACAAGAGTGAAACTCCATCTCAAAAAAAAAAAAAAAGGTATTAATTTTTACAGAGGATCAGCACAATGAGGGACACACTAGCACAAAGTAAAGACAACTCTAGAGAATACGGAACTAGCAGAGGCCAGGCATTGTGGCTCATGCCTGTAATCCCAGCAATTTGGGAAGCCTAGGCAGGAGGATCGCTTGAGGCCAGGAGTTGGAGACCAATCAGTGCTAAATAGTGAGACTCTGTGTCTACCAAAAAAAAGAGACATTAGCCAGGTGTGGTGGTGGTGCACACCCGTAGTTCCAGCTACTTGGGAGTCTGGGGTGGGAGAAATCCCTTGAGCCTGGGAAGTCTACACTACAGTGAGCCAAGATTGTGCCACTGCACTCCAGCCTGGGCGACAGAGTGAGACCCTGTCTTAGAAAGAAAAAAGAAAAGAAAGTGTTAATCCCCCTATGGGAATCTCCTCTTCTCCTGCCCTCTCTGGAACCTCACTTGTCAGTTCTTCCTCCCACTTTCCTGTATCTTTAACCTATCCCCCACTTTTAGCTCCTTCCCATCATCATTTAAATTACTCAAACTTCTTCTGTTTTAAAAACCTCTCCCTAAACTCAGGGAGAGGTCTTCTGCACACACATTGAGCCATCTGCTCTTCCTGGTGCCTTCTCTACAGCAGCCTGAGCCATGTCTCTAATCTATGAATCTCATCATGTTACTCCCCCATTTACATCACTTCTCCTTGCCTCAGGGATTAAGTCCAAACTCCTTAACAGCCCCTGCTCTGCCCTGCCTTGCAAGGCAGCCTCACTGCTTGCCCCTCTCCATTTCATCTGCTATGGAGTCCAACTGAGCCTCATCTGCCCCTTGAACGCACACTCTTTCTCCTCTGGGAGTCTCTGAAGTGGGTAATATCCTCTGCTTATAATATGCTTCCCCTTAAACCTCTACTCTCTTCCTAGCTAGCTTTGACTCCTCTGTCACTTGTCCGCTTTGGCATCACCTCCTCATAGAAGACTTCTATGACTCCCGAGATTCTCAGGAGCATGGCAGGTGAAGTGCTCCTCCCATGAATGGATGGAGATTAGGGAGTGTGTGTTATTCATGCTTAATTCACCAGTGCTTAGCTGAGTACCTGGCATAAAATAGTTACTGTGGTGGCCAAAGTAATAACCCCCACCGCCACCAATTGCTCATGTCCTATGTTACACAGCACAATTACATAGGAAGGGGGAATTAAGAGTGCAGATAAAATTAATGTTGCTCATCAGCTGACCTTAAAACAAGATTATCCTGGAGTATCTAGGAGAGCCCATGTAATTACAAGCATTCTTTAAAACTGGAAGAGGGAGGCAGAAGGTTAAGAACCAGAGACGGTGGGCACAATGGCTCATGCCTGTAATACCAATACTTTGGGAGGCCAGGGTAGGAAAATCCCTTGAGTGCAGGAGTTCAAGGTCAGCCATGGCAACATACTGAGGTCCCATCTCTACAACAAAATAAAAACAAAATTCACTGAGTGTCACGATGCTTACCTGTAGTCCCAGCTACTGGGAAGGCTGACATGGTAGGATTGCTTGAGCCTGGGAGTTTGAGGCTATAATGAGCCATGATAGGACCACTGAACTCCATCCTGAGTGACAGGGCAAGGTCCTGTTTCTGAAGAAAAAAAGGACATTGGAATCAGGACCCTCTCCATCCTGAGGTGCCTACAAGGCATCTCTCTCTGCAAACGAGTAAACATCACCCTCCAACTCCTTACAGAGTGGAGCAACAGGAAAACTCCTTCACCTCATTTCTGTGCTGCTTGGGAGGCCTGGACAGCCCAATAACCAGCTCCTCGCTGATGAAGCAATCAGGAAATGGCTCGAGTTGAGCTAAGGAGAATTTGGATCCTTCCTTTGGTTCTCAGTAGGCAGGGTAGGGGGCCAGGCATGGTGGCTCATACCTGTAATCCTTGCACTGTGGGGGGCCAAGGTGAGAGGATTGCTTGAGGCCAGGAGCTCAAGACCAGCCTGGACAACATAGCAAGACCTGGGTGGCATACACCTGTGGTCCCTACTACTTGGTAGGATGAGGTGGGAGGATTGATCACTTGATCCCAGGAGTTTCAGGCTGCAGTGAGCCATGATCACACCACTGCACTTCAGCCTGGGTGACAGAGCCAGACCATGTCACAAAAAGTTAGAAAAAAAAAAGAGGGAGAGAGACTATACACAGGCACCACCACATTTGGCTAATTTTTAAATATTCTGTAGAGACAAGGTCTTGCTAGGTTGCCCAGGCTAGTCTAAAACTCCTGGCATCAGGCTGGGCATGGTGGCTCATGCTTGTAATCGCAGCACTTTGGGAAGCTAAGGCAGGCAAATCACCTGAAGTCTGGAGTTCGAGACCAGCCTGGCCAACACGGTGAAACTCTGACTCTATCAAAAATACAAAAATTAGCTGGGCAGTAGTGGCGTGTACCTGTAGTCTCACCTACTCGGGAGGCTGAGGCAGGAGAATCACTTGAACCTGGGAGGTGGAGGTTGCAGTGGACCCCATCACTGCACTCCACCCTGGGTGACAGAGCGAGACTGTCAAAAACAACAACAACAATAACAAAAACAAAAACAACAACAACAAAAAAAACTCCTGGCATCAAGACATCTTCCTGTCTTAGCCTCCCAAAGCCCTGGGATTATACTGTTTCCTATAATTGAAGACACTTGTTCTTATACTGCTTTAAGGTATAAAGGAAGAAAAAAAAAACAGATAATGGCAAATGTTGGTGAAGGCCGGGCATGGTGGCAGCCTGTAATTCCAGAACTTAGGGAGGCTGAGGTGGGCAGATCACTTGAGGCCAGGAGTATGAGACCAGCCTGGGCAACATGGTAAAATCCCACCACTACAGAAAAATCTAAAAATTAGCCAGGCATGGTGGCGTACACCTGTAATTTTCAGCTACCCAGGAGGCTGAGATGAGAGAATCACTTGTGCCTGGGAGGTCACGGCTGCAGTGAACTGTGATGGCATCATTGCACTGCGGCCTGAGAGACAGAGCAAGCCCCTATCTAGAAAAAAAAAATGTCAGTGAAGATGTGGAGGAATTGGAACCCACATACATTACTGGTGGGAACATAAAATTGTGTAACCATTTTGTTTGGGTATTTCTTTTCTTGTCATTTTAATTGGATTTTTAAAAAATCAAGACGGGGTTTCACTATCTTGCCCAGGCTGGTCTTGAATTCACGGGCTCAAGCCATCCTCCTAGCTGAGCCTCCTGAGTAGCTGGGATTACAGGTGTGAGCCATTGCACCCAACTGGTATAGCCACGTTAGAAAACAGTCTGGCAGTTTCTCAAAAGGCTAAATGTACAGTCATCCTATAATGCAACAATTTCACTCCTAGGCATATATCCCAGAAAAATAAAAATATATGTCCACACAAAAACTTGTACAACAATCTTCATAGCAGCATTATTCATAATGACCAATACATGGAATACATGGAAACAACCCAAATATCCACCAACTGATGAACAGATAAACAAAATGCAGTGTGTCTCTACCATGGAATACTGCCATAGAAGGAATGAAATATTGATACACACTATGACATAAAGGAACTTTGAAAACACTGTGCTAAGAGGGAAGAAAAGCCACAAAAGATCACATATTGTACAATTCTATTTGTCCAGATTAGGCAAATCTATAGTGACAAAAAAATTAATCAATGGTTGCCTAAGGCTGGGGGCAAAGGTAGGTGGGGAGAGTAGGAGGTAGTGGCTAAGGGGTATGGATTTCTCTATAGGGTAATGAAAGGTTCTAAAAGTGACTGTGGTGATCGATGCACAGCTCTGTGAATATTCTAAAACCTACTGAATTGCAGATTTCAATAAATAAAGTGAATGGTATGTGAATATTTTAATAAAGCTATTATTTAAAATAATAATAATAGGGGGCTGGGCACAGGTGGTCATGCCTGCCTGTAATCCCAGCACTTTGGGAGGCTGAGGCAGGAGGATCACTTGAGGTCAGGAGTTTTGAGCCCAGTCGGAGCAACATGGCAAGATCTCGTCTCTATGATAAAAAATTACCTGGACATGGTGGCACATGTCTGTAGTCCCAGCTACTTGGGAGACTGAAGTGAGAGAACCACTTGAGCCCAGGAGTTTGAGGCTACAGTGAACCATGATCATGTCACTGTACTGTAGCCTAAGCAACAGAGCAAGATGCCATCTCTGAAAAGGAAAGAAAACAAATGCAAGTTTTTATCACTTTGTGAGTGTAGCCAAGTTGGAGGAGAAATAGACAATAATAAAAGAGCACTGAATAATGACGGTGAGTGGCTGGTTAGGCTCAGTTGCTAGCTAAATGGCTTCTAAAAAATTCAATAAAGTTACAGCTCTGGGGACAGTCATGTAGTCAAAGAATGAAGGCGAAATTCATTACAATTGCCCATGGTCTTTATTTACATGCCTTCTAGTGAAAAATTCCTAAGTGCCTAAACAGCAAGTCTGCAATGATAGCAGCTGTTTATTAAAGACTACAAAAAAGAAATGGAGGCCGGGCGTGGTTGTTCACATCTGTACTCCTTGAATTTTGGGAGGCTGAGGCAGGCAGATTGCCTGAGGTCAGGAGCTCCAGAGGAGCCTGGCCAACATGGTGAAATCCCATCTCTACTAAAAATACAAAAATTAGCTGGGTATGGTGGCGGGCACCTGTAATCCCAGCTACTCGGGAGGCTGAGGCAGGAGAATTGCTTGAACCCAGAAGGTGAAGGTTGCAGTGAGCCAAAATCGCACCATTGCACTCCAGCCTGGGTGACAAGAGAAAGACTCTTATCTTAAAAAAAAAAAGAAAAAAAAGAAATGGCATCTTCTTCAAGAATTACATCGTGTTTCATGATAAAGAAGCTCTAATTTTGCATTTGTTCAAGTATTGATGAGATTTACCCAATATGACACCCATCTTGGATAAAATGCAAACAACACAATTTCATTTTCTCATTAACAAAACCGATTAAGTAGTCTAATATAAATTGCGATCTTATTAAAAACTGATCAGATTAAAAAAATTATGGAATTATGGAGCCAATAAGATGTTACAACCTGTTCCAAGGGGAATTCCAAAATCCACACATATCTGAGACCATCAAGTATGATGAAATATATTTGATTACTATATTGAAAAATAAACTGATTACATAGCCAACAATTGGACAGGGGTCTCCTCATCCACAGCCACACAAACCCGATCATGCAGCTATGTGGTTACAAGGCCTACATAGCCTAGAAGGGACTGGTCTGACTTGAGATTTCATTTGTATTTGTATTTTGAGACAGGGTCCCACTCTGTCACCCAGGATGGAGTGCAGTGGTATAATCATAGCTCACTGCAACCTTGACCAACTGGGCTCAAGAGATGCTCCTGCCTCAGCTGCCCCCATACCTGGGAATACAGGCAAGTACCACCATGTCAGGCATTTTTTTCATTTTTGTAGAGAGAGAAGACTTGCTATGTTGCCCAAGCTGGCCTCAAACTCCTAGAATCAAGAGATCTGCCCATCTCAGCCACATGAGTAACTGGGGCCATAGGTACATACCATCATGCCTGGCTATATTTATTTTATTTTATTAAATTTATTTTTTTTATTTTTGTAGAGAGGAGGTCTTGCTGTGTTGCCCAGGCTGCTCTCAAACTCATGGCCTTAAAACATACTCCCATCTCTGCCTCTCAAACTGTTGGAACTATAGGTGTGAGCCACTGTACCTGGCCTGACTTGGGATTTCTTTTATCTAGCATCCTTTACTTGGTAGGATTGGGAAAAGCAGTAGTGTTTTTTAAAATTACTTAATAATTCAATCAGAATCAAACTCAACCTTGACCACTGCCTTCTCTCACAGCTCACATCCAGTCTGTCAGGAAATCCTACTGACTGACTTCAACATGTATCCAGGCTCTAACCATCTCTCACCACCACCATGAACCCCGTCAGGATCACTATCATCTCCCACCGGGATGTTGCCACAGCTTGGCTCCCATGCTTCTACCCAAATCTTCCCATAGTCTTTCTCAACTCGGCAGCCAGGTCGTGCTTTTAAATCAGGAGACGGATCATGTCGCCTCTCTGCTCAGAAGCCCTCGGTGGTTCCCATTTTAGTCAGAGTAAAAGCCAAAGCCCCAGCAATAGCGTCCCAGGGCTTACACGATCTGTACCGATCCCAGCCCAGCAACTCCCTGGCCACCTCGCTGACTTCGCTCCCTCTATCTCTTTGCTCCACTGGCCTCCTTCCAGAGCCTCAGACACACCAGAGAGTTTCCTCCTAATGCCTTTATCCTGTTGACTCAGCCTACAATGCTCTTCCCTCAGCACCTTGGCCAGCTCCATCACCTGCTTCAAACTTTTGCTCAATATTCACTTATGAGGCCAACCCTGACCACTCTACTTAACACTGCCATCTGTCCCCATTCCCACCATGCTCATTTCTTTCTTTCTTTTTGAAACAAGGTCTTGCTTTATTGCCCAGGCTGGAGTACACTGGTGCAATCACAGCTCACAGCAACTTCAACCTCCCAGGCTTAAACAATCCTCCCGCCTCAGCCACCCTAGGAACTGAGACTACAGCTGCATGCCACAACACATGGCTTTTTTTTTTTTTTTTTGAGATGGAGTCTCGGTCGCCCAGGCTGAAGTGTAAGGGTGCGATCTTGGCTCACTGCAATGTCTGCCTTTTGGGTTCAAGTGATTCTCTGCCTCCCAAGTAGCTGGGATTACAGGCACCCACCACCACACCTGGCTAATGTTTGTATTTTTAGTAGAGATGGGGTTTCACCATCTTGGCTAGGCTGGTCTTGAACTTCTGACCTCGTGATCCACCCTCCTCGGCCTCCCAAAGTGCTGGGATTACAGGCGTGAGCCACTGCGCCTGGCCTTTAAAAAAATTTTTTTTTAGACATGAGGTCTCATTATGTTGTCCAGGCTGGTCTTAAGCTCCTGGGCTTAAGCGATCCTCCCACCTCAGCCTCCTAAAGTTCTGGGATTACAGGCGTGAGCAACCGTAACATGAGGTCCCAGCTTCATGTTCATTTTTTGTTGTTGCTACAACAAAGTACCCTACATTTAGTGGCATCAAACACCACAAATCTACCATCTTACAGTTCTGGGGGCCAGAAGCCCAACTAGGTCTATTAAGGTTAAAGTCAAGGTGTCAGAGAGGCTGCATTCCTTCTGGGGGAGGCTCTAGAAAGAATGTGCTCCTTTGCCTTTTCCAGCTTCTAGAAGCCACCCCCATTCCTTGACTTACCTCGTGACTCCATATTCAAGGCCAGAAGTGCAGCATCTTCAAATCTCCCTCTCTGACCTCTTCTTCCATTACCACATCACTTTCTCTAATTCTGACTCTCCTACCTCATTCTCTTATAAAGATCCTTGTGATTGGTGGGTATGGGGGCTCCCATCTGTAATCCCAACATTTTGGGAGGCCAAAGAGGAAGGATTGCTTGAGGCCAAGAGTTAGAGATCAGCCTGGGGAAAAAAAGGAAGATCCTGCCTTTACAAAATTAAAATCAGCTGGACATGGTGATGCATGCCTGTAGTTCCAGCTACTGGAGAGGCTAAGGTGGGAGGATTGCTTTAGCCTAGGAGGTCAAGGCTGCAGTGAGCTATGATCACATCACTGCACTCCAGCCTCAGTGGCAGAGTGAGACTCTGTCTCCGATATAAGAAAAGAAATATACATTTGGTCTCTGCCCCTGGTTCCTGGCATAAAGCTTCCAAAGCTCTTATAAAGCCCTTCGTGACAGAGGTAATAGGAGCATTTTCTGTTTTGATATTTAGTCTTAGTCCCAGGTTCCTGACACAAGGGCCTCTAAGGTCTTTCAGATCTGCAGCATGGTAAGAATGCATGTGGGATGCTGTTGAGCTAACAGGGTGGCTGCAAGCTCCGAGACTGCTTCAGGAGGAGGGCTAGCTGCCAGAGAAAGCAACCACATTTTTTTTTTAAAACGGAGTTTGGCTCTTGTAGCCCAGGCTGGAGTGCAATGGCACAATCTCAGCTCACTACAACCTCCACCTCCCGGGTTCAAGCAATTCTCCTGCCTCGGCCTCCCGAGTAGCTGGAATTATAGGGATGTGCCACAACGCCTAGCTAACTGTTGTTATTTTTAGTAGAAATGGGGTTTCACCATGTTGGTCAGGCTGGTCTCAAACTCTTGACCTCAAGTGGTCCATGTGCCTCAGCCTTCCAAACTGCTAGGATTACAGGAGTGAGCCACCGCACCTGGCCCCAACCACATTTTTTGAGGCTTGGAACTTTCAGCCTCACCTGCTGAACTCCAGGAGGCAAAAGGAACTGGAGATTGACTTAACTACCAATGGCCAATGATTTTATCAATCATGCCTCCATAAACACCCAAACAGCAGGGTTTGGAGAGCTTCTGTGTTGCTAAACACAAGGAGGTCCTGGGAGGGTAGTGTGCCCAACAGAGGGCATGGAAGCTCTGTGCCCCTCCCCACTTACCTTGTCCTGTGCATCTCTTTCATTGGCTGTTCCTGAGATGGAGCCATTACATTGAGCCAGTAATAGAAAATAAGGTGGCCAGATGCGCTGGCTCATGCCCGTAATCCCAGCACTTTGGGAGGCAGAGGTGGGCGGAATCACTTGAGCCTAGGAATTTGAGACCAACCTGGGCAACATAAGAAGACCCCATCTATACAAAAAATAAAAGAAATTAGCCAAATGTGGTGGTGGGAACCCTGTAATTCCAGCTACTTGAGAGGCTGAAGCAGGAGAATCACTTGAGCTCTGGACGTTGAGGCTTCAATGAGCTATGATTGCACCACTGCACACCAGCTTGGACAACAGAGCGAGGCCCTGTCTCTTAAAAAGAAAAGAAAAAAAAACTTGTTTTTCTAAGTTCTGTGAGTTGTTCTAGTAAATAATTAAACTCAACAAGAGGGTCATGGGAAACCCTGATTTCTAACTGGTTGGTCAAAATACAGGTGACAACCTAGGACTTGCAACTGGCATCTGAAGTGAGGGTGGTCTTGTGGGACTGAGCCCCTAACCTGTGGGTTCTGTGCTAACTCTAGGTAGTGTCAGAATGGAATTGTGGGATACGCGGTTGGTATCCAGAGAGTTGGAGAACTGGTGTAGAAACTCTGCACACACATTTGGTCAGAAGTCTGTGAGTAGAGAGAAACGTGTTGCAGGAAGTCAGGGACCCCAAACGGAGGGACTGGCTGAAGCCACAGCAGAAGAACATAAATTGTGAAGATTTCATGGACATTTATTAGTTCCCCAAATTAATACTTCTATAATTTCTTAGGCCTGTCATTACTGCAATCTCTGAACATAAATTGTGAAGATTTCATGGACACTTATCACTTCCCCAATCAATACCCTTGTGATTTTCTATGCCTGTCTTTAATCTCTTAATCCGGTCATCTTCGTAAGCTGAGGATGAATGTCCCCGCAGGACCCTGTGATAATTGCGTTAACTGCACAAGTTGTTTAAACAATATGAAACCTGGGCACCTTGAAAAAAGAACAGGATAACAGCAATTTCAGGGAACAAGGGAGATAACCTTAAACTCTGGCTGCCAGTGGGCCGGGTTGAACAGAGCCATATTTCTCTTCTTTCAAAAGCAAATAGGAGAAGTATTGCTGAATTCTTTTTCTCAGCAAAGAACATCCCTGAGAAAGAGAATGCATCCCTAAGGGGAGGCCTCTGAAATGGCCGCTTTGGGGACGGCTGTCTTTTACAGTCATAGATAAGGGATGAAATAAGCCCTGGGTTCGCGTGGCGCTCCCAGCCTTATCAGGACAAGGAAATTCCCGCCTAATAAATGTTGGTCAGATGGGTTGTCTGCTCTCAAACCCTTTCTCCTGATAAGATGTTATCAATGACAATGCGCGCCCGAAACTTCATTAGCAATTTTAATTTCGCCCCGGTCCTGTGGTCCTGTGATCTTGCCCTGCCTCCATTTGCCTTGTGATATTTTATTACCTTGTGAAGCATGTGATCTCTGTGATCCACACCCTATTCGTACACTCCCTCACCTTTTGAAAATCACTAATAAAAACTTGTTGGTTTTGCGGCTTGGGGGGCATCACGGAACCTGCCGACGTGTGATGTCTCCCCTGGACATCCAGCTTTAAAATTTCTCTCTTTTGTACTCTTTCCCTTTATTTCTCAGACTGGCTGACACTCAGGGAAAATAGAAAAGAACCTACATGAAATATCAGGGGTGAATTTCCCCCGATATCACACTGGCTCTTCTCTCACCTGTCTACCTGCTTAACTTAATAGGAGAGGCAATGCATGGTGCTCATGAACAAGGCAAGCATTAAAGTCAGACCAGACTAACATTTGACTCAGTCCTAATATTCAGGTGAGCTTGGGCAAATCGCTCATTAACCCCAAGTCTTCATCATTTTGTGCATATAATGGGGATAACTGTGGCACCCACCTGTTTTTGTGAGAATCAATGAAATATTATGCTTGATGTTATTGTGATCATGATACTATCTGACAAGGGCAGTGATGCATGATAACATCAAAAAATTAGAAACTGTAATGAGGTCTCTTGGGCAAAATTCCATACAAGCAAATTACTGTCTCTACAAAGCATTTCTGCCACACTTAATTCACCATTCCCTGAACAAAATGTGCCATCTTCATTGTTCAGGTCTGTATAGTGCTGGTTTCCCTGCCTGGGCAGCTCACTCCATCCCATCCCAGCCCAATCCCCATCCCTCCACCTCCCCCTTCCCTCCCCACTCTCATACAACTCTTCCTTATCTTACAGGACTTGGCTTCAATGTCACCTTAACTGGAAGCTTCTCTCCCTCTCCAGAAGAGCTTCCGATTGCACTTGATGCATGCACTATTATTTGATCATTTTTGAGTTACAGTCCAAGTCTTTTTGTACCTGAATAACATGTTGCCCAGTCAGTTTCTCTTCCTGGATTCAGAAGTCTTTCATGGTAGGTCCAGCTAGAAGTGACAAAAAGACATTTAAAAAAAAAAAAAGAGGGATGACACAGACAGACATCAGCACTTAAAAGTTTTAAACGATATGTGAAAAACAAAATTTAAGGGCTTCTAGGAGAAATGTAGGAGGGAAGGTGTTACTGGGAAATATGATAGAAGGTTAATTTTTATTTTATTTTATTTTTAGAGAAAGGGTCTTGCTCTATCACCTAGGCTGGACTGCAGTGGTGCAATCACAGTTAACTGCAGCCTCAACCTCCAGGGCTTGAGCAATATTCCCATCTAATTTTTATTTTGTTTAAGAAATGCAGTCTTGCTCTTAGCAAAGCTAAAGTGCAATGGTGTGATCATAGCTTACTGCAGCCTCAACCTTCTAGACTCAAGTGATCCTCCAGTCTTAGCCTCCCCAGTAGCTCGGACTACAGGTGTGCACTGCAACGTGTAGCTCATTTTTTTTTTTAATTTTTAGTAGAGACAAAGTGTCACTATGTTGACCAGGTTGGTGGTGATCTCCTACACTCAGGCAGTTCTCTCACCTCAGCCTTCCAAAATGCTGGGATTACAGGTGTGAGCTGCCACACCTGGCTGAGGGGGTTAATTTTTAATTATATAAAGAGCTCAAAGCAAATATTAGAAGGAGCCTAAATGCCTCCAGCAGTTGACTGGTACTGGTAAATTGTGATACATCCATATAATAAAATATTATGCAACCATAAAAAGGATTAAGATAGATCAATAGGTATTGGCACAAATGTCCACGAAATATGAAAATATGAAGTGATGTTCAATCACCATGTACGTATCTTGAAGGATATGGCCCATT
This sequence comes from Homo sapiens, assembly GCF_000001405.40. Lineage (NCBI taxonomy): Eukaryota > Metazoa > Chordata > Mammalia > Primates > Hominidae > Homo > Homo sapiens. Next base: position 756,962 of record NC_000001.11, read on the forward strand.
TTCTCAACTGCAATTATTTCCTGAGATAAGATTATGGGTCTAAAGAGTGAAGGACATTTTTCACTTATTTAAAAGTATTTATCATTTTTATAATTTAATAAAAGATTAAACAGATCATTGAATTAGTAAAAGACAAAGTAACTCTATAAATAAATGGAAAAGACACAGATACCCCAGGCATGGTGGCTCATGCTTATAATACCAGTACTTTGGGAGGGGGTGGTGGGGGGATTGCTTGAGGCCAGGAGTTCCAGACCAGCCTAAGAAACAAAGCAAGACCTCCTCTCTAGTAAAAATAAAAAAATAAAAATAATTGGCCAGGCATAGTGGCATGTGCCTATAGTCCCAACTACTGAGGTGGAAGGATCACCTGAGCCTAGGAGGTCAAGGCTGCAGTGAGTTGAGACTGTGCCACTACACTGAAGCCTAGGAGACAGAGCGAGACTTCATCTCAAAAAAAAAAAAAGGACAATAAAGAAATAAAGCTAATAAGCTAACATAAGGAAAGATAAAATATGTGACAAATAGGCTGGGCACATGGCTCACAGCTGTAATCAAGCACTTTGGGAGGCCAAGGCGGGTAGATCACGAGATCAGGAGTTCGAGACCAGCCTGATCAACATGGTGAAACCACGTTTCTACTAAAAATACAAAAATTAACCAGGCATGGTGGCATATGCCTGTAATCCCAGCTACTCAGGAGGCTGAGGCAGGAGAATCGCTTGAACCTGGGAGGCACAGGTTGCAGTGAGCTGAGATCACACCACTGCACTCCAGCCTGGTCGACAGAGCGAGACTGTGTCTCAAAAATGAAAAAAGAATGGGTGACAAAGTAATAATAGGAGGTCTTTCATTTATCACACAGAAAATAACTTGTTAAATTATAATACCTGTGTGGGCGAAGGTGCAGTGAAATGGCCATTTTCTTGTAGTATTAGTGGTGTTTAAAATGTATATAAGCCTTCCAGCATAAAGCTTGGAAATTTTTTTTAAATCATACAGACAGTGACTCATTATACTGCCTCCTCCAACTCCTGGCCTCAAGCAATCCTCCCACCTCAGCCTCCCAAAGTGCTGGAATTACAGGCTGACAGCCACCATGCCTGAAAGCTTTGCAATTTACATCGAGGGTAATAAGAATGCTCATGCCCTGTGACTCACAGTAATCTCACTTCTGGAAATTTCACCTTTGGATATAATTCAACCTAAACAAAAGGTCATATGCACAAACACAGTGAAAATCTGCGAGTAATTTTTTTCTCTTTTTTTAAAAAAATATGGAATGCTTCACAAATTTGCATGTCATTCTTTCACAGAGGCCGTGCCAATCTCTCTATTGTTCCAACTAAAGTATGTGTGCTACTGAGGCAAGCATGAGTAATTTAAGATAGAGTGGTTAAGTGACATAAGGAAGAATTATGGAGAATTTAAAAATCTATGCTATTTATAGGCACCTAGTAACAGCTCAGTAAATATTAGCTGCTACTATTATTATTTTTATGGTAATTTCACTCAATTAAAAACTGTCATTAAAAATTACCATTGTCATGGAACATAATGTCTCCTACTGTGTAATTGTAGAAACAGATACAATTTGTCCCTTGGTATATGGGGGGATTAGTTCCAGCTCTCCCATTTCTGTGTATACCAAAATCCACGCATACTCAAGTTTTCGAAGTCAGTCCTGTGGAATCCACATATAACACAAATGGGAAAATTAGTGAGGTGTGGTGACAAGCACCTGTAGTCCCAGCTACTTGTGAGGCTGAGGCAGGAGGATTGCTTGAGCCCAGGAGGTTGAGGCTGCAGTGAGCCATAATTGCACCACTGCACTCCAGTCTGGGCAACACAGTGAGACAGAAGGTTGACTTTTTAATAGAATTTTTCTGTTCACTTGAAGATATGGTCAGGATTGTGGCATATGAAAATTCTTCATAAAATAACTATCTAATCCAATTAATGCTGGAATTGGGAACAGCAGAAGTGTCATCTCAGAGCTACTCACAATGAAAGGTGATGTCTGGGGCTCAGGTGTGTTGAGGTCCCCATGCCTGGACTATGGGTGCTGAGTGGGATTTACTTGTCCATCCATTTTCTATATTCCAGCACTGGGAAACTAGGGACAGTACTTGTTCTCAAGGGAATCTTCAGCTTAGGTGGCTCTGTAAAAGAGAAATTACATCATTGAAAAATCGTCGCAGGTCAGGTGAGGTGGCTCATACCTATAATCCCAGCCCACTGGGAGACTAAGGCAGGAGGATTCCGTGAGGCCAGGAGTTCAAGACCAGCCTGAGCAACACAGTGAAACCTCATCTCTACAAAAAATTAGAAAATGAACTGGGTGCGGTAAAACATTCGTATAGTCCCAGCTACTCTGGAGGCTGAAATAGGAGGATCGCTTGAGCCCAGGAAGTGGAAGCTGCAGTGAGCTCTGATCTCACCACTGCACTCTAGCCTTGGTGACAGAGTGAGACCCTGTCTCAAGACACACACAAACACACACACACACACACACACACACACACACACACACACACCCAATCTCACTCTGTCCAGCCTTGACTAATCAAAAGGGCCTTCTGGTTACAGAAGAGGTATGCTCTTTTGTAGGACAGGGAGAGACCAGCAAGCTTGTTCACAGACTTTTCCTCATCCTCTGCTTAGTTTTCCAAGAACCCTCACAGTGGAAATGGAGTCTCTGGGAAAATGACCTAAATCTTTGGGTTACCAGGGGAGAAATATGCCTCCTTTGTCAATTAATAAATGGAACATCAGCCTTAAAATCCAGGGAGTTCTGCTAGAATGAATCACTCCCTAAGACCCTGACCAATGCATGGAACATGAAAAACTGAAGTTTAACTGGGCGCGGTGGATCACGCCTGTAATCCCAGCACTTTGGGAGGCTGAGGCGGGCGGATCACCTGAGGTCAAAAGTTCTAGATCAGCCTGGCCAACATGGTGAAACCCCGTCTCTACTAAAAATACAAAAATTAGTTGGGCATGGTGGTGGACACCTGTAATCCCAGCTACTTGGGAGGCTGAGGCAGGAAAATCGCTTGAACCCGGAAGGCGGAGGTTGCAGTTACTTCTAGAAGAATTTCCATTAGCCCTTTGAAATCCTTCAACATTCATGAAGGCCAAAGAGTTTTCACCTAATTTAATCTGATGGGTATGTGACCAGAGTCTTTCTAGGGAATAGAGACTCCCAAACAGTTCGACTGGGAAGTGAGGAGAGAATTTATTACTCAAAACCAAAGGGAAATGAAAAGAGGCCAACATAGAATGTCATTATTCTTTCTTGGCGGGGAATGGATTCCAGAGTCATTCTGTGACCTTTACATGACCTCCTTATTAGCATCTAAAAGCTTCCAGTGTAGGATGCAGCCAGCTAGGTTCTCTTCTAATGTAATAAAATTTGCTTCGGCAAATCTTATGCAGAGCCAACTCCAGGCTCCAGAAACAATAGGCTATAAATTACTGGATCTCCCATTTGATACAATGAAGTATGAGCACGGTCCTGAATGACTCCTCTACATACTACTCTGGGTGGCTTGAAGTGAATTTGATACAAGAACTGGAGCGAGGGCAAAGCAGAGCTAGATCTAGGATTAATGTGCTTGGGCCCAGCTCCTCACTACTCACCTATGAGTCTAGTTCCAGAACCCAAGTAGAGGATGGGGAAACAAGGCTCCTGACTTTTTTTCCCTAATATCTGCATCTCTTTCACATTTCTTATCTCCTTGCAAAGAAACTAAACAGTCTCAACTGAAATAACTAAATGATTAAACCCTATACAGAGAATCTCCAAAGACTGACAAAATATCATTCAAGACTGTTACACAGACAACCTTGAGGATGACTTGATGTACCAGTGATCTACAATATTTGGGATCATTCCAAATTCCCATCAAGGATCTGCCTATATCAACAAAGGAGCCAAGGACCAACCATTCAAATGGGCCCTGCTGCCAAGCCTTTTTTTTTTTTTTTAACAATGCCATCTCTTCATATTGTTCCATTTAACAAAACTGCAGCCCTTCATCTATCCTTAAGTCCCTTGGCCAATGGTACAGAGCCAGAGTATGCTACTCCCTAGCAGGAAATCAACAGGATGACCTACTAAACACCATTCAGAAGATGCTAAGACCCATGAATTGCAACAGGAAAGAAAAGACAGAGAATTAGTCAGACAGGTACATGCTGTGCCAAAAATGCACTACAGCCCCCACCCAATTCTGCCTAATCCTAGCTGGGCTGACACCAACCTGATGAGACAGGCCTATAAGATCTCAAACTAAAACAGAAACTCCTGAACTGGGTTCTTTTGAGCCCAGGAAGCAGCAGTAAATCATTAAAGAACAGATAAGTTCTTAAGGTGAGGGAGAGTTTCAGATAAATGGAATGCTGGTAGAACACAGGGCCCAAAGGAGCAAAAGTTAACCTAAGCCCAGGTAGAACCTTGTTTACTAGAGTATTAGGCATGGGTTTGGGCAACTATTCTAACCAGAGAAACTGGCTTCAGTGAGGGCAAGTTGGCAATCCAAGGTATAGCATGCATAGGGCTGGCAAAATTCAGGGTGACTGAAGCAAAAGCTTCAGAACCAGAAAGACCACATCTGGGGGTAGAGCACAAAACTCTCAAGAGATGAATCTTTGTAAGAGTGAGGCAGAACTATATAGCAGTTTTAGGAGATCTGTTGGTGCCCAGCAAGAGCTCCAAACGGGCTATATGCAGGGATGCAGGCTGTAGTCTCAGGAGAGGAGGTTCACAAAAGTCATTCAGTCCAAGACCTCAAACTGTGTTCTCTACTAAAAGGAATCAAGGTTCCCTAGAGAAACGGCTGACTCCATGTATGGTGCAGTATATTGATCCTGGAACATCTTTTTTGCCAGAAAGCAAGGAAGCCATCAAAGTCCAACAGGATCACGTCAAAAAGACATGAAAGTCAACTTGAAGAGATAATTATTAACCTAGATGAGACAATGTAAGCATCCAAAACAATAAAGACTGCAATGGCCTGAAATACATCAAATGCAAACAATAAACTATGAGTTCATAATGGTATTCAGAAAAAAAAACTACTGGTCATTAGAGGGAAGGTTACTAGGTCACTAACTTACTACTCTGAAAAGTGACTTAAGATGAGAGGTAGGGTGGAGAATTAGCTATTTATTCAGTCTTTCCTGTACAAACATAAATTTTTAGGGAGATTGAAGCAGATGAAACAAATCTGGAAAAATGGAGGTAACTGCTTAATCTGCGGGTTGGGTGCATGGAGGTTCAACATATTTCTTTTGTGTATATTTGAACCCCCTACAAAAAAAGCACAAGACAGAATGTGAGCCAAGCAGCTTAGGGTTTAGGCAAGGCTTCTGCCTACAAGAGACACCAGGATATGAGGGGTAGTTTTAGCCCTATTGGGCTGAGCCAACTGGAGGTATATAGGGAAGTGCTAAATTGCAGAGGTATCATGTTGCCCAGCACTTGATCAAATCCTAGATCCTAGGTCTGCTTGGTGGCATGCTTCCTAGGTAGTGGATCTGAGGCTACCTATAGAACTTCCTTTGCAGTCATAGTTCACTCAGAAACTACAAAAGTGCTTGCTCTTGAAAATGGAGTCTTTGTCCATTTCATGCTTCTATAAAAGAATACCACAGACTGCATAATTTATAAAAAGGAAAAAAGGAAGGAAAGAAAAAAGGAAGGAAGGAGGGAAGGAGGGAAAAAGGGAAGGAGGGAAGGAAAGGAAGGAAGGGAAAGAAGGAAAGGAAGGAAGGGAAAGAGAGAAAGAGGGAAGGAGGAAGGGAGGGAAGGAGGGAGGGAGGGAGAGAGGGAGGGAGGGGAAGGGAAGAAAAGGGAAGAGAAGGGAAAGGAGGAAGAAAAGGAAAGGAAAGGAATAAATTTTATTTCTTAACAGTTCTGGATGTTAGGAAGTCCAAGGTTGAGGGGCCTGCATCTGGTAAGGGTCTTCTTGCTGCATCATCCCACTACAGAAGGCAGAAGGAAAAGAGAGTGCAAGAAAGCAAGAGGGCAAAAGGGGCTGAACTCTGTTTTATAATAAGCCCACTCTGTGATTACTAATCTATTAGCACAATAACAACATTAACTCATTCATGAAGGCTATTTTATTAGGCCCCACATCCCAACTGTTGCATTGAGGATTGAGTTTCCAGCACATAAACTTTGGGGGACACATTTAAACCATAGCAGAGCACTTAGGTTAATTCAACTAAGAGGAGCTGGGAAAATCAAAGGCATGAGAAAGACAGCAAAAGCTAGCAGAGAGAAATGCATAGGTTAAGGAAAAAAGTCACAGTGAATCCTGTAGTGCAGGCTACTTTATCAAAAGCACCTAAAAAAGATCTCATTAACTCCCCCAGCTCACCTCCACCCACATCTAAAGAGCCACACACAGCACCACCAAAGGCAGCACAATGAGAACAGCATTCTCCTCAACAGACAAGCTGGGAGTATCTAGACACCTGACCTCAATAGCTCCAGAACAGCCCTAAAACATTTCCTCCCTAACCACCACTCAAGTCACCAGCTTGGAAAGTATTAAGAAAACCCAAATCCTGACACACCACTATGAAACAACTTAAAACAGCAAAGAACAACCCATTTAAACAGCAATGCCAGCTGTTGGGGAAAAAAGGAACAATGAGTAGAGGAGAAACAGACCACTCGGGGTCCACCAAGACCCAGTCTCTCAGCTTCAGCACTTTTAAATGCAGAATCCATACCCCTCTGGGGCCTGTGGAGCTCCACAAGGCATGTCGTCCTCAAAGATAAATGAGCAGGCAAGCTGGCTAGAAAACCACTAAGGGTATTTATTCTTTAAAGAATCTTTACAGGGTCAAAGAAGAATGGGTCTTAACTGGCTATGTGAACTCCCCACAGATTCTGAGGATGATGTCAGTATCCCTTTCCAGATGTGTTTAACACTTTGCAGTCACTTGTATTCCTGCCACTGAGTGCCAGTGCTTTGCTAATTTGAACTGATTCCAGCTCACGCTGACCCCAGCTCCCTGGATGTTACCATTAGCCAAGACTGTCACCCATACTGTACCCTTTCAAAGAGTCCTAAAAACAGCTCTTCACCTACTCTTCCAAGACAAGTAAAAATGTCTGCCAAAGAAATGGGGAAAAAAGATTCAGAGAGTGAAAACAATTAATATACTAACAAGAGAGCAAAAAGCAAAGGGGGAGGAGAAACTAGGAAAATCATATATGGGCTCTCACCTATTTCCAAAGCTGGGCTAATGTCCTTTTGCTTGTGTCTGAATAAGGCACCAATTTTAAGCTGCTAATGAAAAAAAAAGAAAAAGAGAAAGAAGCAGGCCCAGGCTGGGCGCAGTGGCTCATGCCTGTAATCCCAGCACTTTGGGAGGCCGAGGCGGGTGGATCACCCAAGGTCAGGAGTTCTAGACCAGCCTGGTCAACATGGTGAAACACCATCTCTACTAAAAATACAAAAAATTAGCCAGGCATGGTGGCGCATGCCTGTAAATCCAGCTACTAAGGAGGCTGAGGCAGGAGAATTGCTTGAACCTGGAAGGCAGAGAATGTGGTGACCTGAGATCACGTCATTGCCCTCAAGCCACGGCAATGAGAACAAAATTCGGTAAAAACAAAACAAAACAAAACAAAATCACCATAAAATAACTCAGACTTAATTAAATACAACCCTAGTGGTGAATGACTAAAGATGGATTACTCATAACAGAGATAACGGTCCAATAAGAATCCAGGAATCTTACCTTTTAATAACAAAAAAATCCTTTCCTTCTAAAGTAACATCCTCTCAAGGCCAGGAATTCCATTAGTAGAAAGCCTTCCTAAAAAACAAAATTCCTGGCCAGGCATGGGTTCACGTCTGTAATCTCAGCACTCTGGGAGGCCGAGGCGGGAAGATCACTTGATATCAGGAGTCGAGGCGGGAAGATCACTTGACGTCAGGAGTTCGAGACTGGCCCGGCCAACATGGTGAAACCGCATCTCCACTAAAAATACAAAAATTAGCCTGGTGTGGTGGTGGGCACCTGTAATCCCAGTGACTTGGGAGGCTAAGGCAGGAGAATTTCTTGAACCCAGGAGGCAGAGGTTGCAGTGACCAGCAAGGTTGCGCCATTGCACCCCAGCCTGGGCGATAAGAGTGAAAACTCCATCTCAAAAAAAAAAAAAAAAAATTCCTTTGGGAAGGCCTTCTACATAAAAATCTTCAACATGAGACTGGAAAAAAGGGTATGGGATCATCACCGGACCTTTGGCTTTTACAGCTCGAGCTATAAGAACAAAAAGAAAAAGGGATATCATTTAAACACAGTATGTAGAAAAGAATAATTATTGAATCTGTACTGGTCTTTAACTTTTACACTTTGATCTTTAATTCTGTTATTGTGATTGAGTCCAAAGAAAAACAGTATGAGTAAAATAAAAAGAACACCAAAAATGCTAATATTCTGTTTACCGAAGTCTGTAGTGATATATCCCATTAAATCCAAGTGCAGTGACACACCCATAATCCCAAGCACTTTGGGAGGCTGAGGCGGGTGAATCTCCTGAAGTCAGGAGTTCAAGGCCAGCCTGGCCAACATGGTGAAACCCCAACTCTACTACAAATACAAAAATTAGGCAGGCGTGGTGGCAGAGGCCTGTAATCCCAGCTACTTAGGAGGCTGAGGCAGGGAGAATTGCTTGAACCCAGGAGGTGAGCTTGCCATGAGCTGAGATCATACCACTGCACTCCAGCGTGGGTGACAGAACAAAACTTCAACCTCCAAAAAAAAAAAAACAGCTAGCAGGTGACATTTGCTATAGGGAGACTAGGGATATGATCTTGCTGCAATCCTTCCATTTTAGTAAATCTAAACAGTGTGAATCCATTCTGTTTCGTCCCCACTCCACTCCAGAGCCAAAACAAGAAAATCAATTATATTTCTAGTTCTTTAAAAACATATCTAACTAAATCATCTAATTAAAAGATAATATGCATGGTTCCATACTCTAAAAGAAAACTTATGTCCTGCATATCATGGACATTTGATGAATGCTTATTCAGTTGACTGGTGTAGACTTCAATAATAACCTGTTCAATGCATTATGCCAGATGAATCTTGCATCTCAAAAGTAGAACAAATATTGTTCTTTCAGTTTTGTCTACCCATAAATGCAATATTTACTAATAAAAAGAAAATGAGTTTATTGTTCTAGAGAGTATGAGAATTTTGACAACATGAATTCTCCTGTCCTAGGACATAATTAATACTTAGAGGCATACTATTTCATGTGGAAGCTACCATTAAATCAATGTTAAGTGTTAATTACCTCACATAATCTTCTAATCTGACTTGACTGAAGACGTACCTGACAAAGTTGATTTATCAAGTTGTAAATCTTCACCTGTTGAATTCATAAGTTCATGTCTGAAAGGTGAGAATAAATACTTAATATTCACTAGGCAATTTCAGCAAAGTAATATCCACTAGTACATATTTAACATTTCATCATGAACTGCGGGTGTGAAGAGAAAAGACAGGCTGGGCACAGTGGCTCACACCTGTAATCCCAGCAGTTTGGGAGGCCGAGGCAGGCAGATCATGAAGTCAGGAGTTCGAGACCAGCCTGGCCAACATGGTAAAACCCCGTCTGTACTAAAAGTACAATAATTAGCTGGGCATGGTGGCAGGCACCTGTAATCCCAGCGACTCAGGAGGCTGAGGCAGGAGAATTGCCTGAACCCAGGAGGTGGAGGTTGCAGAAACCATTATCACGCCACTGCATTCCAGCCTGGGCAAGAGAGCAAGATTCTGTCTCCATCAATCAATCAATAAAAATATAAGGAGGAAGCATTTACTGTGTATTTATATGTCTGGTATTATGTGAAGCACTTTACTATCTTATCAAATCTTCGGGACAGGTCTTCAGTTCTCATGACCACAAAAGAGGATACTAAAGCTCAGACAGGAGAAGAGACGTGGCCAGCCTGTGTCCCCAGGGCCTATGGTCTTACCACTAGGTTACAGTGTTTCCAGATATCACATGTTGTGAGATTTTTGCTTTAAAATGAACCAAAAAAAAACCAAAGGTGAAAAAGGCATAAGCTATTAAAAAGTGGGAGAAACACTAAGAGAACCTTAAGCATGTAACTAAAAATATTATGGAAATGTTATTGAATTCATTAGCAAATTTAGTGCTAGGTTTTCATTGAGGAGTAGGTTATATTACTCATGATGAAGAAAAATGTTCCTTTTAAGTATATTAACATAAATACCATCAATATTGTTTATCATGTTTAAATGTTCACTTAAAGCAATTCAGTTAAAATTCTGCATATCATACAATTTTATAGTTTGCTAGTAGGTTACAAGTAAATAGTCACCCAAATAAAAACATCATGTTTTCCACTGGTTGTTGCTCTTTTTTAGGTGAGTATTTGATGTATACCAACAGAGAGAGGATAATAACAAATCGCTAATTTCTTTCATCACTATATAAAGGTGGCTTCAGGATAGAATAGTATCAGGGCAATGATGAATTTGAAATCTAACATCAATTCAGTGATGCATCAAGATAAAAGCAGAGACAACAGGGGCACCTTGGTGAGTACTGAACATTTTATTTATTTACTTATTTATTTTGAGATGGAGTTTTGCTCTTTTTGCCCAGGCTAGAGTGCAATGGTGCCAACCTCGCCTCACTGCAACCTCTGCCTCCTGGGTTCAAGCGATTCTCCTGCCTTGGCCTCCCGAATAGCTGGGATTACAGACATGCGCCACCACACCCGTCTAATTTTGTATTTTTAGTAGAGACGGGGTTTCTCCATGTTGGTCAGGCTGGTCTCGAACTCCCGACCTAGATATCTGCCTGCCTTGGCCTCCCAAAGTGCTGGGATTACAGGTGTGAGCCACCGCGCCCAGATGAATTCCAAATTTAACAAAGCAGACTAAGAGAAACAATTCATTTAAAAAAATAATATTTGGCCAGGCATGGTGGCTCACACCTATAATCCCAGCACTTTGGGAGGCTGAGGTGAGTGGATCAGGAGGTCAGCAGTTCAAGACCAGCCTAGCCAAGATCATGAAACCCCGTCTCTACTAAAAATACAAAAATCAGCCAGGCGTGGTGGCTGGTGCCTGTAATCCTAGCTGCTCGGGAGGCTGAGGCAGAGAACTGCTTGAACCCGGGAGGCGGAGGTTGCAGTGAGCCGAGATCGTGCCACTGCACTCCAGCCTGGGCGACAGAGTGAGGCTCCGTCTCAAAAAAAATAAATAAATAATTCAATGAAATTCCTAAGATCCAGGGCTTTGCAATAAATATGTAAATAAATTTCCAATCTCCATACTGAAAGTTTAAAAGAAATGCTAACTAATAACTAAAGAAATACAACTTTTCCTCAGCTTTGCAGCAATCTAGAAACAAAGTGTGTAGACACTACAAAGCACCTTACAAGGAGAAACATGTAAGGATGGCATGACTCGCCGGCAGCCCTGGGCTTGTCCACGGTACCCCCATGATGAACAGTAACTCCACTGTGTAAACGCCCATGAACATAAGATTACAAGACTTTTCCAGTTTAGACATACCATATTTTCTTTCAGACAATTCTTCAGTTTGTTTACGTAGATCAGCGATACGATGATTCCATTTCTCTGAAAACCAAGCAAAAGTTGCTTCTCAATAACACATCCCTATGTCAGAGCAGCACTAACGTATAATGACTGATGTCATATATTTTACATTCTAACAGTCCATATCATTTTACTGCTTTCAAGAAAAAATTTCCCCTTCTTGGTGGTTCTTAGAATTGGTTTAATGGGAGACTATTAGAGAAGCTGAAAAGCAGGAGGGCAGAAAAGTTCAATCAAATTAAACACAATAACAGGGAGGTCACAATGAGGCGGTCTCCAGGGGTCTTTTAGCAAACTTCCTAAAACATGTCTCAGCTGTGTGAAAATAGACTTTACAGCAGCCGGGTGCAGTGGTGCAGGCCTGTAATCCCAGCACTTTGGCAGCAGAGGCAGGTGGATCACTTTGAGCTCAGGGCAACATAGCCAAAACCCCCCTCCCCAGCCCCACCCCCACCCCGTCCCTACCAAAAATACAAAACAGCAGGGCATGGTGGCGGGCGCCTGTAGTCCCAGCTACTCAGGAGGCTGAGGCAGGAGAATCACCTGAACCCAGGAGGCAGACATTGCAGTGAGCCAAGATCACACCACTGCCAGCCTGGATGACAGAGCAAGACTCCACCTCAAAAAAAACAAAAACAAAAACACAAGGTTAAGAGGGACCCCCGACCTTACAGATGCAAGTTTAAGAGGGACCCCTAAGCAAAAAATGCCAACCCTTTTTCTCCCAATCATTGAAACACCAGGAGGGTGTAACAGTTTTGCAGCCTAGCTGTAGCAGGCTGATGCCCCCAAGATGCCCATATCCTAATCCCGGGAACTGGTGAACATGACCTTATATGGCAAAAGGAGCTTTGCAGATATAATGAAGTTAAGGGTCTTTGGCTTTTGGGGTTGATGTACTCACTCGGATCCTTGTAAGAGCAGAGCAGGTGATGGAGAGGGTGGGAGGTGTAGTGACAGAAGCAGGAAACTCCAGTCATTCGAGACGGGCAGCACAGGCTGAGGAGTGCAGGCCACCTCTACGGCCAGGAAACAGATTCTCCCGCAGAGCCTCGGAAGCTACCGACCCTGCTCCCACCTTGACTCAGTAGGACTTACTGTAGAATTCTGGCCTTCAGACCTGTAAGGGAATACATTTTGGTTGTTTTAAGTCACTAAGTGTGTGGTAATTTGTTGCAGCAGCCACAGGAAACTAGTATTGTAGTGAAGCCTCAAAACCCCCCTGAAGGGGCTGGGCTCAGTGGCTCATGCCTGTAATCCCAGCACTTTGGGAGGCCGAGATGGGTGGATCACTTGAGGTCAGGAGTTCGAGACCAGCCCAGCCAACATGGTGAAATGCCATCTATACAAAAAATACAAAAACTAGCCGGGCATGGTGGCACATGCCTGTAATCTCAGCTACTCAGGAGGCTGAGACAGGAGAATTGTTTGAACCCAGGGGGGCGGAGGTTGCAGTGAACTGAGATTCCACCACTGCACTCCAGCCTGGGTGACAGAGCGACGCTCCACCTCGAAAACAAAACAAAACAAAAAAACCCCACCTGAAGGTTTCCAGTTCTGCCAGCACTCTCCCACCCAACCCCCAGAAACAGACATTCCATTGCTGTGGGCCATGGACAGGCAGAAGGAAGCACCTCCTCATGGCAGAGGCCTACCCAGGAGAAACCCAAGGGAAGGCACTGCTGGGCTGGCCCCTCTCTGCCAAGGCCATATTCTTTTTTTTTTTTTTGAGGCCAGTTTCACTCTGTCTCCCAGACTGGAGTGCAGGGGCACAGTCTCGGCTCACTTCGACCTCTGCCTCCCCAGTTCAAGTGATTCTCCTGCCTCAGTCTCCTGAGTAGCTGGGATGACAGGAGTGGAGCATGCCTAGCTAATCTTTGTATTTCTAGTAGAGATGCGGTTTTGCCACGTTGCCAGTCCACCTGTCTCAGCCCCGCAAAGTGCTGGTATTACAGGAGTGAGCCACTGCACCCAGCATTTGCCAAGACCTTTGATGGCAGGCTTTTTCCAGGTGATCAGTCCTTGTCTGGTCTGGCTCTGCCCCACTCTCCTTCTCACCTAGTTGGAATCCCTAGCTACTTTTCAGTAGAGGAGAGTGTGTACCCCAATCCCAGCTTGGTTCAGATCTGCATTTAACTCATGGAACCTGGCTGCTCCCCAGGTCCTGAAGAAAAAAACGGTCTCTCTGTGGGTATGATAAAGGATGGGCCTGTCCCCAGGACCCTGTGAGAGGGAAGCCCAATGTCCCACCAGGTTGGCAGGGCTGGGGAAGGGAAAGTGTTATGGCAGCCCCAAGAAAAAAAAGAGGCAGCAGAGGGAGCAGGACAGCGCTCACATGGAACTCATGCCACTGCCTGAGGGGGGGGAGGAGTGCACGCCAGTGACGTCAGGGGGCAGAGAGGCGCAGTTCCAGGGTGGCTTTCCCCCTCACTTCCTGCCATGTTACTCTGATCGCCTCCAGGTGAGCCTGCCCACTTTGTGCCCAGGGGCCTGTAGAAAACCACAGCTCCCCATGGTTATGGCCCCAGGAGTGGGGCAGAGCAGGGAGGAGTCCTGGACAGAGGAGAGGCAGGGGCAGGAGGGAGTGGGCCTCAAACTCCAGGAGGGGGCCCTTCTCATGGGTCCTGCTTTCTGGCTTCTCCTTCCTTACCCCTGGGCTGATCACTTGGGGAAGAACTGAGACAAAGTTTCTCGCCCTCAGGCCCAAAGGGTTTAATTACTGGGCCCTTAGGGAGGTGTGAGCCCCCTGAAAGGATGCAAGGTTTTGTTTTGTTTTGTTTTTTGAGACAGAGTTTCGCTCCTGTCGCCCAGGCTGGAGTGCAGTGGCGTGATCTCACCACACTACAACCTGCGCCTCCCAGGTTCAAGTGATTCTCCTGCCTCAGCCTCTGGAGTAGCTGGGATTACAGGTGGCTGCCACCACGCCTGGCTAATTTTTTGTATTTTTAGTAGAGACAGGGTTTCGCCATGTTGGGCAGGCTGGTCTTGAACTCCTGACCTCAGGTGATCCGACTGGCTCCGCCTCCCAAAGTTCTGGGATCACATGAGCCACTGTGCTTGGCCACGATGAAAGGTTTTGTGTGGAGAGCATGTACATGCCTTTCTGGGAAAACAGTCCACAGCGCTTATTCTCAGCAGACTTCACGGTGAAAAAAGGTTAGAACTCTTGCTACAGAGCTGTGGAAGCAGCCAGGTGAGGGGCCTGCCAAGGGCACTCTGGGCACTACCTGGGCACTCTCGAGCCCATCATCCCCTAGGCAGGCTGCACTGCTTGGTATTTGCAGAGCTGAGGGGGTGGGGCATGTGGGGACTGTGAAATCGCCCTGAGATGACCCACAGTCCTCAGCTGGGAAGTGAGCGCTGCATCTCCTGCAGCGTCCTCCATCCCTAGAGCCATGGGGCCAGGAGAACCGGCCCTTGCAGCAAGTGAAAAGCCTATTATTGATTCCCTCCCTAGCCATGTAGACAGTGAACCAAGACACTCATATCAGGTAAATGCCTTGTTCTCTGTTACCAAGGTAACCAGTAGGCATTCCCAGATACAGCGAAGGTCCTCACACCAAGATATGCACCTGGCCACCTGAGGAAAGAGAAAGGACTATCTGAGGGGATGGGGCTGAGCTGGGTGTGGAGTGGTCCTTGTGGGTCTTGGAGAGTGGGAGGGGGAGCAGCATGAGCCAGGCCTCGAGGCAGAAGGACAACCAGGAGACAGCCTGGAAAAAGTGCTGGACCCACAAGGGCTCTAGGCTGGCCAGAGGGGAGGTGGGATAGGCTGTAAAGTCCTGAGGTCTGAAGATTGGCCCTGGCAGGAAGAAACCAGGTAAGGTGGGGTGTTACCTACACCCTCGGGGCCAGATGCAGGCCAGAGCCAGCCAATTACCAGGCCCTTAGGGAGGTGTGAGCCCCTTGAAACGATGCAAGGTTTTTTGTTTTTGTTTTGGAGACGGAGTTTCGCTCTTGTCACACAGGCTGGCACCTTTGCCCAGAGCAGGCACCAAGACTTCTGGCTCTGGGTGTGACCTCAGTCTGGGTAAAAGCCCCAGCCCCCACCAGCACCACCTATCCCCTAGACTACTTCAGGTGCTGAGCCCAAGCCAGGGGCAGGAAGCTAAACTGATACCTAGGGTAATCCCAACAAAGTCCCTGGTTCCCCGCAGCTATGGGGCTGACGGGGAATTACAGCCCAAACCCCAGATGCTGGCTCTCAAACTAACACTGAGCCCTCAGTGCCCACAGGGAGATACAATCAGCGCACTTTCCAGATGGGGAAATGGGATCAGAGAAGTGCAACAGCCTTGCCCAATGCCCCAGACCAGGGCTCCAGGCCCAGAGTGTTCTTTTGTCACTGTGTTCAGAGGGCAGCAGCTGCTGTGATGTACCCACCTGAGCCTGGCAGCTTTCTCCAACTTTGGAAGCCCAGGAGCATGGCCCCTGTCCACAGATGCACCTGGCATGAGGCGTGCCCAGAGGGACAGAGGCAGATGAGTTGCGTCTCCTCCACTGGATTGTGAGGGCCTAGAAGGAGACAAGGGTCTGCTTGAGAAGGCAGTGAACAGCGAGCAGCCTGAGGCAGTGCCCCTCTGGATGGATGCGCAGTGCCTGGATGGAACCTGGCTCAGACAGAGCTCAGTTCTGCAGGTCCCTGAGGCATGGAGAGTTCACAGCTACCAAGTGTAGGAGTCTGGATTCAAAGCCAACGGCGTGACTCCAAAGTCCCTGCCCTAGCCCCTGGACCACCCTTGCAGGCCCATCAGATGCCCAGGCCAGCAGCACAGCCGGCCAAGACCAGGGAAACTTGGGGAGCCTCAGAGCACCCCCAGGTATTCCAACCTAACCCTGGTGCCCCGCCTCTCACCACCCTTCTTCCTGCTTTTACCTCAACCCCTACACAAAGCCTGGGCCACTTAATGTGGCATCAAACAGACGCCTCAATAAATCAGTCTAATCTCGAAAAAAAAAAGGCTTAACAGATATACAATTGCACGTTAGAATGCTAAAGACCATAAACATATAACAACTTAAAGTACATATAAATTCAATATATATCCAATCATTGTAACTATGACACAGTAGAATATTAAAATACTATTTTCAAAATGTATACAAGCTTAATGTTCTATGTATTCAAACTGTTTATTCAAAATACAAATCATCAACATAAATTGCCACTAATATTCAGTCCCTTCACAGGACATGATTCACTGGGAGTTAATAAATTAGCAGCCGGCAGGCAGTGACACACCGCAAAAATGAAAACCAAGAGGTGAAATAGTTCTGAAATAAAGGTTTTAAAGCTAACAGAAATCACTGAATTACTAAGTCATTAGCACTAATTTTGAGCCAACTAACTAATTAATATGAGATGATACAATGTCCTATACTTTGGTAAATACAGACTATGTTTAAACAATGTCTGTAACGTGACTTGTAAAATGCTCCTGGCTTTACAAAGATGTGATTAAGATGTAGTAACACATGCTAAACCATTTCCCCCTGCAGAGCATGTGGTAACTTTCATCAGTCACATTGAGAGTCCAGAAGATAAAGGAAAAGGTCATGGATTTCGCTGAGAACTTACCAGAGTTGAACTCCCTCATTTTCCGTTCCCCAGCATTGGCGGGTTCTGGGACTGGTGGCTGTGGTGGCTCGTTGGTCTTTGTCTCTTAGAAGGTGGGGAATAATCATCATCTTGAAAAAGAAAAAATGGTCATTACTGAAGGAACCATCTTAGGTTACAGCCACCTCTGGGTCAATTCCCAACATTCAAAAGCTGAGCAGGGCTTTAAAGCTATCTTATTAATAATTATTTCTGTATTGCGAACTTCAGCATACTTTTTTCTAGTTACATTTGAAATGTTATTCTTTTGGGATGTGCTCAAGTGAGTACTGCTTTTTCCTCTGCCTTGCTTCATTACTTTTTAGTTTCCTTCATTTGAATCATCATTGTAAGTCTCCCCTTCTCCTCAAATAACTTTCAAATTGCTGCCAAGAACTATGTTCTATCTTAAGGCTTTTGAGAAAAAACTTTCAATGAAGATAGCCGCCTAAAGTTATACAAATATAGAAGAAACGGGATAAAATAAAGCTTAGATTGGAAAAAATATTTAAGATTCTACAAAATTCACGCGTAAACAAGGGAAGCTGAGTAATTGTATGTTCAAATACTTGCAAAACATGTAGGCTTAAAGAAATAGAGCTGGCCAGGCATGGTGGTTCACGCCTATAATTCCAACAGTTTGGGAGGCCGAGGCAGGCAGATAACTTGAGGTCAGGAATTCAAGACCAGCCTGGCCAACAGAGTGAAACCCTCTCTCTACTAAAAATACAAAAATTAGGCCAGGAGTGATGGCTCATGCCTGTGATCCCAGCACTTTGAGAGGCCGAGGTGGGTAGATCACCTGAGGTCAGGAGTTTGAGACCAGCCTAACCAACATAGGGAAACCCCGTCTCTACTAAAACTACAACATTAGCCAGGTGTGGTGGCACATGCCTGTAATCCCAGCTACTCGGGAGGCTGAGGCAGGAGAATCCCTTGAACCCAAAAGGCAAAGATTGTGGTGAGCCGAGATTGTGCCATTGCACTCCAGCCTGGGCAAAAACAGCGAAACTCCGTCTCAAAAAAAAAAAAAAAGAAAAAATTAGCCAGGCGTGAAGTTGCGGTGAGCTGAGACTGCACCATTGCACTCCAGCCTGGGTAGCAGAGCAAGACCCTGTCTCAAAAAAAAAAAAAAAAGAGAGAGAGAGAGAAAGAAAGAAAGAGGGCTACATTATTTATGAAACAGGTACTGTTAACTCAGTCACCAGAAAGCCTGTGTATAAATGAGCAGTGAGATATTCAAGCACAGCACACACACACTTCTCAGGACAGCTGTCGTGAGTGTTCCATGCTCATTTCCTTCTGGATACATCAGCAACTCACTCTGCTATGATCCTGCAATACATCTCATGTTAGAATTAGAGACATCTGGGCCAGGCACAGTGGCTGACGCCTGTAATCCTAACACTTTGGGAAGCCGAGGCAGGCAGATCACCTAAGGTCAGGAGTTCGAGACCAGCCTGGCCAACATGGTGAAATGCTGTCTCTACCAAAAATACAAAAAATTAGCTGGGCATGGTGGCGCGCGCCTGTAATCCCAGCTACTCGGGAGCCTGAGGCAGGAGAATCGCTTGAACCCGGGAGGTGGAGGTTGCAGTGAGCCGAGATCTTGCCACTGCACTCCAGCATGGGGGACGGAGCAAGGCTCTGTCAAAAAAAAAAAAAAAAAAAACAGAAAAAGAAAAAGAAAAAAGAATTAGAGACATCTGGATCAAATCAGCTGCCAGTCTCGCAAAGTGTCGGGTAACATCCTATTAAGCTTGCTGCTTACACATCATCTATAAAATACTGAAAATATCATTTTAAGAAATCTTTTTTTTATTTTGAGACAGAGTTTTGCTCATTGCCCAGGCTGGAGTGCAATGGTGCGATCTCAGCTCACTGCAATCTCTGCCCCCTGGGTTCAAGCAATTCTCCTTCCTCAGCCTCCTGAGTAGCTGGGATTACAGGCATGCACCACCACGCCTGGCTAATTTTGTATTTTCAGTTGAGACAGGGTTTCTCCATATTGGTCAGGCTGGTCTCGAACTCCTGACCTCAGGTGATCCACTGACCTTGGCCTCCCAAAGTGCTGGGATTACAGGTGTGAGCCACCATGCCTAGCCAAGAAACCCTTATTTTAAAACAAGCCAGGCGCGGTGGCTCATGCCTATAATCCCAGCACTTTGGGAAGCCAAAGCGGGTGGATCACTTGACGTCAGTAGTTTGAGACCAGCCTGGGCAACATGTTGTAACCCCATCTCTACTAAAAATATATTTTAAAAATTAGCTGGGCATGGTGGTGGGCACCTGTAATCCCAGCTTCTCAGGAGGCTGAGGCAGGAGAACCACTTGAACCTGGGAGGTGGAGGTTGCAGTGAGCGGAGATCACGCCACTGCACTCTAGCCTGGGTGACAATAGAAAGACTCCATCTCAAAAACAAAACAAAACAAAACAAAACAAAAAACCACTAAAAAAAAGACTCCATTTCAAAAACAAAACTAAAACCAAAAACACAACACAAATGTAGTACACAAATGAAAATAATTACTGTGTTAAACACAGTTTCATAGAAAATAAAAGACCAATCAAATACAATAAGCTGCCTTTTTAGATGGGTATGTTATTCTTCTTTCACAGCTAAAGAAACAGGCTCAGAGAATGTTATTTGATTGGACCGTGTTGCATTTCTGGACAGTGCAGCTGAGATCAGACTTTGTGTGTAACTCCACTAGCCTACCAGGGTGCCTCTCATAAAGCTAAGAAATGTAAATTTGGCCTAATATACAAAGTTGCCAGGGCAGCACTGGGTCAATTCTACATACAGTACTTCTATGTTCATCAAGGGAAACCTTAAGGGAAAGTGAAAATGCTTCTAGAAGGCGACTGGACACCAGCGCCTTTGCTTGTTGCCTTTGGGCTCTTCTTCTAAGGCCAACAGTGACCTGAAATTATTGACTGGCTTTTCAATCAAGTGGACAAAATGGTACCAAGGTCGGCAACATCAGACAAATTTACTTGAGGGCCTTATCTATGCGCTTTGAAAGACAAAACTGCTTTTGTAAAGGACACTGTATTTCAGAAAAACATAATCATATTAACAAATAATAACACTGTAAAATGCTGATGTGTTGAATGCTACTTTAGAAAAACATGCTCAAATCTAGGGAAAAAATTTGATACAAAACTACGTATCAATTATCTAGCTAGCTATCTATCTAGAGACATGCTTTCATTCTATTGCTCAGGATGGGAAGCAGTGGGATTATCATAGCTCACTGCAGCCTTGAGCTCCTGGCCTCAAGTGATCCTCCTGCCTCAGTCTCCTAACTAGCTAGGGCCACAGGTGGACACAGTTATGCCTGGGTTTTTGTTTGTTTGTTTTGTAGAGACAGGGTGTCACTACATTGCCCAGGCTGGTGTCAAACTTTGGAGTCTCGCTGTGTCGCCCAGGCTGGGGTGCAGTGGTGTGATCTTGGCCCAGTGCAACCTCTGCCTCCCGGGTTCAAGTAATTCTCCTTTATCAGCCTCCCAGGTAGCTGGGACTACAGGCATGCGCCACCACGGCCAGCTAATTTTTGTATTTTTTGTAGAGACTGGGTTTCACCATGGCCAGGCTGGTCTCCAACTCCTGACCTCAGGTGATCCACCCGCCTCGGCCTCCCAAAGTGTTGGGATTACAGGTGTCAGCCACTGAGCCTGGCGGAGCACTTTATGTTATTAAGTAGCCTAACCCAGGTGGGTCGCTGTCCCTCACGCCTGTAATCCCGACAACTCTGATGGCCAAGGTGAGAAGATTGCTTCAACTCAGGAGTTCGAAACTGGCCCGGGCAACATAGCGAGGCACCCCCCGACCCCATCTCTAGAAAAAAATACAAAAATTAGGCCAGGTGTCCACCGCGCCCGGCTAATTTTTGTATCTTTTGTAGAGACGGGGTTTCGTCATGTTGCCCAGGCTGGTCTCGAACTCCTGAGCCCAAGCCATCCATCCTCCCGCCTCGGCCTCCCAAAGTGCTGGGATTACAGTAGGGCCCAGCCAGCCTCATGTTTTATTTAGCAGTCCCTCCCTGTTGCACACCTGGATAGTTTTTTAAATTTTTTTAGACAGGGTTTACCTCAATCTCGCAGGCTGGAATGCTGTGGTGGGATCATAGCTCACTGGAGCCTTGAACCTTTGGGTTCAAGTAGCTGGGGGGCTGAGGTAGGACTACAGAGATGGGGTTGCGCCATGTTGCTAGGCTGCTCTTGGCCTGAAGGGTCCTCCCGCCTCGGCCGCGCCAGACATAGTTTTCTATTTTTGACCAACATAAACACTGTGCTGGGTCTGAATTTTTCAGCTACCCTTCTTCAGCCGGCAACACACAGAACCTGGCGGGGAGGTCACTCTTACCAGTCCCCACTCTGATGAGAAAACTGCCCAGCTCCAGGCACCATGGCGCCCCAGTGATGTAGCCGAACACCCGCGCCTCTAACGTCGCCAACGGCCCACCTCTATGGTGTCGGCGAA
Source organism: Homo sapiens (assembly GCF_000001405.40). Taxonomy (NCBI): domain Eukaryota; kingdom Metazoa; phylum Chordata; class Mammalia; order Primates; family Hominidae; genus Homo; species Homo sapiens. Next base: position 778,676 of record NC_000001.11, read on the forward strand.
GACCCGCCCTTGTGACGTCACGGAAGGCGCACCCTTGTGACGTCACAGGGGACTACCACTCACGCAGAGCCAATCAGAACTCGCGGTGGGGGCTGCTGGTTCTTCCAGGAGCGCGCATGAGCGGACGCTGCCTACTGGTGGCCGGGCGGGATGTAACCGGCTGCTGAGCTGGCAGTTCTGTGTCGCTAGGCTTCTGCCCGGCCGCCGCCGCACATAAGCCACGAGGAGGAGCTTTACGACTTCCCGGTCTTCGGCGCCGGGCGCAGCAAGGGCCAGACTCTGCGCTAGCAGGCGCTGCGCGCCAACCGGCCGGCACCTGTCGCAGAAGGTGCAACCGATCGCACTGTCGCGCAGAAGCTCCTCAATGGCCAGCGCCAGCTGCAGCCCCGGCCGCCCACTCGCCTCATCTGAGCCTGGGTACGTGCGCTCCACAACGCCTCCCCCAGCCAGGGCCCGGGGATCCCCGGGAGCGTCCCCGGCTACCTGGCGCCGCTCATCCTGGGTAGGGTCGGCCCCCTGAGGCTGCCCGGCATGAGGGAGTTGCACCCCTGAGCTTGACCTCTGACGGTCCTTTGTAATAGCATTAAGTCTTTGAAACTTGTAGCGGGGTAGAAGGGGCTAGGAAATGAAGAAAACATCTTTTTAAAAATATAAGCAGTCGGCTGGGCGAGGTGGCCCACACCTGTAATCCCAGCACTTTGGGAGGTCGAGGCGGGTGGATCACGAGGACAGGAGTTCAAGACCAGCCTGGCCAGCATGGTTTCACTGAAACCCCGTCTCTACTAAAAACACAAAAATTAGTCGGGCGTGGTGGCAGGTGCCTGTAATCCCAGCTACTCGGGAGGCTGAGGCAGAGAATTGTTTGAACCCGGGATGCGGAGGTTGCAGTGAGCGGAGATCGCGCCACTGCACTCCAGCCTGGGCAACAGACCAAGACTCCGTCTAAACAAACAAATATATGTGTGTATATATATGCGATCGAGCCCGGGAGGTTGAGATTACAGTGAGCTGAGATTATATAAGCGATCGAGCACTGGAGGTTGATGTTACAATGCGCTGAGATTGCGCCATTGCACTCCAGCCTGTGTAACAGAGGGAGACTCTGTCTCTAAAAAATTATATGCAAGTGAGAGCTTTTCTTCCAGCACTCATGCTCAGACTGAAGAAAGTAATTGGGCCAGGCCCGGTGGCTCACGCCTTTAATCCCAGCATTTTGGGAGGCGGAGGCGGAAGTGGGTGGATCACTTGAGCTCAGGAATTCCAGACTAGTTTGGGCAACATGGTGGAACCCTTTCTCTACAAAAATACAAAAAATTAGCTGGACATGGTGGCACGCGCTTGTAGTCTCCGCAACTTGCCGGGCTTAGGCGGGAGAATCGCTCAGCTGCAGCCTCGACCTCCAGGGGCAATCCATTTCAGCCTCCCAAAGTGCTGAGATTACAGGAATGAGCCATCGTGCCTGGCTTTACACTATATTTTAACACTTTTTTTGAAAATGGAAACTTTTACAGGCAATTCACTTCCTTCAAACTAATGATAAGGAAGTGATGCTGTTCTGTTCTGTTTTGTTTTTTGTTTTTGTGGGTTTTTTTTCTTTTTTGAGATGGGGTCTTGCCCAGGTTGGAGTGAGGTGGTGCAAACAAGGCTCACTGCAGCCTTGACCTTCGGGCTCAAGGAATCCTTCCCCGTCAGCCTCCCCGGTAGCTAGGACTACAGGTGCATGCTACCACGCTTGGCTAATTCTTTTTTTGAAATGGAGTCTCACTCTGTCTCCCAGGCTGGAGTGCAGTGGTGCAATCTCGGCTCACTGCAGGCTGGTCTCAACCTCTGACTTCGGATGGTCCACCCACTTCTGCATCCCAAAGTGCTGGGATTACAAGTGTGACCCACCGCGCCTGGCGATTTTGCTCATTTTAGATACTAGAACTTTTTAATTTAAAATTTTTTTTTCCTGAGATGGAGTCTTACTTTGTCTCCAGGCTGGAGTGTAGTCGCGTAATCTCGGCTCACTGCAACCTCCACCTCCTGAGTTCAAGCGATTCTCCTGCCTCAGCCTGCCAGAGTTGCTGGGACTACAGGTGTGCACCACCACACCCAGGAGTTCAAGGCTGCAGTGAGCCATGATCGTACCACTGCACTCCAGCCTGGGCAACACAGCGAGACCCTGACTCCACAAATAAATAAATCAACGTCATATGATCTGTACCAGGGTATAGGCAGGTGCTATGATCCCCACTTTTCATCCTCAACTCTAAGTTGAGTCATACATCAACCTCTAGTAAAAAGTGGCATGCTCTCAGTCAAAGGGGTAAGCCCAAACCACGTGGAGAGAATCTTATCTCTTTTGAGAGCTAATATAAAAAGAATTCCTCCTAGGCATAAAAATATTATGACACCAGTTACTTAGGCTAAACATGCCTATTATGCTAAGTGAGTTATTAACAATAAATACTTTAACTCTGTGCCATGTTAATTATCATAATCTGATTTATAATTTGTTTTAACCTTAGGTTATATATACCTTGAAGCCATTTATATTTTGGTATACTTGTAATAATTACTATACACTGGACTATGTATATTGGACTAAACACGGAGAGTCAAAAAAGAGTATGTGGTCAGAGTAGAAATCATGCCCTAGCTTCCTTCGTGTCTACCTCCTACCTTGAGTAGAAGTGGTAGAAAAAGTAATTACCTAAGATTTTTTGGATTCTGGTTTGTGGAGAAGCACCCTTATATTTAGGCTGATGGGCGGCAAAATTAGAAAGTATTTTTTGTGATTTAGAATTTTATACAGAGATGTTCATTGTGATTAATTATTCTTTGTATTAGCAGATTTTTGCTTTTTATAGCTGCATGATTTCTTGTTTATTATTCATTCATTATTGTCTATTAATAAAGAAAAACTTTATTTCACTGAAGCAGTGATATATAATCCAACTTGGATTTTTAAATAATGACTGACTTTTTTTCTTTGGGAATACATTACTGTTAAAAATGTAATTATTAGATACATTACTTTTAATGAATATAAGTGGTATAATTAGAAGGCTGAAAAGAATCCTTGGAAACGTGAGTTTAATTTGATAGCTAAGAAACTGAGGACAAGATACTTATTCTTTGTAGCATATTTTCTAATGTCATTTCATTGTCTCACCAAGAAATACTTGCATAAAGCAAGTTCAATTACAGTATCTGTTGAATATTTAAGGTTGAGTAAAGTGGGTGAGTTTAACAGATATTTTCCCTTATTTCTTTTAGGCAAATCTGGATTGGGAAAGTTGACATTAATCAACTCATTATTCCTCACAGATTTGTATTCTCCAGAGTATCCAGGTCCTTCTCAGAGAATTAAAAAGCCTGTACAGGTCTAGATATTGGTATTTTTAATTGATGATAAGCTGGAATAATATTAATACACACAAAGCACGTGTTGTAACTTTCATTATGCTTCCTTAGAGGTAAGATGCAAATTTGCCCTTAGCCAGTGTAAGATGGTAAATATGACTTCATAAAATCAAAAAAACAGAAGAAGTACAGTTAATCGAAAGATTATCTTGACTAGAACTTTCCAAATTTGTCCTAAGGATTCTCCTAGAGATGACACTGTGACATAGTAACCAATTCCCCTGGAGTTGTGCTATGTAGTATGATAGTCATTTGCCACATGTTTAAATCAATTAAAATTAATTAAATTAAAATGCAATTTCTCATTTGCTCCAGATACATTTCAAGTGCTCAACAGCCACATGTGGCAAGTGGCTGCCATTTTGTGCAGCACATATATGAAGATTTTCATCATTGTAGAAAATTGCATTGGACAGTGTAGAGAAAACATGATTCATAGAAAAACTATTGTTATTTAAATACAGTGTTCTATATTAGTCAGTGGGATAATACCATATCATAGTTGAATGGCAATAGCAATTCTGTAAGACTCCCAAGCTATATGTGATCTAATTTACTGCTTCTCAGTCTTTGCTATGCATTCCAATCCTGGGTATCCTGTTAAATTTATTTCTTCTAGTAGTTCTGAGATGGGCTGCCTTTCTACATTTCTAACAAGATCCCAGGTGATGCTGATGCTGCTGGATGGTAGATCACACTTTATAAAGCAAGGGGCTAGACTCTAGATATGCACTTTTTATTAAATAGTACAGCAGCCTGTAGCCACATGTGGCTATTAATCTTTGAAATGTGGGTAGTCTGAATTGTGATGTTCTGCAAACATAAAATATGCCACAGATTTCTAAGACTGAGCATGGAAAAGAAAATCTCCATAATTTTTTATATTGATTGTATACTGCAGTGATAATATTTTGGATGTATCAGGTTAAATAAAATTGACTGATTTCACCTTTTTCCTATTTTAAAAGTGGCTACTAAGAAAATTTTAAATTACTTACATGACCGACATGGTATTTTTATTTGGCAGCGCTGCTCTAAGCTGTTGATGAAAAATATTGTTGGTGAGCTCTGCTTAGGTAATATATAGGACATGAGCAGAGAGGAGGCACGTGAACAGTTCTGGCCTGGAGTAGGCTTCATTGAGGCTGTGATGCTTTTAGCTGGATTTGAAGAAGTGGTAGTGATCATCCCAGTGCACAGGATAGGTGGACAGTCTATGTATTCTGAGCAGTAACTCATATATCTCATACTGCAAGACCCCAAAGGAGTAATTTTGTGAAGTAAATATCTTATTTCTCCTTTTTAATGTTTCTATTTTAGGAATTTTTTTTTTTTTTAGTAACCTTCATAGGGCTTGAGATTTAAAATTACCTGCAAAATTCTACTCTAAAAACTTGATCCTACATGCTTATTTTGTGATAAATATTGGAAATTTTAAACCTAAGCAAGAAAATGAACTTTGAACTTTCTTAATTTGGGTATCTATTATGAATACCTTCACTTAAGTATTTATGAATTTAGATATGAAAGGTAAAACTAACCACTATCCAAATTAATATACAGTTCATTTCCAGAACCCTAGTTTCTTCCATGTGCTCACTTGCATTCAGTATTACAACCCCCAAAGATAAACACCTTACTGACTGCCTTCTCCATAAATTTGCCTGTTCTTGAATGTTATATACGTATACTTTTTTGTATCTGTTTTCTTTCAGTGAAGATTATGTCTGTATTATTTACTCATGTTGGGTGTAGTTGTTTTTTTCATCGTCGTATAATACTCCATTGTGTGAATGTATCAGTATATCCTTTATTATTTATTTAAACTGACTTAAATGTTTTTTGACACTTTGGTTATATTTAAGAAGTTGACTTCTCTAATTTCCTTGTCATGTTTATTTTTAAATATCTTTCTCTTTAAAAGTTGGGATACTATAATAAATATTCAGCAAGTATTTTGTGTTTAAATATAAAATCTTGTTATTTGGATTTTAATACTTTATATATAGTATTTATATATATAAACATAAACAAAACTAAAGACTCTATGAAAGAATCAAATGGATTTTCTATAACTGAAAATTTCAATGACTAAAATTAAGATATTACCAGATAGGTTTAACAGCAAATTCCATAAAGTTGGTAAGAAAACAAGAATACTCAAAAAATGGAAAGAAGTAGAAAATAAAAACACTGAGAAGCATAGAATGCAAATTTAGAAAAGAGCTTAAGAGACATATCAGACATGGTAAAAGGTTTAACACACATATAATCAAACTTTCCTAGCTCTGTTCACGGAAAGGGCCTGGGAGCTGCAACACCTCAACAGCAACAAGCACACCTGCTACCTAGAACTTGGTTTCTAAAAACCATCCTCCTCTAAAAGGAAACAGAGCTCTTTGAAGAAACGGTAATTTCAAAGCTAGAGCACAGAAAGTATAAGATGAGCCCAGAATATCTTTTTGTACAAGAAAGTAAGGCAATGCTCAAAGAATGATGGAGACATGCCCAAAAAAAGCAGAGAAGCCAACTTGAAAAGATTCCAACAGGCCAAATATGGGGCGATTTGAACATCAGAATAAAATGGTGACAGTCACAGAATTATAACCCAGTGAAGAAAGGAATTCATGACATCATATTAATATAAATAATAATTGAATATTGAAATTCGTTAAAGGAAATGAGATATTTATGTAGTCTTAAGGTATCTTCTCACAAATTATGTATTACTTACAAAGGGGAAAAGTGCACCTTGACGTGAGAATCTTGGCAGAACTACTTTAATCAAGAGGTTTAGTTGAGCATTATCAGTAACAGAGTAAATCAAAATCATAAGCCACTTGATAGATACAATGAGAAAATAAAGCATCACTTCTGTGACACCCTATAAAAAATGAATCTAATAATGAGGAAACATGAGAAAAAACCAAACTGAGGGATATTCTACAAATAAATTGTCCTGTAATCTTCAAAAATTTCAAGGTTATAAAAGTCAAGAAAAACAGACAATCTTTTCCAAACTCAAGGGAACTAAAGAGGCATGAAATCTAAATGCTTAATTCTGGATTTCATCTTTTTGATATAAAGAACAGTATTGAGACTATTGATAAAATTTGAGTGGGGTCTGAAGATTCATTGGTAGTAGTAAGCTCAATTTAATTTCCTCACTTTGATCATTGTACTCTGGTTTTTAGAATGTTCTAGTCAACAGGTAATATGAATTAAACTAATCGAGGGTGACAGGGCATTATATCAGCCACTTATCAACAAACATTTCAGAGAAAAATAGTTCCTTGTATTGTTATTGCAATTTTCTTTGAGATTGCCCCCTCCGAAACAGTAAGAACTTTCAAAAACAAACAAAGATATCAAGCCACAGATTCAAAGTGCTATAAACTCCACGCATGATTAGTTCTCACTCATAGGTGGGAATTGAACAATGAGAACACATGGACACAGGAAGGGGAACATCACACACCAGGGCCTGTTGTGGGGTAGGGGGAGGGGGGAGGGATAACATTAGGAGATATACCTAATGTTAAATAACGAGTTAATGGGTGCAGCACACCAACATGGCACATGTATACATATGTAACTAAACTGCACATTGTGCACATGTACCCTAAAACTTAAAGTATAATAAAAAAAAATCATACCTAGATATATCACAATAAAACTTGACCTCAGAGTTTCTAGCTCTCAAGACCAATTCCTCCCATCCTGCCACTAACAGATTTCTCCAAACATCTCTGCACCTCAGAGTGCAAATACAATCAAACATTTCACTCCATTGATAGGAAGCATCCTTCACTATCTTCTACCAAGGGCTTCCTCCTTTGGTGCTTCAAAATTTTTTATGAAAGGAACATCCATTTTATTCAAAGCACCTCCAAACCTGCAATCCTAAGTTCCAGGCAACTCAATCCCAAAAATCCACTGTAGATGCCCAAAGGCTGGGGTGTTCGGTCTTCAACATTTTTGCCTTTGTGGCTCCCAGTCAAGATAGAGCTGCACCAAGTCCAATTCCATTCCTCATCACAGATGATTTTTTCTACTTTAAGATCAGAACTATACAAGCTTCTTGCTTTGTGTCAGCATGCTGTTGTACCCATGGGCAAATTCTTAGGTAAGACAAAAACACAGTCCCAAGGGCAGGTAGTAATTTTTTCAGAAAAAGGTAAGGCAATCATTTATCTCAGTCTGCCCAGGACAGTCCCAATTTACACATGTATATTCTCCCAATCTGTAGGCTGTCTTTTCATTTTGTTGATTATTTCACTTAATTTTTTATTATTTATTTATTTTATAGAGACAGATCTCATTATGTTGCCCAGGGTGATCCTTGATCTCCTGGCCTCAAGTGATCCTCCAACCTTGGTCTCCCAAAGTGCTGGGATTACAGATGTGAACTACCACACCCAGTCAACGTGCAGAAGGTTTTCAGTTTGATGTAGTCTGATGTAGTCTCATGTATTTATCCTTCTTGTTGTTGCCTGAGCTTTTGGTGTGATATCCAAAAATATCATTGCCAAGATCAATATCAAGAAACTTTCCCCCTATGTTTCTTACAGAAATTTTATGGTTTCAGATTTTTCATCCATTTTGAGTATATTTGTGTGTATGATGTAAGATAAGGGTCCAGTCTCCCCAGTGTTGGATATCCAATTTTCATAACACCATTTATTGAAGAGATTATTCTTTCTCCACTGTGTTTTCTTGATGTCCTTGTCAAAAATTAGTTGACTTTTATATGCTTGGGTTTATTTCTGGGCTCTATTCTGTTTCATTGCTTTACATCTCTGTTTTCATGCCAGTGCCACAGTGTTTTGATTACTATAGCTTTGTAATATAATTTGAAATCAGAATGTGTAATACCTATAACTTTGTTTTTTGCTCTAAAGATTTATTTATTTATTTATTTTTGCCATTTCAGGTCTTTTGTGGTTTCATATGAATTTCAGAATTGTTTTTCCTATTTCTGTGAAAAATGCCATTGACATTTTGATAGGGATTGTGTTGAATCTATATATTGCTTTGGATAGTATGGATGTTTTAACACTATTAATTGTCCCAATCCATGAACATGAAATATCTTTCCATTCACTTGTGTCTTCTTCAATTTCTTTCATCAATGTTTTATAGTTTTCATTGTGCAGATCTTTCACTTACCTGGTTAAATTTATTCCTACAATTTCATTCTTTTTGATACTAGGGTAAATTGAATTATTTTCTTGATTTCTATAAATTATTTCTTATAATACTCATACTTGTCAGGCCTCTGGGCCCAAGCCTGCATGTATACATCCAGATGGCCTGAAATAACTGAAGAATCACAAAAGAAGTGAAAATGGCCAGTTCCTGCCTTAACTGGTGACATTACCTTGTGAAATTCCTTCTCCTGGCTCAGAAGCTCCCCCGCTGAGCACCTTGTGACCCCCGTCCCTGCCCACCAGAGAACAACCCCCTTTGACTGTAATTGTCCACTACCCACCCAAATCCTATAAAACAGCCCCACCCGTCTCCCTTCACTGACTCCTTTTTCAGACTCAGCCTGCCTGCACCCAGGTGAAATAAACAGCCTTGTTGCTCACACAAAGCCTGTTGGTGGACTCTCTTCACACAGATGCGCGAGACAATACTAACACTAATATTATTTTGATTCGTCAGATGGAAAAGTAAGGCTTGAAGAGGTTAGAAATAACTTTTCCAAGGTCACAGAGCTAATTGCCACAACTATAACTCAGCTCTAGTATGTGAACAAAGATTTTTTTATACCAAACCAAAATTATTTATTTCTACTCCACTATTCTATCATGGTGCATTTTAGGTGCTAATGGGAAAATCTGCTCTATGATGGTGTCCAATAGACAATTAAAATTCAAATCTGGAAATGAGATCTGGACTGAAGATTTTTTTAAAAATTAGCCCTCATCACATGTAGTCAGCTGTAGAAATCCTTAGCATGGCTGAAATTTTTCATATTAAGACAAGACTAGAACTTGGCCAGGTGTGGTGGCTCACACCTGTAATCCCAGCACTTTGGGAGGCTGAGGTGGGTGAATCACCTGAGGTCTGGAGTTTGAGACCAGCTGACCAACATGGTGAAACACCATCTCTACTAAAAATACAAAAAATTAGCCAGGCGTGGTTGCACATGCCTGTAATCCTAGCTACTTGGGAAGCTGAGGTAGGAGAATTGCTTGAACCCAGGAGGTGGAGGTTGCAGCAAGCTGAGATCGTGCCATTGCACTGCAGTCTGGGCAAAAAAAGCAAAACTCTGAAGAAAGAGAGAGAGAGGGAGAGAGGGAGAGAGAAAGGAAGAGACGATGAGAGACAGAGAGAAGGAGAGAGAAAGTACAAAAGAACGAATGAACGAACAAACTAGAAATCGAGCAGGAACCTTGGAGGACCTATTGCTTAAGGTGTGGGCCAAAGAAAGTAAGTTAGGGCAAGAGACTAAGGTATGCCAGAGACCCAGGACAAAACACAGTGCAGAGTGATGTCACAGAGCCAAATGGGAGTGCAAGCTATGGCAAGCCCTCCCAAGTATGTGTGGGTTAAATGTAATTAAATTCAAAATCTCTCAACCCAAAAATTTTCTCCACAAAGGAAGTAGAGAAACAAAACAGTTCATTATTGAATAAGCATTAAACCAGAATGTGATGTGTGAATATAATGGAATGGAATGGAATGGAATGGAATGGAATGGAATGGAATGGAATGGAGTGGAGTGGAATGGACCCGAATGGAATGGAACGGAACGGAATGGAATGGAACGCACTCGAATGGAATGGAACGGACATGAATGGAATGGAATGGAACGGACACGAATGGAACGGAACGGAACGGAATGGACTTGAGTGGGATGGAATGGAATTGAATGGACTCTAATGGAATGGACATGAATGGAATGGAATGGACTCAATTGGAATGCAGTTGAATTGAAAGGATCCAAAAGGAATGCAATGGAATGCATTGGAATGGAATGCAATGGACTTGAATGGGATGGAATGGAATGGAATGGACTCTAATGGAACGGAATGGAATGGAACCGAATGGAATGGAATGGACTTGAATGGAATAGAATGGAATGGAATGGACTCGAAAGAAATGAAATGGAATGGATTCAAATGGAATGGAATGGACACAAATGGAACCAAATGGAATGGAATGGACTCGAATGGAATACAATGGAATTTAATGGAATGGACTCTAATGGAATGGAATGGACTAGAATGGAATAGAACGGAATAGGCTCGAATGGTATGGAATGCAATGGAATGGACTCGAATGGAATAGAACAGAATAGACTAGAATGGTATGGAATGCAATGTAATGGACTCGAATGGAACGGAATGGAATGGACAAGAATTGAATTGAATGGACTGGAATGGAATGGAATGGACTCCAATGGAATGTGGTGGGATGGATTCAAATGGAATGGAATGGAATTGAGTGGATTTGAATTGAATGGAATGGAATGGTATGGAATGGAATGGAATGGAATGAAATGGACTAGAATGGAATGGAATGGACTCGAATGGAATGGAATGGAATGTACTTGAATTGTATGGAACGGAATTGAATGGACTCGAAAGGAATGGAATGGAATGGAATGGAATGGAATGGAATGGAATGGACTCGAATGGAATGGAATGGAATGAACTCCAATGGAATGGAATGGACTCGAATAGAATGGAATGGAATGGAAAGGACTCGAGTGGGATGGAATGGAGTGGAATGGACTCGAATGGGATGGAATGGAATGGAATGGACTCGAATGGAATGGAACCGAAAGGAATGGAACGGAACGGAACGGAACGCAATGGAATCGACCCGAATGGAATGGAATGGAATGGAATGGAATGGAATGCAATGGAATCGAATGGGATGGAATGTATTGGAATGGACTCGAATGGCATGGACAGGAGTGGACCCGAATGAAATGGAATGGAATGGAATGGTCTCGAGTGGAATGGGATGGGATGGGATGGGATGCGATGGGATGGGATGGGATGGGATGGGATGGGATGGGATGGATTTGAATGGAATAGAATGGAATGGAATGGAATGGAATGGAATGGAATGGAATAGACTCGAAAGGATTGGAATGGAATGGACTCGAATGGAATGGAATGGACATGAATGGAACGGAATGGAATGGAATGAACTCGAATGGAATACAATGGAATTTAATGGAATGGACTCTAATGGAATGGACTTGAATGGAATAGAATGGAAGAGACTCGAATGGAATGGAATACAATGGAATTTAATGGAATGGACTCTAATGGAATGGACTTGAATGGAATAGAATGGAAGAGACTCGAATGGAATGGAATGCAATGGAATGGACTCGAATGGAATGGAATGGAATTGACTCAGATGGAATGGAATGGAATGGACTCGAAAGGATTGGAATGGAATACAATGGAATGGTCTCGAATGGAATGGAATGGAATGGACTCGAATGGAATGGACTGCAATGGAATGGACTCAAATGGAATGGAATGGAACTGACTCGAATGGAATTGAATGGAATGGACCCGAATGGAATGGAATGGACTGGGCTCAAATGGAATGGAATGGAAAAGAATGGAATGGAATAGAATGGACTGGAATGTAATGAGTTTGGAATGGACTTGAATGCAATGGAATGGAATGGAATGGAATGGAATGGACTCAAATGGAATAGCATGGAATGGAATGGACTCAAATGCATTGGAATGGAATGGACTCGAATGGAATGGAATGGACTCGAATGGAATGGAGTTGAATGGACTCATATGGAATGGAATGGCATTGAATGGACTCGAATGGAATAGAATTATAACAGAATGGAATGAACCCGAATGGAATGGAATGGAATGGAATGGAATGGAATGGAATGGAATGGAATGGAATGAAAGGTGCTCGAATAGAATGGAATGGAATGGAATAGAATGGACTCAAATGGAATGGAATATAATGGAATGGGAATGGGAATGGGAATGGAAGGGATGGGATGGGATGGGATGTAATGGAATGGAATGCAATGGAATGGACACCTATGGAATGCAGTTGAATTGAATGGACCCGAAAGCAATGGAATGGAATGCAATGTACTCGAATGGAATGGACTCGAATGGAATGGAATGAACTCGAATGGAATGGAATGGAATGGACTCGAATGGAATGGAATGGAATGCACCCAAATGGAATTAAATGTAATGGAATGGACTTGAATGAAATGGCAAGAATGGACTCGAATGGAATGGAATGGAATGGAATCGAATGGAATCGAATGGAATGACATGGAATGGATTCGAATGGAAAGACATGGAATGGACTCGATTGGAATGGGTTGGGATGGAATGATCTAGAATGTAATGGAATGGAATGGACTCAAATGGAATAGAATGGAATAGAATGGACTCGAATATAATGGAATGAAATTGGCTCGAATGGAATGGAATGGACTTGAATGGAATGGAATGGAATCGAATGGAATGGAATGGAATGGAATGGAATGGAATGGAATGGAATGGAATGGAATGGACTCGAATGGAATGGAAAGGAATGGACTCAAATGGAATAGAATTTAATGGAATTACAAACCACAGTGATATAACACACATGCATGAAGATTTCTAACATGCCATCCTAAATTAAGTCACTGTATCAGTCAGAGTCCAAGTATAGGAAACAGTCACTACCCATGCAAACCTGAAGAGACCTTCATACAAGGGAGCTGAGGCAGCCGCAGCCTGCAGCTCTGTCTTCTAGTCTTGCAGGCATTCATTTAGTTAGTGGAAGCATATCTCCTCCCAGAGCCCAGGCTGCAAGAGTCTGAAATGGAGCTTTTAGCTTTCCAGCCTCTGTATCAAAAGGGCACACCAGAAAGAGGCTAGAATGAATGGTTGGGCACTAACAAATATTTTCACAACCTAAGCCCATACTCGCAGTTGTTTGCTGAACAGACAATCAATAAATCAAACAGCCCTTCCATGTAGAAATTAAGAAGGAAACACAACACCAAAACTCATTATTAAATAGCATTTTGTATTTGAAAACTCATTATTAAATAGCAAATAAATTGCACTAAAATACAAAATTGTAGAATTTGTATTCTGGGAAGCCACAGTAACAAATCCCTGTGACAGAACCCACGAAGTAGAGGTCTCCTGTGGGAATGATGACCGAGGCCCTCGCCGCTGCTCCACCTGCCCCTCCAGGGATGCCCTGCTTTTCCAGTTGCCCCTACTCTGATGTGCATCATGGCAGGAAAAAGTGGGCTGCTGCTTTCCTTTAATGCTTTTTGTCCCACTTTATTTTTTACTTTTGCCTAGTATATCTTTTCATTCTTTTATTTTCAACTTTTGTAAATCTCTGTTTTAGGTGGGCTTCTTACGTACAACTTGGAGTTGGGTTTCACTTTTTGATTCAATCTGAAATCTTTTACTTTTACCAACCTTCAGGTTATGTGTATAAAGTTATGTGTTTACATGTATAGATACAATGTTTGGTCTTACTTTTATGACATGTTTTTGTAGCTTTTTGAAAAAGTTTGTGTTCTCTCTGTAGTTCTTCTGAAATTTAGAAATGTTTGCACTATTTTGTACTAGGGGTTACTTTTGGAATTTTAACTCTATGTAATTCCCTCTCCTTCGGAATCCTCATACAACACATCTTAGCCTGTTAGTTTCCTGTTCCACACTGTGATAAAACTGTCATTCATCTTGCTCCTTCTTCCTTCCATCCCTCTCCTCTACAACTTGATTTTAGTGAATAACATCTTACTGCCTCCCTGTGATTATAGGTGAGACAGTCAACAAACCTCTAACCACCGACCTTTTCTCCTCTGCCCTCCACTCACACTCTGCTCCATCACCCTCAGCCACACAGCTGACGCTGTAGAGATTCACTGACATCCAGTCTGATGGACACTGTTTCTCCAGCCGAAACTGCTCATGAGAACAGTGTGTATTCCCTGAGTTCTCACATGATCAATAGTGTTTGTTTGCAGACTGGATACAAAAGATGGTTTGACTGGACATAAAATTCATGGGCCATCCTTTCTTCCTGGAGGATCCCATAAGTAAGGATTACTCCACTATCTGAAGAATTTGGAGAAATTTGAAGCCACCCTGATCTTTTCCCTCCGTAAGAGATGACATGTTTGTTTACCCATTGGGAGGTTCTTGCTTCATCTTCAGAGTTTAATAATTCCTGTAGGATATGGCACACTCATAACCTGTTCTCAGTCAACCTTCCCCAGCATAAAATTTGCCCTCTCACAATGTACACTTCCATCTATTTTTACCTGAGCAGAATTTTCCTGAACATTATCTTTAAATATTTGTTCTGTCCTTTTGTTTTGTTTTCCTGTTTGAAGATTCCAATGATAAATATGCTGGAACCCCTCTCCCTGTTCTCTTCAGCTGTAATTTTCTTTCTAGTTCCTTTTAAACTCATGATTACGGTTTCATTCTTATTAATTCTCTCATTCGTATTTTTCCATCACCTTTTTTGTGTTTCCCAAAACATCTGTCTTCTCCTGGGCCCTTCCAATCGCACCTTCACCTCTGTGGTGGTTCTCCTGGCTGCTGCCATCCTTTCTTCTGCCAACTTGACTTTGTCTCCTGCTGTCTCACTTGGTTGTACAGGTTGAGCATCCCTAATTCCAAAATCCAGAATCCTCCAAACTCCGGAACTTTTTGAGCATGGACATGATGCCACAAGTGGAAAATTCCATACTTGACCTCATGTGATGGGTTGAACAAAATTATTAAAAATACTGTATAAAATTACCTTCAGGTTATATGTATAAGGTGTATGTGAAACATACATGAATTTCGTGTTTAAGCTTGTATCCCAAGTTATCTCATTATGTATACGTAAATATTCCAAAATCTGAAAAAATCCAAAATCTAAAACACTTCCAGTTCTAAGCATTTGGGATAAGGGATACTCAACCTCATTAAAATCTCTTTTCTGTTTTGTGGCATTCCTGCACTGGGATCTTCTGCCACAGAACTGCTTCATGAGTTTCCTGTTTTTTTCATTTATGATGAACTGTCTGGTCATGATTCCATCCTGCTTCACAGACACATTTCCCACAATTTCCTTAGAGAATATCCATGCAGTGATGGTCACCTTCTCTAACAGGCATTTCAGAGTGAGGTGGGACGTTCTAGGGCACCTGTTTTGCAGATGCCCTCAGGGTGGGGGAAGGGCAGCTTCCAGCCTTCCCAGTTCCAGCACTCTCTCCCCCAGCCGCTACCTGCATGTGAATCCCTGGGAGACCCCACAGCCCATGTCTCTGAGTAAAACTGGATCCAGGAAGCCCTTTGCTTTCAGTGGTCCTCCCTGGAACTTCTGCACTCTGCAAGCTGGAGTTGAACATCTGCGACTCAGCCTCTCAGTGCACAGGGTATGTGGGGCTCGACTTCTAGACCTGGCCCTGACGAGTGCTTTTGTTAGCCTGAGCCCTTCTGCTCAGTTCCGCCTATACTATCGCTGCCCAGGCTTAGCTGCTTTTGGTAAGCCTCATGCACATTTTAGAGTCTGTGAATTGCATCTGCCTCTTATTTCTCTGAAAATGGAGTTTTTCATCCCTTCCTTCCAATTCTCCTTCCAGCCTTTCTTGATTTCCAGAATGAGAAATCATTAAGTCATATACTGAGCCACAAATAACATTATAAATGTGACAATTACATGATAATCTTTGGGGGGAAAACATTCTGTGATTTCTAACATATTTACATAAAAATATCTTACACTAAAACACACCAGTTGAGGGCACTGGCCAGAGATAAGATTAGGTTAAGGCCAAGCAAAGCTGAGAAGACCATTGTTAAAATTTCAATCCTGTTCCTTTATCTTTTCAAATTAACTGAATATTGTTATTAAATTTCTTGTTTTAGTGTCGAATAGCACCTTTTCCCTGCCTCACTTTAGAATCAATTTAGAGACAAAGGATTCAGGCCAACTGAGGTCATCAGCATTATCGCTAATAATAGCTGGACTGGCGGATGCGATTCAGATTCACACAACAATGGATTTCCTAATCTGAATCCTAGACTGAGATGAAGCCAGCCAGCCGTAAGCATTGCTTAATAACCAAAGCCTCCCCAGATAGGCTTCTTGCCCTACAGCACTGAAGACATGAAAGAAACAGACCAAAATGTACAAATATCTTTTATTCCTCAAAGGAAAAAGAAGAGTTACACATGCCTGTTTCTCACCAATAAGAGGGGTCAGGGCAGAGTGAGTCTGGGAGAGAGAGTTCTACCACCACGGTTCCCAAAGCATCGTCTAGGGGCCTGTTAGGGGAGCCCGAGGTCTAAACTATTTCCACAGTTTCACTAAGATAAGATTTTCCTTTTCCATCCTCACATTCGTTAGTGTGCAGTGAAGTGCTCCAGAGGCCCCAGCATGCTACATTACAGAAGACTGAACTCAGGAGAGATGAGGAATAATCCCCTCCATCACACCAGACACCAGGAGGGTGTGCCAAGGTGTGAGACATACAGTCCTTACTCTTTTTTTGTTTTGTTTTGTTTTGTGAGACGGAGTTTCACTTTTGTCCCCCAGGCTGGAGTGCAATGGCCCGATCTCGGCTCACTGCAACCTCTGCTTCCTGGGTTCAAGCGATTCTCCAGCCTCAGCTTCCCGAGCAGCTGGCATTACAGGTGCATGCCACCATGCCCGGCTAATTTTCTGTATGCCTGGCTAAGTTCTGTATTTTTAGTAGAGACAGGTTTCACCATGTTGGCCGGGCTGGTCTCAAACTCCTGATCTCAGGTGATCCACCCACCTCGGCCTCCCAAAGTGCTGGGATTATAGGCGTGAGCCACTGCACCCAGCCCAGTCCTTACTTTTAAATAAATGGAGAAATATTTTAAAAATTGTTTTAATTTCTAATGTGGCAAACATTAATAGATATAACTCACATGACCAAAATCTCTTTGGGGTCCTCAGTAATTTTAAAAAGTGAAAAGGACCCCTGAGACAACATTTGGGTTTGGAACTGCTGCTCCACTAGGGGAAGAGATACCAGAACAGAGAATATGTGTTCCCTGGGAGATAAGGCCTTCCCGACTACCTCCCCTCCTATCATCGAAATAAGTTTTCTACATTTCTTTAATATCATGTTTTAAAATTCCTTTTAAAAGACTGAAATCATCAGCAGAAGGCACGGGATTAGCTTAGCACAGTCAGTTTAGACTAGTTACCCACAGGGGACTACAGAATGGACATCACGAGGCATACATAAGCATAGAGGTGAGAAGGGCCGTGTTCACAGTTGACAAGATTACATTTCAGGTTAAACTGGTAACTAAGATAACAGGGAAAAAGACAATTAACAAAGAAACTGTAATCGTCCATAAGCCTAATTAGCCATAAAGCAAAGTCTGTTGGGAATTTAATGAACATTTGTTAAAAACACAAATATTATAGGAAGTTTTTTATACAGTCATGGGTCGCTTAACAAGGGGGATACAATCTGATCCGAGAAATGCATTGCTAGGTAATTTCCTCATTGTGTGAACATCACAGAGTGTATTACACAACACCTACACAGCTAGGCTACAGACCTATACAACATATTAATGCACTGAACAGCAACTGTAACATAATGGCAACTATCTGTGTATCTAAATATATCTAAACATAGGAAACGTACAGTAAAAAAAGGAAACAATCTTATGTGGCCACTACACTACACGCGGTCGGTCATTGACCAAAACATCGTTATGTAGTGCATGACTGCATATCTCCTCAAATCTGACAATTCTAAACAAGTAAAGATGTGGAAGAATTAGATAAACAGAAAGAAAGTACATCCTTCAAATAGAGAATCTGTATTTTTTTCACACATCAATAGAATATTTACAAAAATCAATTATAAAGAAGGCCACAAAGGAAAACTTAATCATTTCAAAGAATTAGAGATCTTAAAGGCCAAACTCTCTGGTGGTAATATAATAAAACTAGAATTCAATAAAGTTAAATAAAATCACAGCTATTTGAAATTCGAAGTCCACTTCTGAACACCCTTGGATCTGGGAGCAAATTGGCACTGCATGTGTGCCTGGGCTCCTGAAGGGCCTCACATACATGGGGAAGGGCAGAGAAAGAGAAACAACAACATCCACTACCTCTATTTTTAAAGTCAGCCTTACTACAAAATACAGAAAGTATTCTTCACTGGGCAGACCAAATCAACTTTGCTCAATCTTCGCCTTTGGGTTCCTTTAGGTTTATAATGAACTGTAAGCATTTACTGAGTGATTATTATAAAGGCACCATTTGAAGTACCTGATGCCCTTTTAATGCTGTAATGCCCCTGTGAAGTAGGTCTTACTATTATCCCTGCTCTAGAGATGAGAAAACTGAGGCAGGGAGAGATGAAGAAGCTGGCCCCAAGGCCACACCACTGAGGAGGGAGGGGCCAGACCTGGAGAGCAGGGGGATCCCACAATCTGTGCTTGTGCCTTCCTGCTCTGCTGCTTCCCAGCTAGCGTGTGTGCTGGACACAGCCCTCAGTGATCTCAACTTTGATTATCTAATTTTAAAAAGACTTCTCAAGTTTATTGTCTTTTACAAAAAAGGGATGTAATCTAGCAAGCCAAAGCAGAACCAAGCAGACTTTGTAGTTTTCATCAATTTTCTGGACGCTCCAGCCACTTTCCTCAGGTCCTTTAGCAATGTGTGGACTGCCCGCCCACCGCTGCCCCGAGGTAGGGAAGCACCACACTACAACCTCATGCAGGCTGGATTAAAACATGCCCTCCACTTCAGGCTTAGGAACCAGCGCCCCTCCTACAGCTCACAAGTTGCTCAAGCAGTGGTCTGTGAGAAGTGATTCTATTTTTGGGGTTGTCCCTTTTCTCTGCTTTTCTTGGGAACCATTTTGACTCTGTCAAATGTTCACTGACTTCTAGCACTGGCAGAAAGAACGTCTGCTTTTTTATCTGAAACTGAACTGTTACACAACTTATAATTTTATTTTGGTAAAAGCATTCTTAGTTGCTGTGTTTAGTCATACTCTACAAATTATCTTGTTGGTAGGATAAATATGGTGAGAATTAAAGAAAAATGAAGATGGTAGTGGACATTTGCAGACTATTATCAATACCGGCATTTCAAACTTCCAATATAATTCGGATACTTGCCTGGAGGACAAACTTTTTTTGGCATGCCGTATAATGAGGAGCCTTATATTCCCAGTGTGCTCAAACTGCCCTGACACCACCTATCCACCGTCGTCAGCAATCTATGTTCAATGTTTCTTAAAAACATCAGTTACAAGGTCAAATTTAATTCAACTGAGGTCAGACTCTCAGGGGAGCTGAGGAGCACTTCCTTCAATGGAAATGGCCATTTCTGAGTGGTGACAACACTGTCATTTCTTGGACCTTCTTTAACAAATCTGTTCTCAGGAGCATTAACATACTTTGCTAATACATTTTAATCTGGCATTTTTATGGGGGTAATTATAGGAAATGCCTGGAATTAAATAGCCTACAACCAATTCTTGGATCAACAACTAGGAAAACTGAAAAATATATATGTAAATATATCTTTTTCTGTGTAAGAAAAGTCCTGCTAACTTAGGAAATTAGAGGATATCTTTGTGTAGAATCTTTTTATAAAGTGGAAATAGGCCAGGCATGGTGGCTAACGCCTGCAATCCCAGCACTTTGGGAGGCCGAGGCAGCCAGATCACCTGAGGTCAGGAGTTCAAGACCAGCCTGACCCATATGGCAAAACCCCCTCTCTACTAAAAATACAAAAATTAGCCAGGTGTGGTGGCAGGTGCCTGAAATCCCAGCTACTCGGGAAGCTGAGGCAGGAGAATCACTTGAACCCGGGGGGCGGAGATTGCAGTGGGCCAAGATTACACCACTGCACTCCAGCCTGGGCGACAAAGCGACTCTGTCTCAGAAAAATACAAAATAAAAAAATAAAGTGGAAATAACTTCCTCTGCTTCTAACTATGCAGTTTGCTTGGAAAAAAAAAAAAAAGTAACCTGTAGGTGTAGTACAACTATCAGCACAAATGTAATTATCTTAGAGTATCTTAATAGTTCCTACTTCAAGTAGAACTTATGAAGGAGTTTAACTGTGGTAAAAAAAAAAATAATTGGAGTAACTTAGAAAACATTTATATATACAATAGTTGGTTTGTATGCTCAGTCACTCATTCATTTTAGGAATAACAAGTGCCTACTACTTGCCAGGTGCTTGGGATATAGCAGGGCCTACTGAATAAATTATTATACAACAGTAAATTAGCATTGGATTGTGTTGCTTAAAACAACACTCACCAGAGCAAACAAAAGCCTGATTAGCAATATGATCTGAAATTTTAAAAACAGCCCTTTTCAACAGTTCCATCTAATTTGCCAGGTCATTATTTTATAATGTCATATGGGATTGCTGGGTCAAATAGTATTTCTGGTTCTAGATCCTTGAGGAATCACCACACTGTCTTCCACAATGGTTGAACTTATACTCCCACCAACAGTGTAAAAGCATTCCTATTTCTCCATGTCCTCTCCAGCATCTGTTGTTTCCTGACTTTTTAATGATAGCCATTCTAACTGGTGTGAGATGATATCTCATTGTGGTTTTTATTTGCATTTCTCTAATGACCAGAGATGAGCTTTTTTTCATGTTTGTTGGCTGCATAAATTTCTTCTTTTGAGAAGTGTCTGTTCATATCCTTTACCCACTTTTTGATGGGGTTGTTTTTTTCTTGTAAATTTGTTTAAGTTCTTTGTAGATTCTGGATGTTAGCCCTTTGTCAGATGGATAGATTGCAAAAATTTTCTCCCATTCTGTAGGTTGCCTCTTCGCTCTGATGATAGTTTCTTTTGCTATGCAGAAGCTCTTTAGTTTAATTAGATCCCATTTGTCAATTTTGGCTTTTGTTGCCATTGCTTTCGGTGTTTTAGACATCAAGTCTTTGCCCGTGCCTATGTCCTGAATGGTATTGCCTAGCTTTTCTTGTAGGGTTTTTATGGTTTTAGGTCTTATGTTTAAGTCTTTAATCCATCTTGAGTTAATTTTTGTATAAAGGTGTAAGGAAGTGGTCCAGTTTCAGTTTTTTGCATATGGCTAGCCAGTTTTCCCAACACCATTTATTAAATAGGGAACCCTTTCCCCATTGCTTGTTTTTCTCAGGTTTGTGAAAGATCAGATGGTTGTAGATGTGTGGCGTTATTTCTGAGGCCTCTGTTCTGTTCCATTGGTCTATATATCTGTTTTGGTGCCAGTATCATGCTGTTTTGGTTACTGTAGCCTTGTAATATAGTCTGAAGTCAGGTAGTATGATGAAAAGATTATAAATCATTCTACTATAAAGACACACGCACACGTATGTTTATTGCAGCACTGTTCACAATAGCAAAGACTTGGAACCAACCCAAATGCCCATCAGTGATAGACTGGATAAAGAAAATGTGGCACATATACACCATGGAATACTATGCAGTCATAAAAAAGGATGAGTTCATGTCCTTTGCAAGGACGTGGATGAAGCTGGAAACCATTATTCTCAGCAAACTAACACGAGAACAGAAAACCAAACACCACATGTTCTTATTCATAAGTGGGAGCCGAACAATGAGAACACATGGGCACAGGGAGGGGAACATCACACACCAGGGCCTGTCGGGGGGTGGGGGGCTAGGGGACGGATAGCATTAGGAGAAATACCTAATGTAGATGACGGGTTGATGGGTGCAGCAAACCACCATGGCATGTGTATACCTATGTAACAAACCTGCACATTGAGCATATGTATACCAGAACTTAAAAGTATAATTTAAAAAATTTTTTAAAAAGTCATATGATGCATTTAAGAAAGTCACTTAATTTACATCAGAGGAAAATCAAAGTTTATAGACTTAGGAAATAAAGTCGTAATGAAGAAGCTCTTCACGGCTGTCAGGACAGCTACGTTTTTGGTCTCTGTCCTTGATTCCATTGTGACCTTCAGCCCATCTCTCTGGGCCCCATTTTCTTGTCTTTACCTCTTGGGTCATAAATGGATCTCCATGCAGCTGATATCCCTCTGCCTAAATCCTCCTCAAAAGAAAATCAAAATAGTGGCTAACACAGAGTACAGACTGTTCCAAGAGCTTCCTATGATGGAACTAATCTAATCTTTATAACAGTGCTCTGAGGTAGATGCTAAAATCTACCAGATACTATGGATGAGATGATGAAGTCATATGCTTGAGATCCCTGAGTAAATAAATAAGAAAGAGACAGAATTCCAACAGCGGCCGTGTGGCTGCAGAGCCTCTCTCCCTCCCTGCCTCACCCTCGAGTCCCCGCCTGGGAGGGCTCAGGGTCACTCACTAAGCATCTTTCCCATGCGCTGCTGTGAGGCTGCTGCTATTAACTTGCTACTATGGAGTAGTCATTAGTAGAAATTATGAAAAAATTTGAAAAAAAATCTTCATATAGCCAGAGATTCTAGCCTGAGATGTCTTTCCTTATTTGCTTATTATTATTTGTAAAAACAGGGTCTCCCTATGTTGCCCAGGCTGGCCTCAAACTCCTGGGCTCAAGTTATCCTCCTGCCTCGGCCTCCCAAAATGCTGGGATTGCAGGCATGAGTGACCGCACCTGGCCACCTTTCCACATTTAAGAGATCCCTGGGATACTGCGAAGCAGGAGTCCATCTCCAGACATGAGGAGCAGGTGGGCTAAAGGAAACAGGACTGGGGAGTCTTGGAGGGGCAGAGCAATGCCCAGGGACACAGAAACTTTTGAATAAAGACAAGAGAGACCGACTCTTCGCCTACATCTAAAGCAAATGAAAACATAAAAATAAATGATGGCAAGAAACTAAACTAAAAATACACTACCCCTGAAAGTATGTGACACTGGATGTACTATCTAATTGGTCTGCCACAGGTAGAGAATGAAGTACTTCAGATAAGTTAATTTATCAAATAACTAAAATTAGATATATAAACTTTACGATTCTGAAAACTTTTTTCCTACAGATGTGTGTACTTTAGGAAACACAGCATATTTAACATTTTTATAAATTTCAGTTGCACACCGTGCAGCTTTCAGGAAGCTTTCACACCGTGCACTGCCCTGCATGCACCTCCCAAGCCTCGGGCTGTTCATGCCTGGCTGTCAGAAGTCACCTCCTGGCTGCCAGAGGGGCGAGGGGGCAGGCTGTTCTTCTCAGTGCTATAAGCAAGCCCAGGACTCCAAGGGAATGATAACAAATGTGTAAAAACCACAGTCACATTAACCTATAGGCTCAGGACCCAGTTCTACTTCCTCCAGACAGCTTTTGGGTACTGGTCTCCCTCTCTGTGTTTACAGCCGTCCTGGGTTTGCTGGGCACCTCCGAGTTCATGGAAGTGCAGCTCCTCACTGCAGTTGGGACACACTCCACTTTGACAAAGGGGGTGTTATTTTCAGCAGTGGGTGAACAGCAGTGAACAAACCAAGCCCCTGCTCCTGGGGCTCAACTGGGATGGGGACGCAGACAACTTAAACACGTGACCACTGGCGTACCTAAGGGCCAGGGAATGCTGCTGACATGATGGGGGTGGCGAGGCCAAGGTCCCAGCCAGGTAGGCTTGAGTTGGTATTGCTACAACCTTGTGATCACTGGCAAACAAGATTTCATGGTGGGAGTGTGACTAGAACTGGATTTCAAAGTTTCTTGAAAGCACTAGTTAGAAAAGACAAGGTACATTGATCTGCACACAGGAGGTGCTCAGCGACGCCAGCACTGATGGGCTCCTCCTGCCTTGAGTGAAGAGCATCTGCCCCTGGACAGTGAACAAAAGGTGGGGCCATTTTATGCCTCCAACAAGACATCTGGCTCAAACTCAACTTCAAAGATTAGAGTAAAAACGAAACTTCCATTCCAAACTACTTATCTTTATTTTGGCAACTGGAACAATCTGTAATTGAACACTAAATTCTATTACTAACTTTTATCCTAAGACTGTGTAGTAATTATTGATTAGTCTCCGTTTAAAGTTGCTGTTTAGATGGAAAAAATGATTTTACATAAAACATTAGTTGAAAGATACAGGCTGGGCATGGTGGCTCACACCTGTAATCCCAACACTTTGGGAGGCCGAGGCAGGTGGATCACTTGAGGTCAGGAGTTCAAGACCAGCCTGGCCAAAATGGCGAAACCCCATCTCTACTAAAAATACAAAAAAGAATTAGCCAGGCATCGTGGTGCATGCCTGCAATCCCAGCTACTCAGGAGGCTGAGGTAGGAGAATCACTGGAACCCAGGAAGCAGAGGGTGCAGTGAGCAGAGATCGTGCCACTGCACTCCACCCTGGGCAACAGAGTGAGACTCCATCTAAAAAAAAAAAAGATACACATTAAGTTTTTCACACAAATTCTTAAGGGCAGATATTACTAAATGCCATTAGAAAAAAAGGAAACCTTTTATCAAGCATTTTTTAAAAATGCTTCTACATTTCTTATTTATAGGTATTCTAATAATACTGCGTGACATTACGGACAACTTAGCCTAAATTATGGAAAATCAAATTATTTAGTAGAACTGCAAGACAATCCTCTCAGTTGTTGTAGTAAGTGTTGCTATAAACATTTAAAACAGCAAAAAAATACCAAATACCTGCACAGTATGTATGATAAATGCATATGATAAAGTAAAAAAAAAAATAGCACACACTGAAAGAAAGCCAACAGAAGAGGGCACTGGGCATGGGCCAGGGAGGGCAAGAATTGGGATGGGGACATGGAGGAGCCCAATCCAAGGCAAGACACAGGTTCAGGCTTTACCACAGTCACAAAGGCTGCTTCTTGTTTTTGTTTTTAGCAGAAGGTAAGCATGAGCAAATTACTTTTTAGAGGTAACTTTGCTGAACTTGTGAAGAATGGTGTGCAAGGTCCAGAGCGACTGCAGGAGAGGGAAGGTGGGATTCCCACAGAGCAGGAGCACAGATAAGCCAAGCAAGGCCCTGCTTGGAAGGCAGCAATCAACAGAGATGCACAGACCTGTGAGGGTGCCGGGACAGCCATGCAACAATGCAGCCCTTTTGCTTCCTGAGCTCACCAGTTCCCTCGCTCCACCTCTGAGAGGTGGTTTGGAGAAACACAGCCCTTCTCAAGAGGGCTGCAAGGTAAGTTTAGTTGGTACATGAGTGCACAGCACATTTTAATTTTTATAGTTATGCATTTATTTTATATGTACTAGACAAACGACCGACAGAAAATTTACCATTTCACAGGTATTAGTGTTTAGGATGAGGCTAAAGTAGGTATTTCTGTTTAAAAAAGTAAATTTGAAGAAAAGCTACCCAGCAAATTATAGTAGTATGTGGTACACAGACAAAAAAAAAATTATGCAGTCGTCCAAATGACTGAAACTGATAAAATGCTGGTCCTGGTCTATGGATTCCCCCTCTGACAAAGCACAGAATACTCGCACCTTCTCCAGAGTCAGTGACCAAAGATGAGAGAGCAGGGCACCCAGCACAGAAACCACCAGGAGCCAATGACTTCCTCCTGTGCTCCATCCTACTCTCTCACTCACACCAGGAATTAAATCCTTTTATGTAGACAGATGGTCAAGAATTGCTACTATAAAGCAACTCAGTATGGTCTGAACTATCAGAGAGCTACATGGAGAAATAGCTACTGCTAAACAGACCTCTCTGCTGATGTTTTTCCCAGCTACTTAAGTCCTGAAAATTTCCACAAGGCTGAGTCAAATCTGCGTTTCATCATCTATAAGAAAGGTACCTATCGAGAACACCCTGCTGGCCAGTGTGTAAATATCTAAAGGAGGACTCAGAAAACACCGGGGAAGTCCAGCCTGCACGTGGTGGCTGGGCTTCAGTGAAGCATGCAGCACAACAGGAGTTGTAAGTAGTAGTTACATCAGCAGCCCTGGAAATTCTGCTCAGAACCAAACTGAACAAATAACATTATCTAAGGCTTACAATTATTTAACTCCCTAAATTTTCTGTCCTCCCAGTAGCACTTTCAAATGCCTAAAAGCAATTAAAAGAAACATTTTTCCAATGTCTCACAGAACCATTAGAAACACAAAATTAATAGCTTCATAAACTATAGCTTCTATTTTATCCATAATAGAATGAAGGTGCATAAACCACATAGTAATTAATCTTTGGACAAAAGCAAACAATAAATGGAATATATGGCTAAGATCCTTTCTTTTTGAGTGTGGCCCAAGATAAAAATTTCTTCCAAAAGGGTAACATTAATGCAATAAGGCTTTTGTGGAATTCTATTTTGTACGAAATTCCTGTTTTCTATTAGCTACTTCTTCCTCTGTGACACAAGCCTCATTCCTTGTGAAAAACACGAAGCAGAAAACATTCGTGAAATCATCAGGTAAAGATCCCATGACCGTTCTATCACTGACACAGTATGTAGGTACATGGTACAACCCCCAAGGGACCACCTTGTGGCATCCTCAGCAACCACAGAGCCACAGGGCAGATGAGTGTTTGCTCCCACTGAGGCTCTGCAACCTCTGCCACCAATACTGGAGAAATCCTCCAACCTCACTGTTTTCTCCTGAACTTGTTCCCTTCTGTTTTTCGATTAATACACAGCAAACAGGCACACCTTCAAGCTGCCAAAAGCATCTTAAACGTTGTACACTTACAATCTTCAAAATATAGTTGTTCAAAAGAGTCATCAAAGTAGTTTTTGAAATAGAACACTTACTTTGACCACATAATTGAACCTTCGGATATCTTGAATTGCACTTGAGAAGTCTAACCGATTAAAGGCTTCTCCCAAGGTGCAATAGCCATGCCTCTGGAAGAGCAACACAGAATTTAAAATTAGTCAATTAGCCAAAAAGAATTGGCAGTTAATGTCAATTAATTGTGCGATTAAAAAAATTTTTGGCAAAGGACAATTTGTTTTTATTTTGAAGACTGATTTTAGATTTAGATGAGAGTATAGTAAAATTGTAGCAATGCTAATAATTTAAGCTGTTTATGTATACCTGAGACACCATTAACTGACATTTTTTACAACCTGCTGAAGTAATGACAAAGACAAATATTTATTAAATATCTTGCTGGTTTGTTTTGTTGGGGACAAACTGGGGTGTGGACGATGTTAAAGCTAAGATCATAAAAAAACTGGATTCATTCTAGGCTACGCAACTAAAAATACATAAATCATCTGATTAACTGCATTGTAAGGATGTAGGTGTTACAAATATCTAGTTGAAACACAGGATTTCTCTGCAGGGGAGGCATGCACTGCCCGAGTTTGAAGTGTAACATGGGATTTCTCTCCAGAGCAGCCATGCACTGCCCAGGCTGGAAGTATGCTCAACCACAAGGGTCAGGGCTGGGAGAGGCGCTTCGGTAGCAAGAAGGTGCCTCTGAAAACCAGCATTGGGATGGAGAGGGCTGAAGGCAAGTGCTGGATGTGACCACGGGCAGCTTTCAGGCTGGGAGCACGGATGCCAAGAACCCAAAACACCAAAAAAACTGGTGCTTAGACCCACAGGTCCAAGAACCGAAGGAAGAAAATGAAACAATTTATTTTCAGTACTGTAAACACTGCTGCTATTCTCTTAGATGTTTTTCTTCCATGATATACCCTTATCCTGTATTGGTTTGTATAGATTAGCACATTAGGTTTCAGAAGTCATTTTAAACTCCATCTTCATCCTCCATATTTGAAATATTTAAAATCTACAGATTTTCAGGTCAAAGTTGTAGAGATAAGTAAGCTAGAAAACAATAATAGAAAACATGAGACGATTGGTCTCAAATTCCAAACAGGTGACTTGAGATGTCCTAGAGAAAGCAGCTGGAGCCATAGCACCTTTGTCTCTAACAGCCGATACACTCAGAGGCTCATGTGCTTCTGTGCGCCAACCCCAATCGCCCTGACGGGTGCACAACTCAACTAAATATACTCATTTAAAACATCCAAATATGTTGACTGAGTGCCTGCTATGTGGAAAACATTTTCCTGGGAACTCTGGGGAAAGGAAACACTCATTTTGATATAGATTATAATCTGAAATCCATCACAGCTGATATTCCACACGATGGTGTAGCAGACACTTTCCAAGGTCACCACCCATCTCACAAAAGGAAATTAAATCTGATTCACAGAGCAGACCACAAAGAGCATGTCTGGACCTAGAACCACAGCATGTAACCTCGGAAGCAGTGAGACACCAGCCAGCATGGACAAGCAGCAGGCACTTGCTCTATACCAGGTGAGGGTGTGGAGACATGACGTGGTGCAGGGACACCAGCACCCAGTCCTAGTTCTGGTCCCTCTCAGCCTTGTTAGGTCCTGGTTCCTAAGATTCCAGGGAACATCCCCACAGCCTCACAATAAGATCCTCCTTTCCTGCATATGCTAGCTTGGATGGGATCCTCTGTTCTGTAATCAGTATGGCAACAGAGCAGATGAAATATTTAATGGTCTTTCATGAGCACTAAATTTTGTTTTTTACAAACTAGGTTAGATTCTGTCAAATAATCGTCTAATGGTGTATTCGAGTGTATATTAAGGATCTGATTCATTCTATACCCACTAACCATAACCAAACAGATTAAGTTTTCTTTCTCAGAATCTAATCCTTCAGTTTCTTGGAAGCTGGACTAGTTTCAGAGCATCTACAAACATTTCTGGAATATTTAACTTACCCTGAAATAACAGACGATAGACAGTAATTCCCTAAATTATTTTCCCCAGTTGTTGCAAAATAAAGCAAATGCAGAGTTTCTAGGACTATAAAAGGAACTCAACTTCCCGGATCCTAGTAAAGAAACAGGAAACAGCTTGAAGCTCTCTGGTTTGTTTTATGGCTCATGAAAAAGCTTTAGCCCAACTTGGCAAAAGAAAGGCAGGGAAAGAGTTCATATGGCTCTGCACAAACCCAACCCAATTACTAATTTCATGTTAGCCACTCTTTATGTGGAATGAGAGGGCTCACAGATGCCCTGCCCTCCAAAACACGCCACAGGGAGGACACATTCCCATCAGCATCAGGGGTTCATGCTAACACAGAGAAAATGCGTATGACTGCAGGAGTCCATGCTTGGTTTAAATAGCCCTGCTGTTGACTCAGATATGTACAGGTAGGCAGGAACCACACACTGTACACATATACCACATGCCACCACACACCATACATCCCACAGACCAATGTGTGCATAAATACATGCACAACCATACATACACACCATACATACAACACACATACACCATACACACAACACACACCAATGTGTGCACAAATACACAGCCACATACCACATGCACATGCAAGCACACACAATGGAGAATCACTGCCTCAAAAGCTCCTCATATGCTATTATCTGTCAGAATGTGAACCATAGATCTGATATTGCAAAAGAAATGTGTTTTATGCAACTTTATTAATACATTTATTTAATGTGACTCCATATTCAACAGAAACAATCCAAGATACTCTCTTATTTATAATAGAATACTTACTTCTTTTGTGCTTTCTTTATGGACATAGATCCATTTTTCATGATAAAAACCTAGAATAAAAATTACCTTTGTTTTTAAAATCTGGCAAATCATTTCAAAATGAAGATTTTAAAGGAATTTAAATAATTGGACATATTAACAAAATTATCTGACTTACTATATTGACAAGAAATGCTTTTACTTGGTTGAATGCAAACAGAATTGCTTTGTTTCTTAAATCAGTTTAAGATATGAACAATGATTTCAGACAGTACCAAGTCCTAGTAACTTAGAAGAAAATTAGTATTATTAATGACTGAAGCCATATGAAGACATAAATGATTATAAAATGCAATTACATTACTACATTCCTATGTACCCTAATAAAAAGTTCTATTCTTCTGTTGCTGTGTATAGTACTCCATAGAAACAAATTTTTCAGATAAATCTTAAAAGTTTCAAGAATCACACTAACTGTATTCTCCATGTGACCCTATCTTCTTCATAAAGTAGTCCCCCCGTATTCACAGTTTCATCTTCTACAGTTTCAATTACCCACAGTCAGCTTTGGTTTGAAAACATTAAGTGGAAAATTCCAGAAATAAACCATTCATAAGTTTTAAATTGTGTGCCATTCTGGGTGGTGTCATGAAATCTCACACCGTCCTGCTCTGTCCTGCCTGGGATGCAAATCCTCCCTTTGTCAAGCGAGTCCTACACTACCCGCCCCTTGGTCACTCAGTAGCCGTCTTGGTTATCGGATCACCTGTTGAGATATCACAGTGCTTGTGTTTAAAGAACCCTTATTGCACTTCATAATAGCCCCAAAGTGCAAGAGCAGTGATGGTGGCCATCTTGCTATAACTGTTTCATTTTATTATTATTCTCGTTAATCTCTTACTGCACCTAATTTATAAATTAAACTTTATTATAAGTGTGTATATACAGAAAAAAAAACATAGTATCCATAAGGTTTGGTAGTATCCACAGTTTCAGGCATCCACTGGAGGTCTATCCCCTGAGGTAAGGAAGCCTACTATACATTAACATGTGTCTTGGTAACTCACAGATATGCTGCATGATAGAACGCTATGCCCTCTCACAGATAGGTCCCACCTCCAGCCTTCCCCTGCTGCCATCTAACATCCTAAACTCCAGCTCTGAATGTCTGTCTCCTGCTCTGAATCTTCAGTGACTTCGAAACTCAAGTCAGGACACCTCTCAGTTTGGCCTCACTGCTCAAGATTGAGCTGAATTCATGACCATAATTCAAGCATTCAGATTCATGGGCTGTTTTGTGGGTTTTGCTATCTCTTATTTTGTTTTTGCACATCTTACCCACTGAAACGTTGGGCTGCAAAAAGTTTGATCACTAAATATGTAGGCAATGCTGGATACTGGGCTGTTATTTACATATTTGTATCACCTTTTATTTCATAAGATAGCATTGTCAGAGTAATTTAGTATTTCAACATAATCAACAAGTAAAATAAAATTAATGAGAATGATCTTACTTTGAGTATTTGTGTCATTTCTAAAATGGTCCTTTTTCCTTTTTTTGGATGCATATTCATGCTCTTCATTATTGACTATTTCTCCATCTTCACTATTTAAGATACTGAAATAAAGACATATTCTATTAAAATATTTTTTCAGGGAGATCTTCATTTGGCTTTTCTTTTGTAAAAGGATACAAATACTTCAAAGTGACAGACTGTGGGCTTGAAATCACAGGGGTAATGTCTAATACATTTTTGTTTCATTTTGAGAAATAAGATGTATCCTGGTTCTTTGAGAATATTGTACCAGAAAGTGCTGAACATGTTTTAGAATCTCTGAAGGGTCTTGATATGCTTATCCAAGGTAGTTTCAAACATCAAAATGGCTTATTAAAACAGAGATTTTTTTAAAAAACAACTATTAAAACTCCAGAAAAAAGATGGTAAGAACATGATGATACCCAATACTGACCAATGACTTGATGTGTCCCTTACCCCATGCTGAGTAACCACTCAACATTTCTGTTTACTCCCTATATGTTTAAGGGTTTAACTGAAGTTAATTATTACTGCACTGAACATGTTTTTATTAAGCACCAACCACATACACTGTTAACACATTTAACTGGAACCAGGTGAAGTGACATGTATATTTTTACTATTTAAATACGTTTAATTAAAAGCTGTTCTTTGTGAAACAAGAAAATCAAATCATAAGGCAATAACTAAACAATGGGAACACCTTTTACTTTTTAAAAAAATGTCTTCCTTACAGAAAAAAAAAACCTGTAAATAGTAATCCACATCCTCAAAACTAAAGATGTGTAAAATTTTTATTTTCCACACACTGATAACAGATTTTCAGTGTAAAGTGAGGAAGGAAGCTCTGTGGAGACAAGCTGGTTGGTGGAGGCATGCAAGAGTGGTGCTCAAATCCAAGGAACTAAAATTGCTTATTTGCCGGTCATCGTTCTTTGACAAGAAAATTGTATACAAGCCCCTTTCCACTCACCACTATTCACTTTTAGTAAAAAACAGCTGACTTTGCCAAATGAGTCACTTTCTCACTGTCAGAACAGACTTAAACAGCAGTGCCAACAGTTGTAAATCATCAAGACAAGCAAAGCACATTTGAAAAACATACAAACAACTGAACTTTTTGTGGCAGACATTATAACAGCAATTTATGGAAATGTGTTGATTTATGGAAATGTGTTTGTATTTTATATTTAGTCTTACACCAGTTTGTTATCATTGATTGAAATACTGAATGTAGAAGCTTTAGAATCTAAAAGGGTTTTCTAACGAAAATTACAAACATATCAAAGGAAAAGCACAAATACAATGTTCTCCAGAAATAGTGTCGCAGAAATAAAGACAGAATATGGAAGGAGACAGGATTGCTGACTAATCTCATATGTACAGGGAGAACGACACTCCATGCAGCTTAGCTCCAACATGTGAGCGTGGGACAGAAAAGCAAGGTGAACCTAAAGACATCCCATGGACACACTGAGCTGGAACCAACTCTGCCCATAGGTGGTGGGGCCAGGTTCAGATGCTTGCAGTAACCGCATCCTCCTGTGAATCTGGGTCTACATGGCTGTGGCTC
Source organism: Homo sapiens (assembly GCF_000001405.40). Taxonomy (NCBI): domain Eukaryota; kingdom Metazoa; phylum Chordata; class Mammalia; order Primates; family Hominidae; genus Homo; species Homo sapiens. The sequence continues at coordinate 811,664 of NC_000001.11, forward strand.
CCTGGGGGCTACCCACACTGTGGATTCCACAGGTGGAGGTGACCTTCTTGGGCACTGCTGGGACACTTCCTGGGCCTGCCTGGGCAGTGGTAGGGCTCAGAGAACTTCAGCGTTAGGGCCTTGGGGAGTCTATGTCAGACTTGAGGACCAAGCCTGGGCTCACAAATGACAACTAGGCTACTATTTTTACAAAGTATTTTAAATGGGGAAAAAGCCATTATTTTTTGGTTGTGGGTTTTACACTGTCAGGTAAACAAAAATGTACAAGTAGAGAAGAAAGATGAATGCTTCTGAAATTTAAATTTGACACATTAAAATGTTAATAAAGGAGTATTTAATTTATAAATCTTTCTATTCTGCATGTGTCAACTACATTTCATAGCAATCAACTACATGTCATAGCAAACATGTTCTCTTTTTATAACCTTCAAGACAAACATCACCTACTCTGACTTAAAAACAAGGGAACCTGTCCAACAACTTGATTAAAAAATGTCAAACAACTTCAACAGACACTTCTCCAAAGAAGAGACACAGCAGCCAACAAGCCCATGAAAAGATGCTCCACATCACGAATTGTTAGGTAAATGCAAATTAACACTACAATGAGATACTACCTCACGCTCATTATGAGGCTACTGGCAAATTAAAAAAAAAAAAAGAAAGTTTAACAAGTATTGACATGGATGTGGGGAAACTGGATCCTTCGTGCAATGTTGGTGGAAATGGAGGATGGTATAGCTACTATAGGAAACAGTATGGAGGTTCTTCAAAAAATTAAACACAGAATTACCATATGATCCAGCAATTCCACTTCTGGGTATATATTCAAAAGAACTGAAAGCAGAGAATGAAAGATACTTGTATACCCACATTCATAGCAGTATTACTTGCAACAGATAAACATGGAAGCAACCCACATGTCCATCAGTGGATGAATAGATAAGCAAAATGTGGTGTACACTATACACAATATGGAATATTATTCAGTCTGAAAAAGGAAATGCTGACACATGCTACAATAGGGCTGAAACTTGAGGACGTTACGCTGAGATAAGACAGTCACAAAAGGACACATACTGTCTGATTTGACTTATGTGAGGTACTCAGAAAAGTCAAATCATACAGACAGAAAACAGAAAGCCAGTTACCAGGTCTGGGGGTGCTGGAGAATGAAAAGTTAGCGTTTAATGGGGACAGAGTTTCAGTGTGGGAAGATGTAAAAGTTCTAGAGAAGGATGGTGGTAATGGTTGCACAATAATGTGAATGTACTTAACACCACTGAACTGTACATTTAAAAATGGTTAGGAAGGCAATTTTATGTTATGTGTATTTTGCTGCAATTAAAGATAAACAGTGTGCAAGAGAGGAGAGGAAGTAGCAGCTTGTCTTGTTCATGCTGTCTGAGGTGCATGTCGGAGGGATGGGGTGGGGGCGGGAAGTGTTAAAAACAAAGAATAGAACGTTATACAACACAAGCGGAAAACACAGGGCACAAACGCACTTGTATAAAACACAGAGTTTCCATAAACTTAAAACATGTCTGAATGATGGAGCTAACAGCCCTTAACTCCCCACACCCAGGCTGCACCACAGCATATGTCACCCCCTTGCTTGCAAATGTGCCCAAAAGGCAATGACATTCCAAGTTTCCTCTGACAAGCCCAAGGACAGGGCATGAGTTTTCCAAGTTCCTTTCCATTCAAGAAAAGGAAGAGAAGAGAATAGAGAAGAATCAACAAAACAACTCCAAATAGAAGTAAACGAGAGCCAAGAACGGAACTATTTCTCATAATTAAACCCCAATTTCTATAAATTACAATCCTCATTCTAGTGATGACCTATAATAAGATTTGCATTTTCCTCTGATGGTATTTCCCTTAAGAGATGGATAACAAGGTCTTAATCTTCATCTCCCAGACCACTCTAGGGTTCTAAGCACAGGCTTTACAGAAATGTGCTGTTATGGGCCATCATCTTCAAATCATTTCCACACAAGTCTAGGAAAATAAGACAGGCTAGGATAAGCCTCCAGTTTTTAAAATTGCTAATCAAGGGCATCAGTTCTTAACTATATTGCTGTAAGATATGTCACAAAACTTTTGTTACCAGTAAGAAAAATGACCAACATTTGTGAATGATTTAATTTTTAATAATTATTAAAGTACTACACTACACATAATAAAAAATAATACATACTCATAAACTCAACTTCCCTGAGTTGCCAGTAGGAAGCAACCCTGCCGAGCCCTTGATTTTGGATTTCTGGCCTCCAGAATTGTGAGGACATACATTTCTGTGGTTTTAAGCCACCGAGTTTGTGGTTATGGAATCCCAGAAAATGAATAAAATTATCTATCTTTTCAAGCTACTTCAGTTTGATATTGATTATGAAAGGTACATATATGCTATCAAACAGAAGAGACTTTAGGGAGAAAAAATCTCGCATAAATGCAACAAGTTGCCATGACTCTAAGTGCCAAGGTCATATAACATGCAGACTGTGATAATTTCACCAAAACCAAAACAAAGTGGAACAAATCCTCAGACACAGTTGCTGATAATTCCCACCCTGGCCTCCTCTGACATTTCCTTTCGATCAATTTGGCTGCACCTCTTCTGTCAAGCAGGAGCTGGACGACATTTTGGTCAGCTCCTCCCCAGAAGGGAGCTACAATCTCTGCTCTAACAATCCCCAGTTGTTGTCTTAAGTCACACTGTGTTCATCAATGGCTACCTACTAAACTTAGCTTTTTATCTGTACATTTTCCAATCAGGTCGTATTATTTTCTCCTGGTAGGCAAATGTTTACGTTTATCCATTTTCCTGATATAAAGCTACTTCGTATCAGTGTGTTATTAGTCTCTAATTATAAGAAGATAATCCAGAAGAGAAAGTCCAGTCAATTTTATATAAGTTAAAAAAAAGATGTGAAACCTATTTTCAGAATTAACATTTCCTTCCTAAACATCTAACACGACACACTTACGGACTCTTAACACACCCTTATTACATGAAGGAGCAGCAGAGCAGAGGGCGGCAAGAGCACCAAGGCCAGGTGGAGCCACAGCCAATGTGGGCCCATCTCACTCCGCAGGGAGAAGCAACTGCACTGTGCACAGAGTGCAATCTGGCAGAAGGGAAACGCCGTCTTAAAGAGCTTCAGATGCAGCAACCTTGAGGAAGGGCTGTGCCAGAAAGTCCACCAGATGAGGCCGCAAACCTATCAAAGGGCATCAGACACTCTGTGCACAGGGTACACAAAACAATGCCTCCCACATTCTGTGACTTCCTGCGCGTGCCACTTGGACCACCACACTCCCTACCTGCACCATCTTACCTGGACAGACTAAATCTCAGCCACCTCATGACTAGGATATTAACATGGCTTCCAGTTCTATAAATTCCTCCCCCTTAAGAATGCATGTCTGTAAAATCAGAAATGATGAAAACTGGACTCGTGAGTGGCTTTGTAGTAGGGATTACAGGTCCAGAATAGAATAGGTTCAGTAACATATTTAAGATATTTAAGGGAAAAAATATAAGCCAAAGATTTAACATCTAAATAGTGACTATCAAGGGTAAAAGTCACACATATTTTTTATGAGTACACACAAACACAGGAAGTACGGTGACCAGGAGCTGAGGGATGACCCACTAAAGAATAAGCTCCGGAAACCAAAATGACTAGAGGCAGATGCAAAGGTGAGCTGCAGGTGGTCTGTATTTATCTGTGGAGCTGCTGGCACATGACGGTGATAAAAGTGCAGCATGCCATGGTTACCAGCTTGGACAATGCAGACAAAGAACAACCACCAGAGAAGTGGTAGGGGCGGGCAGAAGATGTGCAGGGGCCAACTGGGACTGGGGTGTCCATCAGCTAACTGCAGTATCAGGTACTATGGGGAGCCAACCAAAGAAACTAAGTGTTTGCTATAAAGGCATTAGGATAAAAGTGGAAAAAAAAGAGGAAGAAAGCCCTCTTAAATACCAAAAGGGTAAAAGCAAATAAAATAGAACAAGGTGGTTCCCTGTTATCTGTGATGTAAAAAATGGACTTGGCTCACCTATTAAATGGAAAACAGTCTTGGATTGGCTCACAAAGCAAAATCAAACACCATACTGCATATAAGATATACAGCTATAAAAGGCTGGGAAAATATATAGAGAATTTATAGGACTCAGAAAAAAAGTAACTGTCACAGGAAACTTTATAGCATTAAATACCTATATCAATACAAATTTAAATAATAAAAATAAATTATTTAAACATATAACTGAAAAAGCCAGAAAAAGAATAAGTGAACCAAAAGAAAGGGGTGAATTATTACAAATAAAAGCAGATATTATTAAGTAGAAAAAGAATAGAACTAAGAAGTAAATCCAAAAGCTGGCTCTCAAGAGAAAATAATCAACCAAAACAAACCACTAGGTATCTGATTAGAAAAAAAAAAAAATAAGAAAGTTACAAGTGCTAACAGAAGAAAATTTAAACATTGTAAAAGATAAGGAAAAGAAAGAGATAGAGAGAAAAACGTGTAGATTAAAAGAGACTTTAAAAACATATCAAATTTTAAGAATAAAACAACACTAAACTATAGTGTCTAGGGATATACACTTGGTGATAAAACTATAAAGATTAGGGAAATGATTACCATAAGAGTTTGGGAAGTGGTTATTTTTGGGGAGAGGAAGTAGGTTATAATAGAAATGGGACATGTGGTGGGCGCTTCTGGGATGATTGATAAAGTTCTATTCCTTGACCTGGGTGTGGTTACAAGGATGTTTCCTTTATAAAAATGAAGAAAAACATTAAAAAATCATTACAGGCAACTTTATAAAACTCTTTGCAGTAAGTTAGAAGTAGATGAAACATTTTTTAAAAATATTAAATTTAATGCTATTCCAATACAAAATCAAGTTTTTTTCTTAGAGCTAAACAAGTTAATTATAAAATGCATTTAAGAACAAGAAGAAACTATCCTAAAATTCATATGGAATGAAAAGAGAGCCCAAATAGCCAAAGCAATCCTAAGCAAAAAGAACAAAGCCAGAGGCATCACACTACTCAACTTCAAACTATACTATACAGCCCCAGTAACCAAAACAGCTTCTGTACTGGTACAAAAACAGACTCATAGACCAATGAACAGAACAGAAAACTCAGAAATAAAGCCACACACCTACAACCATCCAATCTTTGACAAGGCCAGCAAAAGCAGCAGTGGAAAAAGACCATACTATTCAATATATGGTGTTGGAATAACTGGCTAGCCACATACAGAAGACTGAAGCCAGACCCCTACCTTTCACCATATACAAAAATTAACTCAAAATATATTAAAGATTTCAATGTAAGACCTCAAACTGTAAGATCCTGGAAGATAACCTAGGAAATACTCTTCTTGACGTTGGCCTTGGCAAAGAATTTTTGGCTAAGTTCCCAAAAACGATTGCAACAAAACAAAATTGGCAAGTAGAATTTAACTAAATGAAAGAGCTTCTGCACAGCAAGAGAAACGTTTGACAGAGAATACAGACAACCTACTGAATGAGAGAAACTATTTGCAAACTATGCATCTGACAAAGGCCTAATATCCAGAATCTACAGGGAACTTATGCAAAAAACGTTCACTTTCTGTCTGTGTTCACGTCACCAAGAGAATAGAAAGGAAAAGGGAAGAATGCAAAAGTCAAAGACACGTCACCCTCCTTGAGACAGCCCTCCAGTCCAGGCCAAATCTCAGCCTGCCCTTGGTCCGCTGTGGTTGGGCCTGCACCCAAGCCATGAGCACACGCAGCAATTGTGGCAGCAGAAGCTTCCTCTGGGCTCAGACTCAGGCTGATGCTGCGTCAGGACCTGCCGCGGTCTCGGCTGGGCTTCCTGGGACTCGGTGGTTGTGGGCTGATTGTAAAGCACGGAATGACTCTTAGAAACTGGGCGTCATTCTTTGTGGTTTTCCAAGCTTGGTCTCTGATGATACTCCAGGTCTTAGGAGACATGCTGAATATTTATTATGCTTACATTCAAGCAACATTAACCCTTAAGGTTGATGTAGCTCCCCGTCTTTTTTTCCCAGAAGGAGGAGCACTGAAGGAACACTTTTCCAGTATGGATTCTTTCCAGCTCCGAGAAGCTGGAGGCACACGGATCCCTCGGCCAGCTCTCATCTATGGACGTGCTGTAGTCACAAGGACTGTGACTAAGGCTCAGTCCCTGAGGACTGCCTTGGCATGGGCTGCTTTAGGCTGTAAACACCCAGTTTTATCCACTTTATGTGAAGAAAGCCAACAAGGGGCATGGAGTGAGTTCCGCAGGTTTTAGCGGCTGCGGCGGCTGGTGCTCAGTGGGGATGATGGCGGGAAGGCGCCTCCCTCTGTGGGCCCCGAGGTCTGTGCGGGAATCAGCTCTGCAGCTGTGTCCAGGGGCAGCCGTAGACCACACACGGCAGGCTCACAGCTCTGTTCCATGAGAACTTTATACACAAAAGCAGACGGGCTGGGCTTGGCCTCTGGATCATAATCTGCTGACCCCTGGGTAAGAAATTTTAAATATTTACTTATTTCTGTTCAACAGAAGGGGTGATATACTGAGGAGTGAATAATGGGAAAGATCTGATTCGGCTGTATCAGGAAGGACTGGTGTAAATTCAACTTATTAACTGAATTCACAGTATTCGTGTTTTATGCCTTTAGGGGTTAAAAATGGGTCACACACGAGCAGCATGCACTTCACTGGCGTGGCAGGGCACCTCAGTGTTTACATGTGTGGTTCCCATGCTTACCAGGGCTGGAGGCCCCTGTGAGTAGTGAAGTGCATGTGGAGTTCTGGATACTTTTCCTGGCTTTCTCTATTTGTGTGAGCTTGTGCAGTTAGAGGTTTGGGCTGAATTTGGGTAGAAATGGGTGGCTCACAGGCTGCAAAAGTTCTGTGGACACTTTTTCCCCCAGCTGATTAATGTTGTAAATATTAGAATATTGTTACATAAAAGTCTGGATTTTTAGTTTCTTTCACATTGGAATAGCTGCCAACATTGGGCCTGCATTCATCTCTCTAGGGCAACGTCGGCTGCAGCTGAGATGGCTGCTCCCCGGTGGGGTGTGTGCTCGGCCTGCAGTCCCCGCCCTCCGGACTCCATTCGCCTCCACTCTCAGGTTTGCACCTCGTCATTGTCTTCTAATTTTGCATCCCTGGACTGCGTGACCTACAAGGCTCTCAGCACAACAAGACTCTATGATTCTGTCTATTGGAACAAAAAGCCAGTGAGGCAAGTGTATCATCCTGTTGATGAATTCACAGCATTAACTCTGGGAGTTGGGGACAGTGTGTATTCTTCCTCCAGACACTCTCTGTTTCTCCTGGATGGAAAGGTTCTGCTACTTGTCCCGTGGTCAGGCCCAGCCAATGGAACGGAATGGAAGTGACTCTGCCCCTTATTGGCAGAAACTTTAAAAGCCGCACAACGTTCCTGCACCCTCCCCTCTGCCATGAGCCTGGCAGTGCTCAGGATGGGAAAATTATCTCACCTGGGCCTGAGGATACAGGAGCTACCCCCAGCCTGCAGTGGAAGAGAAGCATGGACAAGTGATTAAACTTTGTGTTTTCAAGCCACAGAGGTTTTTTGAAGTTGTTTGCTACCATGCTTTGTCCCTACAAACACAGTCATGGAGAAGGCCAGTGGCAGAGCCTGAGCCGTTCGCGCATCTGTTCACCAGTATCCAGAATAACAATAGATTTTTGAAACATTCCTGAGAAAATTCTGGGAGTTGCATACCGGCCAGTCTTATTCTCTAAAGTTGTTCCTTCTAAAGGGTGTGATGACCGAAAATTTCAGAAAAGCAAACCACCGCTGAAAGGCAACGTTATTTCTGTTGGCAGAAGGCGGCCTGAGCAATCTAGATTTTCCACGGTTCACCAACTAGTTTTTAAGGAAATATGGCTGTGAGAGGAATAAAACATGATTCCTACCTTTAAGGAACTCAGAGAAGTGAATTAAAGGAAGTCACAGATCAGACAACCAACCACACAAAGTTTCTAAGAGCAAACTGTTCAGGTCGGCAAGTCACTCTTATCCACTGTTTTGCCTTCTAAGGTTTCAGTTACTCTCAGTCAGTCATGGTCCAAAAACATTAAATGAAAAATTCCAGAAATAAACAATACACACGTGTTAAATCATGTTTCATTCTGAGTAGCTTGATGAAGTCTCATGCCGTCCCACTCAGCCCCACCTGGGGTGTGACACCTCCCTCTGTCGAGCAGATCCACCCTGTCTATACTACCTGCTTTTCCAGGAGATCCACCCTGTCTAGACTACCTGCGTGGCCAGCAGATCCACCCTATCTACACTACCTGCTTTTCCAGCAGATCCACCCTGTCTACACTACCTGCCTGTCCAGCAGATCAACACTGTCTACACTACCTGCTTTTCCAGCAGATCCACACTGTCTACACTACCTGCTTTTCCAGCAGATCCACCCCGTCTACACTACCTGCCTGGCCAGCATATCCACCCTGTCTACACTACCTGCTTTTCCAGTAGATCTGCCCTATCTACAATACCTGCTTGTCCAGCAGAACCACCCTGTCTATACTACCTGCCTGTCCAGCAGAACCACCCTGTCTATACTACCTGCCTGTCCAGCAGATCCACCCTGTCTACACTACCTGCCTGGCCAGCAGATCCGCCCTGTCTATACTACCTGCCGCTCCAGCAGATCCACCCTGTCTACACTACCTGCCTGTCCAGCAGACCCGCCCTGTCTACACTACCTGCCTGGTCAGTATATCCACCCTATCTACACTACCTGCCTGGCCAGCATATCCGCCCTGTCTACACTACCTCCCAGCCCAGCAGATCCGCCCTGTCTACACTACCTGCCTGGCCAGTAGATCCACGCTATCTACACTACCTGCCTGGCCAGCAGATCCACCCTGTCAACACTACCTGCTTGTCCAGCAGGTCCACACTGTCTACACTACCTGCCTGTCCAGCAGGTGCACCCTATCTACACTACCTGACTGTCCAGCAGATCCACCCTGTCTACACTACCTGCCTGTCCAAAAGATCCACCCTGTCTATATTACCTGCCTATACAGCAGAACTACCCTGTCTACACTACCAGCCTCCCCAGCAGATCCACCCTGTCTATACTACCTGCCTGGCCAGTAGATGCATCCTGTCTTCACTACCTGCTTGTCCAGCAGGTCCACCATGTCTACACTGCCTGCCTGGCCAGCAGATCCACCCTGTCTACACTACCTGCTTGTCCAGCAGGTCCACCCTGTCTACACTACCTGCCTGCAAAGCAGATCCACCCTGTCTACACTACCTGGCTGGCCAGTAGATCCACGCTATCTACACTACCTTCCTGTCCAGCAGATCCAACCTGTCTATACTACCTGCCTGTCGAGCAGATCCACCCTGTCTATACTACCTGCCTGTCCAGCAGGTCCACCCTGTCTACACTACCTGCGTGCCCAGCTGATCCGCCCTGTCTACACTACCTGCTTGTCGAGCAGATCTGCCCTGTCTACACTACCTGCCTGTCCAGCAGATCCACCCTGTCTATACTCCGTACCTGGCCAGCAGATCCACGCTATCTACACTACCTGCCTGTCCAGCAGATCCACACTGTCTACACTACTTGCCTGTCCAGCAGATCCACTCTGTCTACACTAACTGCCTGCCCAGCAGATCCACCCTGTCTATACTACTTGCCTGGCCAGTAGATCCACGCTATCTACATTCCCTTCCTGTCCAGCAGAGCCACCCTGTCTATACTACCTGCCTTTCGAGCCAATCCACCCTGTCTATACTACCTGCCTATCCAGCAGGTCCACGCTGTCTACACTACCTGCTTGCCCAGAAGATCCACACTGTCTACACTACCTGCCTGGCCAGTAGATCCACGGTATCTACACTACCTCCCTGGCCAGCAGATTCACCCAGTCTACACTAACTGCTTGTCCAGCAGGTCCACCCTGTCTACACTACGTGCCTGCCAGCAGATCCAAGCTGTCTACACTACCTGCCTGGCCAGTAGATCCATGCTATCTCCACTACCTGCCTATCCAACTGATCCACCCTCTCTTTACTACCTTCCTGTCCGGCAGATTGACCCTCTCTACTCTACCTGCCTGGCCAGCAGATCCACGCTATCTACACTACCTGACTTACCAGATCCACCCTGTCTACACTACATGCTTGTCCAGCAGGTCCACCCTGTCTACACTACCTGCCTCTCCAGAAGATCCACCCTGTCTATACTACCTGCCTATCCAGCATATCTACCCTGTCTACACTACCTACCTGCCCAGCAGATCCACCCTGTCTTCACTACCTACCTAGCGAGCAGATCCACCCTGTCTACTCTACCTGCTTGTCCAGCAGGTCCACCCTGTCTACACTACCTGCCTGTCCAGCAAATCCACTCTGTCTACACTACCTGGCTGTCCAGCAGATCCACCCTGTCTACACTACCTGCCTATCCAGCAGATCCACCCTGTCTATACTACCTGCCTGTCTAGCAGATCCACCCTGTCTATACTACCTGCCCATCCAGCAGGTCCACCCTGTCTACACTACCTCCCTGCCGAGTAGATCCACCCTGTCTACACTACCTGCCTGGCCAGAAGATCCACCCTGTCTACACTACCTTCCTTGCCAGTAATGCACGCTATCTACACTACCTGCCTGGCTAGCAGATCCACGCTGTCTATACTACCTCCCTGTCCAGTAGACCCACCCTGTCTATACTACCTCCCTGGCCAGCAGATCCACCCTGTCTATACTACCTGCCTGGCCAGCAGATCCACCCTGTCTATACTACCTGACTGGCCAGCAGATCCACCCTGTCTACACTACCTGCCTGCCCAGAAGATGCGCCATGTCTACACTACCTGCTTGTCCAGCAGATCCACCCTGTCTACACTAGCTGCCTGTCCAGCATGTCCACCCTATCTACACTACCTGCCTGTCCAGCAGATCCACCCTGTCTATACTACCTGCCTATCCAGCAGATCTACCCTGTCTACACTACCTGCCTGCTCAGCAGATCCACCCTGTCTATACTAACTGCCTGGCCAGCAGATCCACGCTATCTACACTACCTGCCTGGCGAGCAGATCCACCCTGTCTACACTACCTGCTTGCCCAGCAGGTCCACCCTATCTACACTACCTGCCTGCCCAGCAGATCCGCCCTGTCTGTACTACCTGCCTGGCCAGCAGATCCACCCTGTCTACACTACCTGCCTGCCCAGCAGATCCACCCTGTCCATACTACCTGCCTGGCCAGTAGATTCACGCTATCTACTCTACCTGTATGGCCAGCAGATCCACTCTGTCTATACTACCTGCCTGTCAAGCAGGTCCACCCTGTCTACACTACCTACCTGGCCAGTAGATCCACACTATCTACACTACCTGCCTGTCCAGCAGATCCACCCTGTCTATACTACCTAACTGTCGAGCAGATGCACCCTGTCTATACTACCTGCCTATCCTGCAGGTCCACCTTGTCTACACTACCTGCCTGCCCAGCAGATCCACCCTGTCTACACTACCTGCCTGTCCAGCAGACCCGCCCTTTCTATACTACCTGCCTGGCCAGCACATCCGCCCTGTCTATACTACCGGCCTGTCCAGCAGATCCACTCTGTCTATACTACCTGCCTGTCCAGCAGATCCATCCTGTCTACACTACCTGCCTACCCAACAGATCCACCCTGTCTACACTACCTGCCTGGCCAGTAGATCCATGCTATCTACACTACCTGCCTGGCCGGCAGATCCACTCTGTCTACACTGCCTGCTTGTCCAGCAGGTCCACCCTGTCTACACTACCTGCCTGCCCAGCAGATCCACCCTGTCTACACTACCTGCCTGGCCAGTAGATCCACGCTATCTATACTACCTGGCTGGCCAGCAGATCCACCCTGTCTATACTACCTGCCTGTCCAGCAGATCCACCCTGTCTCTAATACCTGCCTGTCCAGCAACATTAGTCCTTAAAAAAAGCAAACACACAAAATCAGTGTCTATTTACAACAGCCAAATATTATGACTACGATTTGAAATAAATTTGTAGACCCATGTAAATAAATTTTAAAACTCAATGAGGATATAAAAATGACATGAATAAAGCCTGAAAATCATATTATTAGAATGGAGGACATAGTGACATAAAACCTCAGTGACTGTAGACTCAGGGCAACCTAGACTTAAAAGTCCCATGTGGTCTTTTACATGTAAAAAATGAGAATTAGTCTAAAAGTCAATTTTGTCTAAATTTTGATTTTTGGTGAGTATACAGTCAAAATAGTTGTGAAAAGAAAAAAATAAAGTTGTCAAATTTCATGTAACCTATGTTATTTGGAAATTTAAAATAAGTTATATAAATATTTATAACAATGTTAAACAATTTCATAAGTGGACTGAATAAAACATAATATTTTATCATATACAATAGCTCCTGCCTTCCTGAGGAAAACATAAAATCAAAGGGCGTGAAGGAAGGATTTTGGTTTCACTGCAGAAACATAATAAGACACCGAAGTGTGTGTTTGTGTGTGCGTACATATATTTAAACTACAGAATATAAAATAGCATCTAATATACATCAAAAATGAGTTTCATAGAAAAATTCATTTTACATATATGTCTATAAAATAATAAAATTTATTCAGCCTCACAATTACTTTGTGAACTGGAAATAACAATGAGTTGTCATTTTATCCAAATCTAAAAAAAAACATACATACAGTATCAAGTTCTGGTTAAAGTAGTAGATGTACTTTACGTGGTACATAAGAGTATCTATACAGTTTGTGGGCTGCATCTTGCTAGAATATATTACATTATAAAATGCACCATTTATTTACTCTGCGATCAAACCCCCAACTTGCCCCAAGTGGAGGAACCCTCAGACATTTGCAGAGGAGTCAGTGTGCTAGTAAGCAGCATTCTTTACAAATCTATGAACATCAAGGTCTCCTTGGAACAGATGCTCTGTGAACAATTTATAAAACTCCCTCCTGTTAGACACTTAGGTTGATTCCATTTTTAAATCAATTACTGAATAAAACACACTCCATCGTGTGGATGAAATGCTACCTTAATTTGTCAAAGCTATCATTTTCTAAACTTTTCTTTTTAATTCAAATCATTAATAATTTGTGACCAGATCAATACTGATTCATTGTTTTAAGCTTCAAATGCATTATACAGTTGGGCAGAACACATTTCCTCTCATCAATCTTCTTTTCCAGGATTTGTCAGGTATTCCTGACATTAATTCACTACTAATATGCACAGTTTCTCTAATCATGGTCAACAAAGATCTGACAGTGCATTGTCCCTAAACGATCCATACTTGCCTCACTGACACCATGTGGCCCACTTCCCATCTATAATCTATGTCTGGGTGTGAAGCCCTTCCCATATGATCCCCCGAATGGAACTTCACAAGTTCGAATTCACTGGGTCACAGTGTGATAGTGTGAAGATGGGAGGACGTTAAGGGAAGGCTATGGGTGAGTTGGGAAATGTGTTAGGCAGGGTCAGAGATTACCACATCCTAAAAACAACACTTAAGGAGGGAGATGACAAAACAATCAATGAATAACATGACTTTTTCCAGTGAAAGTGCCATATCTAATCCTTTTCCATTTTTGTTCTCTGAGCTTCTTTCTTAGGGAAGATCCTTCTTGAGAAGCCCCTGCTGAGTATTAGGAAAATGCATTTCAGGACCTCTCATCAACACATCCTCTTTCTTTACCACAACCACATATATGGGGGCATAACTCAACATGTGTAAAAGACAATCTTCTGCTTTTCACTGAACCTCCAGGAATTCAGGACAATAAACGTCTACATGGAGACCAACAGGTGAGTTTTTCTGCCCCTTCTTTCATAACACCGTTCTTCCCTAGTGAAGTCCACACACATCCTTACATGGCAGCTGTGGGTATATCAACTGGTCTGACCCCTTTTAGTCACAGAGCCTGAAGTCTCTGCTAGTACCTGCTGAGCACAGGGTCATGGGTGAGAATGGGCAAGTCTTTTTCTTTCTCTGGTTCCTGAACTTCCCAGGCTCTCTCACTTCTGGATCCTGAATACCCAAAAACCAAGCTTCCTTCCCAGAACCAACACCTCCTCCTCATTAGAAAGATACCTTTGTTCTGTGCTTACTTTATAAAGTCTTGCTCTTTCCCTATCCACTGCCTTGTGTCAGTATGTGTGTGTCTTGGGGCCGGTGGAAAGGTGAACAGAAGCCAGTAGAGAGTAACCAGCACCAGCTTCACAGGAATGGCATGACCTTGATACGATAGCGGCAGTTTTCCCTTAACATCCCTGCCCCCTAAAGACTTCAGATCATATGTCACACTCTTAAGTAACAGCGATTTGTCTTTCACGGTTTTAATCATATTGATTAAAAGCATTTGTCTTCTCCAGAACATCACATTAAGTCATCAAAAAATATAAACCTTAAAAAGATGTAATTATTGGAACTGAAAAACATAAAAGGTGAGCTTTGGAAATATCTTTGAGCAATTTATTCGTTATGAACACATGTAATCTGTTGGAACAAAGTTCTAGGACAATCCAGGTCATCCTTCAATATTTGCAGAAAACATCACAAAGAAAACTTGATACTTATACTTAGTTGGAAACTTTATGCCACAGCCATTAAATACAGAGATCATACAAAGGAATAGAGGAAGCTGTTGAATACTAAACTAACTCAAATCATCAATATCCTTACGGAGTGCACACTGAATTAATGTAAAAAGCATTTAGTAAACAAAAAGTATTTTCAATATACAATTAAGACTGAAAAGTATTGAGGCCTCATAAGCTGAACCTGACACAATAAATTTAAAAGGGAAACTAATTTGGAAATCAGAAAACCACTAAGGAATTTGGGAATTAGGCTTCTGCTGCCCTCTCTGCTACTGACGGTCAAGGCCTCCTCATTGTATTCTGTCCTCCATATCTCTGCTGATTCCCATTTTGTCTATTTCCATTTACCCCACTACTGCTTGCTCAGGTCACTCTCCTTCACTGTCGGTGTTTGTTCAAATTCCTCAGACCCATCCACTTCCCATCTAAACTTCCCTCCCCTTTTCTCGCTCGTTGGCTCTACCTCCCTCCTCTCTGTTTTCTCCTCACTCTCCTGCCCCACCTCGACATCCACAGCGAGGCAATGAAGAAGCCCCTGCCAAGGAGGAGCCCGCTTCTCAGTGGGACACCGGGAAGGTAGACACCCAACAGTCACCGCTAGTGGGAGGCGATTGTGCAGAAGCACGAGGGTTGTTACAGGATCGGGCAGGTCCCCTACCCCAGTCTCGGACTCAGGGTCCTGTCTGAGGCGGCCACCCCGAAGCGTGGGGTTTGCGGAGACGTAGGGCCTGGCGGAGGGAAGGACGGGGAAGCATCTCAGGGAGGACTGGCGTCTGCCGAATCCCAGGGCTGCCCTGAGGGGCCAAGAGGGGCGAGGGTGGGGACGATGGAAGACAAGCCACATGCCGAATGGGGACCTGAGGCCGCGCGCGATAGGATGGGCGGACGGTGAAGAGAACTAGGGTGGAAGGGCCGGACAGGGGCGACCTCAGTGACGGAACCGGACACAGACGCAGATCTGGCAGCTGAGCGACAGGCTTCGGAGCATTTCCGGGCGTCGCGGGACTCCCCGCCGACAGGAGGGCGGTTGCCGAGCCTGTGACATCCGCGGAGACCAGCAGACCCCGGGTGTGGAGGACGCCGCAGGGAGGGGACTGCGTGGCTGGGTTTGGCCACAAAAAGCGGAGGGCACTCACCCGAGCGGACCTTGGCTCCGGATAATCCGTTTCCGGGTCAACAAAAAACGTCGCGCGAGGGGCGGGGCGCGTACGTGCAGGGAGGGGAGGCAGAGAAAAAGGCGGGGCCGGGCCGGGCCGGGGCGGGGTCTCGGGCAGGGGCGGGGAGCTTACCGACCTCCCGCCCCCGCTGCGCGCGTTTCTGGCCCTGCCAGTGTCTCCGCCGGTTGAAAGCGCGTGTCTGCGTCGGGTTCTGTTGGAGTGCGTTCGGTGCGCCGTGGGTCCGCGCTGCTTCCACCCAACTTCCTGTTAGGTAAGAGGCGCGTGAGGCTCCTGTGCCGGGGGCGGTGCTGCTCCCGAGTCGGCGCGCGGCGGGGACGCGAGTCCGTAGGTGCTGGCGGGAGCGAGAGTCGGGTGGGGACCCTCGCGAGCCCGCACTCCGCCTCTGGGTAGCAGCCTCTTCGGCCCCACACGGCGTGACGCGCGCTCGGGCTCCGCGTTCGCGTCGAGGCAGAGGCGTAGTAGGGGTCGGGCCCAGGGCTGGAGGGGCCGGGACCGGGCGGGGTGCCGCCCTGGACACCGCGCCGGCAGCTGTTCCGCGCGGGTTCATGTCATTCCTATTTTCAACCTGTCCTGCTCCGCACCTGAGATGATTTATAAATTCGGTACCTTTGGGACAGGCGTGGATGACATCCCATAATTTACTTCGTTATTAATTTCTAAATGTAATACATACCACTCTCTAAAAGTATTTTTTAATTTGAAATATATTTGTATATATGTACATATATATTTATTTATTTCTGAATTTTGTCTCCAGTACATATAATGAGGCTTGTAAAGTGGATAGTGTTCAGGACATAGGTGGATTTTGCTTTTAAGTAGTAAAGACTTAATTGGTGACTTACTGGGGCTATTTGATAAGGATTTTTTTTTTTAAATGAACATTAAAAACAGTGAAATTGTATTTCCGGATTTCATTAGCTTCATTTATATCTTAATTGGTGAAAACTGTAAGTTAATAACTCATTTTTATTTCCTTTGGAGATTCTTAAGTTTGTGCTACCAATGATTATTTCCAAAAAAAGGCACACTTCTGGTTTTCCCAGAACTAATGCTAGCTTCTCAATCTTTTGAGTTTACTTGATATTAATGTTTGACCTCAAATCATGTCACATTTTTGAAGAAAACTTTCTCTTAGCCAGTGGAACATAAACCACCCTGGAGTTCATATAGAGGAGGGGTTCAAATGCCTCTGATAGTGTCGTGTTAAAACTCATGGCCAAACCCAAGGTCACATAGCTTTCTTTCCATGTTTTCCTCTAGAATTTGTATAGTTTTGTCATTATAAAATGGGTCTTGTCCTAGACCCCAAGAACAGGTTTTTGGATTTCACATGGGAAAGACCTTTTGGCAAGTCACAGAGTATAGTGAAGTTAAGATAGTTTATTAGCAACTACTCAGCTACATAGCAGGGCGTCCTCAGAAAGCAAGAGGAGGAATGCACCTGTTGTAAACATATAATTTTTTTTTGAAACAGTTTCTCTCCTGTCACAATGGCATGATCTCGGCTCACTGCGACCTCTGCTTCCTGGGTTCAAGGATTCTCCTGCCTCAGCCTCCCAAGTAGCTGGGATTACAGGTGCGTGCCAATATACCCGGCTAATTTTTTGTATTTTTGGTAGAGACTGGGCTTCACCATGTTGGTCAGGCTGGTCTGGAACTCCTGGCCTCAAGTGATCTGCCTGCCTCGGCTTCCCAAAGTGCTGGGATAACAGGCATGAGCCACCCGGCGCCCGGGCTTAATGTTTGTTTATATAGGTTATTAAGAATCAGTTTGTGACAGGCTATTAGTATTGTTACTTCTCTTTGTTACTGTCGATTTTAACATCAATTTATGTGTGTACTATTACCTTTAAAGTAAAACTTATTTTTAAACTAAGAATGCTGAGTGGTGTGCTGTGTGGGTGTACTGTGCTGGTGTTCTATGCAGGTGTATTATGCATGTGTGCTGTGAAAGTGTATTGTGGGGGTATATTATGTAGGTGTGCCATGCAGGTGTATTGTACAGGTGTGCTGTATAGGGGTGGTATGCAGGTATATTGTGCAGGTGTGCTGTGTAGGTGTATTATATGGGCATGCAGTACAGGTGTGCAGCATCTGAGCTCCGTCTTCACCTTAATCCCGAACACTCTTTTCACCTCTCACCTGCACTGCAGTGCTGTTTCCTGGATCACACTTTTTTGTTTGTTTGTTTAATTCCTCCAGGAGAATGAGTGTATAGGAAATAAGGATTTCTCTTCACATTTTACTTGACTAACAGTTTCTCTGGTTATAGAATATATTTTGGATTTAAAGCTCTCTCTGAATTTTGAAAACACTGTTTCATTTTCCGCTTGCCTCCTATGTTGTTCTAGAGAAGCTCAATCGCAATCTCGTCCCCCATCCTCAAGCGATACACTTCTTTTTTCTTTATTATCTTGAAGCATTCAGGGTCTTTTCTTCATTTTTGGCTTTCTGAAATTGCAGGACAATATGATGTAGGTTCGTTTTTATCTCTGTGCTAGCTCTTTTCATTTGGAAACCTGTGTTGCGTTCTGAATGCTGTGGTCTGAAAGTGTACCTTCAAATTCATATGTTCACACTTAATGGCCAAGGTGATAGTATTGAGAGGTGGGGCCTGAAGGACGTGGCTAAGTCACAAGGGCAGAGCCTTCACAGTGGGATCAGTGCCCTTAAGGAAGGGCTGAGGGCCTGGGTTTGCCTTTTTACCTTTTCACCTCCTGCCGCGTGAGGGCCCAGCCACAAGGTACCATCTGGGAAGCAGAGTCCCAACCCTTGCCAGACACTGAGCCCACTGGTGCTTTATCTTGGACTCCCAGCCTCCAGAACTGTGAGAGATAAATTTCTGTTTTTTATAAAGTACTCAGTCTCCTGTATTTTGTTGGAGCAGTACAAATGGAGTAAAACACTAAGACATTTTCTGGAATTCTTTGATTGATAATTTTTTCTTCTCAGTCTTTTATCTTGTCTCTTCCTTGAACACATTATTTCTGGTGTTGAACATTCCAGACCACTTCTCCAATTTTCTTATACTTTTTTCTCCTATTTTTCACCTTTTAGATCTCTTTTTGTTGTTGATTTACTTTCTGTGAGGTTTACCAACTTTATCTAGTACAAGTTTTATGGAATTTAAAAATTGTTTCAGAGTTTAAGTTCCCAGATCCTCTTTTTTTAACTGTTCATTTTTCATGACTTCCAGTTCTTTAGTGGTGACGTATCTTTTCTCTCTGAAGACAGTATTTACAGTTACTGGAATTCCTTCCTGCTCTCCACCTGTCTTTGGTCTGTTTTCCTTTTCCCGTTTTGATCTCTGTCCTTCATGGTGCATCCTCCTGTTGACTCCTGACCATCTGTTCACATGGGGCTGCTGTGGGGTGACCGGGCCACGCAGTCTCCCTTGGCAGCTCTCAGCTGTCTGTATCCGTCAGCATTTTCTCTTGGTCTGGTCAGGTTTTCCCAGAGGGGACAGTCCGTTCTCCAGCCTGGGACAGAGGTCAGGGACACATGTGCTCCCTCCCTGGGTTGGCTCTTTATATGGTGAGTGGCAACTGGTTTTGGACCTCTCTCTTGCAGGCTGGGTCTGTGGGATGTAATTAGAAAGCAACTTTATTTCTATTCACTTACATTTATTCATTGGAGGAGGAGTTTCTCTTTCCTAGGGTACACGTGGACATGCCTATGACTTTTCTGCTTTGTCTTATGTTTAAAAATGTCCTTCAGTCATTGCAGGTCACAAGCAGGCTATCAGCTCAGTAATTAAAATAATTCGGTTCTTCATAGTGAATGTAATTCTAAATTAGATTTTAAGTTGTAACTCCCTGCTTCAGCAATGGTGATGGGGCCTAGAAACCAGAGCACCTGAGCTCCATCCTACAGGGGGCCATACCGGGATCTTTCCATTTTCAGAGGCTTCTCTCTGACAGTGAAGTGTGATGACAGACTTGGGGGCAGGGCAATGGCTAGCTTCTGAAAGCCGCTGGCACTTTAGTGATAAATTTAAATTAAGTGACGGGTAGTGAGGTGTTTGTCAAGGAAAGTGCCGTCCAAATGCTAAATACTGATTATTTCTGCAGCAGTGACTGCAATACCTCACTCAATCTCTGTCTTTCTTGAAGAAGTCATAAATAAACACGATGAATCTATGTAGAAGCGGTAAGTCAGAAAAATCTGTGTGTTTCATTACATAAACAACGGTTTATCATTAATTGACAGGCTTGGATTGGGAGTTGTTAATGAAACTGATGAGATGTTGGACAGATGAGCTCCCTCTTATTTCGAAGAGCTTATCTAGGGCTGAGTCATGGGACCTGATAGCGTCTTGTGGTGCTGTCTTCTTGTAGATATATCCGTGTTTTAGAGGATTTAGTTTTTTAAAATTTCTCTTAGAATGTGAATTTTACAAAAAAGCACTTCCCAAATGGATGATTATTTGAAAAATGAATTGTCAGACAAAACTGACACATCAGTTATGGAGAAAACCCTTCAAGAACTGGCTTTAAATGTGTTTTAGTGGGAGCCACAGTGTGGAGAGAAACAGAAGAGGGAGGAGAGGGCGCCCCTTGTTTCTTCTCTCCACAGCCAGGCCTTCGCCACCTTTCTCAGTGTCTTCAAGAATAAAATGCCTCCGTTGTTGGTTTTAGCTGCTTTTCTCCCTCGGGGTAGGTAAAGTGGTTCCAAAACGACAAGCATCCTGTAAAGTCGGAAGAGCTGTGTCAACATTAAGCTGCGTGACTTTGGCTATGAGGGAAAAAAGGCTGGTGAGTGCAGAGAAGACAGAGCTGTGGCAGGGCTCCTCCCGCCAAGTCGCCATGGAGAGGGGCTGTGAGGTGTCCTTAAACGGCCTGGTCTCCAGGGTGACTCAGGAAGGGCTGAGAGTGGTCAGCTCCCTCACCTGCTAAACCCGCAGCGCCCCGCTCAGCACACACCCTCCACTCTCCAACCTTGCCCAAGTGCTGGTCCGTCACGGCACCAGGACAGGGCATGGAGACTTGGGCTGATTCTTTTCTCTCCCTTCCTCCCTCTTTTTTTTCTTCTCTCACTCCTCCTTTTCCTTTCCTGCTGTTTCCTGCTCTCCTGTTTCTGTCCTGCAGTGTCTGGAGCTCCAGAGAGGCTGGCCCTGGGGTGGGGTCCACATGGACATGGGCGTAAGCAGGTTTGATGGTCATGGGCATAGGCAGGTTCGATGGCCAGAGTTCTTTCAGCTCACAGTAAGTTTTGTTTTGTTTTGTTTTGTTTTGTTTTGTTTTGTTTTGTTTTAGATGGAGTCTTGCTTTGTCGCCCAGGCTGTAGTGCAGTGGCGTGATCTTGGCTCACTGCAGCCTCCACCTTAGAGCAATCCTCTTGCCTCATCCTCCCGGGTAGTTGGGACTACATGTGCATGCCACATGCCTGGCTAATTTTTGTATTTTTAGTAGAGACACGGTTTCACCATGTTGGCCAGGCTGGTGTCCAACTCCTGACCTCAGGTGATCCATCCGCCTCAGCCTCCCAAAGTGCCGGGATTACAGGTATGAGCCACTGCACCTGGCCTCAGCTGACAGTAGGTTTTAGAGCCAGATATTTACACACTAACTTGCCAGAAACATATATGACTTTATTATTCTAATTGATTTTAAGAGATATTATGAACTCAAATCCAAAGTTACGTCCCACCTATCATGACAATTTCATTAAGGAAAAAGTCAAACCATTTTGGAAATGATTTAAGTGAGCAACTTGGAAAAATTTTCTACATTCCTAACTTACTTTCCAGGGGATCGTTCCTGACTTAACATCTATCAGGTGTCTTAGCTTAGCTCTCTTTTTACTTCAGGTTTTTCTTGCCTCCTCAGTGTGCTGGGAGTCCCACTCCACTCAAATGCCCTCAGGTCTAATAATTAACTTCATTGCAGGCTCCTGGCAGGCCTGGGTGGGCGGCAGCTGCATTGTGCTCCTGAAGAAGATTTAAGTTGGGTTTGGTGAACTGGTAGAATTTGCATTTTGCTGTTTCTTTCCCTCTCCCAGAATTTGTACCTTTAAATAGGTTTTTTAGTGTCATTAAGTATATCAAAAGGAAACCCAGTGGGGCAAATTGGCCGGGCTCCATAGAGGTGGCCTTGTCTAAGCCTTTCATCTTATCGATAAGGAAAGACAGGACCAGAGAAGTCGCCGACTGTCCCTGGTCCCACTGCTTGGTTTGGGGCAATTTCCTGAAAATAATATCCAAGATGCAAAGCATATGGCTCTGGTGAGACATGTGTGAGGAGCTGAGAATGAGACGGCTGAGTGTCGGGGGCAGATCACGAAGGGCTGCGCTCACCATCAGGAGGTCTGGACTTCGCTGTGAAAGACACAGGCCCTCATGTACGTCCAGGATGCGGTGACAGCGAGGCTTGCAGGAGACAGGTCCCTGCTGTGTGGGGGTGAAGCTGGAGGCAAGATGATGCCTGGAGCTAAGAGATGGTCACAGGAAATCCGGCAAGAATTAACGAGGACTGGACAGTGACAGGCAGGCCAAAGAGTGAGAGGAACTTCACTGGCAAGAGCCAACAGGGCTTGTTGATTTAGGAGAGGAGACAAAGGACTGAGGGGTTTGGGGGCTGGGGCCTGGGAGGGTGGAGAAGCCACTGTCTGCATTATGGGATGCAGGAGGAGAAGCATTCAGTTCTCCACACAATGAGTTCCCTGAGAGGTGTCTCAGTGGGATCGTGGTGCAGTTGGAAATGTTCATGAGAAAGATGAGAAGCGGCACCAGCAGCAAACATCCAGGAACCCAGAAACCATCAGCACAGGTGCCTGCTGAGTCCCATAGACCCACTAATGGCCCACCAGGACCAACCAGGAAGCAAGTGTGGAGCTGGGAGTGAGGGAGCTGGGTGTGGAGATCAGGGGGAAGACTGTCATCTAAAGGGCGAGAGTGGGAAGGATGGAGTCATCTGTAGCTACAGGGAACCACCATTAGTCAGTCCTTGTGATGAAGGTGCAAGATGTTCCTGCTTCCGCGCACGTCGCTCCTGGGCTGTGGGCAAGTTTGGAACTGCTGTTGTTCCCCAGCATAGTCTCAAGCGAGTGGAATGACGGTTTCCTATAGAAGCACAGTTCCTACAGGAAAGAAGGCGTGGTTAAGAGCATGAGGGCCAAGGAAAAGGAGGGGATTAGAGATAGCCAGCAGTGAGGGAGACGGTTCCAGACACGAGCCGAGTGGGCAAAGCAGGGAATTCAAGAGAGAGAGGAGCATATATTACGCAAATTTTAAATTTTTTGGTAGCAAGCAACCTAGCAAAACTAGCTGAATCCAAAGGGGATTTATTGGCTCACATCATAAAAATCTAGTGAAAGATTCTAGCTGAAGTCATAACTAGATATACGAGTTTAAATAATTTTGTCAGAAACTGTTTCTTTGCTGCTCATCCACCTATCCATCCACCCATCTATCCAACCCTCCCTCCCTCCATCCACCCATCCACCCACCTACCCACTCACCCGTGTCTTTATCCATTGATCCACGTGCACATCCATCCTTTCATCTCTACTTTCCTCCATCCCTCTCCCTTGCCTCCCTCCCCATCCATCTGCCCATCCCTCCATCCACCTCTTCATCTCTCCTTTCCTCCCTCCCCCATCCCTCCACCCCCTGTTCACCCACCCATTCATCCATCCCTGCATCTTTCCGTCCACTTCTCTGTCTTCTTGTCTCTGCTTCTCTTTGTATTTTGTTCTCACTATTCTCTATTTCATAAGGCTTCCTGAAAGCGGCATCCATTTATTCCTTGTAGCAAGATCCCTAGAGAAAGACTCATAATTTATCTCTCAGTGTTCATAAACTCTCAGGGCAAGTTTTATTTGGCCTGACTTGGATCACCTGCCAATATCTGAACGGATTGCACACCCAGGTAATGGAGTATTTTAATCACTGCAGACCCCCCACCCTCACCTGACCAGTGCCCCACAGCAGGACCACGAGCAGGGCCAAGGTGTCTCCAAGGTGCTGAGGAGCTGAGCGCTCAGCCAGCCCACGGCCACGATGGTGTGCCTCCGAAGCCACGCGGCTTACTTCACAGCCAGGATCCGGGATCAGGCTATGTCCCATGCAGCCTGATGAAGGGTAAAAAAGAGCCCAATGCAGAGTGCTGGGGAAGCATAGAGAGAGCCGGGGCACCTGACCCAGCCTGGGACGGTCAAGGGT
Source organism: Homo sapiens (assembly GCF_000001405.40). Classification (NCBI taxonomy): domain Eukaryota; kingdom Metazoa; phylum Chordata; class Mammalia; order Primates; family Hominidae; genus Homo; species Homo sapiens. The sequence goes on from NC_000001.11 coordinate 835,690, forward strand.
GACTGCCGTGCAGGAGTTGGCATCTGAGCTGTTCCTTAATTAGAAAGCCTGGCACAGAATGAAGAATGCATTCCTCAAACTGAGTCAGGGTGCAGGGATCCACATGACCGTGCTCCTCTTATCCTTAGGAAGGGACAAGAGACTTCTATCCTTTGGCCTGCAGCTGCTGAAATGACCCTTGCAAGTACTGAATCATCTTTAATGAAAAAATACACTAATATGCTGCAAATTTGGAGCTTATCCTTTCAGTCCAATCCATGGGGAAGGTGTGAATTAAAGACCCTGTGCGTGTGCTGGAGGCATCGTGGACTTTTGTTCACGATTTCCTTTCCTTTTGATGCTTCAGTTATGGTGGTTGCAGCTCTATAAGCTGTGTGATATGGGCAATTCCTCTCACCTTTTGACCACTATTTTTCTTACTAATGAAATGAATACATACAAGAATACTTGAAGTTTAAATAATGAAACATCTGATACTCACAGGCACTACAGTATTGGCTGAATTCTTAAGTGACTATAGGACACCTTTAAGCATGTTCTAGGGCAGGATAACCAAGGACACCATCTCACGTGCCAGGAAATGAGGGGCCTGTGTCCAATAAGTCCCTGGCTCCATGTGGCTCTGCTGTTGCCCACTTCTCTTGGACCCTGGTTGTGGTCTTCCCTTGCCACGGGGCCTTTGCTGGTGATACTCCCTCTGCCTGGAGTACCTCCATAATGTCCACTGCTGGGGCCTTGCCCATATTCTCTACATGTGGCACTGCAGTGCCCCCCCAGCCAGCTCCCAGGGGCCAGTGCCCCCAGTTCCTTGTCCAAGGTCTTTGTCCCGCAGCTAAAACCCAATCTGCTGCCACCGGCTCCATCCACAGGCAAAAGTTCCCGGGAATAAATGCGTCAGGGCACAGCCCTCAGGAGACCTTGGTTACGGACATCTATCCATCTCCTCGCCCTCTGGGGTGAATACATCTCAGGTGCACTCTTTTGGGTGTTTCTTTTTGCTTTTGTTGTTTGCATTGGCTCCCAGAGTCTGACAGTGGCAGAAGGCTCCAGCTGCCCACAGTGGTGACTGGTTTTAAGCGTACCCTTTGTTGGCCATCTTCCTCTCTCTTGGAAATAAACAGCCTGCACTCCAATCCTTGTCACAGGGTCAGCTCCTGAGGGATCTTCTTGGCCTTGCTAATGCTGGCTTATCCTTCAGAATTTAGCTTCCATTTTCACTTCTTCATGGGAGTCTTCTTGAGTATAGTCTCCTCGTCATGTCTGCCGCTTCTTCCTGAGTCAGGGAATATCTCTTAGGCCATATCTATTATAGTCGTGGTCTGACTTATATTTGTGGTCAATTTTTTTTTCTTAATTTTTCGTAGAGACGGGGTCTCACTATGTTGCCCAGGCTGGTCTCAAACTCTAAGTGATCCTCCTGCCTCAGCCTCCCAAACTGCTGGGATTACAGGCTTGAGCCACCAAGCCTGGCCTATGTTTGTGGTCTCTTTGACTAAAAATGATCTTTTCTTCTAACCTGAAATCTCCTGAGGGATGGAACTTTGTGTCTCTTTGGTTTATCCCAGCATATAAATAGTTACGCATTTTTGAATTAACAAATGAGCACAAATTTGTATCAAATTATTATCTAGGACAAGCAGTGGAAAAAAATTCTGTAAAGGGCCGGGTAACTGTTTTAAGCTTTAAGGGCCATGCAGTTTCTGTTGCAGTTACCAACTCTGCTGTTGAAGGGTGAAGACGTGGGTAGGTAATATATAAAGGAATGAGCATGTCTGGATGTTCCAATAAAATTTTATTTTCAAAAATAAGCAGCAGAGGAGAGCTTCTGGAATGGTGGTGTGAGGAGCTTGGCAGGCCCTCTATCCAGGGAAATAACCATTTAACCTCCGAACATTCATTTTTTTAAAACTAGAAATTATCCTAAAGGCATACAGCAGGTGGATAAATATTTACTCAAATAAATAATCAAATCTCAGTAAGAACGGTAAGGATCAGTGGTATCAGAGCCACAATCCACCGCTCCCCACCCTCAAAGCGCATTGTGATGAAAGCTCTGCTCCAGGAAGGTCCAGCTAACAAGATGCTGTGGTCTGTCTTCCCGGCTCCTGGTCTAGGGCTGTGGTTTCACCCCAGGAAGGCAGGCCACCAGCATCTCTCATCCCTCTCAGTTTGCACTGCAGAAGCACCGTTCCAGGAAGTTGCAACTGAGAGGACTAGGGCTCCCCTGCTTCAGCCTGTGCTTGTCCTCAGAGGGTGGGAGCCCCATCCCAGGTGTGGCAGACTGAGCACATCTGCCTGGATTGCCCCACACCAAGTCACTCACAGTGTGGAGGTTCCATGTCTGGAGGGGCAAGCTAGGAAGACAAGAGGCTACCATGCCCACCCAGCTACTGGCTCATGCAGCAAGGGTGTCGCTCTGGTGGAACTGGATCACGGTCCCCAGGAGCAGAGGAGACCTAAGAGCAGAGCATGTCCCTGAGGTGACAGACTTTACTTGGAGAACAGCATGCGGAAGTTCAAGCCCAAGGAAGTTGGCAAAAATAGTGGAGATTTTGTTGATGAACAATTAAGAGTGGGTGAAATGGTAGACTAGATAGAACTTAAACAGAGGGAACAAGGAAGAGAGATTGTTGAGAAGAGCTCCGGGGTCTGAGCAGACTTGAAAAGCTGGCAACACTCTGCCCCTGCAAAAGAGCCTGATGTTCACTGGATGAGTCTATGGAGCAATTTGTGCCCCAGGCATCATAAAAAATGATAGAGCACTTGCATTTAGTGGATGTTAACAGCTGTGTGTGACACCAAAGAGAGACAGACCAGCAGAAGCTTAACAGAGAGCCCAGAGAAAACCACAGATACCACAGGTGGTCGGAGAGACTGTGTGCTAGTCCAAGGCTGTGCCCTCTGAGGAGCAATATCAGAGCTACGTCCCTAATCAAATAAACAAGCAATCAAACAGAAATAGCAGCCCCTGCGGGTCGGGGTCAGAATCCAGATTTGCTATGATATATTACCTAAAATGCCAGTTTCCACAAAAATGCAAGAAAACAGGAAAGTGAGACCCATGCTCAGGAAAACAGAAGGCAACAGAAACTATGACAAATTCCAGACATCGGATTAACAGACAAAGACAGCCAGTGTCAAAACAGCCACAGAAACATATTCAAGTTACTAAAGGAGACCATGTTAAAAGAATTAAAAGAAATTATGATGACAGTGTCCCATCTAATAAGGAATATCAATAAAGAAATAAAAATTATTTTAAAAAACAAAAAATTGTGGAGTTGAAAAGAACAATAACTGAAATGAAAAGTTCACTCAGGGGCCCAGCAGTAAATTGGAACAGTCAGAAGAAAGAACCAGCAGACTTGAAGTTATGTCAATAGAGATTATACAACCTGAAAAACAGAGAGGGAAAAATAATTAAGAAAAATGAATAGAAGCTTGGGACATCCTTAATGAGAGTACCAGAGGAGATGTGAGAGAGAAAGAAGCAGAAAAAAAGTTCCAAGCAGAAAAAATGTCCAAGAAATAATAGCTGAAAAGCTCCCAAATTTGCTGAAAAATGTTAACCTACACATTCAAGAAGCCCAAAAAGCTCTACACAAAGAGACACACCTAGACACACACACCTGGACACACACACCTGGACACAAACACCTAGACACAAACACCTGGACACACACACCTAGACGCACACACCTGGACGCACACACCTGGACAAACACACCTGGACACACACACCTAGACACACACACCTAGACACACACTCCTGGACACACACACCTAGACACACACACCTGGACAAACACACCTGGACACACACACCTAGACACACACACCTGGACACACACACGTAGACACACACACCTAGAGACACACACCTGGACACACACACCTAGACACACACACCTGGACACACACACCTGGACGCACACACCTGGACACACATACCTAGACACACCAGAATCAAAATGTTCAAGACAAAGACAAGGAGAAACCTTGAAAGGAACAGAATAAAATGGCTCACCACAAAGAAGGGAACCCAGTAGGATTAACACTTGATCTGTCTGTAAAAGGATGGAGGCCAGAAGGCAGTGGGATAACATATTCAAAGTGCTCAGAGGAAGAAACTATTAATCCACAATCCTATATCCAGCAAGGCCATCTGTCAGACATGAAGGTGAAATAAATTTCAAGATAAGCAAAAACGGAGAGAATTTCTTGCTAGCTGAACTGCTTTATGAGATATTAAAGGAATTCTTCAGGCTGAAAACAAGTGAACTCATACGATTTTCAAATCCACACAAAAAAGCAAAGGGCAGTAGTAAAGGTAATTATGTACTTTTTAAAAAAGGTGTAAATGCATATATTTTCTCCTGTTTTCAAAAGCAACTGCATAGGACAATAAGTATGGAATTGTATTATTGGACGCATAACATACAGAAATGTAATATACTTGACAATAACAGTACAAAGGAGGCAAATGGGAAAAACTGCACTGGAGTAAGGAAATGGCCACATATTGTATAATCCCATTTATATGAAATGTCCAGAATAGGCAAATCCACAGAAGTAGAAAGTAGATTCATAGTTGCCTGGGCTTGCGATGTGGGTGCAAGAAAGAAGGAAATGAGTACTAATGAGCATGTTTCCCTTAGGGAATGACAAAAATGTGATGATTTCACAGCTCTATGAACGTACTAAAAACCATTGTAGTATTAAAAAAAAAAAAAAAGAACAAAAGAAAAGAAGAGTAGAATTTTGGGTACATAATTGTAAAATCAATCTTTAGTGGAAAGCTCTGTTATCCAGAAACTCAAAATTAGCTACATAACTTCCCCAGAAATATTCATCCGCAGCAAATATTCATCAGAGACAGAATCCAAACCCAGGTCTGTGTGAATCTAAAGTTTATTTTCCTCCACCTGCCTTAACAACAAATTATTGAATAACTCAAGGACACAATACCTCGAAAGAGTCTGAAACATTTCTGTGATGAATTTACTTATGAATCCCAATACTCTTGATTCTAGATGATGTGTTTTGTTCAGCATCTGTTTCAGTCATATCAAGTAAAACCACTTCCCCCAGGTAATATAGTTTTCCTTTTTACTTTTTCCCTTGGCCTCAGCATTTACAGCCCCGTGCAGACTGTTTTAACAAACGCGTTGGTGAGGTGTGGTAGAATCACAGGCAAAGGCGTGCTTTGCTGTGCTGTGTAGGTACATATCAAACGCTCACCAAGAAATTATAAAATATTATTCATAGCAGTTTTTTTCTTCAGTATTTTATGGGCTAAGTGCAATCTGGCTTTTGATAACAACGGCTGAATAATATTTGAGTTTGCCAGCTGAAATGTCCTAAATATCTTATTGATTCATTTATTGCCTCTTCAAATAACAAGGCAACAAGACAGTGTCAGAATGCTCAGTGTTTTTACTTTTTTGTCTATCATGGGATGGTGTCAGTTTCAGTAAAAACGATGTCTCTTATTTTGGTCCACATTGTAGGAATCTCACCAGTGACACGCGTTTGTGAAAAGCTGTGAATATTCAGTGCCACAGGGTTAAACCTCGGTACAGAAGCGAGACCCTGCTGGGCAGAGAAAGGGTGACCTGGAAGGTGTGTGAGGGCCCCGCCCATGGGCCCCTGTGATGGTCATGGCCTCAAGAATCACAGTCCAGGTGAGGCCCTGAATATCCACAGCCAGGACCAGTTCCCTCTGCTCTTGGGTGCCAAGGCCACCGTCAGCCAGGAGAGGCCTGCAGAATCAGCCTGTGCACCTCTCTGACGATAAGCAGAGATGCTGGTTTAGAGACTTGCTACTCACGGGGAAGTCCTTGGGCCTCCTGTACTCACATTACCTGGAACTTCTTGGAAATTCAGAATCTCAGGCCCCAACCCAGACGGACTGAATCAAAATCTTCATTGTGGTAAGACCCTCGGTGACACACAGGCCTGGGAAGCACAGGTTAGCGTGTCACCTTGGGCAAAGCTCTCAGCATTGTGAGCCTCTGTTTTCTACTCTGTAAAGGAGGCATGAATATCTACAACATCAGTTTGCCATGAGTATTGAAAAATAATGTCTTAGAAGCACAGGGCAGAGCCTGGCATGTAGTTTGTGCTCAGTGCACAGCAGACAAGAAACCACATGCACCAGACCTGGGCGGCCGTCGGCAGCCCACCCTGAGCAACCATGGGTGGCCCTCTTGTCTCTCGGGACAAGAAATGCTTCTTTAGAAATGCTTCTTTCCTTTCTAAAATGAAAGTTTTGGACAGTATTTCCTTTCATTTAAAAATTTCATCTGTGTATTTGATGGCCTCTGTTGTTTCTTTCCTGAAACTCCTGCTAACATACTGGGAGCTGAAGAAGGGCTCCGTGAAGGCGAGTAGGGGTGCCTGTCCCTCCCAGGGAGGAGCTTCCCTCCTCTCACCTGCTGCACGAGCCCTAGTGCTTCACCAACTCCAGCCTCAGTGCCCTGACACTGGGGGAGGGAAAGGAAGCGCACGCACCAGCCGTTCCACCCACCGAAGTTGTTTGGTCCCAATCTGCAAAATCAGTTAAACGTCTTCCTGCCTGGCAGCAGATCAAAGGGTGAGGGGTCTGGGACAGACAGAGACGGCTAGAGAATGGATGGTGAAGTGCTCAGAGGCCCTGTGGGCTATCCCACACTCGGCGGAAGACAGCAACACCATCAAATCTCCACCCTTTGTTATCCATGACTTAAAGAAAAGTGAACAGGGAGGTGGACAACTGTGCAAAGACTGGCTGGAGTCAAATCCTGGGCATAGGTGAAGCATCGAGAATGCTTGTCACACGTTTGAATGTGCAGGGGGACTCTGACTGGAAGCTCCTAGCAGAGGCTGAAGACACTGGTTAGGTCCTGGTGCGTGCCTTGGGATGCATCCCAGGCAACGGGCCCAGGAGCTTGAGGTCATGTCCACCTGGCTCACCAGGGAGTCCTGCACCATTCTTCAAACCTAACTGGAAGAGACACTGATCCTTCCTCCCACCTAAGGGCTCCCAGAGCCACAGGTCTCCGACTCTCCTGCAACACCTCCTGCTGCCTGTTCCCACCGCCCATGATTCACTCAGTCACCATCCTCAGCAGCACCCGACAGCCTCTGTGTGTCTGTGTCACTCACCATTACCAGCCCCCTGGGTGCCCAATGCATGTATGTTAGACAGAACAAATGCACGGCGGCCTTCAGCAGCACCGACCGCGTCAACCCCTCTGTGCTCACACCAGGAGTGATCAGCGCACACGCCCTCCCACAGGATGGGAGAAGGTGATAACAGCTGAGCTGGGTGTCCAGAAGCCAGCCCCACCCCACAGCCACTACTGAGAGGTTATGAGATCATGGCCTTATCCCGAGTAATGCTGCTGCAGTGAACTGGGACTTTTTTCCTCTGAATTCAAAGGTGGGGCAGTCTAGGCACCTGGATGCACCATCTGCTCTGTCCCGGCCTGGTGGCTGCTCACTGTGGGATGCTGTGCAATTAGACAGTTACTATCTTTCCCTGGTTGACGGATTAGAGTTTCCCTTTTCTGAGCATCTTGTTTTGAAGTGATCCGAAGTGTTTAGGGTTAAAGAGCGTGATTTTCCCAAACTGTCCAAAGAAATAGAAGCAGGTCTGCAAGAGGGGGGTGCCCAGAGCCTTGAGATGGAAGCGAGATGGGGTGAGACCTGGGGAGCTCTCCAGGCCGCCGGGAAGCTGCACGTCATCCTCTGGACCTCTTTGCTGACTGTGTGCTGTCACCACAGCAGCCGCCTTCTCTCATCTGTAAACAGGATTTTACGTAAATTTCCATACACTTGGTTGTTGACAATTAAGTAGATTGTTTTTAAAGATACTTGAAATGATATCAGAATTTCCTAAATATATCATTAAAACAGGAAACTTAGTTACCTACTCACTCGAATCACTAGAGAATACCAAATAGGAATAGGAAGATAACACACTGGTAAGAAAAATGTCCAAGGCCAATCACAGGAGTCAAAGCTCGTGATCAAATCAGCTCTGCCTGGGGAGGCCGTGCTCATGGCACCATTTAGTGACAAGTGGGTGACTCTGGGGCAAGTTCCAGGGGTGTCACCCCCAAGGCAGCAGCTCAGGTGCAGCCACCATGGAGGCAGTTTCACTGAGGGGCCCTCTGAGGCCCCTACTCTGAGATTCTAAGACAGGGTTTGAAGAATGTTCCAGCATTTGAACACATGAACCCTATGATGTCCTGCTGTGAGAGAGAACAATGTCCCAATTTTGCCCAGGTGATTTGAACATCTCGGTATGGATCTGTTATGGGTTGAATTTTCTCCTGCCCAAATTCTTATGTTGAAGTCCTTACCCCTGATGGGACTAGATTTGTAGACAGGGCCTTTAAGGAGGTGATTAGCGTAGTGAGGTCACCAGGTGGGCCCTGATGCAATCTGGCATCCTCCTAAGAGGACATGAGGACACAGACACATACAGAGGGACGATCGTGTGAGGACACAGAGGATGGCATCTGCACGCCAAGGAGAGAGGCCTCAGGAGGAACCAGCCCTGCCCACACCTTGATCTGGGACTTCCAGCCTCCAGGGTTGTGAGAGAGAAATGTCTGTTGTTTAAGCCATGCAGTCTATGGTGCTTTGTTATGGCAGCTCCAGCAAGCTAACCTGGGATCTAAAATGATACTTAAACTGGTTCAGTCTGATTCTTAAACTGGTTCAGTGGAGCTAGGCCAGGCTCCCTCTGAGCAGATGTTGGTCCCTTTGCAGGCCTGCTGTGTGTGATGATTGCTAACCAGGTTATGACAGTGATCTTTAAGTAAGTGGGAATCTTGTGAGTTTTGAGGTTTTGTTTTTTTTTTTAATGAAATCTACATGGGATGTTTCAAAAATAGCAGCCTCTGTATACATTTGTCAAGCAGGAAGCTGGGTCTGCGGGGAGTAGGGTGGGGCTGGTTCTCCCACACGCTTGCCACTTTCAGGCCCTTGCCTTGCATGGGCTGCGGTGGTTCTGCCAGTGTGGATTCGAACCGATAGGTTTCGCTGTACCTTGATCAGCATCCTGCTGCCGAGAAAGCCAAAAAGGGCTGGAGCAACCCTCCCGTGTGCCATGTGAGCCTGTTTCCTTTCTACAGTCACCAGTTCACGCAGCAAGTGTCAGAGCATTCCTGTAAGGCCCGGCTCTCCACAGGGGCCAGGGGAGCTTTCTCTGGCAGGGTCTTCTTCACTGTGTGTAGGATACGGCAGCCTTTGAGGCTGGGGAACCGAAGTTTTCCTTTTATTCTATTTTAATTAATTTAAATTACAATAAGTATTATCACTAAGTTTATGCAAACACGTGAGGGAATGCTGATTTAGAGCTGGTGGCGTAAGGTCACAGAGCTCCCACGAATCTCACATGGAAGCCTTGTTTCTCCAGGTTTTTTGTAGTTTGTACTGAATCACACACCATGCTGCTTCCATGTTTTTTCAGGGATTTCCAACACAGATTTTCCTGAGTACCCTGGATTAATCTCCTTTTGGATAGGTCCATGGGGGCCCTGCTGCTTTTTCCCCTTAGCCCTGGGCGAGGTCATCATAGAGGGGGAGTGGCAATGGCTCACAAGGTACTAGTGGAACCCCAGTAAGTTATCTCAGAGCCCGCTTAGAACACAAGTGCTACGTCCCCCAAAAGCTTTGCAATGAGTATCTGATGGGAACAAACTCAGTCAAGGACAGGCCCAGGTTGGGGCTTGCAGGCTGCAGATTCAGAATTGTTTATGAGATGGGAGCCATACTTTCTAACAACAAGACCTGAATTTCTCAATTTAATCCAAGTCGTGACTTAAGTTAGCGCCCTTCCGTTCCTCTATTACATTTCTGTTCGGCATGGATCAAATTGCCTACAAGGTGGAACAGATTTCAACTGCAATCTCTGAACCAGAAAATTCACTTATTCTCATGAAAGTTTGTAATCTTTGGAGAGTTGCTTAAACACTTAAAACCATCTTTCCTCTTTCTATACTCCAAACTTACCTGCTGCAATTTCTTGCTAAGAAGCAAAGTGCTATTTGCCTATTCCTATCTCTCTTTACCATCAGACACTCCTTAAGTTAAGAGCTAGATAATTCGCTCAGCCTCAGGCCAGGCCGAGCCTCACTCTAGAAGTCACATTCCTGAGGTGTAGGGGGTCAAAATGCCTCTCATTGTTCAGAAGCAGGTGAGGGGCCAGCCAGGGCACATCCTGCTCTCCAGGCTTGGTTCAGATAACTGTCAGCCCAGTTTTCAAGAGCACACACCAAAAATGCACCAAAGCTTACATCCATACAAACACCCGCACATGGATGTTTATGGAAGCTTATTTGTTTTTATTCATAATCACCCAAACTCAGAATCAACCAAGATGTCCTTCAGTAGATGAATGGATAAACTGTGGTGTGTCCAGGCAGTGGAATATTATTCAACGCAAAAAGAAATGAGCTATCAAGGCATGAAAAAATATGGGGGAACTTTAAATGCATAAATGAGTGAAAGAAGCCAGTCTGAAAAGGCTACACCCCGTGTGCTTCCAACTACAGGACATCCTGGAAAAAGCAGAATTACCAACACAGTGAAAGATAAGGCCTGGTGGTGTGGGGAAGGATGAACAGGTGGAGCACAGGGATCTTTAAGGCAGACAATCTACTCTGTGTGATACTGCAATGATGAGTTCATGCCACTATATATTTTCCCAAACCTATAGAATGTACAGCACCAGTGGTGAGCCCTGATGTGAGCTGTGGACTCTGGGTGACAATAGTGTGTCAATGGAGGTTCATGGACTGTAACAAATGCATCACTCTGGTGGGGGATGTTGATAATGGGGGAGGCTATGCATGTGGGGAGGTGGGTACATGGGAAATCTCTGTACTTTCTGCTCAGCTTTGCTCTGAATCTAAAACTGCTCTAAAAATCGTTTATTTAAAAATACACCAAAGCAATGAGGCCGGGCATGCATACAGCCAAAGCCAAATGATATTTGTGTGAGTCAGGTAAATTTGAGATCTGAAAAATGATCACTCCAGGGAGGCTGAGCTGTCATGGGGCACTTATTGAGAACCTACTTTATGCCCATCTGGTGCTTAGAATTACGAATTAGCTATTATTATTACTAAACAATTCAAAACAAAGTCACTTATCTCAGGGCGCTTTCAATCTTGTTGCCATCGAAGCTAACAAAAGTGGAAACAGAACAAAGCTACATACGGCACATTTCCCAGAACATGCCAGGTGGAGCCTGGCCCTGTTGATTGTGTGTGGCTGTCACTTGCAGGAGGGTTCCATGGACAAGTGAGTTTGGGAAATGCTGGGTTGGGCAAATATCAACAGGCTTCCTTACTGCAAGATTTCTCATAGTCAAAACATACTTTAAATCTCCAAGAGGATGATACAGAGAGCCATGTTTCCCATAATTAGTTGGCCCCAGAAACAGTTTCTTCTGGGAACATTTTGTAAGATTAGTGCTCCTTGAAACACACTGAGGGAGAGGCTAAACTGAGTGGTAGAGATTCATAGACTATTTGGATTCTGGCCCCAGAGTATAAAAGGCCAGGGGGAAAGGACTGTGTTCCTGAGATGGTGAGGTGGAGAAGGGGACGTGTTTCTCCACCACCCACAGAGAGGGCTGAGAAGCCCTGGCACACGGGCTGAATCTGGGAGGTCAGAAGGTGAGGTGAGAGGACAGGAAGACAGCCCACGAGACTTCCAAAGGAAATGGTGAGTCTTACCATGGCTCTCTGGGCTGATGGCAGGGCCCGGCACAAGGTAGGAACTGAGTGTGAGTGCGGGATGCACCCAGGTCTGAAATGCTCAGGAAGGACCCTAGGACATGAGCAACCTGGGCTGGTCACTCATGGAACCTGAATGGCTGGAAAGAAGGAAGGGTGATCCTGCTAAGACAGGGCGTTGTGAAGATTTCCTTTCCCTCCGAACTAACATCTCACTCACTTCTCTCAGTTTCCATCATTATCTTCTATGGAGTTCTTCATTCCCACATCTGTGGACCTTAAAATCCTACCGTTGAGTGCCTGCCTTGGATCAGCAGTCAGTTCGTTACCTTGGTTCTCAGACGATGCTTGCAACAACGCCATGCGATTCGCCCACTCTTGGGTAGGTGGAGACATTGGGGCTCAGGTGTGGGTAAGTGATTGTGTGACTCCTTGTTAAGCGGCAGAACCGGGACTCAAATTCACACAGATCTGATTCCAAACCCTGTGGCCCTAAGCATAGTGTTATTAGACAATAAGCCCTCTGCAGGGAGATTTCCAGTGCTGATGGCAGGGTCTGTCATGAAGGAGGACTCTGCTGAATTTTTCTTTGAACCCCAGGAAGTGCCTGGCACAGTTCTCTGAAGAAATTAGAATGCAGCCAGTGGTTACTAAAGAAATGAATAAGTCAAGTAAATGGACAGAGCTGTGTGCTAAGAGTTCTTTTGGGACACAGAAATGGGTCAGAATTGGAAATGTCCAGAAAATACTCTTGGATAATTATGAAAGCTACATATAGGAGCTCAGGTTTAACTCCATATGAAATGAAGAGTCACAAAAGAAAAGGAGGAGGAGCGTGTTCAGGCGGAACCTCAAGCTTGAGAGTGCTATGAAATATGTTTGAGACTCAGAAAACAGTTCCTGAAAGAAATGACACATTAATGAATGAAGGTATAGTTATTTGGAGAAAATGAACCTAGATATAAGAGTAACCATATCAAAATGTGTTTCTTTAACTGCGGTCTTCAGAACCTATGAGGTTCATTGGTATATTCTTGGGAACTATGTGTGTTTGAGAAACATATTTCTGGCGCCAAACTGACAGTCACCTCAAATCCATCACAGCACTTATGATGAATTCTTTTCAAGTTAAATGCTGTAAAGAAAATACTTCTCTTTTTTACTGTTAATTCACAATTTAAAAGTGTTTTCTTACTGAACTACATGTTGGTCCCTCAGATAAGGATTTCTCGAGTCTCAGGTCTTTGGGGTCTTTGAGGAGTGTGACTTCTCAAATTGGATGACACTGATCTAACTGGCTGTAGTATCCATTCAAGCATGAGGGAGGTCAGAGCCTGGGAAAGCTCAGGTCCAAACAGCTCTTGAAAGAGGACGTTGCAGGGCAGGCTGCTTTGCACAAAGGGACCTGTAGACACTGAGAACATCAGTATACCAGGAACCAGCCCACCCTTTCACTCTGCCAGACATGAGGCTGTGGGTTACCCATCTTTCCCTGTCTCCTGAACTCATAGCAAAAACAAAAAACTTCACTTGTTTGTTAACACATATAGTTCAAGACGGAAGGGCCTACACTGAAGCAGAAAGGATTGAGGTTTATCAGCATCTTCGCTTTGAGGCCTCATAATGTACTTCCCATGGACTAAAGTTGTTCACTTTCTTTAGAGGATATTAGCTAAAGATGTGGTAAAACCACATTTTTGCAGAAAAGTGAATATTCAAAAACAAATGTATATGGTGATTATTTAATAGTTTTCACTCCACTTCGCAACTCAACTTTTGGTTGATGCAAGAGGGATGCGAAGGGAGAATTGTGCTTCTAATTCCAGCATTGTGGTGGAATAAAAGAGCACAGCATTGCAGCTGTTGAATATAGGCAGTTTTTTCTTTTTATAGGCAGTTTTAAGAAGAATGCATTGATTCTACAACGTGCTATTGTGAAGCCATCCGGGACTGTTCACTCACTCATTTAAGAAAGGTGTATTTTCCACTTGAGGTGTGAGAGAAAGTGTGGTGTTCACTCATTGCTCTTCCTTCTGGCTTTTATTTTTCTCACTTTTAGAGAAAATAAGAGAAGTATCCCTGAAGGATGAAATATCCTCGAATATGAAAAGGTCTGCTCTCTGAAGACCAACTGTCTCAGTCTGCTTTTTGCTGCTGTAACAGAATACCACAGACTTGGTAATTTATAAACAGTAGAAGTCCATGTGGCTTATGCTTCTGGAGGCTGGGAAGTCCCAGGTTAAGGGGCTGCATCCGGCAAGGGCTTCTCGCTGCCTTATCACATGGCAGAAGGCACCTTGTGGTGAGACAGTGAGGAAGGGCTGATTTCACTCTCACAACAAACCCACTCCCATGATAATGGCATTAATCCATTCAGCAGGGCAGAGCCTTCGTGACCCCATCACCTCTTAAGGCTCCCGCTCAGCATGGTTGCACTGGGGTTAAATTTCTAACACCTGAACTTTGGGGACATGTTCAAACCATAGCCAGGGCCCTGAGAAACCCATTTCCACTGACTTCAAAATAGTTCATGAAAATGGAGTGCTGAGAGAGCAGCAGGGCATTCACAAGAATGGTTTTGAGAGGCCTCACTGTGCCAGGCATGGCCCTCAGGGCAGGCAGCTCTGCACAGCCCCCCATGGCAGCAGCTGGTCAGGCTGCCCAAACTCACCACTTTGGAATCACTTCAGCACCACCTGTCTTCACTTGAAATCAATTGTCTGCAGATTTTAAACTCGTTTCTATGTGCCCAGTAGGCAGAGAAGCCTTCAGAGAAGGATCCTGACTCGGTGGTTTGTGCAGTGACATTTGGCAGTGTTTTCTCGGCAAGCGAGTCTTTGAGGCTGCCCTCATGCTGCTCAGTGGGCACACCAAGAACAAGAGCTGGCCAGGGATGACGGACGCATCTAGGCCTTCTCGGCCTAAGGGCAAGTCCCATTCTTCCTTGATAGGTCTTTAGATGTACCAGTCAGCAAATGTCATCCCCCTCTGCATTCACGTCAAGCTGTGCAGGGAATGCTAAACAGAGGCAGATCTAAACTTAGGAGTTAGGCTTCTTCTCCATGGAGATGTGGATCTGCACAGACAAAGTGTCCAAGTGGGATTTTCCTGCTATTTCAAGGACTGCTGCTGCACCCTGCTGGCTCTTCCTGCACTCCCTGCCTCCAGGAATGACTGTGTCTCTTTGAGTTAGTGAAGTCATCAACTTTTTTTTTTAAATCTCTTATTATTATTATTATACTTTAAGTTTTAGGGTACATGTGCACATTGTGCAGGTTAGTTACATATGTATACATGTGCCATGCTGGTGCGCTGCACCCACTAACTCGTCATGTAGCATTAGGTATATCTCCCAGTGCTATCCCTCCCCCCTCCCCCCACCCCACAACAGTCCCCAGAGTGTGATGTTCCCCTTCCTGTGTCCATGTGTTCTCATTGTTCAGTTCCCACCTATGAGTGAGAACATGCGGTGTTTGGTTTTTTGTTCTTGCAATAGTTTACTGAGAATGATGATTTCCAATTTCATCCATGTCCCTACAAAGGACATGAACTCATCATTTTTTATGGCTGCATAGTATTCCATGGTGTATATGTGCCACATTTTCTTAATCCAGTCTATCGTTGTTGGACATTCGGGTTGGTTCCAAGTCTTTGCTATTGTGAATAATGCCGCAATAAACATACGTGTGCATGTGTCTTTATAGCAGCATGATTTATAGTCCTTTGGGTATATACCCAGTAATGGGATGGCTGGGTCAAATGGTATTTCTAGTTCTAGATCCCTCATCAACCTTTTTAAAAAGCATTTAGGAGCTGCTGGTTGTAAATGATCACTGAGAAATAGTATTTCCCTCACTTGTAGCCATCTGCTTCTCTTTTTGGTTCTGGAACATTCTAGAACCTTGGAAGGTGGCTGGGGCTGAGTCTCAGCCAGCAGGGTTGCCCAGTGCCCCTTGTCACCCCCCGAGCAACACAAGCCAGGCTGCGGTTACTCTGGGTCTGTGCGTCTGGGATCATAGTTTTTAAATCTGCCCCAGGGTCCTCCAGTCCCAGCTGTGGAAAGTCACCCTCAGAGGGTGAGGCGGGCGGCGCGCCTCTGTGTGAGTGGCCCCATCCTTCACAGCGAGTTTGTGTCTACTGAATCGCAGACTCTGGGAGGCTGAAGGGTTACAGGAGGTCGTGTGTCTCACGTCGCCACTTCACGGTTGAGGACCCCGTGACCCGCTTTGCTCAGTGGCTGCGCAAGATGAGTAATGACCTGAAACAGGGAAAATGTCTTGGATACATCTTGCGTAATGAGGAGAAAAATGCAGCCATGTTGCAGCCTGATAAAATACTCTGCCAGTGTCCTGCCATAAAATGACAGGCGAATTTTCAGTAGCAGATTCTCTAATAGTTCTGTGGTCTTCTAGGTGCTAAACTGTTTAAGTATCTACATTTTCTAAGCCCGCCTAATGCAAATATTCTCAAAAAACATAAACCCTTCATTCTTTCTCAAATAGGTTACATTAGTTATACACTCTGGAGGTGACTTGACCTGTCATTGTGAACAATTATTGCTCTTGGACGACCCAGGACATAGGCCAGCCAGTACGTACCCCAGTGTGTTGGAGAATCGCGCTCGGCTTCTTCCTCTGTGCTGAGTCATGAAAGTTGCCGGAGCAGGTGCAGTTACACAACCTCCAGGTAACATCACATGATCGTTCAAAAAATAATCATCCAAGTCCAGGATGCAGCATCTGTCTCAGTTTTTGGCATAGGATGACAGTCTGAAATACACTTACTGAATTTGAATAAGAACGGGCTCAGGTCAGTGATTATCGCTAGTGCCTTATCAACGCCCTGTGGCTTTTCAGCATTAGTCCCCATATCCTCGTCCGGTGTGGCACTGAGAGCAGCTAACTGTTGCCCTCGTTGGTTCCCAGTTGGCTTCCGTGACTGGTCAGGGTCAGGTCCACTGCCAACAGGCTGGTGTTGAATCCCTTGGAGAAACACAGACATTCTGACCCTAAATTATGCTTTCAATGCCATGTGTTTTCCTATCACAAAAATCCTCGTTCTCAAGTTTCTTCTTTCTTTATTTTTATTTCATTTCATTTTTTAGCATTCCTCCACAATTCATTGCCCAAATCTACTTTTTACTCAATTTACTTGCTTTGGTCATTTTTCAATATAGCACTTTAATTTCTTAGACAAATATTTTCAACATTCTCCTGTTTTCTCAAGGATGTCTGTTTTCTCCCCAGGTATGATCCTGTTTAAGGACTGGATTTAGGATAACTACTTAGAGGTTAAAAGTCACAAGGGTGTATGGATGAGGCTGGAGTGATCTGGGACCAAAGGTATGGGTGATAAAGCAGAGTATCTAAGCAGCTCCTGGGATTGGTGTCTTTAAAAAAGTAATAATGCATTTGCTTATTTTAGAGACAGGGTCTCACTATGTTGCCCAGGCTAGACTTGAACTCCTGGGCTCAAGGGATCCTCCCACCTCAGCCTCCTAAGTAGCTGAAACTGCAGGCATGAGCCACCACACTCAACTCACTATCTTTTTTTTTGGAGACGGAGTCTCGCTTTGTCCCCCAGGCTGGAGTGCAGTGCTGTGATCTCAGCTCACTGCAATCTCCACCTCCCGGGTTCTAGCTATTCTCCTGCCTCAGCCACCTGAGTAGGTGGGATTACAGGCGTGCGCCACCATGCCCGTCTAATTTTTGTATTTTCAGTAGAGACGCGGTTTCGCCATCTTGGCCAGGCTGGTCTTGGAACTCCTGACCTCAAGTGATCTGCCCGCCTCGGCCTCCCAAAGTGCTGGGATTACAGGCATGAGCCACTGTGCCCTGCCTAGCTCACTATCTTTCAATCAGTAGAGATTCTTTAGTTATTTTTTAACTCCATGGATCCCAAGCTTTGATTTTTGTTTTCCAAACAAATTGCATTTATAAATAATAATTTTTATTTATAATCAACAGACATCTAGGCTTGCTGTCAAGGCTTCTGATCAACATGAGATGACCGCCGTGTGGTAAACTGATGAACCCTGACCCTGATCAACATGAGATGACCGCCGTGTGGTAAACTGATGAACCCCGACCCTGATGAACGTGAGATGACCGCCGTGTGGTAAACTGATGAACCCCGACCCTGATGAACGTGAGATGACCGCCGTGTGGTAAACTGATGAACCCCGACCCTGATGAACGTGAGATGACCGCCGTGTGGTAAACTGATGAACCCCGACCCTGATGAACGTGAGATGACCGCCGTGTGGTAAACTGATGAACCCCGACCCTGATCAACGTGAGATGACCGCCGTGTGGTAAACTGATGAACCCCGACCCTGATGAACATGAGATGACCGCCGTGTGGTAAACTGATGAACCCCGACCCTGATCAACATGAGATGACCGCCGTGTGGTAAACTGATGAACCCCGACCCTGATCAACATGAGATGACTGCCGTGTGGTAAACTGATGAACCCTGACCCATTAGGCTTTGGCTACAGAATGTGGAAATAAGTTGTGTTACTACATGTGTGTAATCCTAGGGTGCAGGACACCGGCCGGGAGGTTCCATAGAGTGATGGGTTCTGCAGGTAACTCATCCTCTAGTCCTCTGTAAGCTCCTAGAAGGAAGAAATTATGTCCTTTAGACTAATAAAATTCCTCCAAACCAAATACAGCACCTACTGTGAAGACACAAAGATACTTTTAGAATAGTAAAAACTTTATCCATTGAGAAATTCCTTAATGAAACAGTATCCAAGAAGTCATTTGCCAGCAGATTTCTTAGAGGTGCGATAAAGAAGAGGACATTGCCAGTCGTCACAGCAGCTGCAATAGCTCCTCTCTATTGTTAAACAGTGGGATATCTTGTGCAGGTTTTCAGTTGACAATCAATTTTAAAGATTAGTTTCGGTCCCCATCAATCAATTATTTATTAACCCATCAATAAAAATTTAAATGCTCTGTGAGGTACAATAGCTATTAAAAGAGACAGAGGCACTTTCTGTGTCCAGAGGGGCTTTTAGTCTGCTCTGGAAAGCAAGATGCGTGCAGATGAGTGACGCAGTGCATCGTGTGGATGCAAAGGGAGGGACTCACATGGGAACCAGAGGAGCTACGAAGGGAGGCAGTGGGGACTGGTGGGTCGAGACCTGGAAATAACACATGAATAGGCAACAAAGGTTTCCTTTCCTCTTCCATGCACTTCAGTCCTTGAAAAACGTCTTACCACGGAATTCCACAGCGTACCAAGCGATTCCACAGCTTGATGGCACACTCTCCTTTCTCAGCATTCTTGAAAATGGCGTGTGAGCCAAGCCATCTTACTGAGAAATTACCTTAAACCATTTGATGAACCAAAAATATTTTGTAATACCCATCTCCGACATTAGGTAGGCAAATCACACAGAAACACCGAGGTCTTCTGAGTCATATTTATCTGAAAAATCACAGCTTGGGTGCATGTGAAGCCAGAGGAGCACTCCTGGGGCCTGCGGTGCCATCACTCAGCTCCCCTGGGCTTCACATGGCCATGGAGCACCCAGCAAGTGTAGGCTCTGAGCCTTCAGGGAGGGGCGGCATCAGCCAGCACCATCGTCTCCTGGGTCTTGTGCCTCTTCCTTGGTTGCGGTGTTGTCAGGGCCAGAATTGGGCAATTCCGGGTGACATCCAGGTGTGGCTGCTGACACGGAGCACAGGTGAGGTTCACTGAGGTAAGTGGGCCATGGCCTTGGGCTTCTAGTTCAGAGCACACCATCCACTCAGCATGTGAACCCAGCTCCAAAGCGTATGTGTGCATGTGTGTACCTGTGCACATTGCGCATGTCTCTGTGTATGCATGTGCTTTGATGCATGTTGATGTACGGGTGTATCTGTGTATTGTGTATGCACACACGAGCATATGTGTACATGAATTTGTATTGCACATGTGTTTAATGCGAACACGTGTCATGTGTATGTGTTCACATGCATGTGTGTCTGTGTACTGTGTGCAACAGTGTGTGCAAGTGTGTATATGTGGGTTTATGTTTGTACAGTGTGTGTAGTGTGTGTACACATATACACCTGTGTGCATGTGTACATGGTATTTAAGCATGTTTGCACGTGTGTTTGTGCTTGCATGTGCTGCGTGTTTGTGTTGGTGGGATGTGGGGAGGCTGCTGTGGAGACAAAAGCTGGAGAGAACTTGGTAGAGTAACCCAGGTCAGGAAATGGCACCTGCAAAGGAAGGCTGGAGTGCCTGGGATTCACGTTGAAATGGCCAATCCGTCAGCTGGGCTGGACACAGCCATCACGCTGGGCAGCTGTGAGGTTAAAACAGAAAGTCTGGGCTGTGGGGAGGCTGAGAATTGAGATGCATGTATGAGATGAGTCACGAGGGCCAAGTGGTGTGTGTGAGAAAGCAGGCACAGCACCACTAAACACTAAGGAGATTTCAGGGGAGTTACGGGTGGAGGGAGGACATCAGATCTACCCTGGAAGTTAAACGTGTTTCGAGTGCATTAAATACTATGGGCCACAGACGCCTTGTCTCCATATCTACTCTTTTATAAATGAAGTAAAGTTCTTGGGAAATACTTTTCTCACTCTAAAGCTCACAATCTATCTTGCAAAAAATATTTTAAATTCCATCTCAAATAAGCCAGGGTGAAAAGGGAGCCTGTGCACCAGACACTGCCAGCCTTGCCTGGCTCTCGCCTTCTTGCTCTTCCTTCCCCACCTGCTGGGGATTTTCTTAACGATGGAGATGGGTTTGGGTTTGTCCTGCTGTGCTCTGCTCCCCATTCCCGGATCCAAGGTCCTGCCTCTGTCCTGTCCCCTGAGCCACCTCAGGGATGCAGGGTCCCCCACCTGGTCAAGTGCCCAGTGCTGTGTTGTCATTTGCAAGTTCTTCCTGTGACTGAACTCCAAATGGCACTGGGACTGCTGACTCCACCCACTGGACAACCCGTGTTCTTGCTTTTGGGGTTTCTGAAACAGCCCCAAGACTCTGGGCATCTTGATTTTGCTCCCATTGCTTCTCAGGACACCCTGCTCCTGTGGTTTGCAGCCCCGGCCTTCTCTTCGAGGACGCCTCTGCTCTTCTGCCTCACACTCGGATTGGACCTTCTTCAGCACAGCCAGTGGCCGAGGCTTCCTCCCTGGGGCTCAGTGGAGCAGGACAGATGCTGCATCCAAACTCTTCCATTGGGTTCCAGTCTGTTCCAGTCATGCCCTTGAGCCTCTAAAGCTCCTAGGTGAGAGACGTAGCAGCTGACAGCACTTCCCACTTGATTTGGGTGGACTCCAGCCTCCCCAGCAACAATAAGAGATCAAAAGCATCGTTGAGGAAGCAGCTTGCTGAAACGCTGAGTGCCCGCCACTCTCAGGTCAGGTGGGACCGGCAGGCCAGCATGAGTTCCTGAACACTTGGTTCTCAATACTGGCCACAGCCACACTGTAAGGGGAAACAAGAGGGCACTGTATGCAAACATCTCTTGAACTCTGGAGTCTGCTCACCTTCCTGCCTCAAGCCCCTCTCCCACGTGGTCCAGTCACCATTCTCCACAGAGACTACCCTAAAACCCAGCGACTCTCGTGTGCCTGCAGAATGGCACAGCCCGTTCTCATAGCAGCACTCCTGTTTAATCAGAGGGATGTTAACGACCAAGTCATATTTGCTCGATTTGTGTTCAACATATTTCATTTGTACCGATAAAACTTAAAAATATCCCCACACATGCATTGCCTATTAAAGAGTATCTTCCAGGTACACCTCCCTTACACATCAGTTAACTTGATAATTTCTTCCCATTCTTGTGCAATAAATTTCCTTCCTGATCAGCTCTGTCCAGCAGCAACAATAATCCACGTAGAGACATGCAAACTAAAAGTCCGTTAGTGGAGGCACGAAGCTGATGAGGCTTGGAAAAAAATGACCGATTTGATTAAAATTAGGACCCATGGGAGTGGAGCTCTGCCTATTTTAGAGGCAAAGTAAATGCCTGGGAGTCCAATCACCGACATTCTGTTTGAGGTTTCTAATCACAAGGAAGATGGAGAAAATGCAGAACAAGTGGTCAAGAACAGGGAGATAATAAATAGAATATTTATGGGCTGAGGAAAACAATTACCAGGGGAAAGCCCAAGAAGCAAAGATGAACAGAGAACGTGCTGACTGCGCTCGTTTGGAAAGGCCTCATGGCCAAAGGAGGAGAGGCATTATGAGGAGCAGTGACCGAGTGGGCAGGACCCCCGGGGATCAGGAAAGGTGCACGGGGGGAAATGAGAGGCCTGAGCGGCTTCCCAGCGAAGGTTTTTGAAGCACGGTTTGATTTTCTCTCTCCCCCTCACCATCCCCAAATTTTAGTTGTGACTATCTCCAGGTACATGGCTTGCGACAGGCGGTGTATAAAAACTAATGTCAGTTTAATTTTAAAACCTTAGCCATTTTCTGGAACTTAAATATCAAAGAGAAAATGTCCACATATGATGTTAATTGAGGTTTGTCTCACTGGTGATTTGTGCTGATTCAATTCCTGTTTCTTTTTTTTTTTCTTAAGGGGTCAGTTTTAGAATTGGGAGATAGGTGTATAACATATGACTATACAGCGCAGGTTGGTTTTTTAACATAGAAATATCTGCCTTTAAATGAGAACTGAAAACGGAGCTTCTTGGAGGCCACCTGCTGGTGGCAGTGATCTGACCGCTGTTTAAGCTTTCTTTGAACTCCTTTTTTTAAAACAGCCTCCATAATCAATGGTGTACGATCTACTCTCGTGGTAAAACTTACTCAGTGAAGAGTGTGTTTTATTTTCTGAGGAGCTGAACTGTTCCAACCTGAGTATTCTGAATAAGGACAGTGGTCGAGCATGAGTGATGCCATCTGGGCTTAGAAATAAGTGGGCCTAAAATCTGATTGTTTTCATACATTGTTCAGATATTGACGCAAATAGCAATTTATTTTGTAAAAAATGATTGGTATCCGGAACTTGCAACAGCTGTGTGTGGCTTGAAGGGAGATGAAGTGGTGAAGGCCTGGTTTCCACCGAAGCTCTCACAGCCCAGCCTTTCACTGTGTGGCCGGGGGAAGGGTGCTCCGGGTGGGGGACGGGAATGGTGGGACTGGGGATGCCACGGGACAAGGCTGCTGGCCTGGAAGGTAGTCACGTGGAGAACCGCAGGAGATGAGATTGGAAAGTAGTAATAAGCCATGTGGATAAGAACAGAGGAGCGGGTTTTAAGGGGGACGTCCTGAAATGCTGCTCATGTCGTTTCAGTTCCATAGACCACAGGAAATGCAGGTGAGAGGGCAGCCCGGTGGGAAGGAAGGAAGAGGGTGGTGGTGAGCCAGGTGAGTGTGGAGCCGCCCAGGGCACCGTGCTGTGCGATAGCTCAGGCATCGGGTGCTTCTGCCAAACCCTTCAGCAGCTGGTTTGGGGCCAAACGTCCTTCCTGTGTGAGAGAAGGCAGAGCCTAGGCAGCATTCCAAACCCCATCCAGATGGGAGGCTGAGTGCAGAGCAAACGGAGCCCAGCACTCCAGAGCCGTGTCCCTTCACTGCCATGATCACATCACAAACAGCGAGGCTTGGAGAGGACTTAAGAGCTCCTTCAATGCCATCTTCCATCCACTGCGTGAGCCAGAATAGAAAAAAAGGAATAAGAAGAGGTCGGTTAAGCTCTCTATTAAGTTGAGAAAATGGGAACTTCAGGTGATCATGTGAGATATTCAAGTTAAAAAAATTATTTAAAAAGCACATTCTTATTATTAAAATTTTAGAAAGTACAGAGAAGGAAATTTTAATAACCTACACCTAGAACACTAAGATACTGGTAACGTAGAAAAATGTGTAGTTAATGCCTTGATGGATTCTTTTCTATTTTTTTCTCTAGCAATATTTATGTCTATCCACAGAAAGCGTACACTCATGTATTTGCATGGCTAATATATTTTATGTAAAGTTCTATATATTTCTCAACATTTCACTTAATATTTCTTTATAAACATTTTTCCAGTGAATAAAAATTTTTCCAAACAGTAATTTTAATGACTATATAACATTTCATTGCATTTATATATCATTTGTTATTTAACTACTTCATCATTTTGGATTCACATATTTTCAATAATTTCCATTATAATAATAATGTCATGAATACCTTTGTACAAGAATATTTATATTTCTAATTATTTCCTTAGTCTAGTATCCTAAAAACTAAAATTCCTACATCGAAAGGTCAATGTGTATCACGGCTCTTGATTGACATATTGATTTCCATGAAGCTTTCATCAATTAACCCATGAACAGTGTCTGCAAGTGCTCCTTGCCCCATACCTTCCACAATGTGGACTCTTATTGGAAGTATCTAAATTTCACTTCAGAATTGCAGCCCTGAGTTATTAAACACACCTCTACTACACCTATGAAATTGTCTACAAATTGTCTTAGTTTCTTTTCAGCTTTGATTTCTAGAATTGCATGACATTGAAGACAAATGATATAATACCCATAAAGAAGGTTTTATGACCTCTTTCATTATCTCCAACAATCAGAAAGGCAAATTCACAGTAGAGGGCTGAGAAATCTTATCTGAAAATTAACTAAAATGCTGCTTTTGTCAACAGAATTACTTGGGCTTCATTTCATTCCACAATTTCCTG
This sequence comes from Homo sapiens, assembly GCF_000001405.40. Taxonomy (NCBI): domain Eukaryota; kingdom Metazoa; phylum Chordata; class Mammalia; order Primates; family Hominidae; genus Homo; species Homo sapiens. Next base: position 860,067 of record NC_000001.11, read on the forward strand.
TGTACTGTTTATTACAAGAAGAAAAAATTTCCTGCCATACAAAATGCTCCATGCAGGTAGAACCAGGAATCTAAAGAAACCTGAGGAAGGTGCTAGAATCATCACTACCATCTTTTTTTTTTTTTTTTTTTTTTTTTTTTTTTTTATGGAGACAGGGTCTTGCTCTTCACCCAGGCTGCAGTGCAGTGGTACAATCTTGGCTCACTACAACCTCCACCTCCAGGGGCTCAAGCGATCCTCCCACCTCAGCTTCCTGAGTAGCTGGGACCACAGGCAAACGCCACTGTGCCCAGCTAATTTTTAAACCTTTTTGTAGCAACAAGGTCTCACTATGTTGCCCAGGCTGGTCTTGGACTCCTGGGCTCAAACAATCGTCCCGCCTTGGCCTCCCAAAATGCTGGCATTCCAGGCAGGAGCCACTGTACCTGGCCCCACCTTCTTTTTGCTGTAGGCTGAGCACAGGAGAAGTTGAATTTATCAGGGAACCTAAAGACATGCCCTTCTTTGAAGGCAGAAGTCCTGTCCACGTCAAATGCCCTCCCTCCATCCCTCCCAGCTCCCTAGTCATCCTTCCTATTCTAGGCTCCAGGAGCGAGACCTCCTCCATGTGCCTGCTAACGTCAGTGCCACGGGCCCTCTTTGGTTCTCCTGCCCACCTTCTCTGACTCTGCCCAACACCCACGGGCCAGAGGCCCTTTTCCTTCTTGGCACTTCTCGGTGTTGTAGCAGGATGAGCCACGGACAAAACCCCTCAGACGCCGGGTTAAGGAATGATTTGGTTTTATTCGGCCAGGAGCTTCAGCGGACTCAAGTCTCAAGAACCGAACTCTCTGAAGACAGAGTTCCTGGCCCTTTTAAGGGTTTACAACCTTTAGGTTCCACGTGAAAGGGTCGTGATAGATTGAGAGCACATGCGTTTAGAGTGGGGTGGGGGGGTTAATCTTTTAACCTCAGGCCTGATCATCAGGGGCACCAGCTGGTCTTGCCACTGACTTCATTCCTGTTGTTTTTCAACTTTTACTTCCTCCTCCTCTTCAGACAGGAGACAGTAAGAGAAATGGCCTCTCTCCTCAGCGGCACAATGGACTTTAGACATCGCGCCTGTTTTGTACTCTCCAAGCCGGACTTCTCTACTCGCTGGCCTGGCGCTGATGCCCAGAGGCCCCCTGTGCTTGTGGTCGTGGCCTTAGACAGTTCCCTGCCCTTTGTAAGTACTAACTTAACTCTTGAATGTGGACGTTTTAAGCTGACTTTTCTTCTCAGCCCTCTGTAAGAGTTTCGAATCTCCCCATAGCAATCAATGTAATTGTTTTCACCCAGGGTGTTGGTCCTGGCTGCTTCGATTTTAAAGTAATCTCTCATTTTGCTGAGGAGAATTTATTAGAGTAAATGACTGTTTTCACCTGTCATGTCACATTAAAATGTGGAGAGAACTGGTTGTAGGGGCAGTCAAACTGGCTGTGAGACCCTTCGAGCAGCCATGCATCTCCTGGACAGCTCGAACACTGATCAGGGAGGAGATACTGAAAATAAGAAATAAGAATTGCCTTTATATGTGTGTATGAGTATAGACACATACATCATGTACATGTATGTGTGTATGTGCATATGTGTGCATGTGAAGATGGATAGATGATAGATACATAGGTGATTTATGTATAGGTAGATGACAGATATTGGTAATTAATTGATAGTAGATAGGTTGATAGTATATAGGTGATTGATAGATGGATGATAGATCATTGATAGATGATAGGTAGATAGTAGATAGATTATAGGTAGATAAATAGATGGATGATGGATGGATGATAGATACTTGATTGATAGATGATAGGTAGATAGTAGATAGATGATAGATAATGATAGATGATAGCTAGATAGTAGATAGATGTGATAGGTAGATGGTAGATAGAGATGATGATAGATGGATGATAGATGGATGGATGGATGATAGGTGATTGATAGATGGTAGATAGGTGGATGGTAGAGATGGTAGATAAATAGATGGATGATGGATGGATGATAGAGAGCTGATAGTAGATAAGGTAGATAGTAGATAGATGATAGATGGATGGATGATAGATGATTGATAGAGAGATAGAGAGAGAAGGATGATAGACTGAGCATCATAACTTCACTGAATGCTACCAGTTGGATTCAAAAGTCAGCAAACTGAAACGTCGAATTTCAGCCAGCTATCAGAAATATTGTAATCTGACAACAAAAGATAAACAAGGGAACATGGAAGTGGCAGCTATTCCAGAAGCTGCACCTCTCAGCATGGGCACAGAACCACAGAAGTGGAGCCAGAGTCCTCTCCACATCTCCTCTGGGTCGGCGTTATCATTGTCACAATGGGTGGAGGCTGGACCTTGTGAAGGCAAAGGCATACGGTGCTTTCTTGCTTCTGCTGTTTGGTGACTCCCTTACTCATTCCCTCTGCGGTGGCTGAGGGGCTGATGATCAGTTCCTCTGCCCAGAATGCCCTGACCATGCTGGGTGTCTGTCCTCCCTAGACCTGGGTCTGCAGGATGACAAGGACCCTGCAGCAGAAACTCCTCTGTCTCTTCCCTGAGCACCGTCTTCCATGCTGCCTGACTATGGTGCTGGTTCCCCTCTGATATGGAGATTGGTGGAGAATGACCAGGATATTTTATGTGGCAATGGGGGTTGAAGCCCACTTCAAAATGGCTTAGGATAAGTGACCAAAAGTCCCAGTGTGAGCATCAGGCATGGCTGGATCCAGGTGCTCAGCACCATCTGGAAATTTGTCTCCATCTTTGACTCTGCTGTCTCTGTGTGGGCTTCATTTCTAAGATGGTTTTCTCTGCACAGCTGTAACAAAGCTCAGGGCTTGCATGATGCTTTGCAGCCAGTACATCAGAGAGGACTTTCCCTCAAGACTTCTGGCAAAATTTGGGGTAACATGCTGTTCTTGCTGGGGTCAGGAGCCATCTTGCACCAATCTCAGAGGCCAGGGGATGGAGAACTCTCCTAGGGTAGTCCCAGGTTCTGTGCCTCCCCGGAAAACACAAGGTCGGAGCCTCCCCATCCAAATTAATGCTCAGACTGTCAGGGAGGAATGACTTCCAAAGAAAAACCAAGGGCCCTTATGAAGAAAAGGAAGGGGTGCACCTACAGTTGCCAGTTCTGTTTGGAAGTGAGGGAGGGGAGGGCAGATTCCCTTGGCTTGTTCCCTAGGACAGCTGTACTTAGGTTTTACTACACAGTCCACTGAAAATGCTTCTCTCATTAGTGTTGTGCCTCTCTCATGCCTCTTTCCTTGGATAAAGAGCAAGCACATTACGAGCCACACTTGGTGCTGGTGCTGTGGCATGCAACACTACCTAATGCGAGAGAAAGATGTGAGCAAATATCCGGAATATACAAATATAATACAAAAATACAAATATAATCAGTTATACAGCAAACAGCTGTGGGAACAGCAGCTCTGCTTGCAGGGTTGGGTAGTGGAAGGTTTCAGAGTTGATAGCATTTGGATTGGGCTTTAAGGTATGACTAGGAGCTTACCAGATAGAGAAGTGGTGTTTGGACGTTGTATGAGAAGGAAACACAATCTGAGAAGGTGTACCATCCTAAGTGAATCTGTCACAGAAGCGAGAAGATGCTGTGTAAACCGGAATAATGCTTGTGTGCATGGATCTTGATCCCTTCGTGAGCAATAAATGATTTTGTGAATAAATTGAAGAATGCTGAATTAGATCATAGGGTGTGTTTGCCGGGGTGGGGAGAGAGGAGAGCGTCGAAACTGGGGAAGTGGGGAACCAGAGATGGCAAAGCCTGGGACTTCCAGCTTCACCCACAGGACGCGAGGAGCCTCATCAGTATCACCCGCACAAGCAAGCTCCCATGAAGGCAGCGGTGTCCAGGCTCTGTCGCGTCCTTTCTTTGCAGCCTGGGCCTTGGTTTCTTGCAGGTGCTGTGCCCAAAGGTTAGATTGACAGATGTGGCCGTGTCTATCAGGGAACATGGACTGAGGCCAGTGCTTTCAACCATACTCACTTTTCACTGTGTTCAGAGGGGGTGGGAAATCTCCCCTAAGGAGGAGATACGACGTGTGCAGATTGAGAGCTGGGACCACACGGATTCCTCCAGGGGCAAGGGCTGGTGACCTTGCAGTAACTTCCAGAGGCCTCAGCACCCTCCTCTGCACAATGGTGGTGGGCTAGCCAGGGCACCACAGAAAGGGCCAGCAAGGCACACCCTCGTCTATTGCCCAGGCACACATGGGCATCCATGACAGCCATGCATGTGTTAGAGCCCGACCAGAGCTGCAGCCTCCTTTGGCTGAGGTTGGAAAAGCGGAGATGTGTTCACAGTTGGAGAATTGGTATGCCTTACCCAAGTGACATCCCTGTCCTTGGAAACTTATTCTGGGGTCACAGAATTAATTCCCCAGGATTGGGTGTCACGAGGAGGTGGTTCCTGTGGCTGAAAACCACCAACACCTCCTTTCCTGGAACATTTCCCTCCTGGCATAGGGCAGTTCTCATGCCAGAACATCTTGGGCCACAAAGAACCTTTAGGACTGAGCATGTCTTTCTGTTTGCTTTAAGCTTTTAAGAAAAAGAATATGCAAAGGCTGATTGAGGCAAAAATAACAGGCTATTTCTGACGTTCATTCAGAATGCCACCTAACTAGGCCAGTTTTTGGACTGTATGCCAGCCTCTTTCTGCGGGATGTAATCTCAATGTCTTTAAGTTCAGTCAGTCCTATAAATTGCTATCCCTATTCATGCAGTGTGTTTTCCCCTGTGTGAGGCATTTGTGAGTTCCATTAGCACTGATAGGACTTTTAAATGCAGAAGCAGCAGTGAAGGGAATGGCATTTCCCAGCTGTAGGGCACGGGCCTTCTTTGAGATAAAAACCCACCCTGGCATCGATGACATGGGAACTATTCTGTGTCTTTTCACCCGAGAGCTCTTCAATCAACTGATGATCGCACCTGCATAACTGCTACCAGACCTGCTAAGGGGGAGCCTGGCCCAGCCATCTCTTCTTTGTGGTCACAAGCATGAACGGCCCTGGGACATCCTCTTTCCTCACTGTCCCCTCACAGCATTTCCTGACCACTGTGGCCTTGGTCCCACCACCCACCTGTGCAGCTCATCTGGCCATGAACCTCTCCAGCTCACAACTCTGTTTTCTCCCTGTTGTTTCTATGAAACCAGGTTCCAGCCCCGCCACACAGTCTGCACGGCCTCCACCGCAGCTCTGGTGAGCCTCTTGGCCAGCTCCTGGTGACAGCGTGCACCTCCCTGCTCTGAGAAGGTCTCCCTCTCCTCTCTGCCCACCCTGTACAGAGACATCTTTCAAGCCCATCCCAGAGGAGAGTGGCCTCTCTCCTCAACCCCAAGAGGACGGCCTCTCATGTGGCTGTCACCCATCTGACCCCTATCACAGACCTGAGGGTAAGTGGTGCTCACGGGCCCACATCTGTCAGCCTGCGCCTGGTTGGAGACGCCTCCCTCTCATTTGTCCTTGCTTGCTGCGTGACTTTGGCAAGTGCTTGCCTCTTTGAGACCCTCAGTTTTCACACCTGAGAAATAGAAAGGTGGTGCCTGCCCCAGCTGCCACGCAGAAGAGTTTAGGTGGCATGTGAGAAAATGCCTTATGAACTACGATGTGAGCAACTGCAGCATGCTGTGAACACCGCTTTCATGAGCTCCTCAGGGGCAGGGTAACACCCAAGCATTCTTACACCTCCCACCGGGCTTGTCACGACCGTATGCAAATGAAGGCCATCAAGCGTGTTTGATCAGTGATGTATTTCTTTATTTTTAGTTGTAGAATATGACAACTCTATTTTTAGCAGCTATAGCGGCCAAAACTTTGTTACCACTCAGCAGTTGTGTGTTCTTCAAGAGTAGGTTTTGTGCTTTCAAAATATCTGAATCCTCTACCATTTACAGGTGTTCTGTGCATACTTGGTGTATGAGTTCCTCAGGAAGGAAGAAAAATGTGCCCTTTTTATCTTTTAAAAAGATGGCTTGGCTTGGTACTCCTTTGCCTGCATTCCTTCTCTGTATTTAGAAACGAACCTACACAAGTGAAGGCAAAGGAAGCCTCTTGAAAGATAAGGCAGGAAAAATGAGGATAGAAAACAAAACCCTTCTAGAGAGTTTACGTGGAGGCTACCACGGGCATCGCTGCTCTGCAGTCTGTCAACCAGAGGCCCCTGGTGCTGCAGCACGGCCTTGGCAGCTTCACCAACAGGAATGTGTTCTCCTAGGGTACTGGAGGGTGGCAGTCCCAGAGCAAGGTGTGGCAGGGCTGCTCCTCCTGAGGCCTCTCCCTGGCTTGCAGACGACATCTTCTCCCATGTTCTCATGTGGGCCTCCCTCTGCACACGTATATCTGACATCCTCCCATGTCCTCACACGTTCCTCCCTTTGCACTCGAATCCCGGACATCCTCCTATGTCTCACGTGGTCCTCTCTCTGCACTCGAATCCCAGACATCCTCCTATGTCCTCACATGGTCCTCCCCCTGCACTCACATCCCTGACGTCCTCCCGTGCCCTCACGTGGTCCTCCCTCTGCACTCACATCCCTGACGTCCTCCCGTGCCCTCACGTGGTCCTCCCCCTGCACTCACATCCCTGACGTCCTCCCGAGCCCTCACGTGGTCCTCCCTCTGCACTCACATCCCTGACGTCCTCCCGTGCCCTCACGTGGTCCTCCCCCTGCACTCACATCCCTGACGTCCTCCCGAGCCCTCACGTGGTCCTCCCCCTGCACTCACATCCCTGACGTCCTCCCGAGCCCTCACGTGGTCCTCCCCCTGCACTCACATCCCTGACGTCCTCCCGAGCCCTCACGTGGTCCTCCCTCTGCACTCACATCCCTGACGTCCTCCCGAGCCCTCACGTGGTCCTCCCCCTGCACTCACATCCCTGACATCCTCCCGTGCTCTCACGTGGTCCTCCCCCTGCACTCACATCCCTGACGTCCTCCCGTGCCCTCACATGGTCCTCCCCCTGCACTTGCATCCATGACGTCCTCCCATGCCCTCACGTGGTCCTCCCCCTGCACTCACATCCCTGACGTCCTCCCGTGCTCTCACGTGGTCTTCCCCCTGCACCTGCATCCATGACGTCCTCCCAACAGTGAGCACGATATGTTATTGGGGTGGGTGTGGGATAAATAAGGTATACCAGGTGAGAATAATAAGAAACTCAACTTTAAAAGACGGTGCTGATTTGGACTGTGGAGAGATTCAACTGCCCTGCTTAGCATTTGAGATTGTGATGGATGAACTAATTAAGAGCCCAAAATGAAAGCTTGGGATAAATATCTGAGGGTGTCTAATATCCCAATTTTTCATCCTAGAGTGGGCAGAGTCCTTGACCGCATTCTAGGGAGACTTCCAAAAGAAAAAAGACCTGCATTTCTTCAACAACCCACACTGAGAGACTTTCCTGCACTTCTGACCTGTGGCTAACACTCCTCACCGTTCATTCTGTCATCAGTGTTTTGGGGAAGCACCTTTAACTCTCTGTGATTTACAGGTTATTAAGTGGCCCTTACAATTCCCTCCAGAGATGGAAAAGACATGATGATGGTGTCTGAGCTCACAGCAGCAAGCAGGCGTGTGTGCTCAGCAGCCACGTGGCTCATCTGCTGGGAGCTTGCTAAATACGATGTTCTACAACATTGCCTAACACAAGGGGAGACGCTCCTGACTCAGAGTGTTTAATTGCTCACCTACTTCTTTTTCTGCCCTCTTGGGCTTCTGAAATGAAAAGAACCCTGGGGTGATACAGTGAGTCAAAGGGGTGCCAGCTGCATCACAGCAAAATAGATTCCTAAAAAATCCCTGGCCTAAGATGATACCCTTGGCTGGATAAGTTTGAATGTGCTCATAGTGGACATGGTAGAATGAAGGTGGTTGAAATGTTCACATTAAAGAACTTCCACCCAGATTGCAAGAAAAGAGAGAAGAATGGAGACGGCAGCACGAGTCCCTACAATAAAAGCAGATGTTTTGAGATCAGTTATATTTCTTCTGACAAAAATTAAAGACAGAAACCAAAGTTTAGCCTGAGGCTACAATTAATTGGGCAATAAGCCAGAGGCACATATGGCATAGACAGATTTAAACATTTCTCCCTGATATTAATACAAATACTAAAATTACAAATACTTTGATTCCAAATAAAACAAATATTTAAAAAATTTAATGAATAAACACTGGGGTCTACAGTAGTATTTGAAGGACAGCTCACAAACAGGTTTGGTTTTTGAAGGTTAGAACTGGTGGTCTAGAGAATTCATTTCATTCCAGAGAGAGAAAGAGAGGAATTTCTTGGGTTCCTTCAGGAATGCGTCTAGCTTTGCCTCATCTTTGTTTGAACTATGGATACGGCAGAAGAAAACATGAGGATTTCACAGATTTAAGGTGCAAAAAGTCACTGGGTTCTCTAAGAAGTCTGGGATTCTTCTGCTGGAAAAATAAGTTTGTTGAGAAAAAATGAGTTGGAGGAGGCTGTTATTGAAGTGAAGCAGAATTGTTTTTACTAATCTGCTTATTACCCACTCTGTAGTATGGAAACAAATTATTCATGCACAAGGTCCTCTTGCTGTTCCTAGAATGCAGTGGAAAGAGAACAGATTAGTTTTCCTCCCTCAGAACACAATCCCTAGAGACAACCTACCTCAGATGAGATATTGCCTAATTATTTTCAAAAGACAGTGAAACATCATGGATGTAAATGTTTGCTGCAAAATAAATACATGCTAGAAACAGAAGCATCTGGGTCACAGCTATATTAGAGCTGCCTGTGTTCCCCTGTCACTGAGATTAAAACAAAAATGTCCAATACAATCATTCACAGCATGGGAGAGGGGAAGATGAAGGATGGAAAGGCCAGGCATAAAAGGATTTCAGAATTTCGGTCCATAAGGAAGTGGCTTTGTGCATTGTCTGTTACTATGTGCAAGGTGAAGTTTGAAGAATGAAAACGTGCAGTAACAAAGGCTGCTTTGTCCATCTCACCTCCCCAGATACCAAGTTTCAGACATGTTGCATTTTAATTGAAAGGTTGATATAATTTTTTAAAAGAACACTTGTGGTGTTTGAAGTGACAAAGGCTGCTGTGACAAAAAAGCAGGGAAAGGGAATTTAAAAAAAAAAAAGCAAACAACAACAACAAAAACCCCACAGAAAAGCAAACAACAAACAAACAAAAAACAGAGGAAGAAGTCAAACACCCTGGGCTGTGGCTACTTCCAGGAAGGGGCTACAAGAGGCAGTTGGAAATTCTATTTGTTTTGCAACTGTGGGTTTTCCGGCCTGCTTCCTTTCTAAAGTATATTACTCTGCTTTTGGTTCATGAAGTTATCCATTTCTGTTTTCTGGAACAGCTATGTATTTATCTATCATCTATCTATCTACCTGCCTATCATCTATCTATCTATTTACTATCTATCTTTTCTACCTTTCGCCATCAAGAGCTTCAACACCTGGACACATTCCGCAAAGTTTCCTAAGAAAGCAAGAAAAATAATTAAAAAAAAAAATCCGGAGTCCGGGGGGCTAATGGGGCTTTACTGGGACTCTCTGGCTTAATCCTCCAAACAACCCTGCCATAGCAGCCCATCAGTCCTCTGAGACAGGTGAGGAAACTGAGGTCGCAGGAGGGCACCCAGAAGGTCCAGGCAGAGCCCCCAGGCCCCCACACCTCCCCCCGTGGCAGCTCCAACCCCAGCTTTTTCACTAGTAAGGCACTCGCGCTGCTGGGCCACGCCCACTCCCCCACGCGGGGAAGGAGCTTCGCGCTGCCGCCTGGCTGGGGACTGGGCACGCCCTCCCGCGGCTCCGGAGCCGGCTGCCACCAGGGGGCGCGCCCGCGGTGTCCGGGAGCCTGGCGGCGCCTGTGCAGCGGCCAGTGCACCTGCTCCTGCCCTCGCCTCGGTCTCTGCCAGGACCCCGACGCCCAGCCGGACCCTGCCCTCCAGCGGGGCCGCGGCTCCACGGCCCGCAACAGCAGCCCCACCCGGCATTCGGCGCGCTCCGCGGGGCAGAGGTCGCGGTGTCCTCAGGCTGTGGCGCCGGCCTACAACCCCCACGCCGGGCCCGGGCCCCGTGATTATATTTGGGCCCCGTGTGATTATATTTGACAGGTCTTAGTTGACGCGCTGTTCAGCGCTTTGAGTTCGGCTGAGTTTTGGGTTGGAGAATTTTCTTCCACAGGGGATTGTCTTGGATTTTTCTATTTCTCCCTCAGTATCCACCTGGAAAACATTTCAATTAATTTATATTCACTTAAACATTTCCGTGCAAAAACTGTGTACAAAAGCCCCAAAGTATAATTTGCGCAGTTGAGCACATGTTCTGTTGTCCAGCATTTATGGTGGTTTGTAGTGGAAAAGATTTTTAGAATATGTGGATTTTTGGGATATTCCCAGAAGCCCAGATGGCCACACTTTAACTTTGGAGGAATTAATTCTCAGAATATTGCACACAATCAATCGCCTTTGGAAGGAGCATATATTCCCAGCAAAAGCTCTGGTTTTTTGAAGTCTGTGTTGTGTGTTATTTCCAGGAGAATATGCAATGATGACAATGTTATTAACTGATTCGAATATGAAATGCTGTTATGCCAAACAATGAATCTTTGTGTTACACATTATGCCTAACTATAAATCTTCGTGTTATACATTTTAATGTCATTGGAGAGTACTCCTGTCTTCTTGGCATTATTGATAATTCGATTCTAATTGCTAATAAGTCAGAAAAATTAGGAACACCAAATTTCAGTCGTCTCAAAAGCACTCCTCTTATTAAATTTGGATTTTTACCTTTATCACATCAAAAGAAATATTGTTAGAAAGGTGTTTAATGTTTTCCAGATGGTTAGATTACTGTTATTAGTTCTGATTTCATTGTTAATTTTTAAAACCATAGAGTTGGAAGTATCAATATGCCTTTCAATATACCTTAGTGGAATTTATTAAATTTTCATGGATGTCCTTTAGGAGGTTCAGGAAGTTATTTCTATTGCTAGATTTCTGGAAGATTTATCAGGAATGAGTGTCAGACATTGTCAGACGTCCATTGAAATCATCATGGTCTTTTCCTTTATTCTATTAATATGGTGTATTACACTGATTTTTAGATTTGTATTGGTAGGATAATTCCACTTGGTTATATTGTCTAACTTTTTTCTAATTTTCTTTAATTTTTATTAGAGATGAGGCCTCACTCTGTCACCCAGGTTGGGGTGGAGTGGCACAGTCACAGCTCACTATAACCTCAAACTCCTGGGCTCAAGTGATCCTGCCACCTCAGCCTCCTAAGTAGCTGGCACTACAGGTGTGCACCACCATGCCAGGCTTATCTAACATTTTTATGTGTTGCTTCTTCCAGTTTACTAGAGTTTTTGGAGATTTCTGTCTTCATTCATGAGGGATAATAGTCTGCACATTTATTTTCTTGTGATGCTTTTGTCTGATTTGTTATCTGGGTAATACTGGCCTCAAAAATGAATTGAGGTTTTCCTGCTTCTCTGCTTTGCAAGTGTTTGTGAAGGATTGGTTATTCATTAAGTGTTTAATAGAATTCACTAGTGAAGCTTTGTGAGCCTGGGCTAGACTGATGAAGAGTTTTCATTAGTCTAATCTGTTTACTTGCTGTATGAGTATGCATATATTCTCTTTCTTCTTGGTTTACTTTTACAATTTCTGTATAGCAGGGAATTTGTTTCTAATTTGTAGTATTTCATGCTTCTAGGTTTTCATGGCAGTTGAGATGTAAGAATAAAAATAATGTTGGGAGAAAGAAGTTGTGGACAATCTGTGAATATCCCAACATCTGTTGTAGGAAGGTTAAGATTTTTTTTTTTTTTTTGCTGTACTTAACTGAATACTCATATTTATAGTGTGAGACAAATGTAATGTTGTGTATAAATAGAACTAGGAAAATGTCTTAGTATTTAATCGAGATGGAAGTCTGGGCCTACCTCCTCTCTTTTATTAATATGTAGACAGGACACCAACACAAATTTGAATGAGGACAAATAAAATGTTAGCAAATGAAGAATGGTATGAATTGGTTAAAATGTGATGAAATAGAGTGGTGAATATTTACATAGAATCCATGATGTGTTAGGTGCTATTTCAAGCTATTTGCACATATAGTTTTAATACCAGTGACATTAAGATGTATAACACAAAGATTCATATAAATAAAAATTACAACATTGAAAATAATATTAGATGACACTAAAACTATCGTAGAAATACACATTTATATAAAACAAAGTAACATCAAGTATTAAATAAATTTTAGAAACTTTGATTACTAATCAGATGAATAAGTGATTAGCCTTTTAATCCAGTAAACAAGGCATACATATTATTTTCAAATTCCAGAGACAAATATTTTAAATATTGAAGTCTAAGACCTAAAAATGTGTCCTGTAACTCTGGGGGAGGGGGTTTCATTTGTTCCACCTGCAGTGAGGTCTGTTAGCCCGTCTCAGGTTTGACTCCTGACTTAATTCCTAACAGGGGAAGCTGCTGTCCTGTAACTCTGGGGGAGGGGGTTTCATTTGCTCCACCTGCAGCGAGGTTAGCCCGTCTCAGGTTTGACTCCTGACTTAATTCCTAACAGGGGAAGCTGCTGTCCTGTGACTCTGGAGAAGGGGGTTTCATTTGCTCCACCTGCAGTGAGGTCTGTTAGCCCATCTCAGGTTTGACTCCTGACTTAATTCCTAACAGGGGAAGCTGCTGTCCTGTAACTCTGGGGGAGGGGGTTTCATTTGCTCCACCTGCAGCGAGGTTAGCCCATCTCAGGTTTGACTCCTGACTTAATTCCTAACAGGGGAAGCTGCTGTCCTGTGACTCTGGAGAAGGGGGTTTCATTTGCTCCACCTGCAGCGAGGTCTGTTAGCCCATCTCAGGTTTGACTCCTGACTTAATTCCTAACAGGGGAAGCTGCTGTCCTGTAACTCTGGGGGAGGGGGTTTCATTTGCTCCACCTGCAGCGAGGTTAGCCCGTCTCAGGTTTGACTCCTGACTTAATTTCTAACAGGGGAAGCTGCTGTCCTGTAACTCCGGGGGAGGGGGTTTCATTTGCTCCACCTGCAGGGCGAATGGTGCTCTCACCTCACACGTGACACTTGGTCCTTTTTGCATTATGGTGGTGACCACTGATGACCGTATACCTGGCCGTGGAGTGACTGGCTGTACTGTCTTACAGGTCAGTGTGGGGCCAGAAAAAACTGGGCCAAGGGACACTACACAGAAGGCACCGAGCTGATGGAGTCAGTGATGTACGTTGTCAGAAAGGAGGCTGAGAGCTGTAACTGCCTGCAGGGTTTCCAGCTGACCCACTCCCTGGGTTGGGGGACTGGGTCTGGGATGGGTACCCTTCTCATTAGTAAGATCCGGGAGGAGTACCCAGACAGGATCATAAACACATTCAGCGTCCTGCCCTCGCCCAAGGTGTCGGACACCGTGGTGGAGCCCTACAACGCCACCCTCTCAGTCCACCAGCTCATAGAAAATGTGGATGAGACCTTCTGCATAGATAACGAAGCGCTATATGACATATGTTCCAGGACCCTAAAACTGCCCACACCCACCTATGGTGACCTGAACCACCTGGTGTCTGCTACCATGAGTGGGGTCACCACGTGCCTGCGCTTCCCGGGCCAGCTGAACGCTGACCTGCGGAAGCTGGCCGTGAACATGGTCCCGTTTCCCCGGCTGCATTTCTTCATGCCCGGCTTTGCCCCACTGACCAGCCAGGGCAGCCAGCAGTACCGGGCCTTGACTGTGGCTGAGCTCACCCAGCAGATGTTTGATGCTAAGAACATGATGGCTGCCCGTGACCCCCGTCACGGCCGCTACCTAACGGCGGCTGCCATTTTCCAGGGTCGCATGCCCATGAGGGAGGTGGATGAACAAATGTTCAACATTCAAAATAAGAACAGCAGCTACTTTGCTGACTGGCTCCCCAACAACTTAAAAACTGCCGTCTGTGACATCCCACCCCGGGAGCTAAAAATGTCAGTCACCTTCATTGGGAATAATACGGCCATCCAGGAACTCTTCAAGCGTGTCTCAGAGCAGTTTACAGCAATGTTCAGGCGCAAGGCCTTCCTCCATTGGTACACGGGCGAGGGCATGGAAGAGATGGAATTCACCGAGGCCGAGAGCAACATGAACGACCTGGTGTCTGAATATCAGCAATATCAGGATGCCACGGCTGAGGAGGAGGAGTTTGAGGAGTATGCTGAGGAGGAGGTGGCCTAGAATTTTCCTTTTCTAGGTAAAGGGGGGAAGCAGCGTGGATTCTTAACTGTTCTGACAGCCATGTGTCTCTAAGCACTTATTCATTTGTGTCTTCACCTCTCCTCCTGCTGCATTTTAAAGCACTTTTATAGTATGCAGTTTTGCCTAATATTTTCACAGCATCTGGTTTCACCTCCAACTTCTTTCCATGGGCCCTCCGGCTACTGCTGCCAGATGTGCATAGTTGTCCTGCAAGGCTGAAGCTGTCTGGGTTTATCACATGCCCAGGAACAAGCATTCCAGTGGCTCTAGGAGGGGTCGGCATGGGTTGTGGACATGGCAGGCAGGTGCCACATGAACTTGGGGATGCCCTGGGCCTTGGGCAGCGACGTGGTGGAAAACCTGTTCCTGAAGGCAAGCCTTGGCTTATCCCATGTGCCAAACTTCTAGGGGACCAGCTGGCCCTCTGTTTCTGGAATTTTAAAAGGGGTCAGTGACCCTGGTGGACAATGTCCCCAAAGTCTCATCTCAGGGTAGGAATGTGGTCAGACAGCTGGCTCTGAACCAGCAAGGAAGGGTGGGCAAGTAGGACCCCAGGCACTCCATCACCACGATGGCCTGGGTGTGTTTGTGTGGCCTCATTCTCTTCACCAGGTGGGCATGGGGTATCTGGCAGGGACTAGGCAGGAATCAAGCCCGGTGTATACTCACATGCACTGAACCCTATGTAGAAGGGATTAGGTCCTGGGGGCCATAGATGGCGGTTGCTGGGCCTGTGTGCTCGGGGCAGTCTCTCCAAAGGCACAGATGGGGTTTCTGAACAGGACCTGGGGAGACAGGCAGGTGCTCACAAGTGCTGCTTCCCCCAACTGGCAACCAGTGAGGAAAAACGCCCGAGTGGAGGTCTGACCTGCCCCACTCTGGAGGGCTGATGCTCTCTGGAAAGGTGGGTGATGTGCAGTGTCTGCTGTCTCCCTGTCCCCCACTCCAAAACTTCAGGGAAAAAATAATCCAAGATTGTCAGGATGAGCCTGGTGAGGGTGGCACCTTTGGGGATAGGCCCTTCAGCCTGGCAGAGTCTCCTCCCCAGGCTTCTTGGGGAGCCTGGACTGCAAAGCCTGCTTTGGGGAAGCTGTCAAATGAGAGCTGTGTGTGTGAGCTGGGTGCTGGGCAACACGCACGGACAGTGTTCTTCTCCCTGGCTCTTGTAGAACTTGTCCATGGCCTGTGTGTTGGTCTCTTGGTAATTCCCACCCTACCCCCATCACACAGATAAGATGAAGCCAGCATAGCCCAGGGGTGGGGAGATGAACAGGCGCTACCCCAGGTCCCCTAGGCATGCCCATCTGCCTCTGACATGTCCGGGAAAGCAGGTGAGGCCCCTTCTTGTTCTCTGAATGTTGTCAATGGTCTATTGCAGCCAAATGGGGACAGGCAGGCAGGAGAGTGTCTCATCTCGAAAGAAGTGGTTCCTGGAAGCAGCTGGGAGGTGGGAGAGGTTCCCCAAACTCCCCCATACTCCCCCATACTCCCCCACATTCCCTCACACTCCCCCACGCTCCCCCACGCTCGCCCACGCTCGCCCACGCTCCTCCCCCACACTCTCCCACACTCCCCCACACTCCCCCACACTCCCCCACGCTCCTCCCCCACACTCTCCCACACTCCCCCACACTCCCCCACACTCCCCCATACTCCCCCATACTCCCCCATACTCCCCCACACTCCCCCACACTCCCCCACACTCCCCCATACTCGCCCACACTCCCCCACACCCCACACTCGCCCACACTCGCCCACACTCCCCCACACTCGCCCATACTCGCCCACACTCCCCCACACCCCACACTCGCCCACACTCGCCCACACTCGCCCACACTCGCCCACACTCCCCCACACTCGCCCACACTCCCCCACACTCGCCCACACTCGCCCACACTCCCCCACACTCCCTCACAGTCGCCCACACTCCCCCACACTCCCCCACACTCCCCCACACTCGCCCACACTCCCCCACGCTCCCCCATACTCGCCCACGCTCCCCCATACTCGCCCACGCTCCCCCACGCTCCCCCATACTCCCCCACACTCCCCCATACTCCCCCAAACTGTTCTCAGGTTAGGAAAAGGGGCCTCTGTGACAGCCCCACTCAGTGGCTCTCACTGTCTGAGGGGTGTCCTTGCCCAACCCAGGTGCGCACCCATCTGAGATGGCCTTGCATGGACCTGGTTGGGAAGGTTCAGCTACAGCAACCACTGGAACCTGCCCACACCTAGTGTCTCCACTCACACGTGGGGCTAGATGTTCCTCCCTCCCGTAGTGGCACAGCCAGTGGCAGAGGGGGCAAGTCACCGCTGCAGTTCCCACTTGAGTCTGAGGGGGGATCAGGCTTAGTGCCCATGTATTTCCCAATTACCTGGTTCCATCTGGGGGCTTCATGGACAGGAGTGGTGCTTTTCCAGGCCTCTTTTCCATATGCCAGCTACAGGCCCAGGTTTCCAAGTTTCTGGAGCCCCTCTTCCAGCCTGGCAAGCATGGCGTGTTGTAGGGGAAGGACATGAAGCCTACAGGCAGCAGAACCTGTCTGGGTATGTTCTCTACCCCTGGAGGCCCCTGGTTGTTTACCTCTTGGGTGAGAGTCGGCTTAGGATCTCAACATTCTTGTAGGACTTCAGAACTGTGCCGACAGGGGCCCAGGAAGGAGCAGAGGCTGGGGCTGGCAGCTAACCAGTGTAGTGGGAGTTGTAGGGCTCAGTTTGGTCTTGCAGGGAATTCAGGGAGGCTTGGATTTGCTGAAGCTCTAGATGAGCTTGGGCTTGGATATGGAAACGGCATGGAGCCAGGGCCCTTCTGCACACTGGGGTCTGAGTAGTTGCACTCTGGTGCATCCATAGGTGTTCCCCACCTGGAGCACAGCTGTGGATAGAAGCCGGGAGAGCTGTGGAGGGAAGAGGAGGAGGAGGGAGTCTCGGGGCAGCCCCAGCTGCCAGGCAGGGCCTCTGCAAGTGAGATGCAGATCCAGCCTGTTGGCCACTTAGCACTTGCTTGGCCGCCTGCAGATCACCTGACCTCTGCTCACCTGTAAATGGGGGTTGCAGCAGCACTTACCTTCTGGGACTCCTGCAGCTTGAAGGGGCAGCACACACCACATGCTGAGAAGGCGCCTAACTCAGGCAAGCTTCTCCAACAGCACCACATCAGATTAACATCCAACCTGTACAGGACATCAAATCTCCCCATCCCTCATTCCAATGGAAGAAAAGGGAGTCTCTGTCCTAGGGGAGCAAGCACAGGCCTATCTATGCAGTTGGCAGTTGGCACTTGACCCAGGTTGGGGAAAGGCCCTTGGATACATGCTGGTTTCACCAACCATCTGTGGGTTGGGTTTGGCCTGGACCCATGTACCCCAGGAGGCCAGCAGCCCCCTGCATGGGACAGGACTGGGAGGTGTGTGGGAGGGCTGAGCTTTGAGGGAAGCCATTATTTGGCCTCATGGGAAGTGGTGCAGGTGGTTGTTGGTGGCTCAGTTTTGCAGGGCCTGGGTGATCACCCAAGGAGTGAAAATTGCCTTTTTATGAGAAATTGCCAAAACTGATGCAAGCTCATCCGTTGAAAAGGTGAGTAATGCTGGCAGTTGGCTTCACCTGCCCCTTCCCCACAAGTAACTGGTGTTCAGAGGTGGATTTGGTTCCTTCCCAGCCTTTCCCGTTTGCATGTAGCTGTGTGCATGTACTTTTGTGTGTACACACACATTCCCTGGAGGGGTTACTTTTATTTTTTTATTTGGGGGGATAACTAGTGAGGCAGCCTGACACTTTCTTATCTTGTCTTTTAAGTGTGGAGTCCTCTATGGAGTGGGCATCAGGTACTTCCTAGCTGGCCTCTGCCAGCTGTTTGGCTGCCCCAGTTTCTGCCCTTCACAGACATGCCAGCCACCTGCTGTGACATTCAGTGGCCTTGTTTGCAGCTAGTGTGATGAGACAAGTGGATCAGGTACATTATAAACTGAAAAAGCACACGACATGCAGAGGGAAAGGGTAAATGACCATGTGTGTCCTGCTCGGCTGAAGTCCACATCACATGACTGAGATGACATTTTTTCACCTAACATTTGGGCCCTGAGAAACGGCATCTATGTTTTACTTTTTATTTATGACAGAGTTAGAAGAAATACTACCAGGCTTTCTTTTCCATTTTCCCCAACTCCCTCTTTACCCCCTCAAGTTTACCTACCTCAGAGAGAAAGCGGAGCTCGCCTGGTTAATGACAGCCTGAAATTATTTGAGTCAGGTCACTGTGTAAAGGTCATACTGCTTCTGTCTCCTTGTGCATCACCTGCGCAGCTCAGATATTTCATGGCTCCCTGTATACAGGTAGCTGTGTTACCCTCCTAGCCGCTTTCTTGGTTTGATACATGCCTGGGAGCATGTGGGAGCAGTTAAGGTCTAGGCTCATGGGAGGACAGTTCTGCCCACCCCAGCTCATCTCTCCAGCTCAGCCTGCATACCTGCCTTCCTCCATCTGATTCCAGAGTAGGGGATGGGAGGTCTCACACTGACCTCAAGTTTATGTGACTTTTTCCACCTCTGCTTTCCCAGACAGCCCCTGCTGTGGGACTTGTAAGGAGATTTGTGAAGTCAGTATCTACTTTTCTTGTGTGGGTGTTTGTTTATAAATTATTCCCCTGGAGGGGAATAAATGTTAGAGGTACTCCAAACCCCTAACATATAAACATCTAAGCCTGGCCCTTTTTTGGTGGTAAAATATATATAACATAAAACTTACCATTTTAACCATGTTTAAAGGTACAGTTCCATGGCATCCAATATATTCAGTGTTGTCCAACCATCGAATTTATCCATATCTACAACTTCTTTATCATCCTAAAATGAAACACCAAAACCATGAAGAAGTCACTGAATAGAAGACTGATGTATTTGACTCCATAAAAATTAAAACTTTGTATGAGAGAAAAATGCCTCAAAGTCAAAAGTCAACAGGCTGGGGAAATAGATCTGCAATATACATGACACACAAAAAGCTAATTTGGGATATATATATACACACACACATATATATACATATGGATATATGTAAATATCCATTTTTAACACCATTTAAAAAATACCATCCTTTCCCCATTGAATAGTGTTGACTCCCTTGTTAAAAATCATGACCGTGTTTTTCGGTTCTTTATTTCTATCGCATTGGTCTTTATGTCTGTCTCTATGCTGGTACAACATTGCTTCGGGTACTGAAGCATTACAGTAAGTATGAAACCAGGAGGTGTTTGTCCTCTAACTTTGTTAGTTTTTAAGATTGATTTGGCTACTTAGGATTTTTTTAGATTTCATCTGAATTTTAGAATAGGTTTTTCTATTTTTGAATATATTGGAATTTTTATAGTGATTTTATTGAATCTGTAGATCGCTATAGATAACAATGGCATCTTGACAAGGTTTTGTCTTCCAGTCCATAAACACATGATGTCTTTTCATTTATTTGTGTCATCTTTAATACTTTTCTGCCATGTTTATAGTTTTTGCTGTACAGGTTAAGTGGGTTTCTAAGTATTTTATTCTTTTGATGCTATCATACATGATACTGTTGTCTTGATTTCTTCTTCAGATAGTTTATTGTTATTGTAGAAATACAACTGATTTCTGTGTATTGATTTTGTATCCTGCAACTTTGCTGAATTTTATTTATTGTATCTGACAGTTTATTTCACAGAAACTAAAAGATTTTTAATATATAAGGTTATGTCATCTGCAAACAGATAATTTTACTTTTTAAAAAATTGGAATATCCTTTATTCTTTTACTCACCTTATTGTTTTAACTAACTAGAACCTTCAGTACTACATTAAATAGAAGTAGTAAAAGCAGGCATCCTTGTTTTCGCTCTGAGGGTAAAAGCTTTCAGTCTTTCACCATGTTAGCTGTGTTTTTTGTTGTTGTTGTTTTTTGGGGTTTTTTTTGTATAACATTATGTTAAGGTGTTTTCTTTCTTTTTATAATTTATTAAGTACATTTTATCATGAATGTGGGTTAAATTTTGACAAATGCTTTTTCTTTAAGATGATCACATGAGGTTTTTTCCTTCATTATGTTAATGTGATATTACACTGATTTTCATGTGTTAGAACATACTTTTATTTCAGGAGTCAGTTATACTCATTCATAGTGTATAATCCTTTTAATGTACTGCTAAATTTGAATTGCTGGTATTTTGTTGAGGATTTTTGCATCAACATTTGTAAGGGATGTTTGTTTGTAGTTTTCTTATGGTGCCTTTGTCTGGCTTGGTGTCAGGGTAATACTGGCCTCATATAATAAGTTAGAAAATGTTACCTCCTTTTCAACGTTTTGAAAAAGTTTGAGAAAAACTGGGTTAATTCTGCTTTAAACGTTGGGTAGAATTCAACAGTGTAGCCATCTGGTCCAGGCTTTTCTTTGTTGCTGGGTTTTTTATTACTGATGCAATCTTCCTGCTGAATCTCCTTGCTCAATAGGTTTATTCAACTTTTCTGATTCAGTCTTAGTAGGTTTTTTGTTTCTAGGAATTTGTTCATTTTATTTAGGTTATTCAATTTTTTTAGTGTATAATTCCTTATGGTACTCTTCTACATCCTTTTTTTACTCCAAAAGTTTGTTAGTTATGTACCCATTTTATTTTTGAGTTTGGTAATTTGAGTATTCCCTTTTTTTCTTAGTCAATCTAGATAAAATTTTGTCAGTTTTTATCTTTTTCAGAGAACAAACTGGGTTTTGTTGGTTTTTGATATCTTTTTCTATTCTCTATTTCACTTATTTCCACTGCTATCTTTATCATTTTTAAAATTTTGCTAGCTTTTAGTTGTCCCTCTTTAATAGTCCCTCTTTTTCCCTCTGTTTTTCTTTCCTTAGGAGTAAAGTTGTTGATTCGGTATCTTATTTTTTATAATCATTTATAGCTATAAATTTTTCCCGTGTGGTACTGTTTTTGATGTATCTCTTAACTTTTGGTATTTCATATTTTTAATTTGTCTCTAGATATTTTCTATTTTCTCTTGTGATTTCTTCTTTTATCCATTCTTGGGTGTTTAATAACTATATTTTTAGACATAAAATGTGTAACCTACAAAATTTTCTTGATTTGTTACAGTTTTATTTGTTGTAAGTTTTTATTTCAGAATTAAATATGTGTATCAACATTTGTTGTGTTCTCATAAACTTTGTAATACATGGAGATTTCTGGTCCACATATGTAAGTCTCTACATTAATATTATTTTGAAGCATTTAAACTTCTGTTTTAATATTTCAAAGGTCTAAATGAAATTGAGATTTTTGGTTTCTGAGATGAAATCATGGTAGGTGACTGAGAAATGCTTAAAAATTAGCCAAAACTTAAAATTAAGTTAAAGTTTACTAAGTCACCCTGTATTGCTGGTAATAAAAAATAAGTCTTTAATGGTATAAAAGCAAACTTCAGAGAATGTTTTCTTTTCCCCAGTTGACATCTAAATTAAAAGCTGGAAAAAAATTTTATGGCTTTATGCGTTTTTCACTTTACAATTTCAACTTTTTCTGGTTAAAATTTTTCCAAACAGATTCCTGTGTATTTGAAAGACAAATTTTTTTTAGTTGAAATGCTTAAGCAGTTAAATAAGGCCATGAAACTTTCTTGAACCTGTGGGAATCCATGAGAAAATCTGACATTATGTTCTATTCTCTTGGAAGGTAGAAATATCGTTTGACTTCTGTTTTGCTGACAAGAAATATGGTCCTGAGCAAGGCTCCCTGGGACAATGACCTCACACATGGAAAACGCTGGAGCCCATCTGTCTCCAATCTGCTGTTTTCCAAAAATTAGGGAACTTCAGTTTTCCCTTTGATACTCTGTATTTCTACCAACCACAACGCCAGGGCTGTCCTGCTTCTACAAGTGACAATGACAAATATAGGCCTGAAGGAAGATGAGCTGATGGCATTCCCAGCTTACTACCACTCCTTGGGTGCCTTATCTCACATACGTGGATTCAACTCATAGACTCAGGTGGGTGAGGATCTATTGTTCAGCTACATTAGAAGTGACTGCTTAAGACTCTGGTGTGTGGTGAAATGAGGCAGAATTTTCTCAATGCAGTGTTAGGAGAATTTTCTCCTCATAATTACCATCTTACTATCACTAAATCATAGCTAAAATAAGGAAATTATTCAAGAAGAAATAGAGATGTAATCTTATGAAGACATAAATTTAGAGATTTGTGGAGAGCCCTTCATAATTTCATGGTGTTCTCTTTGAGCTGGGATTATAGTTGACATTTCATTATAATATATTAGCTATTCTAGACTTTATGCATTTATGTAAAGTTTTCTTTGTTGCACTTTAAGTTCTGTGATACATGGGCAGAGCATGCAGGTTTGTTACGTAAGTATACACGTGTCATGGTGGTTTGCTGCACCCATCAACCCATCATCTACATTAAGTATTTCTCCTAACACTATTTCTCCCCCAGCCTCTCACCCCATGACAGGCCCCAGTGTGTGATGTTCCTCTCCCTGTGTCCATGTGTTCTCATTGTTCAACTCCCACTTATGAGTGAGAACATGCAGTGTTTGGTTTTCTTTTCTTTTTTTCTTTCTCTCTTTTCTTTTTTTTTTTTTGAGACAAACTTTCACTCTTGTTGTCCAGGTTGGAGTGCAATGGCGCGATCTCGGCTCACTGCAACCTCTGCCTCCCGGGTTCAAGCGATTCTCCTGCCTCAGCCTCCCAAGTAGCTAGGATTACAGGCATGTGCCAACATGCCTGGCTAATTGTTTGTATTTTTAGTAGAGACGGGGTTTCTCCATGTTGGTCAGGCTGGTCTCAACTCCCCACCTCAGCCTCCCGAAGATCTGAGACTACAGGTGTGAGCCAATGCTCCTGGCCTGGTTTTCTTTTCTTGTGTTAGTTTGCTGAGAATGATGGTTTCCAGCTTCATCTACGTCCCTGGAAAGGACATAAATGCGTAGTATTCCATGGTGTATATGTGCCACCTTTTCTTTATCCAGTTTATCATTAATGGGCATTTGGGTTGGTTCCAGGTCTTTGCTATTGTGAACAGTGCTGAAATAAACATACAGTGCATGTGTCTTTATAGTATAATAATTTATAATGCTTTGGGTATATACCCCGTAATGGGATTGCTAGGTCAAATTGTATTTCTGGTTCTAGATCCTTGAGGAATTGTCACACTGTCTTCCATAATGACTGAACTAATTTACACTCCTACCAACAGTATGAAAGCATTCCTATTTCTCCACAGCCTCATCAGCATCTGTTGTTTCCTGACTTTTAATAATAGCCATTCTAACTGGCTTGAGATGGTATCTCATTGTGGTTTTGATTTGCATTTATCTAATGACCAGTGACGATGAGCTTTTTTTCATGTTTGTTGGCCACATAAATGTCTTCTTTTGAGAAGTGTCTGTTTGTTTCCTTTGCCCACTTTTTGATGGGGTTGTTTTTTCTTGTAAATTTGTTTAAGTTATTTGTAGATTCTGGATATTAGCCCTTTGTCAGACAGATAGATTGCAAAAATTTTCTCCCAATCTATAGGTTGTCTGTTCACTCTGATGATAGTTTATTTTGCTGTGCAGAAGCTCTTTAGTTTAATTAGATCCCATTCGTCAATTTTGGCTTCTTTTGTTGCCATTGCTTTTGGTGTTTTAGTCATAAAGTCTTTGCCCATGCCTATGTCCTGAATGGTATTGCCTAGGTTTTCTTCTAGGGTTTTTATGGTTTTAGGTCTTATGTTTAAGTCTTTATTCCATCTTCAGTTATTTTTTTGTATAAGGTGTAAGGAAGATGTCCAGTTTCAATTTCTGCATATGGCTAGCCAGTTTTCCCAACATGATTTATTAAATAAGGAATCCTTTCCCCGTTGCTTGTGTTTGTCAGGTTTGTCAAAGATCAGATGGTTGTATGTGTATGCTCTTATTTCAGAGTTCTATATTCTGGTTCATTGGTCTATGTGTCTGTTTTTGTACCAGTACCATGCTGTTTTGGTTACTGTAGCCTTATAGTATATTTTGAAGTTGGGTAGTGTGATGCCTCCAGCTTTGTTATTTTTGCTTAGAATTGTCTTGGCTATTTGGGCTCTTTTTTGGTTCATGAGAATTTTTAAATAGTTTCTTCTAATTCTGTGAAGAATGTCATTGGTAGTTTAATGGGAATACCATTAAATTCTTTTATAAATTACTTTGGGGAGTATGGCTATTTTCACGAATTAATTCTTCCGTATCCATGAGCATGGAATGCTTCTCCATTTGTTTGTGTCCTGTCTGATTTCTCTGAGCAGTGGTTTGTAGTCCTCCTTGAAGAGGTTCTTCACTTCTCTTGTTAGCTGTATTCTGATGTATTTTATTCTCTTTGTAGCAATTGTGAATGAATTTCATTCATGATTTGGCTCTCTACTTGCCTGTTGTTGATGTATAGAAATACTAGCAATTTTTGCACATTGGTTTTGTATACTGAGATTCTGTTGATGTGGTTTATCAGCTTAAGAAGCTTTTGGGCTGAGATGATGGGGTTTTCTAGATACAGGATCATGTCGTCTGCAAACAAAGATAATTTGACTTCCTCTCTTCCTATTTAAATACCTTTATTTCTTTCTCCTGCCTGATTGCCCTGGCCAGAAATTCCAGCACTATATTGAATAGGAGTGGTAAGAGAGGCCATCCTTGTCTTGTGCCAGTTTTCAAGGGGAATGCTTCCAGCTTTTGCTCATTCAGTATGATATTGGCTGTGGGTTTGTCATTTATGGCTCTTATTATTTTGAGGTGTGATCCTTCAATAGCTATTTTATTGAGGGTTTTTAACATGAAGGGATGTTGAATTTCATTGAAGGCCTTTTCTGCATCTATTGAGATAGTCGTGTTGTTTTATGTTTAGTTCTGTTTATGTGATGAATTACATTTATAGATTTGCCTGTGTTGAACCAACCTTGTATCCCAGGGATGAAGCCATCTTGATCGTGGTGGGCCAAGCTATCCTTAACAGTCTTAAGTTCAGTCTTTTTACATAATCCCACATTTCTTGAAGGTTTTGTTGTTCATTCTTTTTTGTTCTTTTTTCTCTATTCTTTTCTTCCTGTCTTGTATCAGATAGTTTTCAAGCTCTGAGATTCTTTCCTCCACTTGGCCTATTCTGCTAGTGATACTTATGGTTGCATTGTGAAGTTCTCATGTTGTGTTTCTCACCTCCATCAGGTCAGTTATGTTCCTCTCTAAACTGAATATTCTGCTTATCAGCTACTGTGTTCTTTTATGATTTTTAGCTTCTTGCATTAAGTTAGAACGTGCCCCTTTAGCTCAGTGAAGTTTGATATTACCCACCTCCTAAAGCCTACTTTTGTCAATTCAGCCATCTCAGCCTTGGGTCAGTTCTGTGCCCTTGCTGGGGAGGTGGTGTTGTCATTTAGAGGAGAAGAGGCATTCTGCCTTTTTGAGTTTTCAGCGTTTTTGTGTTGATGCTTTCTCATCTTTGTGGGCTTATCTACCTTTGATCTTTGACGTTGCTGACCTTTGAATGGGGTTTTTGTGGGGTCTTTTTTGTTGATATTGTTGTTGTTGCTTTCTGTTTGTTCTTAACAGTCAGACCACTCTTTCCTAGGGCTGCTGTGGTTTTCTGGGGGTCCACTCTGGACCCTAGTCACCTCAGTCTCTCCTGCACCTGGAGGTATCACCGGTGAAGGCTGCAAAACAGCAAAGATGGCAGCCTGATCCTTCCTCTGGGAGTACTATCCAAGTGGGTACCGACTTGACGTCAGCTGGAACGCTCCTGTAGGAGGTGTCTGGAGACCCCTGTTGGGAGGCCTCACCCAGTCAGGGGAAACAAGATCAGGAACTGCTTAAAGAAGCAGTCTGGCTGCCCTTTGGCAGAGCAGGTGTGCTGTGCTGTGCTGATCCCCGGGAGTCTCCAGAGCCAGCAGGCTGGAAAGGCTCAGCCAGCTGAACTGGGGAGATAGCAGCTACCCCTCTCCCTGGGGACTTCATCCCAGGGAGAAATCAGAGTTCTGTCCATAGAACTCTGGCTGGAGTTGCTAAAATTCCAATGGGGAGGCCCTGTCCAGTGAGGAGGGATGTGTTTTGGTCTCACTTAAAGAAGCAGCCTGGCCACAATCAGGCACAGCAGCTGTGCTGTGTTATGGGAAACTCCTCCTGGACCCTGGTGCCAGCAGGCTAGAGTGGCCAACTCAAACCACAGATATAGTGGCTGCCCTTCCCTCCAGGAACTCGGTCCATCTCTGGCTGTCTCCAGCCTGCTGCCTCTGGCCAGCTGGAATTCCAAGCCAATGGGTTTTGTGAGGTGCTGTGGGAGTGGGGCCTCAGAATGATGTCACTTGGCTCCCTGGATTCAGCCCCCTTCCTAGGGGAATGCACAGATGTATCTCCCACTTTGCTGGAATTCTCGGGGCATAGGATGCAAAACTCCTGGGTTTCCACGCATGCCCCAGTGAGCCAGCGAGCATTCCGCCGAGACTCCACACAGCTCTGTGCTTCAGACCCAAGGCCATGGTGGCTGAGCTCACCGGGGGACCTCCCAATCTGCAGGTTGCAAAGATCCGTGGGGAAAGCATGGTTTCCCAGGCAGTCACGCAATCACTCACCGCCTCCCTTGGCTGCGAGTGGGGGCTCCCTAGCTCCGTGCCACACCTGGATGGGCCATCACCCCACTTGCTTTTCCTCACTCCCTGTGGGCCTAGTGGGCCTAGTCAGTCCCAATGCAAGAACCTGGATACCTCAACTCAAGGTGCAGAAGTCACTTGTAGTTTTCATTGCTCTCCATGAGAGCCATGGGCCACAGCTGCTTCTAATCGGCCAGCTTGGCCCCATCTAAAGTATGATTTCTTAATACATGAGATGTTTTAAGTACATGACAATAATGATATTTATCACAAATAATATTTTATCTCAATTTCATATAAAAATTGCTAACAAATCAATTATTTTTGGTTACCACAAAGCTATCTGGAAATGTAACATCTGCCATTTATAAAATTTCTGTAGAGTTAATAGAACTTTTCCTGAAGGGAGGCCGGCAATATGCATCATGAATTCAAGCACTACCAGTGAAGTTGTGGAGTTTGAAGTGGTACTCACATCTTGTTACTGGGATTATAAATTCGTACAAACTTTATCTAATGTGATTAAACAATATATACCAAAATTATCAGTGGAAATACTCTCTGATTCAGCAATTTCATTTCCAGAAATTTACCCTACAGACATACTCATGATGCCTGGAATTATGTATGAATGGGAGAAAGTATTATACCACCTTTTTCATTAACAAAAGTCTGGAAATCACCTTAATGTTTATCAGTCACATTAATGGTTATCACCTTACTGTGTATTGAAATTATGGTTATTCATACGATAGCATACTATGCAGCTATTTAAAAAAATAAATTTTAAAAGGATGCTCAAAAATGATGTCCAATATATGTTACAAAGTAAAAACAACCCTGGGTGCAGAGCCATGTGTCTGATATGCCTCCATTCCTATAAAATCAGAGTGTGTAGAAATGCATAGAATATCTCTATTAACTGGTAACTGTTACAAAATTCAAAGTTAATGCAGGCAAGACCTTTCTTTTTTAATGCTAACACTCCAAGGAACTGCACAACATTTGAGGATTCCCAACACATGCCAATCTACCTTTGAACCTATAGATTTTAGGAAATGAGGCTCTTGAAAAATCAAGCATTAATATTCCTAGCTACAGTTGTTTGGGACATAATTAGAATGATCCATTCTTTGAAAGTTTGTAAAATTTGCTCATACAACCATCTGGGCCTAGTCCTTCCTTTGTGAAAGATTTTATTTTACTAGAGATTTTATTTTCTTCACATTATAGTACTTCTTAGGTTTTCTATTTCTTCTTGATTCTTGAGTCAATTTTGGTACCACTTTGTACCCCACAGGGTGCTTGGGCTCAGAACACATCAGTCAAAGAAAGAGAGAAGAAAGGAAGGCAGGAAGGCAGGGTGAAAGGAAGGAAGGAAGGAAGAAGGAAGGAGACAAGGAAAGAGAGAGAAGGAAGGATGGAGGGAGAGAAAGATGGAAAGAGAGAAAGAAGGAAATGAGAGAGAGAGAAGGAGAGAAGGAAGGAAGGAGGGAGAGAAAGGGAAAGAAGGAAAGAAACAAGGAAGCAGGGAGGGAGAGAAAGAGGAAGGGAGAGGAAGGAAGGAGGGAGAGAAAGAGGGAAAGGGAAAGAAGGAAGGAAAGAAACAAGGAAGCAGGGAGGGAGAGAAAGAGGAAGGGAGAGGAAGGAGGGAGGGAGGGAAAGGAGACAGGGAGGGAGAGAGGGAGGGAGGGAGGAAAAGAAAGAGAGAAAGGTGAAAGGTGGGGACGGGAAGGGAAGAGGAGCCAGCCAAAGGCTACAGGCTGTTTGTTCACTCTTCTACTTGACCCAAGCAGTTCTGCCTTTTAAATATTCCACCTTCTGCCATGAGTTACACTGTTCAATATTCATTTCTCAGAGCATTCAAAGGTCTATGTGTGCCCTGCCATGATGGACCATGGCTTCAGCTCTCAAACACAACCCTCAGCCAAAATATTCATGACTGTTCCCTCCCATATACTCATCAATCCCCCATGCTATGGTCTGCATGTGTCCCCCAGAGCTCACGTGTTGAAAACTTAATCCTCTATATGACAGTGTTGAGAGGCGGGGCCTAATAAGAGTGATTAGGTTATAAGATTCTGCCCCCATGTATGGATTAATGTCATTATCTCAGGAGTGGGTTAGTTATCTTGGGAGTGGGCTTGTATTAAAAGCATGTTCAGCCCCTTTTGCTCTCTTTCTTTCCCAAACTCTTGCTCTTCTGCCTTCAGCCATGAGATGACACAGCCAGAAGGCCCTCACGAGATGCAGACCCCTCATCCTTGGATTTCCTAGCCTCCAGAACTCTAAGAAATAAATTTCTTTTCTTTATAGATTCCCTAGTCTGTGGTATTCTGTTATAGCAGCACAAAATGGGTTAAGATGCCCCATTACATGGAGAGTGCTGATCCACAGGGTTCAGATCATTGACTTAGGGCTTGGAGTCTTATACAACATCCCTATGGGAGTTGACCTCCATATTCCCTATCTTCCCGGAATCGCAAATGGTGATTTCAGACCAAAATATAGCCCAGATATTTTGCATTTGGCAATATTGCCGACTTTTCCACAACTTTATCATGGCAGGTTTGATGTGCTCACTTCTATGATCCCTGAAAGGATATGGGTTCAAGATCCTGCAAGGTTACAATCCAAGGATAGAAGAGCCTAGACAAGAGTCCCATCACCTGGGCGATCAGTGCAGAGATATGTCACAAAGCCCCTGTAGGCAGAGCCTAGACAAGAGTTACATCACCTGGGTGACAGGCAAACAACAATGACAACTTATTTTCATCCCCACTTCAGTCTTTGAGGTTAGACAGACCTGGATTCAAATCCAAGCTCCACCCCTCGCTGTGTGAGTTTGCTCATGCTGCTAACCTCTCTGAGACTTGACTCTTCATTTATGAAATGAGGATAAAGCCCCTTCTCTCAGGGGCTGTGCCAAGGATGAAATGAGTCACGCATTGGTCAGGACAGGTGATGCTGTGTAACAAGCCCCTAAACCTCAGTGGCGTCAACAGCAAAGTTGACTTCTTTTCTTTTTTCTATTTTTTCTTTTGTTGGGGGGGTGGGGAGGTGGATGGAGTCTCACTCTGTCACCCGGGCTGGAGTGCAGTGGTGCAATCTCAGCTCACTGCAACCTCCACCTCCTGGGTTCAAGTGATTCTCCTGCCTCAGCCTCCTGAGTAGCTGGGGCTACAGATGTCAGCCACCAGGCCCAGCTAATTTTTTGTATTTTTAGTAGAGATGGGGTTTCACCATGTTAGTCAGGATGGTCTCGATCTCCTGACCTCATGATCTGCCTGCCTCAGCCTCCCAAAGTGTTGGGATTACAGGCGTGAGCCACTGCACCCGGCCTTGACTTCTCAATTGATTTCACATCCATCACGGGTCAACAAGGGGGTTCTGGTGGTCGTAGTCAATGAGCCGAGACCATGCCACTGCACTCCAGCCTGAGTGACAGAGTGAGACTTCATCTCAAAAAAAAAAAGTCTCAGGCTATGTCTGAACTAGGAGGGTAGAAAGAATAGTCATTTTGGTTGCCACAAACCATCGAAACAAAGATGCAGATCATTGATGTAAAATTACAGTTAGTTCCTTCCCACTCCTTTTCAGCTTCTCTTCGTTGCTATGACCCAGCGTCTCCTGTGTCAGTTTTCAGTCTATTGTCTCCCAGCTTCTAGTGCACCTTTCAATATGTGCACTGTGATAAACTGGGAAGCACTTTTCAATATACCTTCTGGAAGTGAACATTCTGCAGGCATCTAGATAGAGGATGGAGAGACTGCAGGGGGCAGGAGCTCTCTGGCTGGGCCTTGTTCAAGCCCCAACCACAGAGACCTAGGCATGGTCCCTCAGCCACCTTGCAGCCTTGGCTAGCAACATCTCGACACGGAAACCAAAACGCAGCAGAGCCCATGTGATCTGAAGGTTCCTGAAAAGTTGCCCAGACCTCCTCTTGTACCCACATACAAAGAGTGTGTCCAGGGTCATGAGTGAGCATGATATTACAGAGGAATGTAAACAGGAAAACCATAGCATAGAGCAGTGGGGATCCATAGCTCACAGTGATAGCATGGAAGTTTCCTGGTTACATGAAGTAATTAAGACGTATTTAAAAGCCAAGAGTACAAAATTAGACCTGATGAAAAAGCAGGAGTTATCATCCCAGCCATGCAGAAAAGCCAAGCCTTCTCTCCCTTCTCAAGAAGGAACAGAAGACAATGATGTGATCTGTGAGTCATGTGTAACATGAAAGTACAGGAAAAGTTGAATTTCTGATACACAAATCTGAAAAGTTTTTATAGTAACAGATTTCAGGATTAAAAGTCAATATTTATTACTTCATTAAGAGCAAATAAATACTTTAAGAAAACCTTGTTGTTTTAACCAAAATTTTTAGTTTTGTATCACTATGTTTTTAATATTATACCTAATTTAAATAAACTTTATAAACAATCTATCTGATCTCAATCAGTTTTGACCTCGAGGTAAGATTTACGTAAACTTTTAATAACCTTGTATAATTTTTTCCATCTTTTCCAACTTTTTATACACATTTTATCTATCTTTTTTATTCCTTCAATTTAAAATAATCCTTAAAAATCTCTAAGCGAATTTACTTTCTCTGAAACAAAAACCGGTATACATTTTGCATACAGAATTGTTTCTCTTGTACCTAGTAGTCTTAATCACATATATCTACCACAATATTAATACTTAGTAACCTTTATTTTAATAAAAAACCTAGGAAGCAAGAAATCTTGAATTGTCATATAGCAGTATCTTACAGATGAGAATAATTTCATAATTTAGAAATATGTGTTCCTAAAACATTTTTTTTTAAGATGGAGTTTCGCTCTTGTTGCCCAGGCTGGAGTGCAATGGAACAATCTCGGCTCACTGCAACTTCCGCCCCCCGGGTTCAAGTAATTCTCCTGCCTCAGCCTCCCGAGCAGCTGGGATTACAGGCACCCGCCACCATACCTGGCTAATTTTTTGTATTTTTTAGTAGAGATGGGGTTTCTCCATGTTGGTCAGGCTGGTCTTGAGCTCCTGACCTTGGGTGATCCACCTGCCTCAGCCTCCCAAAGTGCTGGGATTACAGGCATGAGGCACCACGCCTGGGCTAAAACATAAGTTTTTAAATTGGAAATAACCCAGATAGTTAATGAGTATCTATTATTTAATTTAACATAACTAAAATTTCAAAAATAGGCTGGGCATGGTGGCTCACACCTGTAATCCCAACACTTTAGGAGGCCAAGGCAGGAGTATCATGAGACCAGCCTGAGCAAAATAGTGAGATGCTAACTCTACAAAAAAAATAAAAATTAGCTGAGCATGGTGGTGCATGCCTGTAATTACAGCTACTTGGGAGGCTGAGGTGGGAGGATCCCTTGAGGGCAGGAGGTCAAGGTTGCAGTGAGCTGTGATCATACCACTGTACTTCAGCCTGGGTGACAGACAGAGACACTATCTCAAAAAAATTTCAAAAATACATTAAGATGTCTTGGATAGACATGTATCCATTTACATTTACTTATTTTTAACAGTTTATCTAGAGTATTTGTGAGAACTGAGGTATTAGACAAAGCTAGTCATCATTTCTAGGTTATTTTCTTGTTAACCATGTTATAGCCTGTGAATATCAGGTGTTCACGTAAGTGAGGACTTCAAAGTTAAATACATGGGTATTTTACCAATAACTCAGAAAATTCCATTACTTTTGTTCAACAAACCGTATTAAATTGGTCTTATGTATTAAAAAAAATCACAAAAACAAATATTCCTTTTTTTCCTGTGTTTATAGCTTTATAACCTTCATGCCAAACCCTAGCACCTTAAAATATCTAGCAAATGTAAATATAAAACACAGTCAAAAATGTATGCTGACAATTCTGAAGACATTTCTATTTTCCTTTTATCCATACTTTTTAAATTATTTGTATTTATAAAAGAACTCTTTTGTCTGGGCACAGTGGTTCATGCCTATATCCCAGCACTTTGAGAGGCTGAGGCAAGAGGATCACTTGAGCTCAGGAGTTTGAGACCAGCCTGGGCAACATAGCGAGACCGAATCTCTACTAAGAATAAGATAAAAAATTGCCAGGCATGGTGGTGCATGCCTATTGTCCCAGCTACTGGAGAGGATGAGGCAGGAGGATCACCTGAGCCTGGGAGGTTGAGGTAACAGTGAGCTCTGGTCCCACTACTGCACTCCAGCCTGGGGAACAGAGTGAGACCTTAGAGAGAGACCTTGTCTCAAAAAGAGAAAAAAATAAAGAATTATTTCATTCTTTTGTTTTTCTTCAGCCAAGTAACCTTGAATTGGTAATACCACAGACAGTAAGTTTCATCTCAACACCAGTAGACAAGTCAGCAGATTCAAAATAGGCAGGGAAAAAAAAATAGACAGGCAAAAGAACTGAGATTTTTTCATTTTAGGGTTTTTAAAAATATAAACTATTTGAGTTCTGAATTTTCTTTCATGTTATTCGGCCATCAGGTTTAAAGTGTGCACTAGAAGCCAGGCGTGGTGGCTCCTGCCTGTAATCCCAACACTTTGGGAGGCTGAGGCAGGTGGATCACTTGAGGCCAGGAGTTCGAGACCAGCCTGGCCAACATGACAAAAACCCGTCTCTACTGAAAATACAAAAATTAACTGGGTGTGGTGGTGTGCACCTGTAGTCCCAGCTACTCGGGAGGCTGAGGCAGGAGAATTGCTCAAACCTGGGAGGTGGAGGTTGCAGTGAGCCAAGATTGTACCACTGTACTCCAGCCTGGGAAACAGAGCAAGACTCTGTGTCAAAAAGAAAAAAAAAAAAAAAAAAAATATATATATATATATATATATATATATATATATATATAGGCCTGTGCGCAGTGGCTCATGCCTGTAATCCCAGCAGTTTGGGAGGCCGAGGCGGGTGGATCACTTGAGATCAGGAGTTCGAGACCAGCCTGGCCAACATGGTGAAACCTCGTCTCTACTAAAACCACAAAAATTAGCCGGGCATGGTGGCACACACCTGTAATCGCAGCTACTCAGGAGGCTGAGACAGGAGAATCACTAGAACCTGGGAAGTGGAGGTTGCAGTCAGCCAAGATCACACCACTGCACTCCAGCCTGGGCAACAGAGCAAGACTCTGTCTCAAAAAAATGTGTGTGTGTGTGACTAGAATGGTCTATAATATATAGCCAGCTCGAGTCCCAGAAAACCTAGCAAGCTTAAGGTTAGAGCTTCTCATTTTGGCCTTTTCAAGATTAAATCTCCTTTAGTAGGCCCCTCCCCTCTAGGGAAGTACTTGCCGGAGCGCTGCCTAAAGTTGGTTTTCTGATGCCCTGTTGTTTCTGTTCTGAATGGTTTATTTCTCATTATAAGGGCTCAGCAAAGCAGGCAGAGTTAAAAAGCAGAGACAGGAAGAATTTTTAAAATCGTGGACTTCACTCCTACACTGAATCTCAGGTCCCCAGAAAGACAGAAACACCATGGGACCACAGCAAAGGCAGGAGGAGGAGTGAGGGAGGGAGGTGGACAGAACAACAAACAGGAGTTGGCTCTCAGTTTTTCACGTGTGCCATTTTCTTTAGGTTTTTCTAGTTTATGGAGTCTCTTTGTTCAAGTTGAGCACACAGATAAACTAGAGATCTCACAAGGCTTTTGCTGAGACCATCAAAGCCTTTAACCTCTGTTGGGCCAAATATTTTAGACCAAAAATACAGATAGACACACAAAAGCCAGAACCAGACCAGATTGAGTATCTCAGTGGCTGCAGCCTTTATTCCCTTTATTCTTTAGGATTTGAACTCAAACCAGATTCAGGGTTCTAACCCAACCAGGATCCCCCTGGGGTGAAACTGAAACCCACAGTCTAGACAAGGTTGGGGGTCTTTTTTTATTTTTATTTTTTCATTTTTTTTGAGACGGAGTTTCACTCTTGTTGCCCAGGCTGGAGTGCAATGGTGCAATATCGCCTCACTGCAACCTCCGCCTCTCGGGTTTAAGCACTCATCCTGCCTCAGCCTCCCAAGTAGCTGGGATTACAGGCATGTGCCACCACGCCCATTTAATTTTGTATTTTTAGTAGAGACAGGGTTTCTCCATGTTGGTCAAGCTGGTCTCGAACTCCCAACCTCAGGTGATCCGCCTGCCTAAGCCTCCCAAAGTGTTGGGTTTACAGGCGTGAGCCACCACGCCCGGCCCGCTTGTTCTTTTCATTTCATCCTGATGTCCGAATACAGGAGAGTAGCTGAGTTGGTGTTCACTAACAAGCACGGAAGCTTTGTTACATTTACAGTGTCATTCTTGGCAAAACCTGAAGTTTTGCCTCCCGGGTTCACGCCATTCTCCTGCCTCAGCCTCCCGAGTAGCTGGGACTATAGGCGCCCGCCACCTCACCCAGCTAATTTTTTGTATTTTTAGTAGACACGGTGTTTCACCGTGTTAGCCAGGATGGTCTCGATCTCCTGACCTTGTGATCCGCCCACCTCGGCCTCCCAGAGTGCTGGGATTACAGGCGTGAGCCACGCGCCCAGCCAGAAGCTCTGTAATTTCAATGATGATTGTGCTTTTAATCTCTTTCTCGGCATCTGGCTCATGATAAAGTTTCAGGTGTCTTGATGGTATCTAAATCAGTTGTTGATTCGGTCCTGGAGAAACACAAGCATAACCTCTACGCCAAGTTATTATTTTACCTATTTCCCAACTTTTTGTTATTGGATCTGTCCACCAAACCAGTTGTTCTGCTTGTGTCTTTGCAGCTGGTTTCTGTAGATGCTGTTCAGCTGCTGGTAACATCTGGCCTTTGGGAAGGCTCGAAAAATGGAAAGTTAATAATGCAAGATTCAATTGTGTCTGGGCTGTCCCGTAATCCCTGTTTCCCCCCTTTTTTGTTTTTATTATCAGTTGTTCATCTGTATGAAATCGTAACTGAGCATTTTCAATTAACTGTGTGGAATGAACCATGTATGAAGAATCAGAAATCACATTAATAGGCATATCAAAAGCAGTCAATACCTCAATTACAGCTACAAGCTCCACTTTTTGAGCTGAAATATAGGGCGTCTGGAAAACTTTACCTTTTGATCCAGAATAAGAAGCTTTACCATTACTGGACCCATCTGTGAAACAATGAAAACGCTTAGCAGGCTGCAGGTTGTTTACTGCAGGAATTGTAAATGCAAATCGTTCACAGTCTTGCTCAGCTAAAAGGGTAGTAAAGAAACAGTCTTTTAAATCTGTGACTATTAAAGGCCAATTTTTTGGAATTATAGTAGGAGAAGGCAATCCTGGCTGTTATATTTCCATAGGTTGTATAACTGAATTGATGGCTCTTAAGTCAGTTAACATTCTCCATTTACCTGATTTTTTCTTAATTATGAAAACTGGAGAATTCCAAGGGGAAAATGTTGGAGCTATGTGCCCATTTTCTAATTGTTCAGTAACTAATTTCTCTAAAGCGTCCAGTTTCTCTTTGCTTAGCAGCCATTATTCTATCCATATTGGCTTATCTGTTAACCATTTGTAAAGGTATAGGTTCTGGAAGCTTAACAACGGCCGCCGTCAAAAATGATATCCTAATCTTTGGCAGGAACTTTGTCTTTCCACTTGAAGCAGTTCTTTCAAACCTTGCAAATATTTTCCTAGTCCCATACCAGGAACATGCCCCATTTCATGAATTATATGTCGACTTTGAGGGCTATATAATTGTTCTGGAATTAGAACTTGTGCTCCCCATTGTTGTAATAAATCTCTCCCCCATAAATTTATAGGTACAGAAGTTATAATTGGTTGAATAGTCCCAGGTTGTCCATTGGGCCCTTCACAATGCAAAATATAACTACTTTGATATACTTCAGGGGCTTTACCAACTCCAACTATGTTAAATTGAGTGGGTTGAATTGGCCACGCGGACGGCCACTGCTGTAGAGAAATAATTGAAATGTCTGCTCCTGTATCTACCAAACCTTTAAAGTTCTTTCCCTGAATAGTTATTTCACAGGTAGGACGTTTATCAGTAATTTGATTTACCCAATAAGCCACTTTGTCTTGTTTATTTGTGCTTCCAAATCCTCCTGTTCATTTAATTTCACTTTTCCCCATTCCCACATATGGCACAATCAGGAGCCGATCTCCTGGCTCTGCTTTCCAGGGAACAGAAGTAGATATAACAATTTGAATTTCCCCATTGTGATCTGAATCAGTGACTCCTGTATGTATTTGTACCCCTTTTAAACTTAAACTAGACCTTTCTAAAAGTAATCCTATCGTCCCTGCTGGCAAGGGTCCACAGACTCCTGTTGGGACCTTTTGCAGGGGTTCCCCAGGCAGAGGGCTCACAGCTTTTGTGCAGCATAAATCTACTGCAACACTACCAGCTGTGGCAGGGGACAGACATTGTACGGTGGGGAGGGAATGGCCTGAGTTGGAAATGCCCCGGTTTAGAACGGGCCTAGGATGGGCCCCTCATGGTGTTTCCCGAAATCGGGTTCCGTTCTTCATCAAACTTAGAGTGACATTGGTTAGCCCAATGATTTCCTTTTTTACATTTTGGACATATTTCAGCTTAGCAGTTCTCTTTTTTCCCCTATCTGACAGCCGACTCACTGATTTTTTTTCTACATTCTTTTTTAGTATGAATAGCTTCTTTAAATTCTTTGAGTAATTTAAAAGGAAAAGGTTCAAATGTAGCTATAATATCTCCCTGTTGATCTGGGGGGTGTATTCTAACAGGGAACTGCCAAGCCTCTAAATCACCCTCTCTTCTAGCTTGCTGAATTCCTGCCTGAATAGAACTAAGAGCAGTCGCTCCAGGCGCTGCTCAGTCACTGGGGCAACTACTTTTCGCCCACAGTCCTCTGGAAAAGAAATACCTGGAGGGTCATTTTCTTCAAAATAATAATGAGGGGGTGCAGAAGGGTAGGGATGAACCTCTCCCTCCTTTGCCGCTTCAGCTTTAGCTGGCAAACAAACCTGGTCTGTAACCTCTTCTGTTACGTCGCTATACTCTCCTTCCTCCTCCTCATCAGTGTGAAAAGGTTCCAAGGTGAAACGAACCAGACCCCACGCCTGTCCCATTGTTACCCTGATGCTTCCGAGCTCCCCTTCTTACTCACCACGGGGATGGCTTTAAGAGTACTCAGGTGTCCTCCAGCTAGTTCCACGTTCTCCAACCGTCGCTCTGGCGACCCTTCGACCTGGATTCGAGCCCCCACGATGGACGCCACTTGCAGAGACCAGCTCGGTCAGGAAGACCCTAACCCAGCGGCACTAGAGGAATTAAAGACACATACACAGAAATACAGAGGTGTGAAGTGGGAAATCAGGGGTCTCACAGCCTTCAGAGCTGACAGCCCCGAACAGAGATTTACCCACATATTTAGTAACAGCAAACCAGTCATTAGCATTGTTTCTATTAACTAAAAGTATCCCTTACGGGAAATGAAGGGATGGGCCGGAATAAAGGGGTGGGTTTGGCTAGTTATCTGCAGCAGGAGCATGCCCTGATGGCACAGATCGCTCATGCTATGTTTGTGGTTTGAGAACGTCTTTCAGCGGTTTTCCACCCTGGGCGGGTCAGGTGTTCCTTGCCCTCATTCCGGTAAACCCACAACCTTCCAGCGTGGGCGTTAGGGCCATTATGAACATGTCACAGTGCTGCAGAGATTTTGTTTATGGCCAGTTTTGTGGCCAGTTTATGGCCAGATTTTGGGGGGCCTGTTCCCAACAGTAACCAATATTAAGTCATTCTCATTTCAACATTTAAACTCTTCCAACTGAATGCATTAAAAAACAAAAGTCACACACCACTGTACCCCTTATATGTACACAGCGGTCGGCAAACATGTGACAGGTGGAGGTCCTGAGGCACCACTGGGAGCTTGTGAGCGGATGGGCGTCTTCCAGAACGCACTCTGCAGGCACTCGGCAACGTGAAGTGTTCACGTCCTGTGATGCAGCCTCTGCTCCAGGCCACTTCCGGAACTGCGAGGGAACAGCTGTGGGCGCGCTCATTTCAGCTTTGCTTCAGATCCTGGGAGTTGGGGGCACCTTCTTTTTTTTTTTTTTTTTTTTTAGACGGAGTCTTGCTCTGTCACCCAGGCTGGAGTGCAGTGGCGCGATCTCGGCTCACTGCAAGCTCCGCCTCCCGGGTTCACGCCATTCTCCTGCCTCAGCCTCCCGAGTAGCTGGGACTACAGGCGCCCGCCACCGTGCCTGGCTAATTTTTTGTATTTTTAGTACAGACGGGGTTTCACCATGTTAGCCAGGATGGTCTCGATCTCCTGACCTCGTGATCCGCCCATCTCGGCCTCCCATAAAGTGCTGGGATTACAGGCATGAGCCACCGCGCCCGGCTGGGGGCACCTTCTGGCCCACAGTGAGGGAATAAGCAAACCAGAATGGGGGGTGCCTGCACGGAATACTCCTAAGTGCTCAGACACGGCGTCCACAGATGGATCCAAATCAGTGCTGGATGACGGGCACTCACCCCAGGTCTGCAGTCCAATAACACGGGCCTGAGCAGAAAGCACGTGGCATGGAGCCCCGTGGCAGATATGGGGACGAGCGGCCAATACATCAGCTCAGGTGTCCGAGGGGTTTCAGGGACATGAGAGAGAGTGGGGAACGAAGGGGGAAATCGCTTGGAGACCCAGGACGAGCCTGGCACACCAGGATGCTGATTCTGAAAGGGCGATTAAGGAGATTCCATGTTTTAAAAATCTGGATTTCTGGCTTCTTCTGAAAAAAATCAGAAGATGTTTAGCACAACAGCGTGGCATCGTCAGCTGTACTCCTGCCCCACTGTCCCCCAGGGAGCCTGGCTCATCCCATGGCTCACAGAGGCCCACACTGTGGCCAGACAGGTCCACTGATGGCTCAGCACGTGCACCCCGGCTGCAGGGAGATGGGTACCAGCCCAGGAAGTGGGACACTGGCTGAAACAGGATGGGATGCAGGGATGGGGTGGGATGGGAGACCAAACCAGTGTGAGGAATGAGGATAAAGGAGATGCTGGAGATAAAATCTGGGCAAGTAAGCAGGGGGTGGTCCTGCTGGCTGAGGCCAGAGATGCCAGCCCACTCAGACTCCTGCGCTGGCCCTTCCACACCATCCCAGGCCCAAGGCCTCCCACACACAGCGTCACATACACAAACAGCACCCTCCTCATGGCAACAGGTGACCCTGCCCCTTCACAGACCTCCCTGCCCCCACAGTCACCCCACATTTTAAAGGGAACTTGAGTCCATCCTGATATGTAAACGTGAGGTTAAATATCTATCATGGGGGAGAACAGACAAATCTCCAGTGCAGAATAGTTCTAAATAACCTAAGTGGAGGCTCCACTCTTGAGGAGATCCAGCCTAACTCCCCACCTCTCCAACGCGGCTCATCGCAGCGACCTCCTTCTTCCAACGTGGCTCATCGCAGTGACCTCCTTCTCAGGAGTGCAGAGTGGAGGTCAGTGGTGGAGTGAAGACGGACCAGGGTTAACATCGGCAGTGATCACTTGACCTCTGCACACTTGACTCTGGGTCTTTCTCCCCAAAAAAAACCAGAACCTCAGTATAATCGTGAGGAAAATAGACAAATCCTAATTGAGGGACATTCTCCAAAATACCTGACTGGCCCTCCTCAAAACTGCCAAGGTCATGGAAAAAGGAAAGTCTGAAAAACTCACAGTTTAGGAACCTAAAGAGACTTGATTACTAAATGGAATATATCCTGGGATCCTGGAAAAGAAAAGGACATTATGTAAAAACTAAGAAAACCTGAATAAAATGTGGCCTTTAGTTAATAAGAATCCATCAATATTGGTGCATTCGTTGTAACAAGTAGTTGTAACAAGTGCCACGCTAATGTAACACGTTAGTACCAGCGTAACTGGGTGCCAGGCGTT
Source organism: Homo sapiens (assembly GCF_000001405.40). NCBI lineage: Eukaryota > Metazoa > Chordata > Mammalia > Primates > Hominidae > Homo > Homo sapiens. The sequence goes on from NC_000001.11 coordinate 900,870, forward strand.
TGTAAACTCTGTTCCGTCTTCTCAATTGTTTTGTGAATCTAAAACCGTTCTTTAAAAAGAGTTTATTTAGTAGGCTGGGCATGGTGGCTCACACCTGCAATCCCAGCACTTGGGAAGGCCAAGACTGGTGGATCACTTGAGCTCAGGAGTTGGAGACATGCCTAGGTAACATGGCAAAACCCCATCTCTACTAAAAATACAAAAATTAGCCAGGTGTGGTGGCGCACACCTGTAGTCGCAGCCACTTGGGAGGTTGAGGTGGGAGGATCGCTGGAGCCTCGGAGGTCGAGGTGGTAGTGAGCCAAGATTGCACCACTGCACTCCAGCCCGGGCAACCAGAGTGAAACGCTGTGTCCAAAAAATAAAAAAAGAGTGTATGTAAAGTGAAAACAGAGAGAGTACAAGAAAAGAGGGAAACCAGGGGCTCAGTGGAGGTGGGCAGGGGCTGGTCCATGTGCATTCAGCCCACCTGGTTGGCAGCTGCCCAGGTGTCTCCTCAGGTGTCGGAACAGGAGTTTCTTCCACAGCCTTCAGTTTGCTCAGGTGGGCATGTGGCGATGGCAGACCCTTGGGCTGTGAGAAACTATGTTGCTGTTTTATCCAAGTCTTCACAGACCAAAGACGGGGCTTTGCCCAGAGGAGGCCTTGAGAAGCCAGGCTGGAGTTTGTGGAGAGAGTGTGTGTCACTCACAGGACATATGACGCATTTGCAACATGCGTTCTCAAAGTGGGAGCCACAGCAGTGTTCGTTTTACTATTGCTGGGCCTGTAAATGGAGCGTTTTATCTTTTTCGTCAGCTGGTTCATTGAACAAGTGTTTACAGAGCACCTGCTAGGCAAATCCATCGTGACAGAGACTCGGTGTGCCCCCAAGGAGCTCACAGTCTAGCGGTAAAGATGGTGCATAAACTCCCTGACACTCAGGGTGGCAACAGCCACCCCACCTGCTCCTCCCTTTCCTAATGCCCACACGGAGCAGACACTCGAGGGCTGCTTTTAGGAGTGCTGACTACATGCTTCCCTACCTCCATGTAGGCATGTGTGTACACAAGCGTGTCCTGTTTTCACCTTTTCACAAAACTATGTCAAAAGTGAAACATTTTGGAATACATTTCCAGTTATGCAAAATGTTTAAAATATGAATTTCTTCGGTTAACACAAATTAGGCATGAAATGTAGGCAACCCTGTTTACCAAGAAACATCAGGGTGCGGTGTGGGTCTGGGAGGTGCCCATGAGCACCTCATCTTGAGGCCAGTCTTCATGCTAGACCCTGGGTGGAGAGAGCGAGGCGGCTGGAGGTGGGTGTGTGACACCAGGTGACTTAGCGGCCCCAGGAGGGTGACTTCCCCTCCGGAGGTGCCATGCGACTGTACAGCTCAGGAGCACTCGGGGTCACCTACAGGAGGGGCAACTCCTGGGTGTCTCCCAACAGAGCCCAAAACCTGGAAGTGGACAGAGCACCCCCCGCTCATCTCCTGGGCCCTCGTCTCAGAGGAAGGACGGCCATTCTGGCCAACACTGACCAATGCTCCAGCCCACACTGCCCTGCACTGCCTAGAAGGAGAACCTAGGCTGGGCTCCCAGACAGGAGAGAGGGGTGCGTTTGTGGGGCTAATTAATAGTAATAATAGGCCGGGAGCGGTGGCTCATGCCTGTAATCCCAGCACTTTGGGAGGCCGAGGTGGGTGGATCACCTTAGCTCAGGAGTTCAAGACCAGCCTGGCCAACATGGTGAAACCCCGTCTAAAAATGCAAAAAAACTAGCTGGGCGTGGTGGTGCCTGTAGTCCCAGCTACTCGGGAGGCTGAGACAGAATCACATGAACCCGGGAGGCGGAGCTTGCAGTGAGCCGAGATCGCGCCATTGCACCCAGCCTGGGCAACCAGAGTGAAACTCTGTCTCAAAAAAAAAAAAAAATCGTCATAATAATAATCCCCCCTCACCTGAGTTCTGGGAGGTCAATCCAGGTTCAAGATTCCTCCTTTGAAAGGTAGACTGGATTTGGATACAGAGGGTGCCCATGCGTGAGGGGACGAGGGGGCCCGGGATGCGGGTCCGTGTGAGGGGCTGAAGAGTTGCCCCTGTGCTAGTCAGTGCCGCCGCCATAACCGAGCCCCGCCGGCTGCGCGGCGTCTTCAGCAAGCGTTTATTTGCTAATTCTGGGGGCTGGAGGTCCGCGGTCACGGTGTCCACAGACTGACTTCTCCAGAGGCCTCTCCTTGGCTTGTGGACACCGTCTTCTCCCTAAATCCTCATCTCCTCTTCTTATACATTGTATCAGGGCCCGCCCCATGACCCCATTTCACCTTAATCGCCTCGTTAAAGACCCCATCTCCAAACAACCATATTCTGAGGTCCTGGGGGTTAGGGCCTCAGCACAGGAATTTGGGGCGGGGGGACACACACTCTGACTTCGCACCACCTCCCCACCACTGCGTGGTGTGTGCTGCGGTTTAGCTTGTGTGACTGTGATCTTTTTCGTCAACTGGTTCATTGAACAAGTGTTCAACGGGCCCTCTAAGAAAGTAATTAACGTCAAATGAGGCCCTAAGGGTGGGGCCCTGATCTGATAGAATTCGTGTCCTTATAAAAGAGGCACCAGAGCACCCACTCCCTGTCTCCGACGTGTGGGGACAGAACAGGCGGCCATCTGCAAGCCAGGTAAGAGCCCTCGCCAGGAAAGGCCCAGCTCACACCTTGACCCTGGACTTCCAGCCCCTAGAACTGTGAGAAAATTAATTTCTGTTTAACCTACCCAGTCTGTGGTACAGTCATCTCTCAGTATCTGTGGGGCACTGATTCCAGGATCCCCACAGATACCAAAATCCACAGATGTTCAAGTCCCCCAGTGAGCCGTCTGCATCCATGGAGGCAGCCCCAGCCTTGGAGACCGACTGTGTTTCCTTAGGGCAGCCCTAGGCGCAGCGGTGCAAGGAGAGCCACATTTACCCCTGGCGCTGCACGGCCCTGAGGCTGGGCAAGGCTGTCCACCCCGCTGTCAGAACCCCAGCAGGGAAGGTGTCCAGAAGGCAGTCCTGGGAACCCTGCACAGAGGCCCAGCGGGCACAAGGTTGGGGCAGCTCTGTTCCCAGCAGGCCGAGCCCGGGTGGCTGGAGAGGGAGCTCTGGAAGGTCAGCCTAGGGGCCGTCGGCCCCTGCAGACCCTGTGCCCAGCCCAGCATCCCGGGGAGCTCCCTCCACATGCTCATCTCACGAGGTTCCTGCTGCACTCAGAGTGGAGGATGGGAGGCCTGGGGCGGAGGGCCGGGGCTTTGGAATGGCTGAGGGGGACAAGGATGCACAAGGGGCCAGTGCAGAGGACAGCGCGACTCCCAGGGGCCCGGGGTCCTGGTCTTCCTGGTCCTGCCGTTTTTATTAGAAGCGAGCCCTCCACCCCAGTGGGTGTAGAGCCCAGGACGCAGCAGAGGGTGGGGGGGTGGGGGGCGGCATCGGGGCAGGTGGCAACCCCTTGGACGCAGGCTCAGGACGCCAGGGTCAGGGCGTGAGTGCCGGGGCCCCCTCAAAGCCGCGGGGTCCAAAGAGGCCGCCGGCCCCGGCCCCGCCCTCTGCTCCTCCTCCCCCTCCACCGCCAGGCCCGGGTGGCCGCCGCCTCCTCCGAACGCGGCCGCCTCCTCCTCCGAACGTGGCCTCCTCCGAACGCGGCCGCCTCCTCCTCCGAACGCGGCCGCCTCCTCCTCCGAACGTGGCCTCCTCCGAACGTGGCCGCCTCCTCCTCCGAACGTGGCCTCCTCCGAACGCGGCCGCCGCCTCCTCCGAACGCGGCCTCCTCCTCCTCCGAACGCGGCCGCCTCCTCCTCCGAACGTGGCCGCCTCCGAACGTGGCCGCCGCCTCCTCCGAACGTGGCCGCTTCCGCAGCGCCCGGCGCAGGCCGCACTCCGCCACCAGGGGGCGCCACAGCTCCTCGCGCCGCCGCCTCCCGCAAACACAAAGAGCCGCGCGGCCACGACGGCCGCGTGCCCGGAGCGCCGGGGTCTTTCCTGGGCTCCAAAGTCAAGAGCTCACGTTCCGGGAGGATCTGTCCGCGGAAATTCGGTTCTGAGCGTCGCCGGACTCCGCCGCGGGGAGGCGGGTGAGGGGAGGGGGCCGGAGGGTCGGGGGTGCCGGGGGGTGCGGGAAGGCTGCGGGGGAGGCTGTTGGGGACGTTCGTGGCGGGGGAGGCTGTTGGGGACGTTCGTGGCGGGGGAGGCTGTTGGGGACGTTCGTGGCGGGGGAGGCTGTTGGGTCCCCTCCCCGCCCCACCGCGTCCCAGGGAACCCCGGCAGGGCACCCAGTGAGGGGGGCCCGGGCGTCCGCCCATTCCTCACTGCTGTCCCCGCCTGTGCCCGAAACCCCCGTTCACGTTCACCGAGAAAACAGACATAAACCCAGCCAGGCACATCCACTAGAATGGCTGTGATTTCAGAAAAGCGGACGTAAGTGCTGCCGAGGAGATGGAGGCGTTGGACCCCCTCGCGCATTGTCGGGGCGGGTGCAGCCGCGGTGCAAAAGGACCTTCCTCAGAAAGTTGAGCACGAAGTTCCCACAGGCCCGGAAGTTCCCCTCCCGGGCGCTCCCCAGAGAGCTGAAGACTGGGCGCGTGCCGGCGGCAAATGTTCACAGCAAAGGGCGGCCCAGTGCGCAGCTGGAACATCAGCCCCAGGCGGTCGCTGCGACAGGGACGAGCCTGGGAAACGTGAAAATGTCCAGAACAGGGAATCCACAGATAAAGAAAAGACATCGTGGTTGCCAGAGCTCGCGGGAGGGGGCAACAGGGACCGACTGCTTAACGTGTATGGTTCCCCTTCAGGGTGAGGACGTGTTCTGGGACGAGGTCGAGGTCAGGGTTGCAGGACAAGATGAAAGCGCTAAATGCCACTGAATTGTTTGCTTTAACGTCATTAATTTTGTTATGTGAATTTCATCTCAATAGAATAAATAGGTCAAGCTGGCTGCAGGGCCCACCCCACCGCGGCCTGGAGCAGGGTCTTCTGGGGTGTACCACCTCTGCCCTCACCCAGGCTCCACCACGACCAGCTTCGTCCACCCCCCAGGAGACCATGAAGGCCCACGTCTGAAATCCTCACTAAGCCCACCCTCCCATCTCCCTGAACTACGGGTAGGACCCCTCTGGCCCCCAGCCCTGCCCTTGACCCGGCCCACCAAGCCCCCACCCAGATCCACACCACCAGGCACTCTTGCCCTTGGCCTGCTGCCAGGCTGGCCCCGCTCCTTCTGGGCCTCCTGGAGCTTCAACCCCTGCCTCCACAGCAGACCTTGGCCTTTAGCATGTTCAGTCTCCTCAGTGGCAGCCCCGGGAGGGCCATCTTCTTGGGTCAAAGCCCTCCTCACTACCCACCCTCTTGCCAGGACTAGCTGTGTCCTGCAGCAGCCCAGCATGTGCCGTTGAGCTGGCCTTTTCTCAGGCCCAGTGCCCAAGGAGGAGCTGATTGCATAGGCTCAGAGTTTCCAGGAAGAGTGGGGACTCAGATGTCTGCCCAGGTGTCTCCACCGCGTCCGCCAGGGCCTCCAGCTTTCCTAACCAGGACCCTGGCCTCTGGCCTTGGTTGAGTATTTCACCTTCTTCCATGTTTAGTCCCTTGGGCTCTGCTACCCTCCTGCTGGAGGTGAGAGCATCCTGTGTGCAACCAGAGATGCCCTCTGGCTTTCAGACCTGCCTGCTTTTCACCCTCAGCCCTTTCTCACTCAGCAAAATTGTGGGGGTCCCTAGTCAGCAGCTCCCTGGGCAGCTCTCTGAGCAAGGTGGTCTCTGTGGTCATGAAGGAGAGCCGGCTAGGACAGTGCCGGAAACTCAGCTGCCTCTCCCCTTCAACTCAGCTGGCCCCCCGCACCTGAAGTGCACAGGAGCCGGGAAGAGAGTCTGGAGCCCACCCCGGAGGGCAGCACAGGAGGTGTCTCTGCAGCTGGTGTCCTGCCACCCCTGCAGGCAGCACACGTCCCGGGCATTCTCCTTAGCCACAGACAGAACAGCCAGTGCCAGAGTCTGCTGTCGCTTCCCCTTTAAGCACACTCATTCACCACACCCGAGGAGGCCAGAGGTGCAGGGAGCATGGGCTGTCGCTTCCCCTTTAAGCACACTCATTCACCACACCCGAGGAGGCCAGAAGTGCAGGGAGCATGGGCTGGGTGCACCTCCGCAGGAGAGAAGGCTGAGCCACCGCCGTCCCGGGAGCCCGGCTCCCAGGCCTCTCGTTTTCCCCTACCTCCCTAAGACTTTTCTGTCACTCTCTGGCCATTGAAAGGCTTCTGTTCCTTAAAGTGCTGTTACACTCTCCTTTCCCAGGATGCAGCAAGCCAAAACAGTACCACTGCACGTCAGCCTGGGTGACAGAGTGAGACCCTATCTTAAAAAAAAAAAAAATTGGCTGGACATGATGGCTCACGCCTGTAATCCCAGCACTTAGGGAAGCCAAAGTGGGCGGATCATTTGAGGTCAGGAGTTCAAGACCAGCCTGGCCAACATGGTGAAACCCCATCTCTCTACTAAAAATACAAAAATTAGCATGGTGTGGTGGTGCATGCCCATAATCCCAGCTACTGGGGAGGCTGAGGTGAAAGAATTGCTTGAACCCAAGAGGTGGAGGTTGCAGTGAGCCGAGATCACACCATTGCACTCCAGCCTGGGCAACAGAGGGAGACTGTGTCTCCTAAAAAAAAAAAAAAAAAAAAAAAAGTCTTCTTTCCATGATGAGAATGTCAGGCCCTGCAGCCTCTTGCACTGGCCAGAGGGGCTGGGGTCACTGTCTGTTTCCTTGCCCACCCTCAAGGGACAAGGAGGAGAGGTGAGGCTGTGGGCGCACCTGATTTTACCTGCTGGAGTCTGTGTTCTCTGGGATTAGGGAGCATCTGGAGCTGACTCTTCCTCCATGGGACCCTCCCTTTTTCAGGAAAACTTCCCCTCCTCGGGGATCCCGCAGGGCTAAGAAACACCCTCTTCACCTCCCTCCTGCCCGGTCCTTCTGACCAGCCGAGAGAGTACAGACCCTCCCCGATCTGGGAGGAGGGCCCATCACTGGCTCCCTGCCCCCTGCTCGCCAAGCCCCCCGGGACTTCCCAGGCTGTTCCTTCCACCTGAAGGGTCTCCCTCTGGCCAAGGCGAGGCTCACAGTTCCCCTGTCAGGATGGGGCCTTAGACACCCAGACTGACCCAGTGACAATCACCTTAATTCTCCACAGATAACTACCTACAAGTTTTCTGATTTATTCATTAGTGGATTTGTTCGTGATCAGCCCCACACCTGTTAGAATGGAAGCTGCAGGCAGCAGGAACCAGTGTGGCCAAGTCGGAGGGCAGCACAAGCCGGTCCTCCTCGTGGACAGCAGGTGTGGAGCAGGCCAGGCCCACAGGAGGGCGGGCAGGAGGGCAGGCACCGAGAGGTGCGGATGGCCTCTCAGAACAGGGGTGCAGGCTGGTGGGGGCAGCAGCTGGAAGGGGAAGGTCACAGAGCCAGAAAGATAGGGTGTCCGCCACAGCCAGTTCTTTGGAAGTTTCCCTGAAAAAGGGAAAAGAGACAAGATATGGTTCAAAGGAAAGCAGGGCCTGGGAGAGGCCTGTGTGCAGTGTGTCTGCAAAGGGAGGAGGAGGCAAAGATACTGAAGGTGAAGAGGGAAAGGAGGAAGGGACAGGGGAGGTGACAGAGGGAGGGGAGGGGGAGGAGGGGCGGGGGAGAGGAGGGAAAAGGGGGAGGCGATGGGACGGGGGAGGGAATGGGGGAACAGGTGGGAGGGGAGGAGGGGGTGGGGGAGAGGAGACAGGGGAGAGGGGAGTAGGGGGAGGGGATGAGGGGAAGGTGGGAGGGGAGAGGGGAGGGGATGGGGGAGGGAATGAGGGGACAGGTGGGAGGGGAGAGGGGACAAGTGGGAGGGGAAGGGATGGGGGAGGGATGAGGGGACAGGTGGGAGGGGAGGGAATGAGGGGCAGGGGGGAAGGGAGGGATGAGGGGCAGGGGGGAAGGGAGGGGGGTTTGGCCCTGCAGCAGGTGGGATTCTGCTCAGCCCATTTCCTGGGCCACGGGATTCATGAAGGGCACCGGGTCAGGCCCCCCGGGCGCACCGTTGCTGGTATATGCGGTGATCGGGGTCAGGCCCCCGGGCGCACCTTTGCTGGTATATGCGGGGGTCGGGGTCAGGCCCCCGGGCGCACCGTTGCTGGTATATGCGGGGGTCGGGGTCAGGCCCCCGGGCGCACCGTTGCTGGTATATGCGGTGGTCGGGGTCAGGCCCCCCGGGCGCACTGTTGCTGGTATATGCGGTGGTCGGGGTCAGGCCCCCGGGCGCACCTTTGCTGGTATATGCGGGGGTCGGGGTCAGGCCCCCGGGCGCACCGTTGCTGGTATATGCGGGGGTCGGGGTCAGGCCCCCGGGCGTTGCTGGTATATGCGGGGGTCGGGGTCAGGCCCCCGGGCGCACCGTTGCTGGTATATGCGGTGGTCGGGGTCAGGCCCCCGGGCGCACCGTTGCTGGTATATGCGGGGGTCGGGGTCAGGCCCCCGGGCGCACCGTTGCTGGTATATGCGGTGGTCGGGGTCAGGCCCCCGGGCGCATCTTTGCTGGTATATGCGGTGGTCGGGGTCAGGCCCCCCGGGCGCACTGTTGCTGGTATATGCGGTGGTCGGGGTCAGGCCCCCGGGCGCACCTTTGCTGGTATATGCGGGGGTCGGGGTCAGGCCCCCGGGCGCACCGTTGCTGGTATATGCGGGGGTCGGGGTCAGGCCCCCGGGCGTTGCTGGTATATGCGGTGGTCGGGGTCAGGCCCCCGGGCGCACCGTTGCTGGTATATGCGGGGGTCGGGGTCAGGCCCCCGGGCGCACCGTTGCTGGTATATGCGGTGGTCGGGGTCAGGCCCCCGGGCGCACCGTTGCTGGTATATGCGGGGGTCGGGGTCAGGCCCCCGGGCGTTGCTGGTATATGCGGGGGTCGGGGTCAGGCCCCCGGGCGCACCGTTGCTGGTATATGCGGGGGTTGGGGTCAGGCCCCCCGGGCGCACCGTTGCTGGTATATGCGGGGGTCGTTTGTGGTGTCATCACTGCTATCTTCCAGGCCGGGAGGAAGGACCGAGGGTGGGCCCGGCGCGGGTGGGGGTCCTGGGCAGGGGCGGCGGCGCGGCCGGGCTGGTCCTGGCGCTGGGACCCGCAGCTGCGCCCTCTGCCTGAGCAGAGACCGGGGCCCCCACGCTCCGCGCCAGCACCCGGCCGCGCCGCGGAGAGGGAAGGGTTACGGCGGGGATGGGGGTGGGGGGGTTGGCGGGGGCGCGACTGACGGGCTCGGGATTGGCTCGGCGCGCGCGGGACCCGGGGGCAGCTGCGGGCCCAGACTTCCCGGACGCCCTGGCGCCTCTGCTGCCCACGGCGGCCCCGAGGCCGCGCCCGCGGAGAGGGGGGCCCCCATCTCCTGTCAGCCGCAGTGACTGCGGGTGCCTGACGGCGCCGCCAGCCCGGGGGGCCCCTCCCGGCCCCAGCGGGGTCTCCCGGGGCTGCCTCTGTCGGTCCCGACCTGCCTGGTCCCTGGAGCTGGGGTGGGAGTCGTGCTTTGATCAGTCACCGGGGGCGGGGAGACTGGTCGACCACCCCTGAGGGCCCGGGACTTGTTTGCCACACCTGGGGAGTTTCGCGGCGGCATCTGGAGGGGTCCTGGTTGAGCAGCTAGGGGGGTGTCTGGTAACCAGCCGGGCCCCTCAGGCTCCCTCCCGGCAGGCCCTGAACAGACAGCCAGGGATGGAACTCGCCCCCTGGGCACCCTGTGCCTGCCCTCAGCCTCCCCACTGAGGCCCAGGACTTTAGAGGTGGGCGTGCCCGCCAGGCTGCCAGGCCGTCCCTCCGTGGGCAGCTGAGCAGGCCACAGTGTGGAAGAGGCTCCAGAAAACCCAGCCCTGCCGCTGCACACGTGCGTGGCCAGCAGATAAAGTCTTCCTTGTTATTGTGGGCAGCGTAGCTGCACCTGCGGTGAGGCCGGCACTGCTGAAGAGATGTCAATTCACAGAGCTTGACTATGACCCAAAGGTGAGGTCAGGACTCCGGGAGAGGATGGCAGCGGTCTTCAGGGGAAACTCTCCTTTTCTTCTGTCTGGACACTGGAGCCACACACTCGCCTGTCCCCATCCTCCCACAGCATAGGGCTCCTGGGACCTCGGCCCTGGGCAGGATTTGGGGGATGGCCACGTCTCTCTGAGTGGGCTCTGCTCATGGTCCTCACAAGGCCCGGGACATGGATGAGACCAGGCTTGCGTCCTCTGCCTCCCCGCCCCACTGTGGCTGTGCCAGCCTCCCTGACAGGGGCTCTTCCGTCCACGTGCCCCTCCTGGGCCACTATCCCGTTATAAACAGGCAGGAGTCTTCCTTCCAGCCTCCCTCTGGGGCGGGCAGGCAGCACGGCGATCACCTGCCCCCACTCCCTCATCTATCACCCTGAACTGTGTTCACGGTAAAATTACTCATCCTCAGCCAGTGATAAATGGCATCAGTCTAGAGCCAGCCCGCGGCAGGGGGTGGGGCTCCCTGCTCAGGGTTCCCAGGCCTGGGCCAGATAAACCTGGTGAGCTGCGCCTTTGTGCTCACACGCAGCTGGCAATGGCAAGTCAGTGGATTTGTACGTGTCTGATGTGTGCCCTTGGTAAAAGCACACGTGTGCACGATTCTGTGTGCATGTGCTTGCGGGGGCTGGGGGCTGAGGGAGGCCATCTGGGATGTGGGGTCTGGATGTGGTGGCCAGGGTGGGCGCTAGGCAGGCAGCAGAGTGGAGAAGGTATGTCACCAGGAGAAGGGACCCAAGGAATCGAAGAGCAGGGGGAGCCACTGAGTGGGGTGCAGGGAAGATGGGGTGTCTGGGAGCTCAGCCTCGTGCAGAGGGAGGGAAGCAGGCAGCTCCTGGGTGCACGGGTGGGGCATACTCTCTACAGATTCAATGCTGGATTTGTATAGTGTATAGATTTTCAATAGTTATTTAAAATCATCAAAAACAATCGTGTTTACAATTTACTGGGCAGCCACTATATGCTGGTCAACATCTAGAATTTATCAACAATTGTACAAGCCAAGTATTTTATCCTCATTTCTACAGAGGATAAAACCGAGAATAAGGAACTTTACATTGTCAATGATCAAACACCTAGTGCACCCATGGCCGTGCGTCCGCAGGACAAAGCAGCCTTTGGAGCCCTGGAACTTAAGATGTCCAGAGATCAGCAGCTCTCGGCTCAGGCCCAGGCAGCTGGACAGCACCCAGCGCCTCCTCCAGGTCCTCCTGGGTCCCCTCCTTTCTTTCACTTTCAGCCCGGGAATCTCTGTGAAGTCCTAGCTGATAACTAAGGGGTTAATGAATAATCACAGTGATGAGCTCTGGAGGAGCCATGGCCCAGAGCAGCTGTGGCCTCCTTTGATTAAACCACAGAAGTCCGGAGGATCAGGCCTCAAACCTCCACCACCTGCCAGCTGGCACCTGTGAAGGAGGTGGGACCAGCACCCACCTCACAGTGGCTGCAGGGTCACCTGAGATGGTGATTGCAAAGTGCTGAGCCATCGGGACACATATTTCCAAGACCTCCTGAGTGCCGGCTGGCCCCTGGAGCAGAGATGAGACCCCTGTGGGGCCTACAGTCCAGTTATGAAGGCAGGGTTCCTGTGTAAGCCAGCAGGCCCAGTTCTGGAAAGGCCAGGATGTGGGTTCAGAAGCTCAAGGACAATGGACTCATTCTGACTGGAGGGATCCAGGAAGGCTTCGTGGAGGAAGTGGCATTTGACATTGGCATCAAGGATGAACAGGAATAGAGAGAGGGGACTGGTGTCTGCGTGAAGGATCGCCAAAGCGCTGTTCTGGGGTGAGGGCGATCAGCCCCTCCTGCCCCTCCTGAACTATGAGGCTCGGGAGCCTTTGGCAGAAGGTGGCTCTGCACGCCCCAGGTGCAAGCTTGGAGCTTCCTTTTCTGCACTCCACAGCAGGAAGAAGGGCAGTGTGAACTGCTCACCACTGTCTTCCTGGGTTTGCAGCTCTGCGCCTGGCACAGAGACAGGCTCAGTGACGGTTGAAGGAATCGGAGAAATAATGAAAAGTGTGTTCATCCTGCAGGCAGCAGAGCCTCGGGTTAACCGTTAACGTCAGGAAATGACAGATCCAACGCTCCTGCTTGGGGCAGCGTGGAGGCCAGCGGAGGAACTGCAGGAGCCTAAAGGAGATGGCGCGCGGGCCTGGCTCAGGAGAGCAGCCGTCTGAAAGATGGCGGCGAAGGGTGCGGGAGGAGATGCCCCGGGCAGGGGCTTGGCGGGGTCTGGCACCAAACTTCCCAAAGCAGCTGCCTCTGTGAACTGTGCCTGGCAGGGAGGGAGCCACACCGGGAGTGACCCTAGACGCTGGCTCCCCAGGGGTGACTGGAGGCAGTGTCTCCCGCCCATGTGGGCCTCCGGCTTGGGGTCCCCAGAGCTCTGCCCTGCTGCTGGCTGCACTGAGAGAGGTGGCCTTCTGAATGGGCCCTGTCCCCGGGGAGCCTCTGGTAAAGAGATTCACCTGCACCCTCAAAACACGCCATGCCCATTGGAGGCTCTGGGTGCAGGCTGCCCCTCAAACAGAGAAAAACCACACGCTGTTTAAGACCCAAACCAAGGAGACAGCCCCTCATGCCCCCTTCTATCTCCCCTTCTGTCCAGGGCCCCCTGCCTGCTCTGGTCCACCCCGTCCTGACCCCCTCTGCCTGTTCATCTGAGGGCCGTGAGCCAAGGCCTGGGCCTGGCCAAGGGTCAGGGATCCTGGGACCTGCTTGAGACCATGCCCCATACACTCCTTCGGCCAGAAGGTCAGCCGTAGAGACAAACCCCCACCCTGAGCCCGCAGTGTCAGCAACGCCCTGTCCTCAGTGCCAGGCAGTGTCAGGCTGAGACCCGGGCCACCTGATCCAACGTCCACTCCAAGCAAGCCAGAGCCAGGTGCTGCCAGCCTGCCCATGTGCACACGTTAGCAGACAGGTTTCCTGGTGTGGCACACACGTGTTATGACCGCGGCTGCTGCCCCCAGCCCAGAGTGCACTTCCGGGTAATCCAGCACCCTGAGGCTTCACTGCTCTCCTGAGAGTTTTCTAAGATTAAATCTCCTTCACAATGACAGCCTCCTGTCACCTGGGCCCTGGTGACAAAGCCTTTGGAGAGGCAAGGACCCAGCCGGGGCATTCACAGTGGGCATGCTATCCACCCTCCGCCCCTGTCCTGGCCCCCACAGTGGAGCCGCCACCTTGGGTAACAGGGGCTGCCTGAGGTCCTGGAGAAGGAAGAACCAGGTGGCCCACCTTCGGTGCACAGGGAACAGCAGGGACCTGACGGCAGCCCCCGCACCCCTCCCTGGGCTGAAGTTCAGGCTGTCTCATCCCTTGCCAGGAGCTCAGGGCTGAGCTAGGTTGGCAGGGGATGGGTTGAGGGTCTGTTGTCCAGCAGATTGCCCGGGCCCCACCCAGGCCACTCAGAAAACACCTGTGAGAGCCCCGCAGGCATGCAGGGCACTGTCGTGAGCACACCAGTGGGGACAGACGTCCAGGCAGGAGGGAGCAGCCAGACCCCCATCCCGCCAGGGTCACCAGGTGAGCAAGGCTGGGGAACAATGGAGGCGGAGCCCCGCGACTGCCCAGCTCACTGCCCCCAGTGTCCAGGCTGTGGTGCAGGCGTGGGGACCCAGGTGTGTTCAGGGGTCTCCTTCAGGGAAGGAGACCAAGCTGGGAGTCTGGGGAGGCTGAGGTGTGAGGTGACAGCAGGTAAAGAGTGAGCCACAATCAGCATTTTCACATGAAAGGAAACTACAGGCCTGGGCGCAGTGGCTCACGCCTGTAATCCCGGCACTGTGGGAGGCTGAGGTGGGAGGATCACCTGAGGTCGGGAGTTCGAGACCAGCCTGACCAACATGGAGAAACCCCATTTCTACTAAAAAAAATACAAAATTAGCTGGGCATGGTGGCGCATGCCTGTAATCCTAGCTATTCGGGAGGCTGAGACAGGAGAATCACTTGAACCCGGGAGGCGGAGGTTATGGAGAGCCAAGATCGCACCACTGCACCCCAGCCTGGGCAACAAGAGTAAAACTCCGTCTCAAAAAAAAAAAAAAAAGAAGAAAGAAAAAGAAAAAAAGAAAGGCAACTACAGAAGGTGAGGAGAACCACCCGAGATCACCAGAGGGAACCGTGGAAGGTCCGTGGTCCACCAGCCAGGCTGGGGCACCTCAGCCCCTGGGCAGAGCACCAAGCAGGGCCGTGCCCTGGTAAAGGAGGGCACAGTCAGCCCCAGACTACAAGCTGCCTTGGTCCTCCCAGCAGGGCTTAAAAGCAAGACCCCAAAGGACCAAACAGCTTCCAAGTAACTTCCTGGAGTCCTGAGCAAAGTAAGCTTTTCTCAGCTTTGCTACAAAAATAGTCAGCACCCAGCAAAATTCACAATCCCTGTCACCCATTCAAAAATCACCAGGCATGCGAGGAAGCAGGAAAAGGAAAATGCACCCAGAAGAGAAGGAGCACCCATCAACGGGGCCGCCTCAGAAGCAACAGACGACCGGGCAAGTCCAAGGGCACCGAGGCACCTGCCACCACTGCGCCCAGCACTCCCGAAGCCAGAGGGCAGGTGGGACATAGGTGGGGACGTTCTGAGCAAAAACGCATGCGGCCAAGCTGGGGTCGCCCGTGGGAAGAGGGCGAAACGCTTGCACGTGGGTAGGGCAGTCTCTGCAAAGGGCTGTGTGGGCTCCGGGACCAGATGCTGTGAGGGCCTCACCAGCTGCGAGGTGGCAGGACCAGATGCTGTAAGGGCCTCACCAGCTGCAAGGTGGCTGTCTCTGCCCCACCCCACACGCTCAATGCATGTTAATTTCATCTTGTTTCATTCTCATTCCCATTTTACAGATTGAGGTTCAGAGAAGTCAGAAGCCTTCCCAAGGCTGCACAGCCAGAAGTGGGCACAGCGTCCTGGGGTGAGGGCTCACACCATCTGCGCCACCTGCCCTCCAGGTCCCACCATCCTCACAAATTCAAGGCAAGGTTCTGGAACCCCCAGCCCTCCAGAAAGGGGAAGCTGAGCCCAGGAAGCACATCTGAGAGTTCGGGTCCGTGAGTTTACCCTGCGCTCACGCCGATTCCTCCTGCATCCTCTGTCGGGATGTCTGGATTCCAGAGTCCCCACCCTGATTTTCCAACCTTGCCTCAGCCTTGGCTTCTCCCTTTTGGGGTGGGACAGGGAACCCCAGCAGCAGGTGTATGAGGGCATGAGAGGGCAGGAGGTGCCCTATGCCTACCCGCCAGACCAGGGCCCCAGCCCTGGACACAGGGAGAGAGCATGAGCGCTGTTCCTGCTCCCACTCCCTCATCTGAGCAGGTGCTCCCAGGTACAGGTGCCGAGTCCCACCCAGAGGGGCCCTGCCACAACCAGAGGACTGACAAACCCAGACACAACTGTCTCTTCCCCCTGGTCAGGGTCTGGGCAAGGGTCCCTCTGGGCTGCTGTCCATGCTGTGAGTGTCCGTGCTGTGGGCCACTGCCGTGGGTGTCCGTGCTGTGGCCTGCTGTCGTGGGTGTCCGTGCTGTGGCCCGGTATGTGAGGTTGTGTTTCCAACAGGGAGTAATTTGGCTTTGGTTACCTGAGGGTCTGAGGACAGGCACTAAAGCCCCACCTTTCTGGCTTCCAGAGTTGCCGGCTCCAGCAGCAGCCTCCAGGCCTGAGCAGGCTCTGGGGCTCCCACACCTGGGGGGCCAGGGTGGGGGTGACAAAGGGCCCCAGGCGACGGCTGAGAGCCGGCCCTGAGCCGGCCAGGGCGGGCAGCAGAACAGCCACCAGCTCCCGCCAGGCCCTGGCAGCATGAGCGATGGCAGGCCCAGCGATAAGAAACTAATAATTTATGCTTCCAGCTCCCGGGGCCGGCGCCGAGGGAAGGTTGGGCCACAGCCTCCCCCGCACTGAGCGGCTGCAGTCCTTTATTGCACAAATTATTAACGACCAGAGAATGAATGACTCTGTAATCAGATCAGGTTGCCAGCACTTTTCATTGCATTTATTTGTATAAATTCTGAAGTCGGGGTCTGCCCTAAGCTCAGCAAGCCAGCGTCGTGCTGGCTGGGCGCCCAGGCCCCCACCCAGAAGGAACACCCGTCCCTCACCCTGCCCACGGGTTCCAGAGGACAGAGGGCTCAGGAAGGGGTGCAGGGAACTGCTCTGAGCCAGAAGCCGAGTTCATAGGCACCCAAAGCAGCCCTGGGCCAGGGTCAGAGCTCTGTCCTTGAACCTGCCTCAGGGAAGATTCCCAACTGTCCTCAGAGCCAGGGGCACCCAGGGCTTGGGAGCTGAAGGGGGGTGGGTCTGAGACCAGGAGAAGGCTCCCCAGCCCTGAGGGAACCCTCATCACCCCCCTGCTCTCCTCGATCCAGGAACCGTCCCAGGGTTGCCCCAGGCCTCCTGGCTCTCCCGCCTCCATCCCGTGGGCTTCCCGGGAGCCCCAGGCTGGTCTCCCACCTGCCCCCTCCTTTTCTGGTCTTGCCTGGGCTGGGCCCAGGGGCTCTGGCTGTGGGTTTTCTGTGCAGCACCTCGCAGTGAGCCTGACGCTGGTCCTCTCCTGAGCCCCCGTTTAATCTTATTGACCTCTCGTTACGCTACAGAGCGTAAATTCAGATTTAGAGATCTTATGTTCCATCATAAATTGGGCTGGCAGACTTCCGATCAACAAGATAAAGCTGTCTTCCGTGAGGCTGGTGTTTTATTAGTCTTGGTCCCAGTGCTGCAGGTGTGGGCTGGGGAGTGCCTGAGGGAGGGGCCTCTGCTTGGGACCCTTCCTGCCTGGGCGAGGGGCTGAGTCCCTCCTGCCGCCCGGGCTGGGCCCCAGGTACCTGGCGAACAAAGGGACCCTGAAATTGCCGCCTTTCCCCTGCCTCTTGGGCTCTGCATATGATTTCAGCCAATCCCTGCTGCCCAGCCTCGCCCACCCGCTTCTGGGGCCACCCCCGCGTTAAGCAGGGCTGTGCAGCATGGGGGTCCTGTTCTCATTCAGCCACCGGCACGGCCACCCCAGTGTGATTCCTCAGCAGCCACACAGAAGACAGATGGTCCATAGGAGACTCAGAAACAGAGAAGCCTCACGCCAGGTCCACAGAGGCACCCACGCCCGCCAAAAGGATGCCACGCACTCACCCTGCCCTCTGGGGAGCACAGTGGGAGTCCAGGACACCGCCTTGGATGGGGTGAGGCTCCGTCTGTGACCTCAGAAAGTCAGTCTGGGGCTGGACTTGACATGGGAAACAGAATAAAACTGCCTGTCCACCTGAGCTTGCCGCCCTAAAAATCCCTGACATGATACAGAAGTCAGTGCTGACAGAGGGCCTGCTACCCCCAGTGACCCTGCCGGTGGGGTCTCAACCCACCCACTTCTTCTGGAGCAGCCGGTCACAGCTGTGGTCCTGCTGGCGCACACGGGTATGAGACCCTAAAACACACAGCGACTGCACAGTGCAACCCTGCATATCCCATTTGGGTACAAGTTTCATTACAGGAAGAAACACGGGGAGGGACCCCAGAGCAGCTCACGCGTGGGTACCCTCCGCTGTGTTAGCGTCCCGGCCCTCACACGGCACCCAGGCCTCGTTGGGGCAAGGCCTTGTGCAGACACGGTGGGATCTGCATGTGCACTGGGGCCTGTGCCTGGGCTGCTGCTCCCCGGCCACCGGTGTCAGGATCTCCAGGACCCCCATGAGTGGTCAGTGGAGCAGAGATGGCACAGACGCCAGCGACCTGGGTCATTCTCTACCTGGGATGTGGGACCCCAGAGACCATGCTGTGGGTCTTTATCTGCCTCTTCATGCAGGAGCAGGTGCGACCCCCGCCTGCCCCAGCCATGAGGCTCTGTCACAGGGGACCTCTGTGGCACCCTGTGCTGCAGGCAAGGCCTTAGGACAGATGCCACGCCACTGTCCAGGAGACTGTCTCCTGAGACTGACCTCCCCTTGCACTGGGCAATGTCTGCTGAAGATAAGGACGTCTTCACTGGGCCAGGCCTGGAGTTCTCCCAGATCGTGAGCTTTCCTCTCTCTGATGAAGAGGATACCTGTGGTCAAACTCCTACAGAGCACTGGGGACAGGAAGGCAGGCAGAGTCCCACCTGGGCAGGTGGTAGGAGTGGAAGGAGCAGGCAGGCAGCAGGGCTGCCCAGGGCTAGGAGTCTGGCTGTGAGCAGGGCCCACCCTCCCCTGGACACAATGGAGGACCCCGTGTGTGGTTTTCACTGACTGAGCACCTATCTCGTGCCAGACATGTGGGATTGCCGGTGAATTAACAAAAGCCCTGCTCTCAGGGGGCTCCCATCCCAGCACATACACCGTCACATCTGGGGTCCAGCCTGGACCCCCCCATGCAGTTGGAGAGGGTCTCAGAACCAGGTCTGAGAACAGCAACTTCCAGCCACGGCACCCCACCCCTCCCCAGCTGGCCTGGGCTCCAGCTCCTCGCACCTGAGGCTGCCTGTGCAGGGCCCCCGGCTGGTGCCCCTCTCCTCTGAAGCTCGGGGGTCGCCACAGCCTGGCACCCTCATCGGGCCTGTTACGCACGTTCTGGTCTCTCCGTGCCCACAGACCCGCCAAGCTCACCAGCCAATGTGCAGCCAGCACAAGCCCGACCTGCTAGGGGCCTCAGAACAAGCGGTGTGGCCCGAGGCCGTCACACAGCACCTGTGCTGAGAGTGAGCTGACGTGGACGGCGGCACCGTGGCCGTGGCAGAGGCACCATCCCTCCACCCTCACTCATGTAGGGATGTGGGGCACACGGACTGGAGCCCAAGGCCTTCGTGCTGGGCCCTGGCTCTGCACTCGGCTCCCAGAGTCTCCCACCCAATGTCAGAGAGGGTGCCGCAACAGTGCTTCGGGGGCTCCTGTCATGAGGGCTGAGGACCACCTAGGCCCACGTCCGCCCAGCAGGTGGCAGCTGCATCCCCGGTCCCCTCCACAACCCGGGCCAGGTCCAGGCTGCAGGCCGCAGTGTTGGCAGGGGGAGGAGAGGGTGAAATTGGCTGAGCCCATCCATTGGGACAGACCCTCCCGCTCCTTGGGGCTCTGGAGAACTCTATTCCTTCTCTTTGCTTAACCTCAAGGTGCTGGGGCCTCTGGCTGCTGCAGCATTTACAGAGGAATTGTCTGGGATGTGCCGGGCCGAGCACTGTAGCTCTCGCCGGTGTCTGCGTCAGCACGCTAGTGACATGGCAGGTGAGGACCACGGCACCGCCCCTGCGATCTGGCAGTCAGAGCCCACCTGTGTGTCTGCAGGAGCATCCCTGACTACACACCACGGGACGGCAGGGAAGGGTCCCTCGGGCCCCACCCCTTTGTTCTTTCAATGGTAAAGGTTCAGGTCGGTGGACAGACTGGACTTGGAAACACCTTCTTGCGTCCTCGAAACGACGTGGCACGCAGCCAGCTCACAGCACCCAAAGGCACGGGCAAGTTGCATCACGGCAGCCCCTCCTGTCTGACCAGGAGCAGGTGCGTTCCTGAGGTCCTGGCCACTTCTGCAGGAGCGTCCGAGGGAGCCCAGCTGATATACCACAGCCCCTGACCTCCCAGGTTAGCCTTTCCATCCAACAGCACCAGGACTGGACAGGCCACCTTGGCTGAGGATCACGTGTGCCTGGGTCTGGGCGGTGCTGATGCCCACAGGCCCTGAGTCTGTGTTGCGCACAGGCCTTGGAAAGCAGTGCACATCCTGTCTGCACCGGTGTCTATAGTGAAGCCATCTTTGTCCGTGTGGCCATGGGAGGGTCTGTCTGTGCTGTGTGTGTGTCCTGCGCGCGTCGGGAGCTGCTGCGCCACACACAGGCACGCAGGGTGTGGGCACACCTGTGCTTCTGAGCCCACGTGCCCTTGCCGGTGGCCAGGCACACACACAGCTGTGCATCCTTGGCCCAAGATCAGCTGTGCCACACCTGCAGGCTGCAGGATCTTTTCTGTATATCTCCCTCCATCACCAGAAGTAAGCTCAGGACTGAGGCTGACAGGCTGGTCTGAGCGCTGCTCACCTGCACCTCCTGGCTGCACCTGTGGCCCCGGACTCAGCTTCCCCATCTCTCTCCTCCCCACCCCACCTCTGGGTCATCTCCGGCTGGGGCTGTACCACATCTGGGCTCAATAAATGGTTGATTGATTGATGAGGGGATGGATGAGAAGGGCTCTAAGAGAAATGCTGGGGAGCCTGGGCAGGCACTCCCGGATGGCGGAGGCGGCATGCGGGCTGGGGCAGCGGCCCCTGGCGCCCCCACACTCCCCCAGGACGTCTGGGGTCACCGTCTGCTCCATGGCAGCCCCAGGGTTATTTATGACCTCCTCCCTCTGGCGGCGGGAGGCAGGCTCCAGCCTCAGCCCAGCGGCGGAGGGGCCCCAGCAGGGGGACCCGGAGCAGCGACAGAGGCACCAAGGCCCAGGCAGGCGGGGCTCGGTGGGCCGGAGGAGGGGCGGTGGAGTCCACACCGCCAGGTCCCTGCCTCGCTCAGGATGATTCCAGCGCCAGAACTCCGTTCCTCTGGCCTCTGCCGCCAGCCTGAGGAGTGCAGGGGAGAGTGGGGCCCAGGTGTCCCAGACCAAGACAGGTGTGTGAGTGGACATGGGACACAGGTGTGGTAGTGGAGGACACGTGTGAGCAAGTGAACACATCACACAGATGTGCGAGCAGACACAAGACATGGGACACAGGTGCGCCAGTGAACACGGGACTGGTGTAAGCCAGCGGGCATGAGACACGGGTGTGAGCGAGTGGACACGGGACACGTGTGAGTGGGCACGGACAGTACAGGTGTGAGCGAGTGGACACGAGACACAGGTGTGGGAGTGGACACAGGTGTGTGGGAGTGGACACAGAACAGGTGTGAACATGGACACGGACACGGGTGTGTGTGAGTGGACAGGACCAAGGAAGGGGCACAACCCCGTGGAAAAGGGTGATGCTGGGGGTGAGGAGCCTGGTCCTGTGGGAACGTGGCCTCTGAACGGGTGCCTGCTTCCCAGGAAGACAAGGAGGTGGTGGGGAAGGCCTCCTCACCCAGCCCCTGGAGGGACCTCCAGAACATCAGGGAGTGGACAGTGAGGATAGAGGGGTGCCTCCAGCTTTGGACCCAGTCAGGGTCTTTTCTGGAAGACACCATGGGCCCCGGGTAGGCCCCCACACCCAGCCAGAAACCCAGGGCCAGCCCCATGCCCCTCCTTAACCACACTGTGGGCCTGAGCATGATGAGATGCTGGTGAACAGGGGAGGGCTCTTGGAAGGGAAAGGAGGCCCCTCTGCTGGCCCAGGTCAGAGGAGAGGCCTGGCCCAAGGGCCTCAGACCCTGAGAGGCACTGCCATGCAGACCTGCGCCTCCCCAGCCTCCCTCTCCAAATCACTGTGTGAACATCAGGGAGTCAGGTGCAGGCGAACCTAGAAGGAGGGTCAGGTGCAGGTGAACCTAGTAGCCCACACACGGGCAGTAGGGTCAGGGCTGCATCCAGACAGTGGGCACTCAGGGCCAGTCCACATGGCCTCCAGCTGGCCCCAGGAGCAGACTTTCCACATGGTATCAGACCTGGGAGAAGACACAGACTTCAGGAGAGGAAGGCACAGGAACTCACTGGCAGCCACAGCTGGGGTCAGGGATGTGCTGGTGTCCTGGATGCAGACAGGTTGATAGGGCCAAGGGTGGCCACATAAGGAAGGGTCACCGACACTCACACCCACACTCCTACCTGGCCCCCCAGACCCCAACAGACCAACGAGCCCCCACAGAACAGGGCCAGGATAGCGGGGGAGGCTTCTGGGCATGTTCCTTGCCTGAGCAGAGCACTCCTGGCCCAGACCTCACTCCGCGGGTTGGCTGTGGGACCAGCAGAAGCCTCTGGTGAGATAAGGTGAAGGAGCCCAGCGTGGTCACCCAGGGTCAGGTTTATGCTCAAGGAAGCTGGTCTGGCAGGAGGTGGTGGTGGGCTGTTCCCTCCCTCGAAGAAGGCACCTGTGCAAACAGGCCTGTGGCCCACTCACCCCTGGACCTGCTCTGGGAGATGCCCACAGGGACATGCCAGCTGCATCTCAAGGGCAGGGGCCAGGGTCAGAACAGGAGGCCCCTTTCTAGTGGATGCAACACCGCACAGCAGCGCAGGACAAGGCTGTCTCACCTGCTGTTACCAACGCCCCCAGGTTGTGTTTCTCTTCGGAACGCTCCAGATGCAATGCCGATCTGGGCACGCAGGGAGGTGGGGGGTGATGGGAAGCTCACCAGGAACCAGGGACTGGGGCCCAGACTGACCTGTCAGAAGGCACCAAGGTGGACGTGGTGTGGCCGGTCCTGCTTCACTAGCCTTGCTCCTCCTAGTGGGAGGCCGTGCACTCTGCCAACCCGCTATCCCCCACCCTCACCCTGCCTCGGATCCACACCACCTTCCTGCTGGGAGGTGTGGGGTGACAGGAAGCTCTTGCCCCACACCATGGTCCTGGCGCGGTCCTGGTGTGAGACATCCTGCATTTGAAACAGCTGTGTGACTTCAGGAGAGTTACTTGACCTTTCTGTCTCAGCGTCTTCTGCAAAAGACTGAACAGGAACTCCGTGGCTCGGGCGAACTCACTCCTGTCAAGTGCATAGGAAGGGGCACGAGTGGGCGGGGAGGTGCTGCCCTGTTATTCACAGAACACTTTGCCCAGGCAACACACTACAAATCCACAACCTCGCTCCCTGCAGGTGCACTGAGACCACCCACGCCCTCCCGGACACCAACGCCCACCATCAGATTCGCTGCGCAAAGTCCCAGAGCCGCCGGCGCACGCTCACACCCCGGCGAGCAGCCCCCAGCTCCCTCCCTCCGAGAGGAGCCCGGTCCGCGACCAGCCCAGCCCATCCCAGTCCCGCGCGGAGTCCTGGATTCCAGCCGCTCGCAGTGACTCGGTACTCGGGATAGTGCCGGGGGCCGCAGCCCTGTCCCGCTGCCGCCGCCGGATGCCCCGAGTCGGCCGTCACGCACCCCCCGCGGGAGCCCGCGCCGCCCGCCGCGCCGGGGCCGTTTAAATGGGCCAAGTTGTGGCGGCGGCGTCGGCGGCGGAGTCTCCCAAGTCCCCGCCGGGCGGGCGCGCGCCAGTGGACGCGGGTGCACGACTGACGCGGCCCGGGCGGCGGGGCGGGGGCTTGGGACCCCCGAGAGGGGCGGGGACTCCGCGACTCCTCGCTGCCGGGCTCGGCCTGGCGGGTGGGTCGGCGAGCCGGGCGTGGGACTGCCCCGGGCGCGGGCGCTGGTGGCCGGGGCGCGGGACTCCAGACGCCCCGGGGAGCCCCGAGGCCCTGGAACTGCGGCGCTCGGCGAGTCGATCCGGGATCGATAGCAGCTCCATGTCTCCGGCCTCTGAGGCCCCGCCGGCCGGCTGGGCAGTCCGGGGAGGCCTGGCGGGCGGCGCGTAGGCGGCGGCTGCGGGCGCCGGGGCGCACTAGCGGACGGCGTGGGCGCGCGGCCAGGCGCCTCCCCGGCCCCCGCGACCCAACTCCAGCCCGGGCCGGAATAAGTTGCTGCCGCCGGCGGAGAGCGGGGCTGCGGAGCCACCGGGGCGCCATGCCGGCGGTCAAGAAGGAGTTCCCGGGCCGCGAGGACCTGGCCCTGGCTCTGGCCACGTTCCACCCGACCCTGGCCGCGCTGCCGCTGCCGCCGCTGCCAGGCTACCTGGCGCCACTGCCCGCGGCGGCCGCCCTCCCCCCGGCCGCCTCGCTGCCCGCCTCGGCCGCCGGTTACGAGGCTCTGCTGGCCCCGCCGCTCCGCCCCCCGCGCGCCTACCTCAGCCTGCACGAGGCCGCCCCGCACCTCCACCTGCCCAGGGACCCGCTGGCCCTCGAGCGCTTCTCGGCCACCGCGGCCGCGGCCCCGGATTTCCAGCCGCTGCTGGACAACGGCGAGCCGTGCATCGAGGTGGAGTGCGGCGCCAACCGCGCGCTGCTCTACGTGCGCAAACTCTGCCAGGGCAGCAAGGGCCCGTCCATCCGCCACCGCGGCGAGTGGCTCACGCCCAACGAGTTCCAGTTCGTCAGCGGCCGCGAGACGGCCAAGGACTGGAAGCGCAGCATCCGCCACAAAGGTGCCGCCGCCCCTCCCTTCGCTGCCGGGACCCGCGGGCCCCGACCCCACCCCCTACCCGACTCGGACACCCGGGAGCCTCCGGCTCGGCCGAGGGGGCGCTGCAGCTCCAGGGCTGCGCGGGGACACCCCCGCCGCGCGCGGAGGCCTCGGTGAACACGGACAGATCGCCCCCCGCTGCACCTCCCCCCAGCTTGGGCCACAGCGCTTGGGGCTCGCGGGCCGCTCCCTCCGCTCGGAAGGTCTCTGCGAGGCTCCTGGGCCTTAAGGCCCGAAGGAAGTTTACGGGGACTCGAGAGAGCGGGCAGGAGGCGGGTTGGGAGGGCGCGGAGCCCCGGGTTCGGGGGAGACTGGAGGGGCGCACGTGCGGCCGGGTGCGAGCGCGCGGCGGGGGAGGCTGCGGGGCGGCGCGGGGGCGCGCGCGGAGCCCGAGCGGCGGCGCCAGGTCACACAACCTGTTTTGGCGCCTGCGGGCGCCTGGGCCCAAGGGTGCGACGCGGGGGCGCCTGAGCCGGGACACAGGGGGTGCGGTGAGCGCCAGGCGCCGCGGGGAGTTAAAAAGTTCGGGACCTGAGCGGTGCGTGGTTCCGCGGTGGCCGCCTCTTCCTGCCGCGCAGGCCGAGGGTCCCGACGGCGCCGCTCACCGCTCCGGGACTCAGCCTTTCTGGGCCCGGCCTGCGGTTCCCTCGGGGCCGGGGAGAGGGTGGAGCGCGGGAGGAGGGGCGCCGGGTGGGGACGCCCAGGCCCTTCGTCGGGGGAGGGCGCTCCACCCGGGCTGGAGTTGCAGAGCCCAGCAGATCCCTGCGGCGTTCGCGAGGGTGGGACGGGAAGCGGGCTGGGAAGTCGGGCCGAGGTGGGTGTGGGGTTCGGGGTGTATTTCGTCCACGAGCCGGGGAGGGGGTACTGGCCCTGCCGCTGACTGCGCGCAGAAGCGTGCCGCTCCCTCACAGGGTCTGCCTCGGCTCTGCTCGCAGGGAAAAGTCTGAAGACGCTTATGTCCAAGGGGATCCTGCAGGTGCATCCTCCGATCTGCGACTGCCCGGGCTGCCGAATATCCTCCCCGGTGGTGAGATGCGGGGCTCGGTTGGGGCTGGGAGTTACTCTCCCCTGCGGAGCTTGTCCCTGCGGTTTTCAGGGTTTTCAGGATCGAGAGTCCTAACCTCACCCCTGCGGGTGTGCTGGAGGGAGCCTCCGAAGGGCAGGGGGAAGCGGCTTTACCTCGTGCTCTCCCAGCCCTTCTACCTGGACGGGGGAGGAGTCCTCGGGCACCCGAGCGCCCTCCCCGGTGGAGACAGGGGGGCCGCGCTTGTCTTAGAGCCTCCCCTTGGGTGCCTTTTAGCTGCTTATCCTCGAGTCCTGGGTCAGGGTCTTCTCCCTGGGAGGAGTAATTCAACGTGGGCCTGGCACTGTGCCCTGTCACCGCTTGGGGGTCACCGTGTTCTCTGGCCCAGCTGGTGAGGTGTGATTCTGGGACGACAGCATTTTGGGGAGCTACAGGCTTGGGTGTGAGTGACTTGTGTCTCTGGGTGCTGAAGGCCAGAGGGTGCAAGGGCCTGGACGTCGAAGTGTGTCCTAGGGACGCAGAGGCTAGCCAGGGGCAGAGTCTTTGCAGTGTGGGCCTTTGGTGTCCAGGGAACTGGAGTCGGAGGCTGGTTCAAGGCCCCAACCCAGGGTAGACAGCTATGGACACCCTCACTGAGGGAGCAGGCAGGAGAGACGGGGATGCTGGGAGCTGCCTTCTGCTCAGGGAGGCACCTGCACCCCCTACCCAGTCTCCAGCCCCCTAGTTGGGCAGCAAGGGTTAGAGGATTGATCTGAAAAGGAAGAATGCCTGTTGGGAAGGACTAGTTTGGAGCCAATTAGGGCCATGGCTGCTGGGGGTGGGGGCTGCAATTCCTGACACACTCAGGAACCCCTTCTTCCAGGAAAGGGTAGGAGAGGCAGAGGTGCAAAATGGGCCTGAGGGTCCCGGGCGTACCTCCGCTTGCCTGCTTTGGGCCTGAGGTAGGATGGGGGAGGGGATGCCCAGGGGCCTGTGAGCCATGAGTGCCGTAGCCAGGGAGCTGGGCGGCTGCAGACACACCTGTGAAGACGGCTGGTCCCTCAGACATACAGCATGTTGGGCAGGGGAAGGGGACACAGCCGCACCTCACCCATGTGCCCACCTGACACACAATCCGACATGGACCTGCACGCACAGGCAGGCAGCTCACAGAGTTCCCAGGCAGGTGTGCAGACAGCCGGCAGCCCCCTGTCTGCTGTCACAGACCTACCCGGGGCAAGAGGCCCAGTTCCCTCCTTTCAAGCAGCTGGTGCTGGAGAGGGCTCCTCTGGGCAGCCCGCTGCCTAGCCTTGGGTCTCTGTTTGGATTTGAGCGGCCCCCTTGAGGGCTCCCCCAGGAGTGGGGAGCACACAGCCTGAGCCCAGCGTCAGTCTCTTCCGACAGTGCTTCCGTGAGCATCTCCTCCCCACCCCGTGGCCACAGCCAGGAGATGCCCCCCCACCTGGGGCTCCCAGGTCCCTGCCCTGCGTGAGGGACGGCTCAGATCCAGGCCTGCCTCTGCCAGTCCCTCCCAGGCCTGTCCCACACCCTTCCCCTAGGAAGCAACTCCAGGGGCCCCTTCTTTCCAGCCCCCATGTTTCTTACTCAGAGGCTGTCTCCCCCAAGCCCCATGCCAAATCCGCAGGCATGTGCACCTCATGGTCACAGATGCTCCGGGGCAGAATATGAGTGTGTATGTGCCTTGGGGACCCTGCACAGGGGCCCTGCAGGCCAAGCACCTTCCAAGAGGAGGTGCTGTCAGGGGCCGAGTTTTCAGATCTGTGTGCTGTGGCCGAGGTCTCTAGTGTGGAGGAGGTGTGTTCTGTCCTTGGGCAGGGTGGGTGGCAGGGAAGCTGTCCTGGTCCTCAGCACCCCCATCAGCCACTCCAGACCTGCCCTCCAGGTGCCTTGGGGCGTGGCTGGGGTGCCGGTGTGTCCCCACGCCCGACTCTGCGCATCACGGGGCTGAGGCTGGTATACAGCCTGGGCTCCATTCCCAGCCAGCCCTGGCCTCCTTCCAAGGGGCAGTCTTCTGGTCCTTGCTTCCCTCTCTTCCCCATCCCACAGACAAGAAGCAGAGAGCAAAGCATTGTGTCTTCTCCTCAAAAGAAGGGAGGTGGGAGGCCGGGTGTGGTGGCGCATGCCTGTAATCCCAGCACTTTGGGAGGCCGAGGCGGGCGGATCACGAGGTCAGGAGATCGAGACCATCCTGACTAACACGGTGAAACCCGTCTCTACTAAAAATAC
Source organism: Homo sapiens (assembly GCF_000001405.40). Lineage (NCBI taxonomy): Eukaryota > Metazoa > Chordata > Mammalia > Primates > Hominidae > Homo > Homo sapiens. The sequence goes on from NC_000001.11 coordinate 928,237, forward strand.
AAAAAATTAGCCGGGCGTGGTGGCGGGTGCCTGTAGTCCCAGCTACTTGGGAGGCTGAGGCAGGAGAATGGCATGAACCCGGGAGGCGGAGCTTGCAGTGAGCCCAGATTGTGCCACCGCACTCCAGCCTGGGCAACAGAGTGAGACTCCGTCTCAAAAAACTAAAAAAGAAGAGAGGTGGGAGAGGAGAGGCTGTCAGAGCCTCTAAGCCCTGGTGCTTGGGCTGCAGAAGGGCAGAGCTAAGCGGGACTTCCCAGCACAGCACACTCCGGACAGGCTGTGGCTGTTGAAGGGACCCCCGAGCTCCAGCTGACACGCGGAGGCCCGGGCACAGACAGGCATCATACCTTCGGCCTTGGCCGCACTCTGTGGTCATTGGTGTTGGGGGCAGCCCAGGGTCAGGGCAGGGTCTCAGCCTCGGACCCCAGGCCCCACCCCTTGCCCAGCAGTGCTGCGTTTTCCCAGTGAGCTGTCGTGGAGAGAGCAGAGGGGACCCAGCGCAGGCCCAGTGGCCGGTGAGGGGAGACGTGGCTCTGGGACGGGGGCCTCCACCTGGGTGGGGGGATGCTCCAGCTTCCAGACCCTTGGGGAGGGGGCACTGCCCAAACTAAGCTGGCACTGGGGCTGTGCATTTGAAGGTGATGGTGGTTCTAGGTCTGAGGAGGACACCCTCCTAACAGCCTCATCCCCAAGCTCCGGGCTGTGTTGTGGCAATGGGAGGGAGGAAGTCTGAGGAGACCCTGGTGACTGAACGGAGGAGGGAGTGAGTTAGACGCTCTCAAGGGCTCTGCCACCTCCCGGAGCCAGCGGCCTGTTACTACATTTAAAAAAGCCTCCCGCCCACTGGAAAATAATCAATAACTTTCCTTTATCCCTGGGGGTGGCAGGACCTAGAAACACTGGAGGAGTCCGGAAGTGCCTGGGGCTGGGCCGGCGCTGGTGTGCTGTGCAGGGTGCCGCGGGCACGTCCGCCGCGTGTGTGCGTCAGCTCGGGGCTCGGCTGTGCTCTGCAGGGACCACAGCGGGCGTGTCTGTGCTCCCACCCGAGGCACCCACAGCTCCACACGCTCGTTCCGTGGGTGCAAAGGAGATGGGAGAAAGAAGCCCTGTGAGAAATGCGGGGCAGGGTTTGCGGAACAGGGGACCTGGGCTGGTGAGGGCTCCTCGTCTGGTGACCTGTGAGCCCCGGGGCCTGCAGTCTGCGAGGGTTCAGCTCAGACAGTTGCCAGTGGCCTTGCACCAGGCTGCAGCTGCCCCTGAGCCGGGCTGTGCGTGGCGCTGATGAAATAGAAAAGGGCATTCGCTTGTCAACGTTGGCATCGGTGGCAGGGTGTGGTGGGCAGAAGGGTCACAAAGTACGGGTGGGATTGGCAGGCAGATACACGGAGGGAACGTGCGCATTTGAGTGCACGTCCACCAGCACCAGCCCCAGGCCACAGGCAGATCCCAGGAGACACGCAGGGGCCCTAAGAAGGGAGCTGGGAATGAGGGGCCACACAAGCCCGGGACGGAGGCCTGTCGCACATGGGGTGGCCCCGACTCAGGCCCTGGAGTTGGCCAGGACCCTCTAGCATCCTCAAGGGCTGGGCCAACCAGGCTGGCGTGGGGTGGGGCAGGGGAGGGCTGAGCCAGTGGGCGTCGTCTGTAGGGGGATGCCCAACTGCGGCCCCGTCTCTCGGCTCTCCTCTGGGTCTCTGGCCAGCTGTGGCTCCTGCTGGCCCCAGGCGCATCCCAGAGGCAGGTAGAGGGAGGATGGCTGCTCTGAGGGCACCTCTGCCGTGCTTGGGGCTCGGCCTGGGGTGCGAGACCAGGGCAGACCCCCGGGAGATGGAACGGCCCGGTCCAGCCCCACCTTCCTCTCCTCCTGCCCCACCTTCCTCTCCTCCTGCCCCACCTTCCTCTCCTCCTGCCCCACCAGAACCGGGGGCGGCTGGCAGACAAGAGGACAGTCGCCCTGCCTGCCGCCCGGAACCTGAAGAAGGAGCGAACTCCCAGCTTCTCTGCCAGCGATGGTGACAGCGACGGGAGTGGCCCCACCTGTGGGCGGCGGCCAGGCTTGAAGCAGGAGGATGGTCCGCACATCCGTATCATGAAGAGAAGGTACTTGGACCAGGGCCGGACAGGAAGGCGCAAGGCTCAGATGGGGCTGGAGCTTCAGGCCTTCAGCTGCTCAGATGAGAGTGTCCACACCGGCCTCCCACACCTTCCCTCAGATGCTGGTCTTTTTGGGGTCCTGTGTGGGTCGCAGGCAGGAGCTGTTTCCTCATCTGCCCCCTGTCTGGCGTCCCCTCCCACCTCTGCTCTGCGGCGCTCACTGGCAGAGGCAGGTTGGCAGCAGTTGGGACCCAGAGGTCTGCACCTTCCTGGGCCGACGCTCCAGCTACCCTTGCTGACCGGGTCCCAGTCTGGCCAGAGAGCAGCTCTAGCAACAGGGAGCTCCATTCAGGCTCGTGACTGGCTGTGCAGAAGCAGCCTCGGCCCCCACCTGCGGTACAACAGGAGGGCTCCTCTGAGTGCACGGCAACAAGCAAGAGGGAGAAGGGGCCTCGGTCCTGTTCTTCCTGATGCGTGTCTGCTGAGGCCAGGAGCTGGCTTTGGCCCATGGGCCTGTCCTAGTGGGAGGCCCCAGCATGTTGAGCCAGTAGCAGGTGGTGCTGGGCATGGCAGCCGCCCTCGTTCACTGCCCAGGGCTGTGGCCCAGCGGGGCACTGACCCGAGACAGGTCTGCGCACGCCCTGCTATCCTGAGGCTGGGGTCAGGGGCCTCCAGAGCAACATGGACCTTCTGCTTCCCTTCCTGCAGAGTCCACACCCACTGGGACGTGAACATCTCTTTCCGAGAGGCGTCCTGCAGGTAGGAGCCGTGCTGTGCGTGCATAAGAGGGGGCCGTGACTCCCCTCCCTCCCTCCCACCCCTGACCGTGCCCTGCTGTCTGCTGTCCGCTGTCTCAGCGTGAGCTGATGCTGTGATGCTGGCTGAGTGTCTGCCAGGTTTGACATGTGCTGCAAGGTTGTCCCCCATCCCGGGAGGCAGACAGTGTTGCACCCAGTTGGGACTGAGGGACCCCAGACCCAGTCAGATGCAGCTCTCGGCAGCAGCTCAGGTGTGAGTTCTGGGCAGCCCGGCCCTGGAGTTAGAGTGCACTTCCTCCCATGTGAGACTGGCCATTTGAGCCCAAAAATGAGGCTGTCACCTCCCCCTTCCCACCCTCCTAGAGACCCACAAGGAGGTGAGAATGCTGATGTGTGAGTGGGGCCCTGAAGGGTGTGTAGGAGCTCTAAGGCGAGGGGATGTCTGCAGAGTAGAGGAACAGGGAAGGGCGTGTAGGAGGGACGAGGAGTGAACCTGGCAGCTCTGGTTCAGTTGGATGCTGAAGAGTCATGGATGCTGGGCCTGTGGGCACCGTCCTCCAGGCGGGAGCCACCGAAAGTTCTTGAGCAGGGCAGTGACCAGGTGTATGTTTGGAGAAGGTCCCTCTGGAGGCCTTCCTGGCAGACAGGGGATTGGATTCAGGCTGTGGAAGCAGGACGGTAGGGGGTGTGATTCCAGGATGTGGAAAGGAGATAAAAATGAAGAGCCCCGGGGAAGAGGTCAAGGGAGTTGGGGGACCCGAGTTCCTGGCTCCAGGGGGAAGCGAGTGGTAAGTCTGTGAACAGAGCCCAGCTGTGGATTCTGTCAATGGGGTCAGGTCTCACCCTGTGGCTTCCAGGGCAGCAAGGCAGGAAGGAGGCGTCTGCCACAAGGCCAGCTTCCTGGGGCCAGAGCCGTGAAGGCCCAGGGGACCTGCGTGTCTTGGCTCCACGCCAGATGTGTTATTATTTATGTCTCTGAGAATGTCTGGATCTCAGAGCCGAATTACAATAAAAACATCTTTAAACTTATTTCTACCTCATTTTGGGGTTGCCAGCTCACCTGATCATTTTTATGAACTGTCATGAACACTGATGACATTTTATGAGCCTTTTACATGGGACACTACAGAATACATTTGTCAGCGAGGCCTGTAGGGAAACCCAGCCGCGGTCCCCCCGACCCCGCTCCAGTAACGGCTCCTCCTGCCTGCAGCCCCCTCCTCCGTCTGCCTGGCCTCGGGAATGCAGCGTCCCTCGGCAGCACTGACGGCAGACAGCCTGGGGTGCCCTAGGAAGAGGCCAGGTCTTCCATCCTGCACGGGCCCTAGAAGGGGCTAGGATGAGTTTCTGAATCTCCCAAGGGCGAGATTTCGGTCAGAGGGGAGGGCGTGCTGGGGTCCCCGGAGGAGAAGGCCCAGCACACGCCTGAGTGGACTGAAGCCTCCGCCTGTTGACCTGACCCTGGTGTCCGGTCAGAGCGGGTGGTGGTCCCTGAACCCACACGGGCTCCCAGACCATGTCTGTGTTTCTTTCAGCCTGTCCCTGGGTCCTTCTGCCTCTGCAGGCTCCCACAGAACACACTGCCAGGCCACCTCCATCTGTGTGTTCATTTGCTCCCGTCCAGTGGTCTCCACCCATCTGTCCGTCTGTCCTTCCATCCCCTTCGCCCTGTCTGGCTGGCTCTGCAGTGACCACCTGCCTTTTGGAGCCAGCGGAGCCCCAGGCCGTCCTCCTCTGCCTCAGGAACCCGGGGTGGCAGATGCTCCTCGAGCCATTGTTTGCAGGCGGGGGCTTGGCCCCTCTCTCCTGGGCCCCTGAGCTGGTGGGAAAATGGGCAAGGGCTAGGCCGTGTGGTCATCAATGAGGGGCGGTGGCGGGAGGCCCATGCGTGGGCAGCTGGGGTCACACCTGCCAGGCTCTGGCCTCCCCCTCCCCCTCTCCTTCCTGCGCCTCCTGCCCCAGCCCTGACTGCTTCTCCCAGCTTCCCCACCTCCTGACCTGCAGCCCGGCCCCACCACAGAGACTCTCAGGGGCTTCGTCCCTTGTGCGAAGCAGGGTGCAGAGGGCATTCTGTGGTTCGAGGACCATGCGCTGATGTGCCCGGGCCGGGTTCCTGCTTCTCCACTCTGGGACGTCCAGGGCGTGTTTCTTTACATAAAACTGGCATAACTGGCTCACTGAGTGGCCAAGTGACCAGAACAGGTTTTCAGGGGCCGGGCCAGGCCAGGCTGTGTCGGAACCTCAGGAGCAAACTCCAAGGCAGAGACCAGGGGCGGGGAGGGCAGGTGGCACCCAGCTCCCCACCAGGTGCCACTGCCCAGCCACAGCCCCTCCACCCAGCTATTAGGCCCTCCCTCACTTTCCTTCTGGGCGCCAGGCTCGGGGCTCACTGCCAGCCCCCAACCTCTGGAGTCTCTGGGAAACTAGTTCTCCTCCTGCAGGCGTCCTGGGGACACCAGAGGGGGGACCCCTGGGGAGAACTCCATGGCAGCTGTGGCTACTGCCAGGCCAGCCCTCAGCCCCCACCCCATGCTGAGGCCAGCAGTCCTCTCCTGACACCCCCGCGTCGATTAGGATCATGGAAGGGATGAGTCTCGCTGCCGATTAATCCCATAAAGTACTTACTCCCACCCAGCTGCCTTCCTATGTGCCTGGGGGGGGCTTCCTTTCCCACTGGGAGCCGGTGGGGGTGGGGGAGAGCCGTCATCTAGGTCTCCTGGAAGGTTTAGAGCCCAGCCTGGGAGTCTTTGGTGCTGAAACGGATCTGCTTAGGGGCAGCCTTGGATTAGCCCAGCTCCAGCCAGCCCAGGTCAGGGGAGCCGGGAGCTATTTAACGAGGTTTAGGGTAGGCTCCTAGGTCACTGCGCAGGACTGCTCCGTTACAGGTGGGCAGGGGAGGCGGCTGCGTTACAGGTGGGCAGGGGAGGCGGCTGCGTTACAGGTGGGCAGGGGAGGCGGCTGCGTTACAGGTGGGCAGGGGAGGCGGCTGCGTTACAGGTGGGCAGGGGAGGCGGCTCCGTTACAGGTGGGCAGGGGAGGCGGCTGCGTTACAGGTGGGCAGGGGAGGCGGCTGCGTTACAGGTGGGCAGGGGAGGCGGCTGCGTTACAGGTGGGCAGGGGAGGCGGCTCCGTTACAGGTGGGCAGGGGAGGCGGCTCCGTTACAGGTGGGCAGGGGAGGCGGCTGCGTTACAGGTGGGCAGGGGAGGCGGCTGCGTTACAGGTGGGCGGGGGAGGCGGCTGCGTTACAGGTGGGCGGGGGAGGCGGCTGCGTTACAGGTGGGCAGGGGGGGCGGCTGCGTTACAGGTGGGCGGGGGAGGCGGCTGCGTTACAGGTGGGCGGGGGAGGCGGCTCCGTTACAGGTGGGCGGGGGAGGCGGCTGCGTTACAGGTGGGCGGGGGAGGCGGCTGCGTTACAGGTGGGCGGGGGGGGCGGCTGCGTTACAGGTGGGCGGGGGAGGCTGCTCCGTTACAGGTGGGCGGGGGAGGCTGCTCCGTTACAGGTGGGCGGGGGGGGCGGCTGCGTTACAGGTGGGCGGGGGGGGCGGCTGCGTTACAGGTGGGCGGGGGAGGCGGCTGCGTTACAGGTGGGCGGGGGAGGCGGCTCCGTTACAGGTGGGCGGGGGAGGCGGCTGCGTTACAGGTGGGCGGGGGAGGCGGCTGCGTTACAGGTGGGCAGGGGAGGCGGCTGCGTTACAGGTGGGCAGGGGAGGCGGCTGCGTTACAGGTGGGCGGGGGAGGCGGCTCCGTTACAGGTGGGCGGGGGAGGCGGCTGCGTTACAGGTGGGCGGGGGAGGCGGCTGCGTTACAGGTGGGCGGGGGAGGCGGCTGCGTTACAGGTGGGCGGGGGGGGCGGCTGCGTTACAGGTGGGCGGGCGGTGCTGCAGGAGGACTGCTCAGGGAGTGGCGCCTGGACCCTGAGCCCCTTCTCTGCTGACTGGGGAGAGGCTCACGGAACCGGGAAGGGGTGGAGGGCCGTGCTCCACACAGTTCGTCTCATTGCTCTCTGGGACTCTGTGGATGTGGGATTGGGCTGAATTAGCAAGAAGAGGAGAAATGAGGGAAGAAAAGAGTTAAATGCATGTTGATTCCAAGCCCCCGCCTGCCGGGGGGACAGCGGGAGGTTGGAGCACGCAGCCCTGGTGCCTGGTGCGAGCTGCACGTGTCTGCCGGTGCCGTGTGTGCGTGGGGCGCGTCTCATCAGCTGCAGGACTGTGGTCTGGGCCTCAGTTTCCTCGTGTGCAGAAATCGGGGGTCAGGGGATGGTTCACATGTGGCACATTCTCTCCTGGGGCCTGTCCTGCAGGACTGCCCCTGAGCAGATCGGCCTCTTCCCGGGCGCCCGGTGGGCCCCTCGACCCCCTTTGAGGCAGGGAGTGAGATAACTGTGATTCCCTGTGGAGGGCGTGAAGGCAGAGCCGGCTGGCTGCTCCACATAGACCCTCCCTGGAGCAGCCGTGGGGTCCCAGGTCCCAGTGCCAGGTTCTGTGTCGCTTTGACTCGGGTGCTGCGTGGGTGTGCACACAGTGGCGTCACGGGCCACATGCCGAGGCGTGGGCACAGCAACGTGGCACTCAGAGGTCATCCCCACGCTCACACACAGAGCTAGGCACTCCCTGTGCCCAGGCTGGGCTCCAGCCTCGCAGCTGCCCACGGGGTCAGCTTTTCCCGGTCTCGTTCTGCAGCCAGGACGGCAACCTTCCCACCCTCATATCCAGCGTCCACCGCAGCCGCCACCTCGTTATGCCCGAGCATCAGAGCCGCTGTGAATTCCAGAGAGGCAGCCTGGAGATTGGCCTGCGACCCGCCGGTGAGGAGCACAGGGGGCCTGAGGGCGGGGTCGGGGCTGTGGGGCCAGAGGACGGTGGCGTCTCCACTCAGCACCAGCAGCCTTGGCAGGCAGCCAGAGAGGCAGGAGGAGCGGCCTGTCCCCCAGGGGCTGCATGGGATGGTAATTGTGTTAATCCCAGCCAGCGGGGCAGACAGGAGGCAGAGGCGGTGGCTCCGCTGTGGCTGCCGCTGGGGTGGGCTTGGAGTAGCCGGGGCCCTGCCACCCCCTTTCCACAGGGCAGACGTAGGCGTGGCCTCAGAGGTTCAGAAACGCACACCCTGGAGGAACGCACGCACTCCCGCAGCGCACGCATGACTGGTCCCGCCTCCTAGGGCTCCTGGACGGAAGGGGTCCCCGGTCCCGCCTCCTAGGGCTCCTGGACGGAGGGGGTCCCCGGTCCCGCCTCCTAGGGCTCCTGGACGGAAGGGGTCCCCGGTCCCGCCTCCTAGGGCTCCTGGACGGAAGGGGTCCCCGGTCCCGCCTCCTAGGGCTCCTGGACGGAGGGGGTCCCCGGTCGGTCCCGCCTTCTAGGGCTCCGGGAAGGATGGGGTTCTCGGGAGGGAAGGGATCCGGCGCCTGAGGGAGGTGCTGCTGCCTGGTCACAGTTGTGGGGGGACCAGGCCCCCCTCAGAGGGCACTGCTGTAGAGAGGGGCACAGCAGAGCCTCAGCCCCAGGGCAGGCCGTGAAAGGAGGCGGGGGCGCCCCGAGGCCCTGTGGACCCCAGGCAGGGGTGTTCCCAGCAGGGCCTGCATCTCTTGGGAAGGAGGGGTGGGGGAGGCCCACCCCCATCTGTGTCCCCCATCCATGGCCCCCATCCGCGTCCTCGTGCACCTAGGAAGGCCCTTGTGGGGCTGGGTGGGGGCAGCTTCTGATGCCGCGTTGGAGACAGCTGAGAGGCGGTTGATAAAATCTAATTGCCCCATCGATCCAGCAGAGCGGAGGGAGCCCCACAATGATTGAGATATTCTGAGCCAGCAGGCCCTCCCCTGTGCCTTCACACAGGGAGACCTCCTCAGGTACACGCGTGTGCGTGTGCCGGCATGTCTGTGTCTGGGGTCCTGTGGGGTGCACGTGATGGGGGTTGCCCGGCAGCTCTCACCCATGGAGTCAGGACGTGTTCGTGCACTTCCGGGCTCACAGGCTCTACGGGGCCTCACGTGTCCTGGACCCGTGTCCAGGTCTCCCATACGCACTCCGTGTCAGGGTCTGGCCCGCTCCCCGGAGCCTCCTCTTGGAGGGGCATTCACCCTGGGGGGCGTTCACCTCTTCTCCCTTCCTGTGACCCCAGGAACCACACATCCATCCTGTTCCCAGCCCGGGCCCTCCCGCTAAGCCGCACCTCCCTGGGCCCTGGGCTGTGAGGGACTCAGAGCAGGTCCTGCATCTGCCTCTGTGAGACCCGCTGGGGTCCATGAGTGAGGAGTGAGCATGGCCTCATCGGCCTTCCTGCGGTCTCATTGCAGGCCCCCTTCCACCTGCCCCCCCCCCCACCCAGTCACCTCCCCCAGGCTAGGAGGAGGCCTTAGCCCCCCACAGAACGGAGAGGGTAGTTTCCACTGTGTACAATGGAAAAGTGATTGCCAGGAGGTGAGAGGCCTTGCTAACCCTGAGGGCATGTGCATGGTGGGCCAGGTGGCAGGTGTGGAAAAGAGCCAGGTTCCCCCAGCCTTGGCCCACCCCCTCCCAGCCCACCGAGCTCTGGCACGGGAGGCTGTGGGGGAGACGATGGCTTCTCAGGGGCCTGAGCAGTGGTGCCTGGATCCGTGTGTGGCCAGGTGCCCCCCGCCGCCCGCCGGGCCCAGCCACCCGATCTGTCACCGAGGTGGGGACCCTGGACCAGACCGTGGGACTGACCCTCTCTCTGGGGCCGGGCCTGACAGCAGCCGGGCCAGGATCAATAAGTTATTAGCACCACTCTGTCAGCTGTAATGTGGGATTGATCGGTGTGGCCGCCGCACTTCCCCAGCCTGATAAAAATGACAGATTAAGGGAATAAGAAAAAGGAATTAGGCCTGGAGCTGACGGCAGGGCTTGTGGGGGGACGGGCTTGGGAGCCCCACTGCCTAGGCCTCATGGAGGTCTTGGGTCACAGGGGAGTGGCCCCTCACTCCACCCAGCTAGAGCCCTCATGAGGATGAGGAAGGGCCAGAGTCGGAGGCACTGGCTGGCCTGGGAGACCCCCAGGGCGTGGAGTCAGGGGCTTCGGAGGAGCTCGGGGTGGGTCGGAGATGGGTACATGGATGGTGTGGTCTGGAATGGGTGCGGTCGGCAGGACCCAAGGGAGGACCTCAGGAGAGTGAGCTGGGCCTGGCCTGGGCCTCCCCTCTGCCACCTGCTGGGCTGTGTTTGGGGCTGAAGCTGGACCTGGCCTGGGCCTCCCCTCTGCCACCTGCTGGGCTGTGTTTGGGGCTAGGGCTGGGCTGGCCTCGTGGCTGAGGAGGTGGGTGAAGCTACTGGGAGGTGCACCCCAGAAGCCCAGAGCCTGGCTGGGCTGGTGGACAAGGGCATGACAGCCACGCCAGGGTGCTAGCTCAGGCAGGACTGGGCCAGAGAGGAGGACGTGGGCCTTCTGGGGGCAGGGATGGGTATGACCAAGTAGGAGGCCTGGGAGTGGAGGCGCCTCGAGGCGGCCTGGGGGGCCCACAGCCCAGTGACTCACAGAGCAGCAAGAGGTCAGGTGTGAGGTCCTTCCCGGCTTGTCTCACCCCACGCTGGCATGTGACCCTGCACAGCCCGCCCTCACTCCTGTCCAGGAGGGGAAGGTGGTGCCTGGTCAAACCAAAAGCTTTTTATTCTCCTCTAGGGGGATGAGAGGGGGGCTCGTTAACTTGCACAAGAGGCTAGATGGCGGGTGGGGCAGCTGGGTGCCTGCTGTGGATCTCTTCTGCACACACGCACCAGGGCCAGTGTCAGAGCTCCCCTGTGCCCCTGTCCCGCCACAGCCAGGCGTGATGTCCTCTGCGCTGAAGGCTGGGGCTGCCAGGGCTGGGCAAGGCCTGTACTCACCAGGACCAAGGGCCCCCTGAGAGATGGTGGGTGCGGTCCAGGCTGAGCTGGAGCAGGGGCTGGGTTCCCCTTCCATTCCTTGAGATGCAGGTGGGCACTCACTACCCTCCCGCAGGTGACCTGTTGGGCAAGAGGCTGGGCCGCTCCCCCCGTATCAGCAGCGACTGCTTTTCAGAGAAGAGGGCACGAAGCGAATCGCCTCAAGGTAAGAGCGTGGCTGGGACGAGAGACAGGTCACCAGGGGAGGGGGCAGTCCCTGAGGGTCCCCTGGACCTCGAGCAGGCACTCTAGAGGGGCGTGGTCCTCGGCAGTGCCTGGAGAAACCTCTCACCCCGGGTCCTCCCCAGCAGAGGCGCTGCTGCTGCCGCGGGAGCTGGGGCCCAGCATGGCCCCGGAGGACCATTACCGCCGGCTTGTGTCAGCACTGAGCGAGGCCAGCACCTTTGAGGACCCTCAGCGCCTCTACCACCTGGGCCTCCCCAGCCACGGTGAGGACCCACCCTGGCATGATCCCCCTCATCACCTCCCCAGCCACGGTGAGGACCCACCCTGGCATGATCTCCCCTCATCACCTCCCCAGCCACATGTACTCGGCCATTCCTGTTGCTGAGGCCCTGCTGACACCAAGGCCAGGCTGGATGCAGGTCCCTCTGCCACACGTCCTGCCCCATGCCCCCTGGGGCGGGCCACACCTCCATGTCCCCTAGGTCCCCAGGGTCATGACTAGCTCACATTTTATATAGAGAGAAATGGAGTCTGGGGTGGACCCAGGTGAGGGTGGGCAGTGGGCATGTCAGCAGCACCCCCCGAGGAGAGCAAGCTCCTGGACCCTGTGGTCTGTGAGTCGTCTATGCAGCCAGTGGACGCCGACCTGCCAGACGCCTGCCCCAGGAGCCTGGGGAGGGGCAGTGAGCAGAAAGGCCGGGCTGGGTGCAGTGGGCACTTGGCCACCAGGACTCCCCAGGTGCTGAAGAGACGCCAGCTGGAGGGGCTGCCCCTTCCCCCGGGTCGGCCCTGACCCTGTCCACCCCACCTCAGGACGTTCTCCAGGGGTCCCTCCGGGATGCACTCGGACCCCCTGCCCGCTGCACTCAGCCTCCCAGGCCCCAGCCGCCCGCCTGGCAGGGGAGCTTGGCTTTTCGGGCTAGAGGTGGGTGGGGGCGCCGGGAAAGGAGGCAGGATTCCTCACACCAGGCACCGTCCCCCAGGGCAGCTCAGGCACCAAGAGCCTGAATAATTCACCAAATGTTAATAATGTAAAAATCCTCCTTTTTAATTGCTTTCCCTGCTCTGCCTGGGGCCGCTCTGCTGGCCGCGCGGGGGAGGGGCGCCGGCCGCCGGGGAGCGCGCTGTCAATCAGGCCGCGCCGCCGCCCCCCCCCCCCGCCCCGCCGCGGAGCCGGCCGTAAATAACCCTGTAACTAACCCGGCCGCTAGCGCGGGGGCGCTGGGCCCCGCTGGGATCGATGCGGGCGGCCGCGCCGGCTGGGCTCTGCGGGCTGGCACCCGGCCCGGGGCGGGACCCACCTCCGCTTTCGGGTAATTAATTTATAAACAGAGGCGGCGGTGGAGCTGGCGGAGCCTGCATAGTGGGGGCTGCGGGGACTCGGGAGGCCCGGGCGGGAGGGAGAGGCCGAGAGACCTGGGACGCGGCGCCTTAGACGCGGGCGCTGCGTGCGCATTGGGGCGAGTGTGGCCACGCGGGACAGTGACCCTGCGCAGCCGGGACTGGGCGACCCCTGTGCTAGTGTGGCGTGCGTGCGCGGGCGCTGCCTTGCCTTTGTGACAAGCTTTGGCCAGCCGCGTCTACTATGGGGACCTCAGATTTTCTTGCCTCCCACCGAAGAGGGGGTCCCCTGGGCGGTCAGCCCCTGGCTGGCACTTCTGGACTCTCTCGCTGCCCCGCAGGCTCTGTGGCCTCGGGACGTCTGCACAGCCCCCTCCCCGCAAGGCTCAGCCGCCTCTCAGGCCGGAAGCCTCCAGGCACCCGGCTCCCCTTCGGGGAAGAGCTTTTCCCGACACTTCCTCGCCCAGCATCTTGTCTGCCGTCTCGGCCCTGTGGCCGCCCATCCTCCTGCCCCGTGCCCGAGACCAGCCCAGGGGCCGAGCACGGCCGAGTGGTGTGGTCAGTTCCCCACCTCAGTGTTCTACGCCAGGACGCGGGCTGGGGAGGATGAGGGCGCATAGCCGGGGGGATCACTGCTGTTGTCCCCCACCCAGATCTCCTGAGGGTCCGGCAGGAGGTGGCGGCTGCAGCTCTGAGGGGCCCCAGTGGCCTGGAAGCCCACCTGCCCTCCTCCACGGCAGGTCAGCGTCGGAAGCAGGGCCTGGCTCAGCACCGGGAGGGCGCCGCCCCAGCTGCCGCCCCGTCCTTCTCGGAGAGGTACTGGGGTGGCTGCCGTTCTCTGCTTGTTTCTGGGGTGCCGCCCGCACCCCCGCGCTCTCAGCCACCAGCACGCGCCCCGAGAGTGCCAAGCACTGTGTTCAGCTCTAGGTTCGGGTCCGGGCAGAGCGTTTCGGGGGTGACACCGATCTGGGCTGCAGTGTTGAGGGCGCCACTGGGGTGCGTGAGGGAGGCTGAGGCCCATCAGGGGGTTCCCTGGAGGAGAAGCCAGAGAAGGGGAGAGCTCCAAGTCTGGAACCCCGGGGTCAGTCGGGAGGGGTCGGCCAGAGGACTCAGAGCTGGAGGCGGAGGGGGGGTCCTGGCTGGCGCTCAAATGTAGACGCCGGCGCCGGATCTGTTCCCGGCACAGACAAGGCCTCCGGCACAGACCCGGGTTTCTCGGGTCCAGGACACGAGGCGGGGCGGGGCGCCTGGAGAAGGGAGGGGCCGCCTGAGGCCCGAGTCCCTGCCCGGCCGCTGAGCCCGGCGTCTGCAGCTGCCTCCACCGCCGCCCGGATTGCGGCTAATGACGCCCCCGCTTCCCCCGCCGCTCGGGTCCGCAGGGGAGGGGAGCAGGCGGGGCCGGCGCCCCGCGCAGTAATTACCGCTGCAGCCGTCGCCGCCCGCCGGGTCAGCGCCTCCGCGCCGCCGCCGAGATTAATTGGCGCCGCCGGCGGGGGCGGGGATGGCGCGCGACCTGGGGCCGTAACGAGCTGCGCATCGACCGCCCGCGGGGCCGGCAATTAGCGGAGGCGGCGGGGGAGGGGCGCCGGGGCCTTTACGGGAACGGGGGCGGGGGGGACGCCGCTCATTGCGCTGCCGTCCACAGGGAGCTGCCTCAGCCGCCCCCCTTGCTGTCGCCGCAGAATGCCCCTCACGTCGCCCTGGGCCCCCATCTCAGGCCCCCCTTCCTGGGGGTGCCCTCGGCTCTGTGCCAGACCCCAGGTGAGGAGGCGGGTGCGCATCCCCTGGGAGCCCGCGTGGAGGCTCGCGGACCCGGCCCTGCCCCTGTCGGAGCCGAGACGGACCGGGTAGGGGATTGCAAAGGGCCGGCTCGGACCGCCTCGGACCCCCCGACCCCGCGTTGTCCCCCTCCCCACCAGGCTACGGCTTCCTGCCCCCCGCGCAGGCGGAGATGTTCGCCTGGCAGCAGGAGCTCCTGCGGAAGCAGAACCTGGCCCGGTAGGTGCGGGGAGGCGGGCGGGGCCGCGCGGCCCGGGAGGCGGCTGACCCGCGTCTGCCCCCGGCCCAGGCTGGAGCTGCCCGCCGACCTCCTGCGGCAGAAGGAGCTGGAGAGCGCGCGCCCACAGCTGCTGGCGCCCGAGACCGCCCTGCGCCCCAACGACGGCGCCGAGGAGCTGCAGCGGCGCGGGGCCCTGCTGGTGCTGAACCACGGCGCGGCGCCACTGCTGGCCCTGCCCCCCCAGGGGCCCCCGGGCTCCGGACCCCCCACCCCGTCCCGGGACTCTGCCCGGCGAGCCCCCCGGAAGGGGGGTCCCGGCCCTGCCTCAGCGCGGCCCAGCGAGTCCAAGGAGATGACGGGGGCTAGGCTCTGGGCACAAGATGGCTCGGAAGACGAGCCCCCCAAAGACTCGGACGGAGAGGACCCCGAGACGGCAGCTGTTGGGTGCAGGGGGCCCACTCCGGGCCAAGCTCCAGCTGGAGGGGCCGGCGCCGAGGGGAAGGGGCTTTTCCCAGGGTCCACACTGCCCCTGGGCTTCCCTTATGCCGTCAGCCCCTACTTCCACACAGGTGGGCACCCCCACACTCTAGATCCTTCCAGAGGGCACAGGACTGGCAGGCCGCCTGTGGAAGGGTCTTGGGGGGAGGAAAAATTCCCCTTAGGCACCCATCCCCCACCTCAGCAATTGGGGCACACGACGGTCAGGAGACGGGCGGGTATGGGAAAGCCAGCCAGAGCCCTAGTAACACGCCCCACAACTCAGGCGCGGTAGGGGGACTCTCCATGGATGGGGAGGAGGCCCCAGCCCCTGAGGACGTCACCAAGTGGACCGTGGATGACGTCTGCAGCTTCGTGGGGGGCCTGTCTGGCTGTGGAGAGTACACTCGGGTAAGGGGGGGCCCCAGTTCCTGGGGCGGGGCTGGAGCTGGCTGGCAGTCACTACCTCCCTGGAAAGGATGGTGGGGTAGGGCCATTCCCCAACGCCCTCTCCCTCCCCAAAAGCAGTGCGCAGCAGGGACTGGACTGTGCACCCCACCTTTTTTTTTTTTTTTTTTTTTTGCCAGGTGTTTTCTGCCTGACACTCAAACCCAACAGATCACTGTTTTTAAAAAATTTCCGTGAGCTGCACAAACAGCTCCTCTTGGCTCTGCTGGGCTGGAGGATGGAGCAGCACCCGGGTCCTGACCCTCCCTCCCTCCCCCTTCCAGGTCTTCAGGGAGCAGGGGATCGACGGGGAGACCCTGCCACTGCTGACGGAGGAGCACCTGCTGACCAACATGGGGCTGAAGCTGGGGCCCGCCCTCAAGATCCGGGCCCAGGTGAGACGCTGGGGAGTGAGGTCAGGGTCTCCAGACCACAGCTGGGCAGAAAGCTCTGGGTGGGTGTGCGACAGCCCCCACCAGGCCATCTCTCTGCAGGTGGCCAGGCGCCTGGGCCGAGTTTTCTACGTGGCCAGCTTCCCCGTGGCTCTGCCACTGCAGCCACCAACCCTGCGGGCCCCGGAGCGAGAACTCGGCACAGGAGAGCAGCCCTTGTCCCCCACGACGGCCACGTCCCCCTATGGAGGGGGCCACGCCCTTGCCGGTCAAACTTCACCCAAGCAGGAGAATGGGACCTTGGCTCTACTTCCAGGGGCCCCCGACCCTTCCCAGCCTCTGTGTTGAGGTTGCCGGGGGTAGGGGTGGGGCCACACAAATCTCCAGGAGCCACCACTCAACACAATGGCCCTGCCTCCCACCGCTTTATTTCTTTCGGTTTCGGATGCAAAACAAAAAATTTTAAAAGAAAATGTGACTTCAAAGGAAAGGAACAAATTTTCAAAGACTTGGGGGAGTGAAGGCAGAGCCTGGTGCAGATGGACGAGGTCTGCAGACGGAGGGCAGAGGTGGTGGAAGGGGCCAGGGGCCTGCAGGCCTCCCCCTGGAACTGGGACTGGTCTCGGTCTGCTGACGTCAGGGTCAGCTCCCCCGCGGAGCTGACTTCAGCAGCCCACAGCTGTGGGGCTTCAGCAGCCACACCAGCCCAGCCCAGCCCAGCTCTCGATACGTTTGGTCTTTCATGCTGAAAAATAAATAATAAAGCCTGTCCCGTGTCTACTGCCTCCCCCAACTGCACAGACGCCAGCCTCTAGGCCTGACTGCCAGGGAGGTGGAAACACTGGCCACCAGCCCGGCAGCCCCTACAGGCCCCCCAGATGGGCTGCCTCAGTCGTCCTCTGAGAGCTGCAGATCCTCCAGCTCGTCCTCCGGCCCCTGGGCCAGCTGCTGCAGCTCCCCAGGGGCCAGCCCCGCCTCTGCGTCTGGGTCTCCATCTGCGGGGAGAGATGGAGGCTACATAAATTTTGCTTTATCAGGAAGAAGCCAGCCTTAGAGGTTACTCATCACTAATTAATCACGGCACTAATTAATTTATCCCTGTTGCTGGCTGCCAGAGAACAGAGCATTTGGCCTGGCCTTCCCAGGGAGGGAAAAGCCTGGCCCAGAGCCCCACGCCCCCCGCCCACGTGGCTCTGCCCTCCCGCCAGATGGGCTCACAGGGCCACACCCTCTCACCCCAAGACCATTCACCCTCCGAGTTGCTGCTGTCCTCCTCGCCCTCCTCCTCGTCCTCTTCATCGTCTTCCACCCCATGCCGAGTGCTCAGGGGCCTCAGTATCCCTGAGGAACAAGAAGCAGAGTCCATATGACTCCCACCCACAGGGTCCACCAGCAAAGTCACAGTGGGGGCAGGAGGGTGGCCAGGCTCCCAACACCCTTCCCTCCGCTGACTTCCAGCAGGTGGAGAGGAGCCCTGGGGAGGAACTGGGAGGTCACAGGCCTGGGGACAGAGTTACCAATCCCAGTAGGCCTTCACTTCAAGGAGGGAAGGCGCTGGCACCAGAAGCCTGGCAACACTGAGGTTGGCCCCAGCTGGGCCAGAGACTGGTGAGCCCCCTGCAGGATGGGTACAGGTGGCCCTCGTGGCTCTGGGAAGTCCAGCAGAGCCCTCCAGGCCCACCCTTCCCCTGGGAGCACCACGCAGGCCCCACCTCTCTCCGAGAATCCCTCGGTGTCGTCCTCTTCAGAGCTGTTCAGGTCAAAGAGGTCTTTAAATTGCTTCCTGTCCTCATCCTTCCTGTCAGCCATCTTCCTTCGTTTGATCTCAGGGAAGTTCAGGTCTTCCAGCTGGAAGGCCAAAGAACCAGGGGCTCAGGTGAGAGAGGGCAGGGGCTGGCGGCCACAGCAGGGCCAGGCATCGCCAGACCCACCACCAGGGCCCCATGTGGCCAATTTCTAGTCCCCTCTGTTCCCAAATCACAAAGCCATCCTCCAAGTTGTCCATCCCATGTCCAAGGTCAAAGGCAGAGCCCTTCCTGCTTCTCCTCACGGGCCCCTGGTGCCCACATACTGGCCTGGGTGACGAGGTCAGTCCAGCCACTCCACCTGCCCGGAGCCTCCAGCCCATCAGGCCTGAGGGGGCATGGCCTCCCCAACCTAGTGCAGCCTGGGGCTTCCCCTCCCTGGAAACGCCTGGTTCTGGCCAGTTCTCCAACACCTACCCCCTCTCCAAGTCGAATCATCCGGGCACGGCCCTGGCCGCCTGGCACTGTTTCCAAACCCTCGCCCTGGTCTCAAGTCATAGTGCGCTAGATCTGAAACCCAGGAAGTCACAACACACCCCCAGGTCCCCTCGCCGAGCCGCACCCGCTCTTTGCCACTGATCTCCAGCTGGATCTCCCGGTCACGCAGCTTGCGCCAGTGGCTGTAGTACAAGGTCAGGGGTGTCCCCTCTTCCCGGGTCAGCTTCTCCCAGGCTTCCTGGGGGGTTGGGGGAGTTCAGGGTCATGCCTCACCCTGGGCAAACCCCCACATGTAGCTGGGGCTATACCCTGGCAGGTGCCCTCAGGTGGCACTACCCCCAGGGCCCACTAACCACTGCCTGCTGCTCAGAGACGCCGAAGGAAACCCTCTGGCGGCGGCTGCAGATGTATGCCGAGTTCTCCTGAACCTTCCCAAGCAGCTGCTGCACCTGCCGGCAGTAGTTGGCCACCTTGCACTCCCGGAGGAACGACTTCAGCTGCGGAAGGGAGGGGTCAGCCACTGAAGCCCAGGACCGCTCCATGTGCACAGCTGGCCCAGGTCCTGTGCAAAACCACGCGTGGTGGCCACGGGGATACCCCAGGAGGGGACATGGATCCCATCTCAGGGCTCAAGTGCATAGCTGTTGCAGCTGGGATGGCAGAGGCAGAATCAGCCCACCCTCTGGGCCAACCCTGCCCACTACTCACCTCTGGAAATAAAGTTTTATGCCAGGCGTGGTGGCTCTCGCCTGTAATCCCAGCACTTTGGGAGGCTGAGGCGGGTGGATCACCTGAGGTCAGGAGTTCAAGACCAGCCTGGCCAACGTGGCAAAACCCCGTCTCTACTAAAATACCAAAATTAGCTGGGTGTGGTGGTGGGCGCCTGTAAACCCAGCTCCTTGGGAGGCTGAGGCTGGAGAATCGCTTGAGCCCAGGAGATGGAGATTGCAGTGAGCCGAGATCGCACCATTGCACTCCAGCCTGGGCAACACAGCGAGACTCCATCTCAAACAATACTACTACTACTAATAAAATACAGTCTCGCTGACGTGCAGCCACACGTGTGCATTGCATGGTTCTGCAGTTGCCTGTGCAGCTGAACATCCGTAGGAAGCCACGTTTACCATTTGGCCCCTCACCAAAAACATTTTCTGACCCCTACCCCAGACCCCGACCCTGGGCCCTTGAGTCCAGAAGCAGAGATGCCCCAATGCCAGGTATCACCACCCAAGAGGACATGGGAGGAACAGAGGCTGTGGCCCCTGCTGTGAGTGCCCCCCAGAAAGGGGGTCCCGGCTCTGTGCATGTGACATGTGTGGCCGTGTGTGAGTACACACACATGCACACACCTCTATCTGGATAAGCCTCTGACCAATTGTGGCTCATGTGAGCAGATCCCTCCTCCCCACACTGCACAGACCTATAGTCGGCACATCTGATTCCAGCCACCAGGGCCAGACAGCAGGGCCCCCACCCCTTCCACTAGGCACAGGCCTCCCTGAGGCTGGAAACATCACGGCTGAGAGCAAACAGACCTCCCGTGGGGGCCCAGAAGGACCTTCTGAGGATAAGGAGAACCCCCTCCTCCACCCCACTCCTGCCTAAGATGAGGCTGACGTGGGGTATTTAGCGGGGCAGGCTGGGCCTTCCTATGAGGCTGATGTGGGGTATTTGGCGGGGCAGGCCAGGCCTTCCTGCCACCTGAGAAGCCACTCCACCCACTCCCCACACCCGGGATGGCCTGGGGAAGTGTGCGATCAGCGTACCAGCCTGAGCCAGGGTCGGCATGCTCAGTCCCAACCCCGAAGCAAAGATCAGCCTTGTGGTTCCCACCTGGGGAGGAGGCTGTTGTGCTCCCAGGGTCCTCAGCCCACTGCCCAGGCCTGCCCCCAAACCTCCTGAATGGCTTAGAACCCCTCATCAGCCCCTCCAAGGGGGCCTCACGGGGCGCGTTGCCAGCAGTCAGGTTCCACCCCAGTCCCAGGTACCCGGGACAAGGGCACCTCCTACCAGCCTGGGGCAGCCAAGCCCGTTATAAGACAGTCTGAGTCGGCCACGAGCCGGTGTGGGCAGGACACACACCTGCAGGACCACAGGCAGCACCAGCTCCGGGAAGCCGATGCAGTGTGCCTGGCTGTGCAGGTACTCCAGGGTGAGGTCGTACAGCTGCTCCACCAGGCCGTCCTGAAGAGCAGGAGAGAGGGCCGAGTGCATCAGGGAGAGGCTGGGGCTGGGCACTCAGGCCCCTTCCCCTCAGGCTGTCAGGGCAGCGCCATCTCCAGGGCACGGACTGCAAGGAAGGGGCTCCTGGGCCCCAGCCCTGGGAGACCATGAAGGTCCATGCTTGAACTTGGAGGATGCCAGCCCCCTCCCATCCACCTCAGCACCCCCAACCCCACCCTGGGAACTGCCCAGGCCCCTCCCCAGGAGGCCAGCCTCACCCGGTACGCCTTCTCCTGCAGGTTGACATTGGACAGCTTCAGGATCACGGAGAAGTTGATGGGCTTGGAGCTCATGCGCCCTGGCTTCCTGTTGAAGTCGACCTGCTGGAACATCTGCCCCAAGGGCCGTGTCAGGCTCTCTCGGCCCCATGCCTGGTCACCCTGGCTTCACCCTGGCTGCACCCTGGTCCCCCTGGTCCCTTTGGCCCTGCACCTGGCTGCACCCTGGTCACCCTGGTCCTCAGGCTTCAGCACGAGGAGACCCAACCCGAAACAAGAGATAAGCAGCTAGGCACGGTCCCAGCCCCATGGCCCCACACAGCCTGGCGTGTCCCCGAGTGGGGCTCTGATCAGCAGGGAAGGATCAGGAACACGGGCCCTCTCCCAAAATCCTGGGAAGCACTAAGGACCCACGTCTGGAGACCTAGAGGTCCCTGCCACACAGAGTACCAGGACAGCCCCCATTCCTGACAACATGGCACTGAGGCCCATCCTGGCCCTCAGCACAGCAATGCCACATGGGGCTCCGTCCCGAGCAACCAGAAGACGCAGCAGCAACAGCAAAGAGTGCCAGACACAGGACGGGACAGATGGAGGTCACGGGAGGCCTGGGGGGCCCCTCCCACACCCTCCACAGAAGCCACAGGCCATGCACCTCCGTAGGACATGCCAGGAGGAGCAGAGAAAGAGTCAGCCTGGCCTCTCAGTCTTGTGACCCCTCCCCAACCACTAGGAGCCCTCAGGCTGTGAACCAGAGAGATCCAGGGTACATGCTGGGGCACCAGAGGACAGAAGCAGATTATGGGGGGCCCAAGGGTGGAGGCCCCAGCAAGACACCCCACTCAGCAGGGGTGGCTGCCAGACAGCTGAGCTCAGGTCCAGATGGGAAAACGCCCTGGTACTGATGAACCTCTGGGAGGACACTGCCCTTCTCTAGCCTGGGCCAAAAGTATGGGCAGGCGACTGGCTTCCTGTCCAGGCACCGGGGAAGGGCAGGCACGGCCTACAGCTGAGGGCTTTGTTTTAGCTTTTAGGGTTTGCTTTTTCCGGAGAGGAGAGGCCTGCATCCCTGCGTGAGAGGGGCCTACAGGGTGCGGCTGCAGTGAACCAGGGCAGTGCACAAGTGAAGAAACAGACACTGCAAGAGAGTAAGAAAGCACGTAGCCAAGGAGATTGGACAAGGGAAACAGACACAAAGCATGCCTGGAGCTGGGCAGCAGAGCTGGAGGCCCACAGACACAGGGGCCAGGCCAAGGGCTGGGCAATCAGAGACCACTGCTGGCTGCCATGGGAGTGAACATGGCTTCCTAAAGATGTTCAGCATCCCTGCCTCAGTGGAAGGGGAATCAGAACGTGCCTGGGGCTTCCATACCTTCTGGACCCAGCAACCTGGGGACCCAGCCCCAAGGACAGCTGTGACACGACTCTGGGCCTTCATGAGGCTGAGAACTCATTAGATAAACAGGGTGGAGATCGTGAATTCCTAAATTTACAGCGGGGTGGGGCCTAACCCACCCACTGAAAGTTGAAACTTCGGACTCCAATCTTTCCCTACCTGAGTGGCATGTGCACGTGCAAAGATGCATACACACAGGTACACACAGGCGCACACATGCACAGGCACACACGTAGACGCACGTACATGCACACAGGTGCACACACGCACAGGCACACACAAGCAGACGTGCATGCATGCACCCAAGTGTACAGGTACACGCACAGGTACACACGCACAGTACACACATGCAGATGCAAATGCATGCACACAAGTGCACACAGACACGTGTGTATGCACATAGGTGCACACAGGTACATAGATGCACGCAGACACACATGCATGCACACAGATGCACACATGCAAAGGTTCATGCATGCACAGGTAGACACATGCAGACGCAAATGCATGCACACAGGTGCACACACGCACAGGTACACACATGCAGACAGGTGCACACAGGTACACACGCATGTGCATGCATACAGGTACACACAGGTACACACTGGTATACAAAGACACATGCACAGGTGCACACACGCAAAGGTACACGCAAAGGTACACACATGCATACACACAGGTGTACACACGCACAGATGCACACACCTGCAGGCACACAGGCATTCATGGATACACGTGCATACACACATACAGATGCACACATGAACTGATATGCACACACACACAGATTTACAGACCCATGCACCCAGATGGTGCACACACACGCATGCATGCACAGACAAACGCACCCACCCAGATGTACACACATCCCCCATACAAATGCATACACATGCACACAACTGTCAGGGCAGGGCACTGTTCAGTGTACAGTTCAGCAATCAGACTTGGGTTTTGGCCCATCTCGCCTCCTGCCTACTCCAGTCTTGGGCAAGCACCTACAGGGTCAGGTCCCGGCATCCTCAAGCACAGCCCTAGCAGCAGCCGCCTTCATCCCCAGTGGTCCCACGTTCCCCAACACTGCCCCCAGCACACGGAGGAGCACTGTCCTCGTGACACCCGTGACAAGGAGGCGGCCAGGGCTCCGGGAAGTCGCCGGACAACTCAGCACAGACGCCCGGAGCAGCAGATGCTCCCTACAGGAGCAGGCAGAGGTGCCACACGCCCACCACAGCCTCACTCACCTCCAGGATGAAAGGCAGCACCGGGATGAAGGCCCCCGAGCTCCCCGAGAGCAGCGTCAGGGCACGGATGCAGTGCATTCGCAGCGGGTAGAAGCGGGCAGTGGGGATGAGCCTGGGGGTGGGAAGGCCGAGTGAGCAGAGGCCCCGGCTCTGGCAGCCCCTGCCCCTCCCCCTGCTGTCTTGGACCTCCTCCCCCACTCACCGACATCAGACCCCTAAAGCAGGACAAGGCACGTCTGAACCCCAGGGACCTGCACCCCTTGCCCAGCTATGGGGCTGCAGGTACCTTACCCAGCTTTCAGCTTTATTTCAACACGGTGGCAGGGGTCATCTGTTCCTGCCTGCTCTCCTCCCTGTTCCCGCCTTTCCTACTTCTTCCCTTGGACTTCCCACCTCCCTTCCCAGCCTTGAGTTTCTAAGGCTCAGCCAGACAGATGCCCCCTCCTGGCCAAAGAGGCCACAGTACTGCTCCCACCTTTTCCTGCTGCAGCCCCTACCGTGCCTGGACCCTCCTAAGCGCTCACACCCAAAATGCAGTTCACTGCATCAGATGTGCTCCACCCAAGAACCCCACGTAATGAACCAAACTCACTGCAAACTGCACACAAGCCCCCAGAACACACGCTGGGTGGCACCCGAGGCGGCTAAACCGCTGTTGGAGGAGCTCATGTCACAGGTGCCCACCAGCCCTAGCTCTCCAGAATCCAGAGCATCTCCCCGTAGCAGGTACAGGGACCCCAGCCCTTCCTCAGGGACGGCCAGGACACAGACTCAGGCCCCAAGGCCCTGAACGCCAGAGGCACCGCCCACACAGTCCCAGCAAATTTGCTTCTCCTGACCCTCCCGCACAACCCTGCCCACCCCACAACTCACTTGATACAGCCAATGATGACTTGGGCAAGGGGGTAGACCAAGGGCTGGAGGGCTTCGCTGGGGCCCGCAGTGCTCAGGACCCGGCACCACAGGAAGAGGCAGTGCACATACTGCCAGTTGTACACAGACTGGTATGTTTCCTGGTCAGAGAGAACCACGTCAGCTACTGGCCAGGCTGACAAGTCAGGCTGATGCACGTTCCTCCTGGGCCGGCACAGGAATCATTTCCTCATCTTGCACACGGGGTCTCAACCCATCCACCCTTCCCCCACCTGCAAGGACCGACTGCACCAGGGTGCTGGGCTGTCTCCAGACAGGGGCTTCGGGGAGGCCCCAGGCCCTGCCTTGGGTCGGGCACCTGGGCTGCCCCACCCCATGCCCAGCATGAGCCTGGAAGGGCCCCACCACACACCTTCTTGCGAGTGGTCATGGCGTTGCGCAGGTGTATGGCGAGCTGGCGGATGTAGAGGAAGGCGTGCTGGTAGGCCACACCCGGCTCCAGGGCCAGCAGCTCCGTCAAGGTCCACTGCATGAAACTGATGAAGGGGAGGGCACCAGGCGAGGTGAACTTGCAGTTCCTCACATACGTGATGTACATTTGCTGCGGAGAGACCCGGGTCAGAGCCACCTGGGATCAGGGCCATGCACCTCCACCGCCCACTCCAGGGCCCCTGTGAACACCTGGGCCTTTCCCTCAGAGCTGGGCCTCGAGGAAGAGCCGTAGCCCCTTGCACAGCCCCCACCCCCAAGTGCCCACCAGCCTCAGGCCTGGGAGAAGCTGGGGCAGAAGCTCCTGCTGCACACTGGGCCCCTCTGGGGGCTGAGGGTCCCCACATGCAGGCCACCCATGGCTTGGGGACGGGCAGTAGGACTGTACCCTGGCCATGGCCTCAGGTCCCAACACCCAGTGTCCTCCTCCAGCCAGAGAGGCCCTCCCCTGGGGAAGCTGTGTGAAGCAGGGTCCAGGTGGGGCCCTGAGAAGGCCGAGGGCTCTCTTCCCTGCCCACCACCCCCAGGTGCTCTGTGAGACATTCGTGATCCAAGGGCCCAGGTCTGCTCAGAGCTGCAGTGAGGGTCCAGTGAGGGGCACCAACCACAAAGGCAGCCCGCCCTGCCCTTAGGCCGAGATTTCCAATGCAGATGCTGAGGGACACAGACGCAGGGCCCACCACTACCTTGAGGACGGGGCCAAGGAAAGTGTCCTTCTTGTGCCGGCAGACTCTGCTGAGGACCAGGAAAGCCAGCACCCGCAGAGACTCTTCCCCAGTGCTCCATACGATCACCATTCTCTGCAGAAGGTCAGACGTCACTGGTGGCCCCCCAGCCTCCTCAGCAGGGATGCCCCAGGGCCAGCACAGCCCTCCCCAGCCAGGCAAAGGCTCCCATGGCCACCAGCTCTTCCCAAAGCACCTCGGGGGAGCCGTGAGTTAGGTGCTCAGTTACAGAAGTGAACAGAACAGGTGTGTTGCTCCTTGTGAGAAGAGGACCACAAAAGTTTACCACGTCAGACACGCCGACGTATGTGAGATCACACCGGGAAGAAGATACCTCACCGTGGCTTTGCTCACGGACTGAGCCGCGCTGCCCGGGCAGGCAGGGACTGCCTGAGACAGAAACCCCAGGTGGGGGTGGGGGCCAGGTGCTTCTGTGGCCTCTCTAGCCAAGCGGAGCCAGTGGAGTGTGGGCACCACCTGTGCCCTGGCCAGGAGTGGGATGTGGTGGGGGTAGCCGTGTGGCCCCCCGACCCCATGACAGACACAGGGAGGGGACTGGGCCACGAACCTTGAGCAGCATGCGGCACTGCTTGGGGAAGGTCAGGAAGCAGGGCACCAGCACGCTGATGTGCCGCAGCACGGCCGCCAACACCGTCGTCTCCGACAGACAGGACACCAGCTGGGGGCAGGAGGGGACAGTGAAGCCCCAAACCCATGTATTCTGGGATACAAAAAAGGACCGACCACCAGATACAGCCAGGCCCCCGTGCCCTCCCCACCAGAATAGCACCTGTATGGCCGAGCCCAGGTAAGCCTTGATGTCCACACGAAGCTTCCCCCAGAGCGGGCTGCTGGACGGCTGCAGCATCCTGCAGAGAGACCACCCACCCCTGGCTGGGAGGCCCCACGGCTCGGACGCGAGGCTGCTCAGCATGTTGGCGCGTGCCCTGGCCAGCATAGCCTCTACGACTCTGCAGAGACCCCCCGTCTCTCCACTCAAAAAAGCTCAGGGCCCCTTACAGCTGGACAGACACAGGGGCTTAGGAGGACCCTCTCAAGTGCATTAGCTCCTCCTTCAGTGGCCTTGAACTCCTGTCTGCCCTGCCCAGGGTTGGCCACCGCCCTAAGAGTCCCCGGAAGTCCCAGCCTCCAACTCCCTCTCAGACATAAACCTTTTCTAGGTCCCCTTGATCACATCCCCACCGTGAGACCACACGAGGTCCCTAAGCCCAGCAGCTGGTACTCAGCACCTCTGGGGTCGCCCAGGCACCACCAACTGCCGCAGACTGGTTTCCTTTGGCCCACATTTGCTGCACAAAGAAAAGAAAATCAGAGGGCAGGTGTGGAGACTCATGCCAGTACTCACTGCACTTTGGGAGGCCAAGGCAGGAGGATCAAACTCCAAGCCCAGGAGTTTGAGACCAGCCTGAACAACACAGTGAGACCCCGTCTCTACAAAAATATACAAAATATTATCCAGGCCTGGTGGCGGAGTCCCAGTTACTTGGGAGGCTAAGGTGAGAGAATCACTTGAATCCAGAAGGTACGTGTCGCAGTGAGCTATGATCACTGCATTCCAGCCTGGGCGACAGAGCAAGATCCTATCTCGTAAGGAAAAAAAAAAACCAAAAACCAAACAAACAAAACAAAACAAAACAAAACATTTACCAGAGCCCACGCAGTAGGCGCTCACTAAAATCTGCTGAAGCATGGGAAGGACAAAGGGCAGGGCCCCAGAAAGGCCCCCCGTCCTCGACCCTCCTCACACCTGTGCTGACACTGGCTGCTGGGCACCTGCAGCTGCCCACCCAGACCCAGGAGGCAGCTCTGCTCCCCACGGCCTGACTCCCTCCGGTACAGCTGCTGCCTCGACAGGGGTCCCTGACCTGGTGGCTCAGGCTGCAGTGCGTGCTGCCTCCCAATCGCTGCCTGTCCCTCCACCCCCATCTGCCAGCTTCCTTGTCCCCTTCGGACAGCACTGCCTCCATGTGGACATGGCTCTGTTCTATCCGTCCAGCCCCGACCACTACCACCAGCAACAGTGCCCCTGTCTCCTGAGCCGCTGTCGGCGAGACCTCTCCTGTGGGTCTCCTTTCTTCCTTTGAAGGTGTCCTGGGGCAGTTCCAACTCTAGGCCTCCACTGCCTCAAGGTCACATGGCTGCACAGCCCCGGAACCCCAACGTGCTCCATGCTCTACCAAATGCTTGGCCGTGCGTCTCTCTTCTCTGAAAACCTTCCACGGCCTTCTCTGCCCAATCTTTCTCTAAAGGGGAAGTTGAGGCCCTCAGGTTCTCAGCATTGATGAGGCCCCTGTCTACAGACACACACAGCTCCAGGAAACAGGCCAGTCATAGTGCAGAGATCAAGGAGTATGGACAGGACTTACAAGTTCTTACAAAGGGAAATAGAGCAAGAACCCTAACCTGGGAAAATCTGAGAGCAAAGGCAGCTGCACACGCCACACCTTCTGAGACTCTGAGCAGACAACTTCCCTTTTCAGGAAGGAAAGAAGGTGGGGCCGCTCCAACTGGCCCCAAGTGCCCAGCCTCTCCCAACGGTCCCTCGTGCCCCGCTGCCTTCTCAGGGTCCCCAAGAAGACGCTGGCTCTGTTGCCATGTCTCTGTCCTAGCCACAAGGCCTCTGGCTTCTCCTGTGTGTGGTCCCGACCCACCTTCCACCCTACCCCCCTTCACCCCCTCCCCTCTTACCTGCTGCTATCCTTTGCCACCTTTCCAAACAGCAGCTTCTGGAGACAGCCAATGAGGTCTCTGATGCAGAAGGTAACCAGAGCATTGAATGCTGCAACGAAAAGGCCTGGATGTACTCACGGGACAGAGAACGCAACAGACAGCCTGGATGCCAGGCTCCCCCCAAGCTCACCAGCACTGTCCGTGACCTGGAATTTGTTGGCCTCAGCACTTTCCTGGTCCCCTCGGGTGGTGGCCACAGCTGCTCGGAACGCCTGTACCACTTCATGGAACAGCTTTGGAGTGAGGCGTTGCTGAAGGAGCAAGAGTACCAGGGGCGTCAGGGGAGCTGAGACTGCACTTGGCAGAGTGGAAACGGCAGCCCCAGAGAAAGGCACCCTCACCCTCACCCTCAGACATAGGGCAGAGGTTGGGGGGAGGCACAGAGCCCCATACTGATAACAAAAATGGAAACAAAGTCTAGAATTCTCTGGGAAGAGGAGGGAGTCTGGCTCAGGAGCCCCAGGAAAAGGACTGGGAGTTCCAGATCCTGGACTATGGCCACCTCCAGGTGGTATCTGGAGCTCTCCGTATCCTTGTCCCTGGAAAAAAACACTGTGAGAGGCTCAGAAGGACCCCAGCTCCACCAACCAACAAAGGCACAGTCCGTCCCACCCACAGCGGGACTGACTTTGGGGAGTGGGGCGCCAACAGAGCCCCTGGAATCTACCCAAAAGTGAACACACAGTCCTGGGGCAACCAAGCAAGCAGGAGGAGCAACGTGTTGTCACTTGCGCTGAAGAAGGCTCCAAGCGTCCCCTGCGTGGAGAACAGCCCCTCCCACCAGCACAGCCTCAGGCGCCTCAGGTGAGGCAAGGCCAGATCTCTGCCTGGGCACCCAGCTGCCCGCCCCTCGCTGCTGCTCACCTCAGGTGAGGCAAGGCCAGATTTCTGCCTGGGCACCCAGCTGCCCGCCCCTGGCTGCTGCTCACCTTTGCTGCCTGCTTCCATCTCTCAACCATGGCGACGGTCACAGGAACAGAATTCTTCTTCCCCTTCAGCCCTCTGGGGACTCTGTCCCCATCTTCTCCTTCCTCCGCTCCATCCTCCTCCTCACTGGCTTCCTGCACAGAAAGGCTGAGCTGAAGGAGAGTGTAGAGACAAGTGCCCCCCTTCTGGTTTGGCCCACGCCCTCACCTCCAGCACATCTGGCAGGGAGTGGAACGGCCCCTCTTCCTCCTCAGAGCTGTCCGAGTCGCTGAAGTTTAGCAGGCTCTGGTCATTCTCCTGCAGGAACTTGTAGAACTCGGGGTCTCTGTCCTTCAGCCGAGAGAGCTGGTCTTTGTGCTCAGAGGCACGGCCTTTACGCCGGCTGAGGAGGCAGAAGTCAGCGACCCCAGTGGGAAGTGGAAGTAGAGGGGGCGGGGAGTGGCCTACAGGGTCAGTCTACTCCCTTCACAAGGGTTACCAACTAGCAAGACAGGATTGCCAGGAGGTACGTTTTTGGCAGACTCACGTCTCCTACCCAACAACCTCTACAACATACCCTCAAACACACTACACAGGCCCCCCAGCCGCGGTCTTCCCTGGACTTGCTGTGCCTGCGCCCTGCGCTACACAGGCCCCCAGCCGCGGTCTTCCCTGGACTTGCTGTGCCTGTGCCCTGCGCTACTTTTGCCTGATGGTGGCTTCACCCTTCCAGAGGCTCAGACTAAAGGCAAATCTCTGTCTCTAATACCCAGCACGCAACTTGTCATCAGATCTCATCAGCAACACCTTCAAAACCGTTCGTGCCTCCTCTCAAACCACCACATAGTTCAATTCTCAGTTAACCTAAAGGTCTCTCTGTTTCCACCCTTGTCACCTACAAGGCACTCCACCGCTCAAACCCAGAAGTAACTCCCTGTTTTACGAGGCAATCTTATGACGGTCTACGGCACCTGGCTCTTCATCACCCTTCTGGGCTCATCTACCCCTATTCACCCCCTCACTCCTGCCGTAGCCACGTTTACCTCTGTACTCTCCCCAAATGCTCCCACTGCAAGGCTTTTGCTGTTTTCTGCTGCCTGAAATCCTAAGACACGTTTCCCCTACTGTCTGTGTGGCCTCCTTGTTCGAGGTCTTTATTCAGACGTCATCTTCTCAAACAACCACCTCCGCTTTTTTTTTTTTTTTTTTTTCTCCTGAGGCGGAATCTCACTCTGTCGCCCAGGCTGGAGTGCAGTGGCGCAATCTCCACTCACCGCAACCTCCGCCTCCCGGGTTCAAGCGATTCTCCTGCCTCAGCCTCCCGAGTAGCTGGGACGACAGGTGTGTGTCACCACGCCAGGCTAATTTTTGTATCTTTTGATTTCTTTCTTTTTCTTTTTGAGATGGAGTCTCACTCTCTCACCCAGGCTGGAATGCAATGGTGCCATCTCGGCTCACTGCAACCTCCGCCTCCCAAGTTCAAGCGATTCTCCTGCCTCAGCCTCCCGAGTAGTTGGGATTACAGGTGCCCACCACGCCCGGCTAATTTTTATATTTTTAGTAGAGACATGATTTTTCCGTGTTGGTCAGGCTGGTCTCGAATTCCTGACCTCAGGTAATCTGCCCGCCTCGGCCTCCCAAAGTGCTGGCATTACAGGCGTGAGCCACCGAGCACAGCCTCCGCTCCTTCTAACAGAGCAACTCGGCTCCCCTGCAACTCTCTCTTCAGCCCCTCTGTCCTTCCTTTCCCTCCCCAGCACTTATCTCTCTTCTACCGAACTGCAGGCGGTGATTTCACCCAAGAACGTGAGAGTTCTCCTAGATCGGGAAGAGATTTTTGCACAACTCACCAACATACGCTCCCTGCCTAGGACAGAGTTTGGCACGGAACAGGAGCTCAGTAAACATCGGATGAAAGAGTAAGTTAAGCTGAAAGGACTGGGGGGCAGAGGTCGGCGATCCTTAGGCCTTGGCCCTGAGACCCCAGGCGAGGTCAGCAACCCAACCGGGGTGGGACAGGACGAGCAAGAGGTTCTGCTCACGCATGTCCCCACTAACCTGGCCGAGGGGCTCCCGCCCGGCTTATCCGGACTCCGGGCAGCCTCGCGTGCTTCCCGTGTCTCCGCTTGTGGAGAATTTTCGGACTCGGATTCGGACTCGGAGTCAAAGCCCGAAGCTAGGAACTCGTCCACCGTCAGCTCCGCCAGGCGCCTGCGGGTCACGCAGGAGTCACAGCTGCCCGCACGCCCAGCTCGCCCCAGCCCCGCTGAGAGGAGCAAGAAAAGCCCCCTTGGATACAGACACCCACCGGGAGGCCAAATCGGCCCTCGGACCCGCGGCTTACCTCTTGCGGCTCCCCGCAGCTGCCATGACACCAACCCGAAGCGTGCACCCCACTTCCGGCCCCAGAATGCCGCGCGGCTGCGCACTTCCGCCGCCCAGGCCCCGCCCCTTTCCCCGCCCCGCCGCGCCACGCCCAGCCGAGTGGCTCTATGGTTCTCCGACCGCAACGCCGGCGGCCTCAGGGCGGGAGGGCGCGTTCGCGTGCTCGGTGCGGGCAGCCCCGGTGGGGCCCAGATGCGCCTCCCGCTCGGCGCCCGGCTCCGTAGGACGCGGTGACGCCGGTGTCCGCCCCGGGGAAGACCGGGAGTCCCGCCGCGCCCGCAGCCCACCCGGCGCTCCGAAGGCACGCGCCTGCGAGGACGCCAGACTGCAACGGCGGGGCTCCTATGCAAAGAGCTCCCACAAATCAACAATAAAAAGCAGGGAGTCCAGTGGAAAACGCGAGGGGCAGTGGGAACCGCACTGATGTCGCCAGCTCGACAAAAGACGGGCGACCCGAGGGCCAGGCTGGCTTCGCCTCCGATCCGCGGAGACCGGGCCAGCGCCACGAACACCACGCAGGGCGCTCCCCGTCCATGGCCCTCTGGGTGCCGACCGCGGCTCTTCCCGGGGACGCCGCACGGGACGAAGACGGTGGGGAGGCCGGCGCCTTCCTTCCCGCTACCAGCCTGACACCCGGGCCCCCGGGCCTGGACAGCCAGACCCCGCGACAAGGGCGCCGCGGGGCGCAGGCACGGCTCCCCCAGCCCTGGCGCTGAGGGGGCGCGTGAGGCGAACACGGGCGGATTGGCCTCGGGGTCCCATTCGACTTCTTGGTGCCGCGGGGCCCCGGGGCTCCCCGGAGGAGAGCAAGTTAGGGGGTCGGGGGAGCGGGGATGGCTTCCGGGGGAGGAGGAGGGCGAGGCCTGGGGGGCTCCTCGGAGGAGGAAGAGGGCGAGGCTTAGGGGGGCTCCTTGGAGGAGGAGGAGGGCGAGGCTTAGGAGGGCTCTTCGGAGAAACAGGAGGGCGAGGCCTGTGGGGGGCTTCCCGGGGAAGAAGGAAGGCGAGACCTAGGGGGGCTTCCCGGAGGAGGAGGAGGAGGAGGGCTAGGCCGGGGGCTTCCCAGAGGAGGAGGATGGCGGGGCCTGGGGGGCTTCTCGGAGAAGGAAGATGGCGAGGCCTAGGGGGGCTTCTCGGAGGAGGAGGAGGGCGAGGCCTGGTGGGGGGCTTCCCGGAGGAGGAGGATGGCGGGGTCTGGGGGTGCTTCTCGGAGGAGGAGGCGGACCCGGGGCGCAGCGCTGGAAGAATCCGCGTCCAACGTCTAGTCCCCGAAGCCTCTCGGGAGGCGGGGCGGGCGGCGCCGAGAAACAGCGGCTGCGGGCGGGAGCGGCGGGAGTGAGCGACACAGAGCGGGCCGCCACCGCCGAGCAGCCCTCCGGCAGTCTCCGCGTCCGTTAAGCCCGCGGGTCCTCCGCGAATCGGCGGTGGGTCCGGCAGCCGAATGCAGCCCCGCAGCGAGCGCCCGGCCGGCAGGACGCAGAGCCCGGAGCACGGCAGCCCGGGGCCCGGGCCCGAGGCGCCGCCGCCTCCACCGCCGCAGCCGCCGGCGTGAGTGGGCGGGGGTCGGGGCGCGGGGGGCGGCCTCGGGACCTGCGCGGCCCCCGCCCTCGCGTCCGCTCGCAGAAGGGGCGGGGGCCGCTTCCGAGGGCCGGGGGAGGTCGGGACTCAGGTGCGGAGCGGGGTCGGCCCGGAGTAGGTTCCCCACCCGCGCCCCGCGCGCCCAGGACGCGACTCCCGCTGCGGTCCCGAGAGGGCGGCTAGGGACGCGGAGGAGCTGAGCTCGTGGGGGCGCCGGGAAGCGGGGCCGGACGCGGGGCTCTGTTCGCGGCTCTGACTACGCCCCAGGGGAGCAGGGGCGCAGCGGAGGCCTGGACACGGCGCGCTCCGGGGCGGGGGTCCTTGGCGGAGGTCAGGCGAGGGCTGCCGGCGCCCCCGTCGCACCAGGGGCTGGGTCCCCGCGGGCTGCCCGGGCCCCCCAGCGGCTCCAGGGCGGGCGGGCGGCTCCAGCGGGGCGAAGCCTGACCCGCCCGCCTCCTGCAGCCCCGAGGCAGAGCGCACGCGGCCCCGGCAGGCTCGGCCCGCAGCCCCCATGGAGGGAGCCGTGCAGCTGCTGAGCCGCGAGGGCCACAGCGTGGCCCACAACTCCAAGCGGCACTACCACGATGCCTTCGTGGCCATGAGCCGCATGCGCCAGCGCGGCCTCCTGTGCGACATCGTCCTGCACGTGGCTGCCAAGGAGATCCGTGCGCACAAAGTGGTGCTGGCCTCCTGCAGCCCCTACTTCCACGCCATGTTCACAAGCAAGTACCCGCCTGGGCGGCGCTGGGGGCTCCGTGGGTCCCTCGGGTCAGCTCGTGTAACCCGCTGTCCCCGCAGATGAGATGAGCGAGAGCCGCCAGACCCACGTGACGCTGCACGACATCGACCCTCAGGCCTTGGACCAGCTGGTGCAGTTTGCCTACACGGCTGAGATTGTGGTGGGCGAGGGCAATGTGCAGGTGAGGGCTCCCTCACCCGGATCCCGGTGTCCCCCGACCCTGTGCCTCCCTCACCTGCCTCTCGGTGCCCCGTAGACTCTGCTCCCAGCCGCCAGTCTCCTGCAGCTGAATGGCGTCCGAGACGCTTGCTGCAAGTTTCTACTGAGTCAGCTCGACCCCTCCAACTGCCTGGGTATCCGGGGCTTTGCCGATGCGCACTCCTGCAGCGACCTGCTCAAGGCCGCCCACAGGTACGTGCTGCAGCACTTCGTGGACGTGGCCAAGACCGAGGAGTTTATGCTGCTGCCCCTGAAACAGGTAACAGCTGGCGGGCCCAGCCCTCGCCCCCCACCCCACCCCACCCCAGTCTTTGTCTTTGACTCCCGACCCCGTTTTGTTCCTGACACAGCCCTGCCCACAATCCTTAGTGCCTGCTGTGTGTCCCCGAGACCTTTCTGGATCTGGGCCCCCCAGGAGCCTCGTCTGTGGCTCCTGACTCTGCTCGGCCCCTCCCAGTATGAACACTCAGCCCCCACCTGCTAACCCTCCCTCCTAGGCATCTTCAGGGCTCCCTGGGTCCACAGGACCCTCCCCAGATCTCAGGTCTGAGGACCCCCACTCCCAGGTTCTGGAACTGGTCTCTAGCGACAGCCTGAACGTGCCTTCAGAGGAGGAGGTCTACCGAGCCGTCCTGAGCTGGGTGAAACACGACGTGGACGCCCGCAGGCAGCATGTCCCACGGGTGAGGCGCGGCCGCGGGGGGCTCCCACAGCATCCAGGAGGGCATGCAGGTGGCTGAGGGCCTGGTGCACCCTGACCTTCCCCGAGTTCAGGGACTCCGTGGGGGTGGTGCCCCCACCTGTCTGAAGAAGAATCCATCACACAGGTGGTACGGGCATCTGGGGGGTTGTCTCAGCCCTGACGCCCAGTGTGCCCGAGGGTCCCGCCTGACCTTGGCGTTCCCTGCACCCCAGCTCATGAAGTGTGTGCGGCTGCCCTTGCTGAGCCGCGACTTCCTGCTGGGCCACGTGGATGCCGAGAGCCTGGTGAGGCACCACCCTGACTGCAAGGACCTCCTCATCGAGGCCCTGAAGTTCCACCTGCTGCCTGAGCAGAGGGGCGTCCTAGGCACCAGCCGCACACGTCCCCGGCGCTGCGAGGGGGCCGGGCCTGTGCTTTTTGCTGTGGGTATGGCCCCCCGCCCGTTTCCCTCTTGCCCTGTGCCTTCTACTCCCCACCAGCACAAGCCCACCCCACCTGTGCCGGTCAGGTCCTGACCTGCCCCTCCGCCCCTCCATTCAGGGGCCTCTCCAGGAGCCTGGGGTGTGGCCCAGCAGTGGGATCCACTCACGAGTCCCGTCTCCACCTGCCCTCCCCAGGCGGCGGGAGCCTGTTTGCCATCCACGGAGACTGTGAGGCCTACGACACGCGCACCGACCGCTGGCACGTGGTGGCCTCCATGTCCACGCGCCGGGCCCGGGTGGGAGTGGCTGCGGTGGGGAACCGGCTCTATGCTGTGGGCGGGTAAGCCTGGAGGCTGGACTTGGGTCGGGTCTGGCACGTGCCCGCCAGGCCAGTCTTGACCTGCAGTGGCTTAATTCCGCTAGCTATGATGGGACCTCAGACCTGGCTACCGTGGAGTCCTACGACCCCGTGACTAACACGTGGCAGCCGGAGGTGTCCATGGGCACAAGGCGAAGCTGCCTGGGTGTGGCCGCCTTGCATGGACTCCTGTACTCGGCCGGCGGCTATGACGGGGCCTCCTGCCTGAACAGGTAGTTGGGGTTGGGGCCCCAGTGGCTTTGTACAGTCCATCTGCAAGAGGCAAGTTTGTGTCACCATCACAGGGGTCGTATCTGATGGGGTGTTAAAGGAGGTGATCCGCGAGGCCGTTTCACCCCAGGCCACTGCCACACTGGGCCTGAACTCTTGGCTTTGCTGCCCCAGTGCCCTTTCCTCTCTCGGGTCCTTACCCCCAGTCCAGAGGCTGGGCCCAGGTGGGTGTGCACCCAGGGTTGTTCAGGCAGCCAGGGTCCTGTGCCCACCAGCGGGCCCTGCCTGGTAGGACTTTGCGGTCTGAGTTTGACTCCTAGGGTAAGATTTCAGCCATTCCGCTGGGGAGGGCAGGTCCTGGGGCCGGGACGCCTTTCTGTCTCTGCTGAGCTGTGGCTGCGGTCCTGGTGCCCACAGTGCTGAACGCTACGACCCCCTGACCGGAACGTGGACGTCCGTCGCTGCCATGAGCACCCGGAGGCGCTATGTGCGAGTGGCCACGCTTGGTGGGTGATGGGGCCTGCCTGGGGGGCATCCCCACCTTCCCCCACCGTGGAGACCCCACTCCCAGCAGGAGTGCCACGGGTGTGTTGACTTCCGGCAGATGGGAACCTGTATGCTGTGGGCGGCTACGACAGCTCCTCACACCTGGCCACTGTGGAGAAGTATGAGCCCCAGGTGCATAGTGCACCCCTCCTGGCCACCCCCTCCCGTGCGCCGCGGGGCCCTCCTCCCTCTGTTTACCCACATCCCCCCCATTCCTGACACCCCACCCTGGAGTCGGGGCTGCGGCAGAGGAGGGATGCCAGTGGCGGGTCTGCGTCCAGCCCACGCCCTCGCCCCCAGGTGAACGTGTGGTCGCCCGTGGCGTCCATGCTGAGCCGACGCAGCTCAGCGGGCGTGGCCGTGCTGGAGGGTGCCCTGTACGTGGCAGGGGGCAACGACGGCACCAGCTGCCTCAACTCGGTAGAGAGATACAGTCCAAAGGCTGGAGCCTGGGAAAGCGTGGCGCCCATGAATATCCGCAGGTCCGCAGTGGGGCTGCGGGGAGGGGGGCGCGGGTCCGCAGTGGGGCTGTGGGAGGGGTCCGCGCGTCCGCAGTGGGGATGTGCTGCGGGGAGGGGGGCGCGGGTCCGCAGTGGGGATGTGCTGCCGGGAGGGGGGCGCGGGTCCGCAGTGGGGATGTGCTGCCGGGAGGGGGGCGCGGGTCCGCAGTGGGGATGTGCTGCCGGGAGGGGGGCGCGGGTCCGCAGTGGGGATGTGCTGCCGGGAGGGGGGCGCGGGTCCGCAGTGGGGATGTGCTGCCGGGAGGGGGGCGCGGGTCCGCAGTGGGGATGTGCTGTGAGAAGGGAGTTCTCCCAACCTCAGCGAGCATGTCCCGCCACCACCCCTTTTTGTGGTGCAGCCCCTCCCCCCGCATCCCTTCCTGCAGCCAGGGGCTCACCCCGCCTTCCCCCCAGGAGCACGCATGACCTGGTGGCCATGGACGGATGGTTGTACGCCGTGGGGGGTAACGACGGTAGCTCCAGCCTCAACTCCATCGAGAAGTACAACCCGAGGACCAACAAGTGGGTGGCCGCATCCTGCATGTTCACCCGGCGCAGCAGTGTGGGTGTGGCGGTGCTGGAGCTGCTCAATTTCCCGCCGCCATCCTCCCCGACGCTGTCCGTGTCCTCCACCAGCCTCTGACCCACCTACCACCAGAGGCCTGCAGCCTCCCACATGCCTTAAGGGGACCGTGGCCCCCACCAGGGACGTCCTGCGCCATCCGTTCACGTCTCTGCATCCATTCCTTCATGTCTTTATTTAGTTGTTTATTTATTTAGTTATTTATCTTATTTATTGAGGGGTGAGGAGTGCCACGGCTGCCCGTTTACACCTTTAGCGTCTGGTCCTCCTGCGTGTCCTCCCCTCCACTGCCTGCATGGGGGGCGCGGGGAGTGACCAGGCGGGGGCCTCACCGCCCCAGGGCCGTTGCCTGCTCAGACCTTGCAGGCTGTGGAGCAAGAGGCCCTGGGTCTCTCCAAGCAGCTGCAGACCCCAGCTCGAATTTTGCACATGGCGGGGTCCCGGGAAGGGTGGGGAGCAGTTGTCCTTCCTGTCGTCGTCTGCCGTGTGCCATCTTTCCTGGATCTTGTAGTGGGTGCACACGCGTGCACTGGGACCCCACACAGCAATACGAGTCCAACTTAATAAACACATTTCTGGGGTTCCTCAGGCTGAGCATCTCTCTCTGGCATGTGGGGCAGCTGCGCAACTTTGGGTCCTGTCTGGGGTCCAGGGTGAGGGGTGTGGGGGGGTGCCCTGAGATGCGCAGGCATCTGGGAGCTGCAAGGCAGAGCTGTGCGTCCAGGGAGGGTGGGGGCCGTGCAGTTCCTGTGGACCAGCGTCCCAGTGTGGGTGGCGTTTGCCTGGGCTGGGTACTGAGGCCGAGGTCCCCGCCACATCGTGGGCTCTGGGGTTAGGGCTGGGGAGGACAGCCTTGCCCCCGAGTGCGCTGACTGTCTTGGCCGTCTAGGGGGCATGTGGCCTCCCTGAGTCCCCTTAAGCCTTGGGGACCCTGACTCGGGTCTGTGGCGAGGGGGCCCAGGCAGGAGGGGAGGCTGCGGTGGCTTTGGCCGCCGTCTCCTGTGCTGGAACTCCTGCCTCAGCCCTCCCTGCAGTCACCGGTGACTCGGGCCGGCCAGAGTTTAGATGGAAACAGGATGTGTGGGCACGTTGTCCCGGGGGGCCTGGAAGGTCGCCCCGGGTTCACCAAGCCGGAGCACAAGCAGGTGGGGTACCTCTGCACACTGGAGGCCTCGTCTGGGCCAGAGGGGTGCTTGCCCCAAGGCTGGCCTCTCGAGTGGAGGGCCCAGGGCAGAGACCTGCACGGCTCAGGTAGGGGCCAGGCCTCTTCCAGAAAGGCTCCACCCTCGCCCAGGCCCTGGTGCCGGGCGGGACGTCCCGGAGCCCCGCCTGCCCGCGGGAGGCGGGGGCAGGAGGCTGTGGACAGGGACCCAGACTTGCCGACCTGTACGACTCTGGCCATGGGGAACAGCCACTGTGTCCCTCAGGCCCCCAGGAGGCTCCGGGCCTCCTTCTCCAGAAAGCCCTCGCTGAAGGGAAACAGGTGAGCGGGGCGTGGGTGCGGCCACCTGGGCGCAGGGCTCCCCCACCCGCTCCGGGGCCAAGCCACGAGACCCCTTGCCTTGTCCCCAGAGAGGACAGCGCGCGGATGTCGGCCGGCCTGCCGGGCCCCGAGGCTGCTCGAAGCGGGGACGCCGCCGCCAACAAGCTCTTCCACTACATCCCGGGCACGGTGAGCGCGGCGTGCACGGTGGCTGTGGTCTGGGAGCGTGGCTCTGCCCGCGCGTGTGTGCCGTGTGTCCGTGCAGCTCAGGGTCTTCCCCTCGCCCCCGGGGCGTTCAGACCCCGGTAGGTGAGGAGCCGACGCTGACTGCCCCGCCCTGGGGAGCTCATCCGGCCGAAAGTCTGAGCGGAGAGCGAAACCGCGACGCAGGACTGAGTCAGTCGGGAGAGAGCTGGGCGGGGCGGGCCGCGGGCGGGGCCTCCCGGGACCTCCTCCCGCAGGGGACCAGCGCACGTGTCTCTGTCGCTGCAGTGGGGCTTGGGGTCGTGCCGGCAGGTAGTGTCACTTGAGAGTAAGGGGCCTCAGATGAGCAGCGAGCCAGCCGGTCACCTACACCGGCCTTTCTCCCTGGGTGTCCCGCAGGAAGTTGCCGCTGGGTATGGCCGCCTGGTCCACAGCAATCCCTCTGTGCACGCGCCGGCCTCCTCCCAGCTTGCCAAGGCCATGCAGCAAGGAGGTGTCTCCCAAGCACACACTAGGCCACCTCTCCGTCAAAGGAGCAGAAGACCACCCCCATGCCCACCCCCCCCCCAGCCCCTGTGGGACTAAGGGTCTTCACAGGGTAGATCCCAGCCCCTTTCAGATGTGTCTGGTGCTGGGATGAGGGAACAGGACCAGGAACCTGGGCTTCAGGGCAGACAGGAACCCCCACTGCACCCCCGTCAGGCAGCCTGGATGGGTGGGCTCCGCTATGTGCAGGCCCTAGGAGCATCTGCGGGAGAGGACGCCTGCCCTGCACTCCTGGGTCCAGCAGCTGGCATGGCCGTGCAGACCCCTTTGCCAACATGCCCCCGCCAGGCAGGAAGCTCGTGCCATACCCTCTCCTGACCTCCAGAGTTTCAGGGCTCCCTGCAGACAAGTACTGGTTTCGGAAACCACGCTGCCTCAGAGGAGTGGGCAGGGAGAGGGAGCCGGGCTGGGTTAGGGGTGGGGTCCCTGTGGCTGCATCTCAGACACCACTCCCTCTGTCCAGGCCCAGGACATGCAGTGTGACCCTGGGGGGTCCTATGAGGTGTGGTGGGTGGCCGTAGTGGTCCTCCCTTGCCAGGACATGGTAGCCACAGAGGCAACAACCTGCTGAACCTCGGGAAATGGGGCTGGGGGAGGAGCTCTGGGCCAGTCCTAGAGCCAGTGCTCCGCGGCCCTGTACCTGGGCTCTGCACCCAGTGCTGTGAGCTGGCTCTACTACGGCTCCAAGCTGAGTCCTCCCCGGGGCCCCGAGGCTGAGCTGCGCTGCAGGGCCAGCTGTGTGGCCCTTCCTGGTCTGTGGCCTATTTTTCATGGGTGCCAACCCGGCATCAGTTCCCACGCTGGGTGTGGGTACAGGAGGCCCCACCCAGAGGCAGAAGGCCGGGAAAGCCATGCGTCTGTCTGTTCACATTCCTGGGCCTGCTCAGGGGCAGCTAAGCTTGGCCAGGGCACAGCAGCTCTGCAGGTAGCTCTCGCCAGCTCCTAGAAGGAGGAGGACACCTTCCCACTTGGCCCTGAGCCTGTGGATCACAGAGGTCTCCAGCCCCAGGTTCACACCCGTCCCTTTTCTGACTTCCAACCTGGTGATCAAAGCCTGCATTTGTAGAGGACTGTGTGTGCCAGGATTGACTACATGTGGCGTGGATGTGGAGTCCCCTCCCCTCTCAGCACATGCAGTGATACCCACAGCACATCCCAGGCCCTGTCTTAGGCTCTGGGGACACAGCAGTGAACGGAATAGACAACCCCTGTTCTGCTAGTGCTCCCATTCCCACGGCAGAGACACACGACGGGACAAATCAATAGATCCAGTGAGCGGGGTCAGGTCGGTGCTAAGGAGAAAAACAGAGGGGATGAGTGCAGAGGATCAGGGAAGGCTGGAATTTTAGAAAGGCTTTCAGAAAAGGAATTCTTGGAGCAGGTAATGTCTGAGCAAAGCTGCAAAGCGGGTAAGGAGGGGGGTCAGGACTGAGCGGTCCCCAAAGCAGGAACAGAACATGCAGCAGCCAGAGAGCATGGGTCTGATGTGAGGAGACAGTGAGGCCGGGGCAGCCACAGAGACCCCTCGGGGGAGACCCCTCGGGGCACTGCCAGGACCCCGTTGTCCCCTGAGTGAGGCATACGGAGCGGCCAACACACAGAGGATCGACCCCAGAAATCTCCTCACATATTTCAGGCTGGGGGCTGGAAATGGGCAACGGTGAGGACACTGACACCGAGGAGATTGGCAAACGTTACAAATCAGGGCATCGGTGTGTTTCTGTGTCTGTTTTTTGTAGAACCAGGTGTTAAGCATTTACCATACAATACTGCAGACGTGGGAGGGTTTTGAGTGTTACCCAGACACCCCCAAATTCTTCTAACAAGTCTTCAGAGGTTGAATAACCCAAGCCATGTTACACAGCTTAGGAAAGAATGAAGATGGGTTTAATCCACTGAGTCCAGATCTCACCATCTCTACCACTAGACCAGGCAGCTCTGTGTGGGGAAGTGTGTCTGTGTGTGCGTGTGTGTGCACAAGTGTGTATGTGTGCATGTGTTTGCACGTGTATATGTGTGCACACATCTGTGTGTATATGCACAGGTGTATGTATACGTGTGTGTTGGTGTATTTGTGTGTGTGTGGAAATGTATGCATGTATGCAGTGTGCATGTGTGCATGCATGTGTGTGCATGTGTGTATAGGTGTGCATGTGTATGTGTGCACGTGTGTATGTGCACGTGTGTATGTGTATACATGTGTATGGGTGTATTTGCGTGTGGATATGTATGCATGTATGCACGTGTGTGCATATCTGTGTATGTGCAACTGTGTATGTGTGCACGTGTGTATCCATGCATATGTGTGCGTGTGTGTACATGTGTGTATAAGTGCGTATGTGTGTTCCCGTGTGTATGCATCTGTGTCTGTATTGTGTGGCATGTATGTGTCTATTGTGTGTGTATGCATGTGTGCGTGTATGCATTTATACATGTGTATGTGTGCGCATATATGGATGCATGCATGTTGCCTGCATGTGCACGTATCGGGTGTGTGTGCGTGTACGTGTACACGAATATGCATGTATGCATATATGTATGCACGTGTGTGTAAATTCTGCCGTGACTGTTTTCCTGTGGAAAGGCTGAGTGTGCAGGTTCTGTGCCTGTGGGGGGCTGTTCTTCACGTATGTGTTGTGTGGCTGTGCACAGGTTCTGTGCCTGTGGGGGGCTGTTCTTCACGTATGTGTTGTGTGGCTGTGCACAGGTTCTGTGCCTGTGGGGGGCTGTTCTTCACGTATGTGTTGTGTGGCTGTGCACAGGTTCTGTGCCTGTGGGGGGCTGTTCTTCACATATGTGTTGTGTGGCTATGCACAGGCAGACCATGCTATAGTCCTGTAGCTGTGTGGATGCGAGCGGAGGGGGTGGGGGGCCCAGGGGAGGCCCCCTCCCCTGAGCTCTACTCCTCCTAGGACATCCTGGACCTGGAGAACCAGCGAGAAAACCTGGAGCAGCCATTCCTGAGTGTGTTCAAGAAGGGGCGGCGGAGGGTGCCTGTGAGGAACCTGGGAAAAGTTGTGCATTACGCCAAGGTCCAGCTGCGGTTCCAGCACAGCCAGGTGGGGGCCGGGCTGGGTGGAGCACGCTAAGGGTGCAGCATCCCCATCAGCCTGGGGCTCCCCAGACTCCGCACTGACGACCCTGCTCCCCGCGCAGGATGTCAGCGACTGCTACCTGGAGCTATTCCCCGCCCACCTGTACTTCCAGGCCCACGGCTCGGAAGGACTCACATTTCAGGTGAGGCGGTGGGCAATGGGGTGGGGCCATGGCCGCCCTTCCCTCCATGGATCCCTGAAGCTCCTCCTACCCTGTGCCTGGCAGGGGCTGTTACCGCTGACGGAGCTGAGTGTCTGCCCGCTCGAGGGGTCCCGAGAGCACGCCTTCCAGATCACAGGTGTTTGGGATGCTTCCCGGGCCCCCAGAGGCACTCCTGACCCAGGACTTGGAGAGGGGCCTGCCCTGTGGCTGCGGAGCACGTGTGTGTATGTGTGTGCCCTCTCTGCCCTGCCCGCAGGCCCACTGCCCGCACCCCTCCTGGTGCTCTGCCCCAGCCGGGCCGAGCTGGACCGCTGGCTTTACCACCTGGAGAAGCAGACGGCCCTCCTCGGGGGGCCGCGGCGCTGCCACTCGGCACCCCCACAGGTCAGTGCCGGGGACCCCACCCCCCTCCCCACCCTGATCCTCGCAGCCGGCTCTGACCTCCTCCTCACAGGGGTCCTGCGGAGACGAACTCCCCTGGACTTTGCAGCGCCGTCTAACCCGGCTGCGGACGGCGTCAGGGCACGAACCCGGCGGCAGTGCTGTCTGTGCCTCGAGGGTCAAGCTGCAGCACCTGCCCGCACAGGTGGGTGGGAGGTGCGTGGGGCTGTAGGGGGATGGGAGGGGTGCATGGTGGTGGGCAGGGCGGTGCAACAGCAGCTCAGTTCCCTCATCGCCTGACCCCACCCCCACCCACCCAGGAGCAGTGGGACCGGCTCTTGGTCCTGTACCCAACGTCCTTGGCCATTTTCTCCGAGGAGCTGGACGGGCTTTGCTTCAAGGTGGGCCCCTCCCCACTGTGGGCCCGCCCCAGGGAGGCAGCTGTGTGGGGGTGGGAGGGGGCAGCCATGCAGGAGGAACCTGTATTTCGGGGCTTGTTGAGACAGAGCGCAGGGCCCTGCCCACCCAGCCCGCGGTCCTGGTCAGTCTGGTCTCCGCTGTGACATGGAGGAGCCCCTGCCCGCCCTGAGGTTCTCACCCTGAGGTTCTTGACCGTCACCCTGGGGCGGGCAGCATGGGGCTGAGAGCCCCTCCCGGGGACTCCCTTGTGTGTGCCTGCCCGTGAGGCGTGTGTGTGCACACGTGCGTGTGCGTGTGTCCTCCAGGGCGGGCTCCGGGAAGGGGGTGTGCACTCACGGTAACCTTCAGTCACTGAGGAACAAACACAGGGCCCTCCCCATGG
The DNA here is from genome assembly GCF_000001405.40 of Homo sapiens. Lineage (NCBI taxonomy): Eukaryota > Metazoa > Chordata > Mammalia > Primates > Hominidae > Homo > Homo sapiens. Next base: position 971,806 of record NC_000001.11, read on the forward strand.
TTCACCCGGCCCAACTTCTTCTCTGGGGACCCCAAGAGGCCAGTCCTGTGGCTTTGTGTGTCTGCCCCTAGCCGGCGAAGGCCCCCGCGCCAGGGTTGGTGGTAGCCCCAGGAGACATGGGACCCACTGGCCTCCCTCAGGGTGGTGGCCTCGGTGCCCAGCTCTCCAAGTACCCAGCCAAGCTCTGGAGGGCAAGAGGGTGGGATGAGGCCAGGCGGGGCCCCGGGGCTGCCCCTACAAAGGCCTGGCCCTCAATCTCTGCTCCGCAGGGGGAGCTCCCACTCCGTGCCGTCCACATCAACCTGGAGGAGAAGGAGAAGCAGATCCGCTCCTTCCTGATTGAAGGTAGGGCCCTGACCCTGGTTCTGCCTCCCGCCTGGCCAGGCCATGGTGGGGCGGGAGCCTGGGGGACGCCCGACTCTTTAGTGGGGGCGCTGAGGGGTGCACCCCCCCGCCAGCCCCTCACAGCATCTGTATGCCAGGCCCCCTCATCAACACCATCCGCGTGGTGTGCGCCAGCTACGAGGACTACGGTCACTGGCTGCTGTGCCTTCGCGCTGTCACCCACAGGGAGGGGGCCCCGCCGCTGCCTGGTGCCGAGAGCTTCCCAGGGTCGCAGGTGAGGGGTCAATAGGCCCCACAGCCCAGGTCCTGGGCAGTGGTAAAAAGGGGGCAGCAGACCGGGCGTGGTGGCGCACGCCTGTAATCCCAGCATTTTAGGAGGCTGAGGCGGGCGGATCATTTGAGGTCAGGGGTTCGAGATCAGCCTGACCGACGTGGAGAAACCCTGTCTCTATTAAAAATACAAAAAAATTAGCCGGGCATGGCGGTACATCCCTGTAACCCCAGCTACTCAGGAGGCTGAGGCAGGAGAATCGCTTGACCAGGAGGCGGAGGTTGCAGTGAGCCGAGATCGTGCCACTGTACTGCAGCCTGGGCGACAGAATAAGACTTCGTCCCAAAAAGATAAAAGGGGGGACAGCACGGTGGGTCCAGGCAGGGGCGGGTGGGGAGGGGGTCCAGCCCTCACTCACCCCCACTCACTGCCCATCCAGGTTATGGGCAGTGGCCGAGGCTCACTCTCCTCAGGCGGACAGACCAGCTGGGACTCGGGGTGCTTGGCGCCCCCCTCCACCCGCACCAGCCACTCCCTGCCTGAGTCCTCAGTGCCATCCACCGTGGGCTGCTCCTCCCAGCACACACCGGTGAGCGCTTACGGGGTGGCAGACGAAAGTGGGGCAGAAGGCTGTCGGGTAGGTGTGTGTTGGGGACCCTGGTTCCTCAGGGGAACTCAGACTGGAGGGAGCCCCTTGCAGCCTCAGAGAGTTGCACGGGAGAGGGGCCAAAGGGCTCTTCCTGGAAGGTTTGTGGTCCCCACAGGACCAGGCCAACTCTGACCGTGCCAGCATTGGCCGACGGAGGACCGAGCTGAGACGCAGTGGCAGCAGCCGGTCACCCGGGAGCAAGGCCCGGGCAGAGGGCCGCGGCCCTGTCACCCCACTGCACCTGGACCTGACCCAGGTGGGCCCAGCACACCCACACAGCCCCTGGCCTGGTTCCCACCGTTCCGCACCACTGGTCTCTGTCTCTGGGCCCAGTTGTCCTGGAGCCACCCAGAGGCCTCTTGCACAGAGAAGGGGTGGCCTAGGCTGTTTCTAGCCGAGAAGCCCATTTCTCCCACCTCTGCCCTGCAGCTGCACAGGCTGAGCCTGGAGAGCAGCCCAGATGCCCCTGACCACACTTCGGAAACATCACACTCGCCCCTCTATGCCGACCCCTACACACCACCCGCCACCTCCCACCGCAGGGTCACAGATGTCCGGGGCCTGGAGGAGGTCAGGCCCCTGCTGGGTGACAGAAAGGGTGGGAGGTGCCTGCAGCCTGAGGCTGGGGAGGTCTAGACCGTGCGTCTCACCCTGGGGTCTGGGGCTGCCCCAAGCCTGAGGTCTGTTCAGGCTCTGATGGGAGGTTGAGGTTCTGGGGGCCCCTGGCTGCCACCCAGGCCCCAGCCCTGGCTCTCCCTGCAGTTCCTCAGTGCCATGCAGAGTGCACGTGGACCCACGCCCTCGAGCCCACTCCCCTCGGTGCCTGTGTCTGTGCCTGCCTCTGACCCTCGCTCCTGCTCCTCCGGCCCCGCTGGCCCCTACTTGCTCTCCAAGAAGGGAGCCCTGCAGTCCAGAGCCGCTCAGAGACACCGGGGCTCAGCCAAGGATGGGGGGCCGCAGCCCCCAGACGCCCCTCAGCTTGTGAGTAGCAGCCCCCACGCCCGTGTGCCCCGGGCTCCGGGCTGGCCGGGGGTCTGGTGTGGGGCCTCTTGGGACTCTGAGGGAGCAGGGAGGGAAACAGGAGGACGGGGGCAGATGGAGGCCAGGGGGGCCAGTAGGGAGTTGGGGAGATGGGACTGGGGAGGGAGAGCAGGGGGACATGGGGGGCTGCACAGTGACAGGCCGCCTCCAAGCTCCCTGCCTGGGGCTGTGCCCGGCTCTCAGACTTGCGGTTTGGGGTTCCAGGTCTCCTCTGCCAGGGAAGGTTCGCCCGAACCCTGGCTGCCTCTGACAGGTGAGTAAGGATCCTGCCTCCTGAGGTGAGTGCCTGTTGCCTCCCACAGGCTGACACATCTCTGCCTTCCCTACCAGATGGTCGGTCCCCCAGGAGGAGCCGGGACCCCGGCTACGACCACCTCTGGGACGAGACTTTGTCTTCCTCCCACCAGAAGTGCCCCCAGCTTGGAGGGCCTGAGGCCAGTGGGGGGCTTGTGCAGTGGATCTGATGGCCGCGGTGAGGTGGGTTCTCAGGACCACCCTCGCCAAGCTCCAGGGTACCTGCCCCTCTAACCCACTTCAAATTACAAGTCAGGGTCTGAACCCAGTGTGATGGGGGGAGTCTCTGGGGCCCTGAGTTCAGAGCCCGTCCCTCAGCTCCTGTTCCTTGGTGCCAGCAGCTGGGGCAGGGAAGGGTGGGAGGGGCCCCATCCAAAGGATGCCCTGGCCAGCGAGGCTGGGTCACAGGTCAGGGAGGTCCTGGCCGTCCACAGGGTCGGCCCTCAGCTCAGCCCGCCAGGAGTCAGGGAGGAGACTCGCTGGGAGTGGGAGGGCAGCACGGGCGTGAAGGTCGGAGGACAGAGAAAGGTCAGCAGGGTCAGAGTATGTGAGGTCAGAGGGCATGAGGGTCACAGGTCAGCAAGGTGTGAGGAGCACAAGCCAGGGTGCCCCGAGGAGGAGGGTGGGTGGGTCCTTGTGTGGCCTGGCGCGCACCACAGGGCAGCACGGGAGACGTTGACACCACCGGACGAGAAAGAAAAAAGAGAGAAGAGAGAGAGGAGAAGAGAGAAAAGAAGAGAAGAGAGAAGAGAAGAGAAGGAAAGAGAGAGAGAGAATAAGAAAAGGAAGAAAGAAAAAGAAAAGATAGAATTTTATTGGTGCTGCATCCATGTGTTCTCTGCTCAGCAGCCAGGGTCTCCCACAGTCTTGAGGACCCCCACCCAGCACCCAGCCAGGCAGCCCCCTTCCTCTGCCACCTCGGGCCCCTCACCGACCTTCCCACCTCATCTCTGACTCCTCTTGGCTGTGGGTCCCCAGCTGCCCCACAGGAGCCCCCGGGACAACCCCAGGAGCCCAGCCCTCCATCTGAGGCCACCGAATTCTCCCTCTGCACCTGCACCCAGGGCTCCCGGGGAGGGGCTCGCGGCTCTGCCACAGACCCCCACCCTGCAGGGGCTGCTGCACTGGGGAGGGGCAGGCAGAGCCTTCGCTGTCTCAGGCCAGAGCCCGCAGAGGCCTTGGCCACAGTCCTTTGAGGATCAAGAGTGATGGGCCTTGGAGCCCTTGCCAGCCCAGCCCACCTGTGAGGAGGCTGCCCATCCCCTCTTTGAGGCCACCCTGTGTCCTCTCCCCTGCCTCTGCCCAGAGCTCCAGCCGGAGTGTCTTGCTGCTCAGACCCCTCCGAGGTCCAAGTCCTGTCCTGCCACTCAGCTCCCCCTGCACCCCAGAAGAAACGCAGGGTGCGGTTGCATTTGATTTCAGATAAACAACAACTTCTTAGTAAAATGACCTCCCCACTATTGCCTGTCTGAAATTAACCGAATGCCCTGTGTTCTCATCTGTGAATCTGGCCACCCTCCTACCCAGCCACCTGCCTGCCCTCCACCCACCCAGACTTTAGCACCTCCCTCCCAGGCGTGGGGAGTGGCCGTGGTCACTGGCTGGATCCTCAGGTGAGTCGGAGGGAGCAGCACCAGGACACGCCCCCCTCCTGGACGCGGTAGAAGAGAGGGGTCAGAGGGCCCGGGCGAGGGCGGCACCTCGTCCTGCCCTGGGCGCCTGTGGTCGTCTCCTCATCCTGCATCTCCCTGGCCCGGGCCTGGCTCCTAGGAGCTGGGGCTGGGGCTGTGGCTGCGGCGCCCTTGCCCCACCTGCCGGCGGAAGTAGCGGATGGCAGAGATGGTGCCGACGTTGGCCAGCAAGGCTGCAAGAGAAGCACAGGCTCTTCTGAGGGCCAGCCTGGCTGTCGGCACCGTCTGCCCGCAAGACCCAGCCCTCAAAGGGCGGGCAAGGTCGGTGCGGCCAGGGCCGCAGCTCAGCCTGGGGGGAGCAGGTCAGGGGTGAGCCCCGGGGCCCCCGTGCACCCCTCGTCCTGCCAGCGCCCCTCGGTCTGGCTTCTAGGCGCAGCTCCCTCTGCCCCCAGGCACCCAAACCTGTTTTCCAGGCGTCTGGGGTATGCGGATCTGACGTCCTCACAGCCCAGGTGGCAAAAGCTACAAACACCAGGCACATGTCATTCTGGCTGAAGGCAAATGATGGGACAGGCCCCCGGAGCTCCCCTAGGACAGAAGCTCACCTTCAGCCCCACGGCTGCACTCAGAGATGGCCCCGCACACGCCCGCCCCGGGAACCGCCTGCCCCCACCCCCACCAACCCCGGGAACCGCCTCCCACTCCCCCCGCCAACCCCGGGAACCGCCTCCCACTCCCCCCGCCAACCCCGGGAACCGCCTCCCACTCCCCCCGCCAACCCCGGGAACCGCCTCCCACTCCCCCCGCCAACCCCGGGAACCGCCTCCCACTCCCCCCGCCAACCCCGGGAACCGCCTCCCACTCCCCCCGCCAACCCCGGGAACCGCCTCCCACTCCCCCCGCCAACCCCGGGAACCGCCTCCCACTCCCCCCGCAACCCCGGGAACCGCCTCCCACTCCCCCCGCAACCCCGGGAACCGCCTCCCGCTCCCCCCACCAACCCCGGGAACCGCCTCCCGCTCCCCCCACCAACCCCGGGAACCGCCTCCCGCTCCCCCCGCAACCCCGGGAACCGCCTCCCGCTCCCCCCACCAACCCCGGGAACCGCCTCCCGCTCCCCCCACCAACCCCGGGAACCGCCTCCCGCTCCCCCCACCAACCCCGGGAACCGCCTCCCGCTCCCCCCACCAACCCCGGGAACCGCCTCCCACCACCCCGCCAACCCCGGGAACCGCCTGCCCCCACCGACCAACCCCGGGAACCGCCTCCCACTCCCCCCGCAACCCCGGGAACCGCCTCCCGCTCCCCCCACCAACCCCGGGAACCGCCTCCCGCTCCCCCCACCAACCCCGGGAACCGCCTCCCGCTCCCCCCACCAACCCCGGGAACCGCCTCCCGCTCCCCCCACCAACCCCGGGAACCGCCTCCCGCTCCCCCCACCAACCCCGGGAACCGCCTCCCGCTCCCCCCACCAACCCCGGGAACCGCCTCCCGCTCCCCCCACCAACCCCGGGAACCGCCTCCCGCTCCCCCCACCAACCCCGGGAACCGCCTCCCGCTCCCCCCACCAACCCCGGGAACCGCCTCCCGCTCCCCCCACCAACCCCGGGAACCGCCTCCCGCTCCCCCCACCAACCCCGGGAACCGCCTCCCGCTCCCCCCGCAACCCCGGGAACCGCCTGCCCCCACCGACCAACCCCGGGAACCGCCTCCCACCCCCACCAACCCCGGGAACCGCCTCCCAATCCCCCCAACCCCGGGAACTGCCTCCCACCCCCACCAACCCCGGGAACCGCCTCCCAATCCCCCCAACCCCGGGAACTGCCTCCCACCACCCCCAACCCCGGGAACCGCCTCCCACTCCCCCCGCAACCCCGGGAACCGCCTCCCACCACCCCGCAACCCCGGGAACCGCCTGCCCCCACCGACCAACCCCGGGAACCGCCTCCCAATCCCCCCAACCCCAGGAACCGCCTCCCAACCCCCCCCAACCCCAGGAACCGCCTCCCAACCCCCCCCAACCCCAGGAACTGCCTGCCCCGGGAGCCGCTTCCCCCGCAACCCCGGGAACCACCTGCCCCGCACACGGCCGCCCCGGGAACCGCCTGCCTCCCCCTCCAACCCCAGGAACCGCCTGCCCCACCCTAACCCTGCACACTCTTGGCCTGGGAACTGCCTGCCCCGCACACGCCCGCCCCGGGAACCGCCTGCCCCAGATACATCCATCATGGGACATGTCTGTCCTAAGATACATTTGTGCTGGACACGTCTACCCTGGACACGTCTTCCCGAAACCCCTCTGTCATGGACACGTCTTCCTGAGAACTGGTTGCCCCGGGAACCGCCTGCCCCGGGAACCGCCCGCCCTGGACGCGTCTGTCGGAGTCACATCGCCCCCGTGCTTCTTCTGCCTGAGATTTGGGTGACCTGGTTGAGTTGGGCCAGTTTGGGGGAACTGCCAGTGGAGGCCCCGTGTTCTGGTCTGTAAAGCATCTCCCAGAGGACATCAGTGTGAGATGGGCCTCGTAGAGTGCCTGACCCTGAAGGTAGCCAGGCCTGGGCGGGAACCCTGCCAGAGGCTGGGGGAGGGACGCCGCCGTCACATGGGCCCGAACACAGGGCAACGGCGGCGCAGAGCCAACCCCCTGAACAACCCGGGTGCTTGGACTGGGCCGCCCCATCTGGACTGTGTGCTGGGATGACTGGGGGCTGGTCCCCAGGCTCCCCTGCTAGGGGATGACCCAAGCCCGGCCTGCCCGGCCCCTGCGGCCCCCTGCTTGGCCAAGATCCCTGGACAGTGTGTGCCTGGGATCTGGACGGGCTGTGGGATCCGAGAGCACGTACCTGCCCGTCTAAGAGCCAGGTGGAGCCGCTCTACCACGGCTGGCTTGAGGGGGGTCCCAGGCCCCGCCCCCTCGGAGGCCGACCGGGGAGGCTCCAGGGCCTGCAGTGGGAGCGGGACAGCCGGCCCCAGCACGCCCTCAAGCCTGTCCTCCCCGAAGAAGAAGTGTTCATAGACCTCAGGGATGGAGATGGGCACGGGGTCTCCAGGTATGGGGGCCGGCACAGGATCAGCTCTCGGGAGCGGCTCCGGGGACCCCCGCCGCCTCGACCTCTGGGCTCCAACGTCTGGGAAGAAGAACTCGCACATGTCCGGCCACTGGACGCCTGCCGGATCCTGACCGGCCGCTGCCGCCTCAGCCTCTTCGTTCTCCTCGATGGTGTCACAGAAGAAGAACTCGTAGGCCTCCGGGAGGGTCACGGCAAAGCTGCTCCCGGGCCCGACCCTCGTCACGGCAGAGGGAGGGGGGCGAGGCAGGTGCTTGAGGATCCGAGGCTGGTGGGGCCGGGGCCCGACAGCCACAGCCTCCCAGGCTCCGGGCCCCCCGTGGGCCCCAGTTGCTGTCTGGGGGGCTGAGGGCCGGGCTGAGGCCTGTCCTGAGCCTGGCTTATTGGGGCTGGGCCCAGCCACGGAGAAGCGCACTTTCTTCTTCCTGGGGACTTGGGTGAGACCCAGTGCGGGTGCCCCAGAGCAGCATCCGGGGGCCCCTGCTGAGGGCTCAGACACAACCGCCTCCATCTCCACCACATCAGGCCCAGCTCTGCGGGTGGGAGGCCAGGCGAGGCCAGCGGCGTCGGCTCTGGGAACAGGTGTAGACACAAGCCCGCTGGACTCGGTCATCCTCGGCACAGCCTCCGAGACAGGTGGAGATGAAGCCACCTCTAGCTTAGCCACTGGGCCTGCTGTAGGCAAGGCCACATCCAGGCCATGTTTGGAGGCAGGTGTGGACACAGCCACGTCCGTGTCCAATTGTGGCTTGGAGATGGGTGTAGACAGAGCCACACTGGACTGAGGCTCAGAAGCTGGTGTAGACACAGCCGTGTCAGATTGCGGCTTGGAGGCAGGTATAGACACAGCCATGTCCCTGTCAGGTTGCGGCTCAGAGGCAGGTGTAGACACAGCCATGTCCGTGTCAGGTTGCGGCTCAGAGGCAGGTGTAGACACAGCCATGTCCCTGTCAGATTGCGGCTCGGAGGCAGGTGTAGACACAGCCATGTCCCTGTCAGGTTGCGGCTCGGAGGCAGGTGTAGACACAGCCATGTCTGACTTAGCCCTTGAGACATCTGGGAGGGCTTCCCAGACAGTCGTGGACACTGTGTGCAGCTTGGCTCGGCGCGGGGTTCTGATTTGGTCTGTGCCTTGCTCTGTCACAGGGACAGGTGTAGACAGGCCCAAACCTGGCCCTGGTCTGTCTTCCTGCACAGGGGACCTGGGGCCAGGCTCAGGAGCTCCTGCAGGACCTGGCCCCAACTCCTCCTGCCCGGCTTTGGCCATCAGCTTTGCCGTCTCAGGACTGGCCGCAGGGAGCAGCGGGGAGCCCGTCTGGGCAGAAGCAGAGGCTCCTGTGTGCCCACCCCCCTTGGCACCCACAGCTCGCCTCTTCTTTCGGCTGGGGCTCCGTGGTGGGGCTCCAGGGCTATCGGGGGGCCTCTGGGAGCCAGTGCTGTGGCCAGGGGACTTGGGACTCCCAGGGGGCTCACCAGGGGGCCGTGGGGCAGGGCCCTGCAGAAGCCTCTGCATCTGGTCTCCAGAAGACGCCGGACCAGGGCAGGATGAGAACTGGCTGGGAGGGCTGGCGCCGGGGCCGAGGGACGGTGGAGCTTCTGCCCGTGCGGACGTGCTGGGTGTCTGCTGACCGGTCCCCAGGGCCAAGACAGGCTCACCCTGAGACCTGCTGACCGGCTGCTGTGTGGCCACGTCCTCCTCCTCGCAGCCCCGCCGGCTCCGCCCTCCTGCAGCTAGCTGCCCAGTTGGGAGAGGTGGGGCCCTGGGGGGACTGCTGCCACTGCTGTCCCCTTGGTCAATGTCACTGGACAAGAGCTCGTCCCCAGAGGCCAGGCCGGCCTGCAGGAGGCCACACTCATCGGCGGTGGCTGAGAACTCGGCCCAGTCCTGGTCACTCAGCTGGACGCTGTACTGGAAATTTTCCATGTGGAGTCAGCAGAGGCACTGGAGGGTAGCAGAATGGGTCCGGTGGGGTCTTCATGGGTTCAGGCCCCGGGCACCACCCTGCACATGCCGCCCCTGCCCCACGAGACCTGGGAGCTCCCACCGCCTCGGGGCTCCATCCATGCCCTGAAAGGAAGAGAACAGCATCTCGAGGGGAGGGCCGCGCTTCCTTCAAACCTAGTGGTGACGATTTCCAAGTTAGAAGATCCCCAGCTCCCATGACCCTAGTTCCCAACGCACCCCAAATGATAGCTGTGTGATGATGCGGTGTTACATTCCTAGAATCAAGGATGATTTTCTACCAGTGAAGCTATAAAACCAGCCGTCCTCAGGTTTGAATGCTCTTTCCCATCACACCTCAGCTGGGGCAGCCTCACCTCCTCCACCTTCTGCCAGAGCTGTCTTTGCACGGCAAAGCACCTTTCAGGGTCCACCCGATGGGACCAGTGCCCTCGGGGGTGGGCAGCCCTGGTCCATCCCAGTGCGCCCCAGCTGGCAGCCGGCCACAGGAAAGGTTTACAGGGCCCAGCAGGTGCCCAGCCCTCGGCGATGACCTTCCGATCGCCTTGGCTGGGCCAGGCTATTCTCTGAGCTCACCAGGTGGTGCTGGCCAGAGCTGGCCCAAGTCAGCACGGAGAGCCTGGGCAGGAGGTGCAGGCTGCGGTGGGTCTCTTGACCCAGCAGCCACCTCGGGCCGTCCTCGAGGTCTGCACCACGATCCAGGCCTGCCCGGCTGCCCGGGGTGCCTTCCTTTGCCCCGTCTCAGAGAAGCAAGGAGACCCTAGCCAGCTGTCGGGTCTACCCCTAGAGGGGGCCGCCCTCGGCCTCAGGTCAGCCCCTCTGGACCCAGGGGTGGGAAGTCACTTTGGTGGGGACGGTCCTGAGACGGAGGCCAGGGCATGGTGGCTTCCCACCCACTGACCTTCGCCCTCCTCTCTGGTCTCTTGAGAAGCCTCTGTGGGGGTTGTTACCATTGGGGCCCCTTGGGTCAGGAGCCAGCAGCTGACCATGTCCTACCTGGGTCCCGGCGGCCGAGCTGGGCGTCTGAGCTGCCCGTCCTGGGTCGGCATGGTGCTAGGCTGTGGCTGCACAGGCTCCTCCCCCTGTGCCAAAAATACCACGTCCCTGTGGCCACATGAGACTCGTGCCAGCCATCAGGGTCCAGGCCACAAATAGATGGCATTTGAGGGCCCTCCAGCTACAGTACATGAGGACGACTTCCTGGCACGGGGCCGGGCTGAGGTGGGGTCAGACACGGGCCGGAGGACGCTGACCAGCAGGCAGCACCGCTCAGTTCCCGTGCCTCCGCCACCCGCGGTGAAACCTCAGACCTGCCCTCCCTGCCGCCCCTGGAATGTTCCTGGCCTGCTTCTGAGATGGCCTCTGTGTCCCGGCCAGGGCTTGTGCCTCCCGGTCCTGACCTCTGGGGCTCATGTGAGGGTGAGTGACGCCAGGGAGCGTCAGCGTCAGAGCCCCCACGCCTGGCTCCGCTCAGCTGCACCCTCCAGGCCGTCCTGACCTTGGGGTTCACGGTGCCCATTCCCAGGCAGGTTCCGAGCCAGAGGGGACAAGAGGACAGGGCGAGGGATCCAACAATAAACATCCGATCAAACAGGCAGGTGAGCTCAGCTCCGATGGCAGCACGTCCTGAGAAAGAAGTAGGGAGAGGCGTGGCTGGAGGGGCCGGAGACCTCTCTAAGGAGGAGGCTTGGACCGAGAAGCTCCTGAGAGTTCAGGGCACGATACTAGGAGACTGGGGTGTGCGCCGTGAGGGGTGGCAGTGAGAGCTGGGCGTGCAGAAAGTGCATGCCTGGTGCCATACGATGCTTTTCCAGAAAGTAGCTGCCACGAGACCACAGGACAAGGCGTCCCGCCACGCAGGGCCGGCCTGACTTGAGCTTTCACAAGTGGAATCGCACCCTGCATCCCTTTCTGCATCTGTGTCCTCGGGCCCACGCCGTGCTCTGGAGACAGCTGCCATGAGGGCCGCGGGCGACTGCCCGGGCGGGTGAGGCTGTCCTGTGTGAACGTGCCACGCGGCTGTGCCGTTTCCCGTGGGTGGCGATGTGGGTCGTTTCCAGTTTGCAGCTACCACACACGGTGCGGCTGTGAATATCTGGGAACATTCCTTTCGGCGAACCTCTCACATTTCCAGGACGCTTGGGGTCAGCGTCAGAAGGTGCCGCCCCGTTCCCCAGGTGGCTGCGTGGCCGTGCTCCAGGCTGGAGTTTCCCAGGAGCTGCGCATCTGCTTCTGTGTGGCGTCTCTCGGCTGCGGCCGCCTCCCTGTGCCTCCTCCCTGTGGGTCTGTAGGAGTCCTTACGTATTCTGGACGAGCTCTTCATTGAACTCTTGTACTGGGGAATCTTCTCCCTCTCTGCCTCCTCTTTCCACCCTCATAACGGTACCTTTCTTTGCTTGTTTGTTTGTTTGAGACGGAGTTTCACTCTTGTCGCCCAGGCTGATGTGCAATGGCAAAATCTCAGCTCACTGCAACCTCCGCCTCCCAGGTTGAAGAGATTCTCCTGCCTCAGCCTCCTGAGTAGCTGGGATTACAGGCAGGCGCCACCATGCCCGGCTAATTTTGTATTTTTAGTAGGGACCAGGTTTCTCCATGTTTCCCAGGCTGCTCTCAAACTCCTGACCTCAGGTGTGAGCCACCGCGCCCGGCCTATTCCTTCATTTAAAAAAAAACTTCACTGTGTCGCCTTTCACGCTCGGCTCTGCCACACACTTGGCATTGACTTCTGTGAGAGGTGGGAGGTGGGGGGCACGGGACTCCTGTCTTCACGTGGACGCTCAGCTGACCCAGCAGCACATCCTGGGTGGCATGCACGTGGCATCCGGGCCCCACGTGGACCATCACGAGATGAGAAGGCTTTGGGGCTTGGGACAGGAGAGGCAGGGAGGCCGACGGCAAGGCTGTGGCCAGGGAGCTGTGCGAGGAGGTCTAGGGTGGCGGAGGGAGGGGCCCTACCCTGAGGCCTTTTCATGACGAGCTGTCACTGGAGTTGGCCTGAGGCTTCAGGGGAAGCCCTTCCCTGTATCCAGCCCAGTCATGACCCTTCCTGGTGGGAGGGTGGCTGTAGGATGAGGAATAGTCAGGGCCCCCCTGCACTTCAGGCAGCAGCACCCCTCAGTCCAGGGAGGAGGAATAACCCAGTTCTACGGTGGAGGCAGAGACCAGACCCGGGCCTGGGGGGCAAGTCGGGGGGCGGGGGGAGGTCGGGCAGGGTCCCCTGGGAGGATGGGGACGTGCTGTGCCCCTAGCGGCCACCAGAGGGCACCAGGACACCACTGCGGTCGGCTCAGCGGCTCCTGCCCTGGTCAGGGGGCGCCAGGTCCTGCCCCTCCTGGGGAGGGCGGGGGGCGAGAAGGGCGATTCTGGGGGCGGTTGCTCGGCTCCCTTTCCTGAAGCCATGTGGCCCGGGTGAAAGTCCCGGACCTTGAGACAGTCGGGGAGCTGATCCATGAGCAACCATCGCATGCCGGGTACAGCCGCAAACAATGTACACAGCTGCGGAATTATTTTTCTTTCTTTTTTCTTTTCTTTCTTTTTTCCTTCTTATTTATTTATTTATTTATTTATTTATTTATTTATTTATTTATTTGAGATGGGGTTTCGCTCTGTCGCCCAGACTGGAGTGCAGTGGCGCAATCCCAGCTCACTGCAGCCTCCACCTCCCAGGCTCAAGTGATCCTCCAGCCTCAGCCTTCTGAGTAGCTGGGATCACAGTCGCCATCGCCAAGCCCGGCCTCCTTTTCATTTTTTATAGCTTTATTGAAGTATAATTAACACGTAATACACTTCAAGTATTTATTTATTTAACTATCTATCTATCTATCGTTTGAGACGGAGTCTCACTCTGTCGCCCAGGCTGGATGGAGTGCAGTGGCTCCATCTCGGCTCACTACAACCTCCGCCTCCCGGGTTCCAGCGATTCTCCTGCCTCAGACTCCTGAGTAGCTGGGACCACAGGCGCCCACCGTGTCCGGAGAATTTTTGTATTTTTAGTAGAGATGGGGTTTTGCCATGTTGGCCAGGCTGGTCTCGAACTCCTGATCTCAAGTGATCTGCCCGCCTTGGCCTCCCAAAGTGCTGGAATGACAGGTGTGAGCCGCCCCGGTCTTCAAGTATTTAAAATGTGCAGTTCGCTAGGTTTGGACACATATACCCCCGGGAGCCACCACAAACGTCTCCAACACTCCCAAACGTTCCTTTGGCCCCTTGGTGATTCTTTCCCTCCCCACACTCAGGCAACCCCGAATCCGCTGTCCCTGCAGAGTAAGTTGCATTGGCTAGAATTGTCCGCTGGGCCCTTCTTCGTACAGGACAGAAAAGTACAACACGCCTGTCCTCTGTGACAGCGTTTCTTAGAGATTCACCCACACTGTGGTATATGTCAATTGTTGCTTTTCATACAAAGTGTTCCATTGTTGGATACACTACAGTTTCTGTATCCATGCCTCTCTTGATGGACATTTGGATTATTTCTAGTTTGGGGCTATCACAGGTAAAACTGCTACGAACATTTGTGTACAAGTGTTTGTACTGTGAAAGGAAAGTGAATTTTGGGACCCCCCAAATCACTGAGCCAAATGGAAAAGTCAAGCTGGCAACTGCTTAGGGCCCACCTGCCTCCCGTTCTATTCTTTAAAAAGACAGCTTCTAAGATTTAAATAATAAACAGCTGCCTCCCTCCCTCAGGACGTGTTCACAGGGGAACTCCTTGCAGACACAGGATGAGCAGAATTCAAAGCCGTTCCTCTGCTTGCTGAGATGAGTGAACATCTAATCAGAAACTCAAAAGAATGCGACCCTCTGTTTTATCACCTGTGACCTGGAAGCCCTCTCCCCTCTTCAAATTGTCTCGCTTCTTGGGACTGAACCAATGTACATCTTACACATATTATTGAAGTCTCATGTCTTCCTAAAATGTAGAAAACCCAGCTGTACCCCGGCCACCTCGGGCACAGGTCGTCAGGACCTCCTGAGGCCGTGTCACGGGCACGTCCCTAACCTTTAACCTTGGCAAAATCAACTTTCTTTCTTTTTTTTTTGAGACAGAGTCTGGCTCTGTCGCCCAGGCTGGAGTGCAGTGGCGCCATCTCGGCTCACTGCAAGCTCCGCCTCCCGGGTTCATGCCATTCTCCTGTCTCAGCCTCCCGAGTAGCTGGGACTACAGGCACCCACCACCACGCCCAGCTAATTTTTTAGTATGTTTAGTAGAGACGGGGTTTCACCGTGTTAGCCAGGATGGTCTCGAACTCCTGACCTCGTGATCAGCCCGCCTCGGCCTCCCAAAGTGCTGGGATTACAGGCGTGAGCCACCGCGCCCGGCCTGGCAAAATCAACTTTCTAAATGGATTCAGACCTGTCTCAGATACCTGGGGTTGACCGTGTGGACACATGCTTTCATTTCTCTTGGGTACATACTCGGAATTGGAGTGGCTAGATCATATGATAGGTATATGTTTAACTTTTTGAGAAACTGCCAGACCGTCTTCCAGTGTGGTTGTACAATTATTTATTCCCACTAGAGGTTCCAGGCTCCGTGTCCTCGTCCTCACCCACACTCAGCGCGGGACAGCTTTGTAATTCAGTCATCCCAGTAGGCGCTCATTCTGGTTTTAATTTGCATTTCCTTAATGATGAACAACACTGGGCATCTTCTCACGTGTGCATTTGTTATCCATGTATCTTCTTTGGTAAAAAGACTGATCAAATATTTTGTCCATTTTATTTTATTTGAGACAGAGCCTCACTCTGTTGCCCAGGCTGGAATGAAGCAGTGAGATCTTGGCTCACTGCAACCTCCACCCCCTGGGTTCAAGTGATTGTTCCACCTCAGCTTCCCGAGTAGCTGGGATTACAGGTGCTGACACCACACCTGGCTAATTTTTGTATTTTTAGTAGGGACGGGGTTTTACCATGTTGGCCAGGCTGGTCTCAAACTCCTGACTTCAAGTGATCTGCCTGCCTCGGCCTCCCAAAGTGCTAGGATTACAGGTGTGAGCCACTGTGGTTAGCCTATTTTGTCCATTTTAAAAATTAGTTTGTGGCCTGGTGCGGTGGCTCACACCTGTAATCCCAGCAATTTGGGAGGCCGAGGCAGGCAGATCACTTGAGGTCAGGAGTTTGAGACCAGCCTGGCCAACATGGTAAAACCCTGTCTCTACAAAAAATTAAATTAGAAATAAAAATTAGGTTGTTTTCTTATTTTTGAGTTTGCAGAATTCTTTTTTTTTTTTTTTTGAGAGTTTGACTCTTGTTGCCCAAGCTGGAGTGCAGTGGCACGATCTCAGCTCACAGCAACCTCCGCCTCCCAGGTTCAAGCAATTCTCCTGCCTCAGCCTCCTCAGAAGCTGGGATTACAGGCGCGTGCCACCACGCCCTCTGGCTAATTTTTTGTATTTTTAGTAGAAACGGGGTTTCACCATGTTGGCCAGGCTGGTCTCGAACTCCTGACCTGAGGTGATCCACCCAACTCGGCCTCCCAAAGTGCTGGGATTACAGGCCTGAGCCACTGCACCAGCCCAGGTTTCTTTACATATTCTGCATGTAAGTCTTTTATCAGATATGTGATTTATTTTCTTCCAGCCTGTGGTTTGTCTTTTCTTGTCTTTTTTTGAGATGGTGTCTTGCTCCATTGCCCAGGCTGGAGTGCAGTGGCATGATCTCAGCTCACTGCAACCTCCGCCTCCCGGGTTCAAGTGATTCTCCTGCCTCAGCCTTCTGAGTAGCTGAGACTACAGGCACCCACGAACACACCCGGATAATTTTTGTATTTTTGGTAAAGATGGAGTTTCACCATGTTGGCCAGATTGGTCTCGAACTCCTGACCTCAGGTGATCCGCCCACCTCAGCCTCCCAAAGTGCTGGGATTACAGGCCTGAGCCGCCGCGCCCAGTCTTTTCATGTTTTTAACACTGTGTCTTGAAAAAGAGTTCATGCTTAACAATGAGGATACACAAAATTTTTTTAAAAAAGAAAAAGAAAAGTTCTTCCTTTTAATGAAGTCTAATTTGCCCATTTTTCTTGATGTATTATTCTTTTGGTGTCGTATCTAAGAAATCTTTGCCTAAAGGTCACAAAGATTTTTAAAGTTTTCTCCAAAAAGTTTTATGGTTAGATTTTGCATTTAGGACTATGATCTATTTTTAGTTAATTTGTGTATATGGTGTGAGGTAAGAATCTGTTAATTTATTTGCATATGGATATACAGTTGTTTTTGAACCACTGTTGAAAAGACTCTCCCGGCCGGGCGCAGTGACTCAAGCCTGTAATCCCAGCACTTTGGGAGGCTGGGGTGGGTGGATCATGAGGTCAGGAGTTGGAGACCAGCCTGACCAACATGGTGAAACCCTGTTTCTACTAAAAATACAAGAATTAGCTGGGTGTGGTGGCATGCGCCTATAATCTCAGCTACTCAGGAGGCTGAGGCAGGAGAATTCCTTGAATTCGGGAGGTGGAGGTTGCAGTGAGCCGAGATCGCACCATTGCACTCCAGCCTGGGTGACAGAGGGAGACTCCATCTCAAAAAAAAAAAAAAAGAAAGAAAAGAAAAGAAAAGACTCTCCTTTCTCTATTGAATTGTCTTTGTCAAAAGCAGCTGACCATCCATCCATGGGCTGGCCCATTTCTGGAGTTCTGGGTTGATTGTTTCTGGAGTTCGGGGTTGATTGTTTCTGGCGTTTAGGGTTGATTGTTTCTGGCGTTCAGGGTTGATTGTTTCTGGAGTTCAGGGTTGATAGTTTCTGGAGTTCTGGGTGGAGTGTTTCGGGAGTTCTGGGTTGATTGTTTCTGGGGTTCAGGGTTGATTGTTTCTGGAGTTCAGGGTTGATTATTTCTGGTGTTCTGGGTTAATTGTTTCTGGAGTTCAGGGTTGATTGTTTCTGGAGTTTGGGGTTGACTGTTTCTGGAGTTCTGGGTTGATTGTTCCTGGAGTTCAGGGTTGATTGTTTCTGGAGTTTGGGGTTGACTTTCTGGAGTTCGTGGTTGATTGTTTCTAGAGTTTGGGGTTGATTGTTTCTGGAGTTCGTGGTTGATTGTTTCTGGAGTTCTGGGTTGACTGTTTCTGGAGTTCAGGGTTGATTGTTTCTGGAATTTGGGGTTGATTGTTTCTGGAGTTCTGGGTTGATTGTTTCTGGAGTTCTGGGTTGATTGTTTCTGGAGTTCTGGGTTGATTTTTTCTGGAGTTCAGGGTTGATTGTTTCTGGAATTCGGGGTTGACTGTTTCTGCAGTTCTGGGTTGACTGTGGAGTTCAGGATTGAATGTTTTCTGAAGTTCGGGGTTGATTGTGTTTGGAATTCTGGGTAATTTCCTTGTCAATATATATTTTGCCAACGTTTCCTCCCATATGTGATGTCTTTTCACTTTTTGATAATGCCATTTGAAACATAAGTTTTAAATTTTGATGATGTCTAATTTTTTTCTTTGGTCACTTATGCTTCTGGTATCTGTTTTAGTCTATTTTGTGCTGCCTTAATAGGATATCTGAGACTGGGTAATTTATAATGAACAGAAATTTATTTCTCACAGTTCTGGAGGCTGGGAAATGCAGATGAAGGTGCTGGCGTCTGATGAGCTCCTTCCTTCTGTGTCATCCCTGGACAAAGAAGACAGAGTGGGAGAGCAGGAGGGGCTGGACCCCCCTTCCATGAGGAACCCACTCCCACGATACCAGCGTTCATCTCTTCGTGAGGGCAGAGCCTCCATAAGCTAAACACCTCTTAAAGGTCCCACCTCCCAACACTTCCACATGGGGGTCAAGCTCCCGGCACATGAGCTTTTGGGGCCATATCCAAACCACAGCAGTATCCTACCTAAGAAGACTTTTGCCCAAGGTCTTTCCAAACCCAAGATCATGACAATTTACTGCTATATTTTCTTCTAAAAGTTTTATAGTTTTAGCTCTTATGTCTGTCATCCATTCTGTTTTGTTTTGCTTTGTTTTTGTTTTTTTGAGACGGAGTCTCACTCTGTCGCCCAGGCTGGAGTGAAATGGCGTGATCTTGGCTCACTGCAACCTCTGCCTCCCAGGTTCAAGCGATTCTCCTGCCTCACCCTTCTGAGTAGCGGGGATTCCAGCCGCCTGCCACCATGCCCGGCTAACTTTTTGTATTTTTTAGTAGAGATAGGGCTTCACCATGTTGGCCAGGCTGGTCTCAAACTCCTGACCTCAAGTGATCCGCCCACCTCAGCCTCCCAAAGTGCTGGGATTACAGGCGTGAGCCACCGCACCCGGCCCTTTTTTTTTTTTTAGATGAAGTTTCACTCTTCTCGCCCAGGCTGGAGTGCAATGGCACAATCTCGGCTCACTGCAACCTCTGCCTCCCAGATTCAAGCGATTCTCCTGCCTCAGCCTCCCGAGTAGCTGGGACTGCAGGCACCCACCACCACGCTGGCTAATTTTTGTATTTGTAGTAGAGACGGGGTTTCACCATCTTGGCCAGGCCGGTCTCGAACTCCTGACCTCAGGCGATTCGGCATGAGCCACCATGCCTGGCCTGTCATTCATTTTGAGTTCTCTGTGTGTGTGATGTGAATAATGTGAGCAGCTTCCCTCACGGGCATGTGGATGTTCGGGTGTCTCAGCACCATTTGTTAAAGATGAGTCTTTCCTCCATCGAATTGTCTTGGCACCCGTATTGAAAATCAGTTGACTGTAGGCCGGGCACAGTGGCTCAAGCCTGTAATCCCACCACTTTGGGAGGCCGAGGCAGGAGGATCACTTGAGGTCAGGAGTTCAAGACCAGCCTGGCCAACATAGTGAAACTCTGTCTCTACTAAAAATACACAAATTAGCCAGGCACGGTGACCGGTGCCTGTAGTCCCAGCTACTTGGGAGGCTGAGGCACAAGAATCGCTTGAGCCCGGGAAGTGGAGGTTGCAGTGACCCGAGATTGCGCCACTGCCCTCCCGAGACTCCATCTCAAAAAAACAAGTTTCATTTTTATATTGTTCATTGCCAGTGTGAACAAATACAATTGATTTTTGAAAAATTGATCTTGTGCCCTCCAAGTATTCTATACCTTGCTGTACCTGTTTATTAGTTCTAATAACTTTTTTAGTGGCTTCCTTTGGATTTTCTATATATGAGATCATGTCATCTGAAAAGTTTCACATCTTTTTCTTTTCTTTTGAGACAAGGTCTCACTCTGTCATCCAGGATGGAATGCACTGGTGCAATATCTGCTCACTGCAACCTCTGCCTCCTGGGCCTAAGCAGTCGCCCCACCTCAGCCTGCAGAGTAGCTGGGGCTGCAGGTGCACACCACTATGCCCAGCTGATTTTTGCATTTTTTTCCTTTTCTTGGTAGAGACAGGGTCTCACTATGTTGCTCAGGCTTGTCTTGAACTCTTGGGCTCAAGTGATCCTCCCGCCTTGGCCTCCCAAAGTGCTGGGATCACGTGCAGGTGTGAACCACTGAGCCTGGCCCTGGATACCTTTTATTTCACTTTCATTTTCTTTTCTTTTCTTTTTTTTTCTTTTTGAGATGGAGTTTCATTCTTGTTGCCCAGGCTGGAGTGCAACGGCGCGATCTCAGCTCACTGCAACCTCTGCCTCCCAGGTTCAAGTGATTCTCCTGCCTCAGCCTTCTGAGTAGCTGGGATTACAGGCATGCACCACCATGCCTGGCTAATTTTGTATTCTTAGTAGAGACAGGGATCACCATGTTGGTCAGGCTGGTCTCGAACTCCCGACCTCAGGTGATCTGCCTGCCTCGGCCTCCCAAAGTGCTGGGATTACAGGCGTGAGCCATGATGCTCAGCCTCTTTTATTTCATTTTCTTTCCTAATTGCTCTGGCAGGAACTTCCTGGAGTGTCAAAAGTAAGAGGCAGGAGTGAGCATTGCTGTTTTATCGTGGCATTTTGTTGACGTGATTGCGACGCTCCGGGAGTCTCTGTCCAGGTTCTTGTGCTGAGAGGCTCCTTGGATCAGTGGGTTTATGGTTCCCATCAAGCTTGGAAAAACTCCAATCATTATTTCTTCAGCTATTTTACCTTCTTCCCCTCTTCTGGGACCAACTCCAATTAAACGTATGTTAGGCCACTCAACGTTGTCTCACAGCTCACCATTCTATTTCTCTGTTTTTCAGTTTTTTTGTTTGTTTGTTTGTTTTTTGAGACAGAGTCTTGCTCTATTACCCAGGCTGGAGTGCAATGGCACGATCTCGGCTCACTGCAATCTCTACCTCCCGGGTTCAAGCAATTCTCTGCCTCAGCCTCCCAAGTAGCTGAGATTACAGGTGCCTGCAACTACGCCCAGCTAATTTTTTTGTTGTTGTTGTATTTTTTGTAGAGATGGGGTTTCACCATGTTGGCCAGGCTGGTCTTGAACTCCTGACCTCAGGCGATCCACCTGCCTTGGCCTCCCAAAGTGCTGGGATTACAGGCATAAGCCACCGCGCCCAGCCTCTCTGTTTTTTAAAATCTGTTTTATTTTAAATAGTTTTTATTGTTATAGTTTCGAGTTGACTACTGTTTTCCTTTCCAGTGTCTAACCTGTTGGTACTTCCCCCCAGTGCATTTCTCAAATCACACATCATAATTTTCATCTCTAGAAGTTCCCCGTTGGGATTTTTGTAACTTCAAAGTCCCTAACACATTCGATATTTCCTCTAGCTTCCACTTTTCTAGTTTATTTCTGTTTTTGTTTAGAGATGAGATCTCGCTTTGTTGCCCAGGCTGGCCTTGGCATCTTGAGTAGCTGGGACTATAGGCACACACAACCACACCTGGAATAGCTTCTTGGAGTAAGTTGTAGCAGCAGCTTTCATATCCTTGTCTATGAATTCTATCATCTCTAACATTGCTGGAATCTTCCTGTCCATGTGGGGAGGGTTCATGTGTCCGTCATCTGGGAGGGTCCATGTGTCTGTCATCTGGGGAGGGTCCATGTGTCCGTCATCTGGGGAGGGTCCATGTGTCCGTCATCTGAGGAGGGTCCATGTGTCCGTCATCTGGCAGGGTCCCCGTGTCCGTCATCTGGGGAGGGTCCCCGTGTCCGTCATCTGGGGAGGGTCCCCGTGTCCGTCATCTGGGGAGGGTCCCCGTGTCTGTCATCTGGGGAGGGTCCCCGTGTCCATCATCTGGGGAGCATCCTTGCCTGAGTGCCAGGAAGGGGGGACACTCTCACTGTAACGTCAGCTCAGATCCTTCATGCTTTCATTGCTGCCTCCACATGGAGATGGCATTTGCCCCAAGGATTTCTGTCAAGCAGGTGACAGCCTCCTGCCTGCAACCTGCTTGGTAACATTAAGCCCCTGGCTTGGTCAGGAAAAGTCCAGCCGAAATCCCGCATAGTAGGTTCATTGGCCACCTCCTGGAGTGCTGCTCTCACCCCTTTCCCAACAAACCAGCTTCCTGGGGACGTGCTGATGGAGCTTCCTCTTCCTAAAGCCGAACTGGAAAAACAGAAGGTGCACAACGACACGATGTCCTGGCCCCCAGGCGTCTCCGCCGACAGCTTGGGCCTCCTCCCGGTGCATGTGAAGGAGGAAGTTTGGCCAGAGCCAGCAGACCTCATCCCTGACCGGGGCTGGGGGGGCCAAGACCAAGGGGGCCACTGGGCCTGGGGCTTAAGAGGCCATGGTTGGGGGGGATCGGCAGCTGGAGGGTCCCATGCTGGAGCACAGCCCGCCCTGCCATCTGGTGTGTTTGGCACATGCCAGTCAGTGATATGGTTTGGATCTGTGTCCCCACCCAAATCTCATGCCAAACTGTAATCCCCAGTGTTGGAGGTGGGGCCTGGTGGAAGGTATAGACCATGGGGGTGGGTTTCTCATGAATGGCTTAGTACCATCCCCCCGCCGTGGTACAGTCCTTGGGTTAGTAAGTGAGCTCGCAGGAGAGCTGGTGTTTAAAAGTGGGTGGCACCCCACCCCCAACCCCATCTCGCTCCTGCTCTGGCCATGTGACCTGCCTGCTCCCTCTTCTCCTTCTGCCAGGATTGGAAGTTTCCTGGGGCCTCCCCAAAAGCTGAGCAGGGCCAGACGCAGTGGCTCACGCCTGGAATCCCAACACTTTGGGAGGCCAAGGTGGGTGGATTGCTTGAGGTCAGGAGTTCGAGACCAGCCTGAACAACATGGGGAAACCCCGTCTCTACTAAAAATACAAAAATTAGCCTGGCGTGGTGGCACATAGCTGTAATCCCAGCTACTCGGGAGGCTGAGGCAAGAGAATTGCTTGAACCCAGGAGGCAGAGGTTGCAGTGAGTTGAGACCATGCCACTGCACTCCAGCCTGAGTAACAAAGCAAGACTGTCTCAAAAAAAAAAAAAGCTGAGCAGGTGCCAGCACCATGCTACCTGTGTAGCCTGCAGAAGCACAAGCCAATTGAGCCTCTTTTCTGTCCCCCAGGCTGGAATGCAGTGGCAAGATCTCTGCTCACTGCAGCCTCTGCCTCCTGGGATCAAGCGATTCTCCTGCCTCAGCCTCCCGAGTAGCTGGGACTACAGGCACCGCCACCACACCCGGCTAATATCTGTATTTTTAGTAGGAACGGGGTCTCACCTTGGTGGCCAGGCTGGTCTTGAACTCCTGACCTCAGGTGATCCGCCCGCCTCAGCCTCCCAAAGTGCTGGGATTCCAGGCGTGAGCCACTGTGCCTGGCCTACAGGCAACCGATTTTTCAACACAGGTGCCAAGACAATTCAATGGAGGAAAGAATGGTCTTTAACAATCACACCACTGCACTCCAGCCTGGGCAACACAGCCAGACTCCATCTCAAAAAAAAAGCAACTGACAAATAGAAGAGTGAGCTGTGGGACAACTTCAACTGATATACATGTAACTGGAGTCAGTCCCAGAAGAGGAGAGCTGCCCCAGCTCCACCTGTCCCTACCCCCAGGGTCCCCCACACCCGTTGCCCTGTCCAGGTCAGAGTGAGCCCAACGGCTCAGATGCCGCTGCCTTCCTCTGCCCACCAGCTTCCTCTCTCCACGCTCCATGCTGAGCTTATAGGCTGACTGTAAGTTCATTCTCACATTGCTATAAAGAAACGCCTGACAGTGGGCTGGGTGCGGTGGCTCAAGCCTGTAATCCCAGCACTTTGGGAGGCCAAGACAGGCAGATCACTTGAGGTCAGAAGTTCGAGACCAGCCTAGCTTCAACAAGGTGAAACCCCGTCTCTACTAAAAATACAAAAATTAGCCAGGCACGATGGTGGGTGCCTGTAATCCCAGCTACTCGGGAGACTGAGGCAGAAGAATCGCTTGAACCCGGGAGGCGGAGGTTGCAGTGAGCCGAGATTGTGCCACCGCGCTCCAGCCT
Source organism: Homo sapiens (assembly GCF_000001405.40). Classification (NCBI taxonomy): domain Eukaryota; kingdom Metazoa; phylum Chordata; class Mammalia; order Primates; family Hominidae; genus Homo; species Homo sapiens. The sequence continues at coordinate 995,327 of NC_000001.11, forward strand.
GGGCGACAGAGACTCTGTCTAAACAAAACAAAAGAAAACCCAATCTAACAAAGAAAACCTTACTACAAAGCTACAGTCATCAAGAAGACAGTGTGATTGATAATAGAACAAGGATAGATGTATAGATCGATGGAAAAGAATTGAGGGTTCAGAAATAGGTCCTCACATTTACAGTCAACTGATTTTTTTTTTTTTCTGAGACAGGGTCTCACTCTCAGCCCATCACCTGGGCAGAACCCTGCTGATCCTGCAGATCACTGGACCCTCAGGACACTGAGGTGTGAATGCCAGAAGGGGACAGTGGGACATCAGGGAGGCTGCCACCCCAGGGCCCTTGCCCCGGCTGCGTCCGAGGTGGGTATAACCCTGGGGCTCCAGGGGGCCGTGGGGCAGCAGCCAGGCATGGTGAGGAGACAGTCCTGGACCCAGGTGACCACAGAACCCGGCGGGGCGAGCTTCAGCCTCACCTCTCACAAGCCCCGGCTCCAGGCAGCCCCAACCCCACCCCCATCCCTAACTTGCCGGCGCCCGGAGTTCATGGGCCTGGCCTAGACTTCGGTCACCACAGGGACTGAGGTTCTCCAGATTTCAAAAGCCTGTGATCTGCGGTTGTGTTGCCCCGTTCCCCCCGCGGCAGACAAGCCCAGACACACACGGCCCAGACACCCCAGAGGCAAAGGAATTCAGCAAACATTTATTGACCCTTGGTCCTCATCAAGGAGGCAGTGAGAGATGAACTGGAAGTGACCAGGGGCTGCCAGCCACACCCCCTCCACCGAGAAGATGACTTTCACCTACTATTCAGCAGAAAACCAAAAGCCAAGATAAAAATCGCTGGGGAGGGGCAGGGATGGGGGACCGGGCCAGACCCCAGCTGCTGAGCAGCCGCCACCTGAGGTGGGGAGGGGCAGGAAATGTCTGGAGAGTAGGGAGGGCAGAAAGGACCCCCACGTGAGGGGGCACCCCACATCTGGGGCCACAGGATGCAGGGTGGGGAGGGCAGAAAGGCCCCCCCGCGGGAAGAGGCACCCCACATCTGGGGCCACAGGATGCAGGGTGGGGAGGGCAGAAAGGACCCCCCGCTGGAGGGGGCACCCCACGTCTGGGGCCACAGGATGCAGGGTGGGGAGGACAGAAAGGACCCCCCGCTGGAGGGGGCACCCCACATCTGGGGCCACAGGATGCAGGGTGGGGAGGGCAGAAAGGACCCCCCGCTGGAGGGGGCACCTCACGTCTGGGGCCACAGGATGCAGGGTGGGGAGGACAGAAAGGACCCCCCGCTGGAGGGGGCACCCCACATCTGGGGCCACAGGATGCAGGGTGGGGAGGGCAGAAAGGACCCCCCGCGGGAGGGGGCACCTCACGTCTGGGGCCACAGGATGCAGGGTGGGGAGGGCAGAAAGAACCCCCGCTGGAGGGGGCACCCCACATCTGGGGCCACAGGATGCAGGGTGGGGAGGGCAGAAAGGACCCCCCGCGGGAGGGGGCACCTCACGTCTGGGGCCACAGGATGCAGGGTGGGGAGGGCAGAAAGAACCCCCGCGTGCCTAAGCAGGTTCTGGTGGGCGTCCTGGCTGGGTGTAGGCAGAGGCTGGCTCCCGGAGGCCCGAGGGGGGCTCTGAGAAGGGGGCGGCCTGAGGGGGAGCCCAGGACAGCCCCTATGCTGCCCCCGTCCAGCCCGGCCCCTCAGGCTGTGTTTCCTGAGACCTCGCTAGTCTAACCCAAACCTCCCAGCTCTGTCATTCAAAGGGATGGATTAGGTCCCCGTGGGTCCATTTCCCTGTTTTGGGTGCTGAGGACAGAGCTTCTGGACAGACTCAGCCCTCGCCCTCTGGAGCCCCGTCCAGCTGGGCCCGGATGATGCACCACCCAGCCTGCGGCAGATGGGATGGACGACAAGTTAGGAGGAAACAAGGGGGAAAAGCCAGGGGGCAGGTGGTGTGGAGCACAAAGGAACCCAGACTGCGAAGGGACTGCCCAAGGACTGTGATTCCCCCAGAACCTGAGTGGTCCCTGGGCAGCTATGCAGGGCCCTTTCGCCACAGTGGAGAGGGCATTCAAGGCCAGAGCCTGGTGGAGAGATGCCCTGCCCTCTTGGGACCCACAGCCCGGGTGACTTTGTGGGGTGCCTCTCTTACCCTGAGCTCCTCCCCACACTCCCAGCTTCGCTGCCCCAGGCCCTCCTTCCCCTTCTGCACTGATGCCTTCTCTGAGCAACTCCCCTCCCCCGGCCACGCTGAGCTTCCAGCTGCCCCCAAGAAGACCGTCCCTTCCTGTGCTGCTGAGGAGGCCTCCCTCACGGGGTCTCAAGCTCCCAAGGGGAAGGGGGCCTCCCTCACGGGGTCTCAAGCTCCCAAGGAGAAGGGGGCCTCCCTCATGGGGTCTCAGGCTCCCAAGGGGAAGGGCTACTTTGAGGCTCTCCTGGGACCAGGACCCCCAGAGTAGGACTGCTGGGGGGACCAAGGGTGGGACCCCCAGCCCAATGCTACCCCGCCCAGGGTCACTGGCCTGGCCCTCGGAGCTCAGGGAGGGGGCAGGGCAGCCAGGGGCCAGGGGTGGCCTGGCTTGTTGGGCCTGGGAGGCTCCTACAAGCTGTGCACGGCTGTGTCCTGGAGGGCCCAGGGGGGCTCCTGATGGAGGCACAGACTGGGGCCTGGAGGGCCAGTGCTGGTGGGAGGGCTCGCTCGCCTCCCGTGGGCCCTGGTGAACTCGGCCCCAGTTGGGAAATGGCCCTGGGTGCGGCTCAGGGGGAGACCCTCTGCCTCGGCTGAGTGCCTCGAACTGCGCCGGACCCCCCCGAACGCGGGACCGGGATGGCGACCGCGGCGCTGGTTCAGGGGAACGTCCGGCGCTGCCTGGTAACTCGGTGGTCGACAACGGCACGTGCTCGGGACGATGAGGGAGGAGCCCCCAGTCCTCACCCACTGGGGAGGCGGAACCTCCCTTACCGGGGCAGGGGAGGCTGCGGGCAGGGCCGACGCCCTCGTGAGCGACGTCCTTGGCCCCGGCACTCGGTGTCCACAGCCCAGCTCGGACCCGCGCGCTCCCGCCGGGCGCCCCCCGCACAGACGCCTGGAGGAGGGGTCTGCGGTGGGCACGGGCAGCTCTGCACTTAACAGGAGAACCCAGCGGGGGTCTTCAGGGCCAAGGGCGGCCGCCCTCATCCCAGCGCCGCTCAGGACCGCAGCCTCCGCCTTCCGCGGTCCGGGGACTGGGAGTCGGGAAAGGGGCCTCCGAAAAGTAACTTGCCCGGCGATGCTGCGCGACCGCCTTCCAGCACCGGGAAGATTCTGGGCACTCAGGGACGTTGAGCTTCCCACCTGAGCCTCCGGGGGGACCCCTCACAACCGCCACCGCAGAGCGAGGCAAACCCAACGCGGGGGCAGAGGGCGGGTGCGCATGCGGGGCTGCAGGGATGCGGAGGGGAGGGCGCGGAGCGGAGGGCGCGGAGCGGAGGGGTCGCCCTCAGTCCTCGGTCCCGCCCCCAGCCCGCCCCCCCGGGCCCGCCCGACGCCCCCAGCCACCTGCAGACCGCGGCCCTGGGAGGAGGGCGGGACCCCGGCGCGGCGTGGCTGCGGGGCGCTCCCAAAGTCAACTCTTCACCAAGACAAAGAAAGAAAACTCGTGACGCAGACTCTGGAATAATAAATACGTTTTCTCTGCTACAGTCTCGGCAAAGGCCACGGCCCTAGAACGGGGCGCCGCCTCCGATGCAGTCTCAGGGCCACAGCCTCAGCGCAGCCACGGCCTCCAGGGCCCACCCGGGCCCTGCGGCCCCGCCCTGGGGGCGGCGGGCAGCGCCCGGGTCAGACCCGGCAGCAGCGGCGGCGCGAGCAGAGGGAAGGGGCCGCCGAGCGATGGCAGCAGCGGGCGGCCCGCGTAGACCTCGGGCGCTGGGGCCTCTGCGGGGGCAGCCGGGGACAGCGAGGCCGGGCGGCGGGAGGGTCCCAGCTGGCGCAGGCAGGCTGCCAGGTGGCCCAGCAGGCGGGAGCGCACGTCGGCCGGGACGCCCTCGCAGCCGGCCAGGAAGCGGTTCACCTCCGCCAGACACTCGTGGAAGCCGGCGCGGTACTTGCCCAGAACGGCGGGGTCGGCGCTGAGCGCGGCTGCGGGAGCGACACAGGAGGAGAGGTCGGTGCCGGGTCCCGGGGGTCCCGCGCCCTCCCCCCGCCTCCAAGCCGCCGCCGCCCGCGCCTCACCCGTCACCTGCACGCGACGCAGGCTCCGCAGGTGTCTCACGGTCATCTCCAGGATGTCCGCCTTCTCCAGCTTCGAGTGGCGGGAGCTCTGGGGGCGGGGATAGGCGGGAGGTCCAGGTCAGCTGCGACCCAGACTCCGGGTCTCGGGCCTTCGCCCCCGACTTACCTCTTTTCTGAGGGCGTCCAGGATGAGGGTTTTGAGCTGAGCGAGGCTCTCGTTAATACGCGCTCGGCGCCGCTTCTCCATGACCGGCTTGGAGGACTGCGGGTCGGGCACCGGCTGAGTCCCGCGTCCCTCCCGCCCCCCGGTCGCCCCCCTCACGCCCGGCCGGGACCCCACCTTGCGGTGCTCGGCCGCGCTCCGGGGCTTGTCTGGGGTCCGGCTGGCGCTGGCCGGCGCTCCTGCCATCGGCGAGGCGCTCGGTTTCCCCGGCGTGTCTGCGGCCATGGTGCGCCCCGCGCCTCCCCGTGCCGGGTGGAGCGCGCCGCCACGGACCACGGGCGGGCTGGCGGGCGAGCGGCGAGCGCGCGGCGATCCGAGCCCCTAGGGCGGATCCCGGCTCCAGGCCCGCGCGCGCCTCAGGCCGTTTCCCTATTTAAGGCCTCGCCGCCGCGGGGTGTGTGAACCCGGCTCCGCATTCTTTCCCACACTCGCCCCAGCCAATCGACGGCCGCGCTCCTCCCCCGCTCGCTGTCAGTCACGCCTCGGCTCCGGGCGCGGCCTCCGCGGGCGACAATGGCATGCGGGGCCCCCGCCCGCGCCCCCCTCCGACACCGCTGGGGACAGGGCCGGGTGATCCCGCGCTCCCCGATGCAGCCGGGGCCGAGCAACGCGCCGGGAGGGGCCGCTGGGGGCGAACGGGGCCCGGGACCCCCGGGGCTGGGCGGAGTCTCGGGGCTCACTCTCCCGCCCAGGGGGCCGGGAGCCGGGGCTGGACGGAGCTGGGGCTGTGGCCGCGCGGGAAGTCGGGAAGGAAATTCCCCCAGTGGCGCAGGGTCCGGCGGCGCCGAGGGGTGGGCGAGCCTCGGTCTCGAGCCTCTTGGCTTCCTCCGCCCGTCCCCACTCCGGTCCCGGTTTGGGCCCTGCTCGGTCTCCGAGTTTGATCCGACACCGGCTCGGCCTCCGGGGGTCCCACCCTCAGGTGTGCGGCCTGGAGCACGGAGGGCTGCAGAAAGCCTTGGGAGCGACAGAGCCGGGGGAAGGTCGGCGGCCGGGTCGGCAGGCGGGAGGGCGGAGTCAGCGGACGGCGAAGGGGCGCACGGGTGGCCCCGCAGAGCAGGGCCGGTGATGGCGCGGGCCGGGCCGGACCACGAGGAGCAGAACGTGCGCGTGACGCGAGCGGGCTGGTGACGTCACCAGGCACCCGGGGCGATGACGCAAGCCTGCTGGGATGACGTCATGTGGCCCGTGTCGCCACGTGCTTCCAGGTGACCCGCTGGCGAACTCAGCAGCAGCAAAGTGGGGCTCACAGAAAAATGAGGGGCCACTGTTAATATAACTGCAAAGGGGCAGGTTGCGTAAAACAGGGCTGTGGTTATTTTCGTGTTTGCTGTTTTTATTTCGAATGCCGCTGCGGGGCACGTTGGTCCTTTCCGCACTCGGGGTCCCCGGCGGCCTCACGCGTCCGTGCAGCGGAGGCTTCCTGAGCCCCCTGGAGAGCCTGGCCTGGGCCCGGGTGTGGAGACCCTCCCGGGCTTTCAATCCGGGCAGGAGGCAGATGGCAGACTCAGCAGTCACGTAAGAGAACCGAATTAGGTGGGTGGCCTGGGTGGACAAAAGCCTTCTTGACGCCGGGTGGTCCCAAAGGCTTCTGCGGGGTGGGGGGTCCTCAGGGGGGAAGCCTCAAGGGAGGGCGTGGCATTCCCAGGGTGCGAAGGGGGCGCAGGGACGAGGGAGGTGGGGAGGGGGAGCTGGGCCAGCGAGAACCGGGAGCTTCTGGTCGGGGAGGGAGTCGGGGAACTTTTTGGGGAGCTTTTCTGAGCCAGGGAGTCGGCTGATTGGCAGGTTCGCCCCTGCCCGGGCACCTGGACCCAGGGTTTCTGTGCGGAAGCTTCCCCTCCCCTCGGACCCCACGTCTAATCTGGCCCCAAGCAAAGTCCTGCGGCCCACGCGGGAAGGCGCCCTCTTCGCGGCGCTGACCCCGGCCCTCCGCGGTGCCCCTGAGGCGCCCCCCACACCCCGCCGCTTGCACAGGGGCGCGGGGGGCTGCGAGGCCGGAGCGGGGGTGGCGCCCTCTCCGCCGAGAGGCTGTCCGCGCCCCTCGCCGACTGGGGAAAGCCGCGGGGGCTGGGCGGGCGTCTCGGAGGTGGCCCCGCGAGCACTTAAGCCCCGGCTCTCCTGCCCCGACCTCTCTGCGCGCGCCTCGGCGCTGGAGAGGCTCGGACCGGCCCCGTAGCCCAGGAGGTGGTGTGGATGGTGTCCCCGTCCCGCGTCCCTCCCCGGCCTGAGCGCTGGGCCCGGGCGGGAAAGCCCGCGAGCGCCCCCAGTGGCCGCAGTCGCCGCCGCCTCCTGCTGGGGGTCATCCCAGGGGAGCTGCCGGCCTGAATCTCCCCAGCCCCTGGGCCCCGGCTTGGGAAGAAATTTGGGGGGGCTCTGGGCCTCCCCCAGTCCCTAGACAGGCAGGGAGTTCGGGATGGAAGGAGGAGCCTGAGGATCGTTTTTATTTATTTTTTTTTTGTAGAGATGGGGATCTCCCTATGTTGCCCAGGCTGGTCTCGAACTCCTGGCCCGAGACGATGCTCCTGCCTCGGCCTCCCAACGTGCTGGGACTACAGGCGTGAGTCTCCTCCCTGCCAAGCGTGGCTGGGACTGATCATTCCCTCACTGGTTTTTAGATGGGCTCACTTCCCCTCCTTGTACCTGTTTTCTCATCTGTAAAAGGGAGCTAACTTTTTTTTTTTTTTTTTTTTGAGGCAGCGTCTCGCTCTGTTGCCCAGGCTGGAGTGCAGTGGCACCACAACCTTTGCCTCCCGGGTTCAAGCGATTCTCCTGCCTCAGCCTCCCAAGTAGCTGGGATTACAAGCATGTACCACCACGCCCGGCTAGTGTTTTGTATTTTTAGTAGAGATGGGGTTTCACTGTGTTGGCCAGGCTGGTCTTAATAGGAGATTCTACTTTTTTTTTTTCTTTTTTGAGACGGAGTTTCACTCTTGTCGCTCAGGCTGGAGTGCAGTGGCACGATCTGGGCTCACCACAACCTCTGCTTCCTGTATTCAAGCGATTCTCCTGCCTCAGCCTCTGGAGTAGCTGGGATTACAGGCGTGTGCCGCCACACCTGGCTAATTTTTGTATTTTTAGTAGAGATGTAGTTTCTCCATGTTGGTCAGGCTGGTCTCAAACTCCCCACCTCAGGTGATCCACGCACCTCAGCCTCCCAAAGTGCTGGGATTACAGGTGTGAGCCACCGTGCCTGGCCAGGAGATTCTACTTTTAAAGCCACTGACGGCGTCCAACTCATAGTGAGCACCCACGCCCATCTGCCAGGGTTCCTGCCCCTGGGCAGCAGCTGGGGTCCTTGCTGAGCAGAGGCAGGAGGGGCCACCAGCACTTGCCTCTGCTCTTCTGGAGAGGAAGAGACCCCCCTGCTCCCTGCCCCCTGCCAGGGAGCCCACTCCAGGATCTCCGGGGACTGTGTTCCTCCCACCTTCTTTGCCACAGGACAGCTCCCATCTGTGTGTCTGTCTCTCTGGGTCTGTGCCCTTGGCCTCTGATGGTCCCCTCCCTGCCTCTCGAATCTGGCCTCGATTTGTGGTAGGGGCCTCAGGGTTCCTGAGGGCCTTGGGGTTCCCTTGCTCTGAGTGTGGGGGTGGATCCTGGGCTGCAGCCCAGGATGGTGCCGACACCTGGGTTGGGGGCAGGTTGCGTTTTTCAGAGACGGCCGTGATAGTATCTCCCATCCCCATATCTTGAAATGCCTTCTACATGAGACTCTGTGACAGTCTCAGCTGGGAAGAATGGGGTGTTTGGCAGGACATGACTTCTGAGGCTGACTTGGAAGACGCCATGCGTACCTCGCTGTCCTGGGACAGTCGCTCTTGGAACCCAGCTGCCGTGCTGGGAGGGAGCACGCCCTGGCCTCAAGGAGAGGCCCCGTGGAGGAATCAGCATTGGATTCCAGACTCCTGAGCAGCTTCCGGCGCAGGTCCCAGCGCGCCCCGTTCCAAGGCTGCCCGCACACAGTAGGGTGGTTGCTGAGCGTGCTGTTTTGGGGTGGTTTGTGGTGCGGCACTCAAGACTGGAATAGTGGAGGTGGGCTGGGGCCCTGACCCAGGGAGAGTGACCCTTCCCTCCTCACCCCTGCTCCCTCCTCGCTGATCCCTTCCTCTCTTCCACAGAGGCAGAGGCTCAGCGACTTCCCCACCCCTCCCCCCCATCTAACGGGTGCTTCTTGGGAGCCACTGAAATCCAGCCGACCTCCTGGCCCTGAGTGGGTCAAGCTCCAAATGGCGGGTGGCCCCGGGGCATCTGCACAGCCCCCTGTTAGCTAAGGGGGGTGACTGATGAGGACATTCACACGCCAGTGGGGAGACTGTGGGGAAAACCGGGGTGTCTTCTAGGCTGGACCTGGGGGGGCCTCAGCCTTGTTGGGGGGTCTCCTCACATTGGGCCACTGTGGCCGCACTCCATGACCACAGCCAGTGTCCCCAAAAGGCCTGTGAGGTGCTGGCTGTGACCTCCCCTCCCAACCTCTGACCCAGAGGTGGCGGCTGCCATCTCGCCACGGCCCTCAACACCCCCCTCACACACTGACTCCTGACATCAGAGACCTGTAGCCACCCCCTGCAGGTGGTCCTCAGCATGGTCCCCAACTCCTGCCCAGGGCAGCGGGCTGTGCACTCAGGCAGCTGGGGCCAAAGCCACCGAGGAACCAAGGCTGGGGTGGGGGTGGGTTTCTCTCCCGGAGAGCCGAGGTGGGCGCAGAGCTGTTCCTGGGTGTTTGCTGGGATTGTAGTGACAGAAGGCCAGGGCTGCAGGAATCCAGGCTGCCAGAGAGAGACCAGGACTCAGGCAGAAGCAGCAGCACCAGGCTGGTGCCACTGCCACCCCACCTGCATGCCTTCTCAGCAGCGGTGGGAGCTGTGTCTCCAAGCAGGATGGTACTGGAGTCTCCCCACCCTGCCTGTCTGGGATGCCCTCCCAGCCTGTTCCTGCTCCCGGCAGGCGCTGCTTTTCTCTCTGCTGTACCAGGACGAGGTGGGTGCCCTTGTCCCTCCTCACTGGCACTCCCAGACTGCTTTCCTTTTCCACCAAAACCACCCCCGCTTTGTGACCAGACCTCACTGTGTTGAAGTCATCGGCACCCCTTTCCTGCAGGAGGGGACACCTGCTCCCTGTCACTCTCCCGGCCATGCCTTCAAAATCCACACCAGCAATTCTCCAACTTTGACTTCCTCTCTTTCAGGGGTCCTGTCCCCTCCCCACTTACCCCACTGGGTCCTTTCTCCCAACTGCACCCCTCCACGGTCCAGCCTCTCCACTCTCTCTGCCCCCCTCCCAGCTCCCGCCTCTGCTGTCCGCCAGCCCTGAGATCTCGGGCAGATGCACAGCCTGCATCTGCGGCTTCCTCCTCCCCTGTCTGTTCTCTCCTTATCAAGAGAAGCCTATCTGGCCGGCCATTGTGTCTGCCCCTCACCCTCCCTCCTTCCTGTTCATGTGGGCAGACCACAGCCCGTGTGGAATCCCTACCTTCTTGGTGGCTTAAGCACCACCTGCCTATTCTTTCCGTAGTGGGGATCAGGGCAGTGCCAGTGGCTTCCTGGGGCCTCTCACAGCCTGCGGCCCTGGGCCAAGGTCAGCTGGGTGGGAAGGGCCCAAGGGTAGCCATGCTGGACACCTGGGGCTGCTGTCCCTCAGCTGCCGGGCTCTCTGCCAGAGCCGTGCAGCCTGGAGTCCTACCCACTCTCAGTCAGCTTCCTCCTAACACATGGCCAGCGTTCCAGGAGGGCGAAGTGGAAGCCTAGGGACTCTTGAGGCCAGGATCCAGAACGCACATAGTAAAATCTCCACCACACTCCATCGGCCAAAGCAAGTCACAGCAGCCAGATTCCAGAGGAGTCGAAGCACACACTGACCCCTCCTCCCCTCCACCGCCTGCCTCTGCCCTCCCCTCGCAGGGGCAGGGCTGCCTGATGAGCCCCCTGGGTTTATCTGCCCTGCTGGCCCTGGGAAGGCTGGGATGAAAGTGTCATTTAGTGGCAGGGACTTTAGGGAGCCTGGTATGGTCAAGCCCTAGCCCCCGCAGCAGTGCCCCCGCAGCAGTTCCCCCCGCAGCAGTGCCCCCAGGACAGCTGGGCCTGGGTCTCCAGTGGGTCGGAGTTTTCTGAAGCCGGCCGTGGGTCGACCTCGCACCCGGTGACTGCCCCAGGCGGAGGGGCATGCGTGGCCCAGCGCGGGGGCCCTGTCCGTGGCCGTGTGGGGTCAGGTGTCCGGCTCGGGGCTTCTGGGCCCCCTGCTCCCCAAAGGTGTGCAGCTCCCGCGTCCCCTGCCAGGTCCTTTAGGTCTAAGAGGGTCCCTCTTGTCCAGCGCACCAGGCTCCACGTACCCCCAACCCCTCCCCAGCTGGGTGCCTCCCCCTGGCTGGAACGGCAGCCCTCCCTGCTCATGGGCCTGCCCCTCCACTCTATCCTCCCTGACGCAGCCAGTGGCATGCTTCTAACCTGCAGATGCCCTCCCCAGGGGCCAAGCCCACCAGACACCAGGCAACTCTAAGTGGCCCACTGGGTCCACTGTGTGGAGTGGGACCCTCCGCCCTGTCTCAGGTCCTGCTGTCCCAGGAAGCCCTTACAGGGGGCTGCAGCTGGGGGGTGACATGCCTGCCGAGTGGGTGGGGAGGCTCCGGCCCGGTAAGATGGGATCCAGCAGTGCGAGACTGTGGCCCAGGTCAGATGGTGGCAGCTCGGCCTTCCTGGTCCCAGGTGGAGAGACAGGGTGAGGCTCCTCCCCATGGGATCTGGAGGGGAGGGGCTGCCTGTGTAATCAGCCCAGCCTCGGACGTCAACAATCCATGTTTCTTAGGAAAGGCGGCCAACCCAGGGTCTCCAGTGACACGTTTCCGGGTCATCATCCGGTGGCCACAGGGAATCACAGGCTCGGTGTGACTTTCTCAGAGCGCCATGGTGCCCCTGTGGGGTTTCCCAGCCCATCCTGTCCTGTGGGACAGGCAGAGGCCCAGCCGTGTCATCGGAGTGACCTTTGAGCTCTAACCAAAGTCCACGTGTCATCAGGAGCCATGAGTCACTCAGGTGCCATCCAGGGCGGCGGCTGAGGAGTGGTGACTGGCCAGATGGGAAGGCGGGGAAGGGTCTGGATTTGAATGAGAGCGAGGGAGTGGGCTGCAGGCTGGTAGACTCCTCCAGATGGATGAGGCCAGACCCCTGCAACAGCCATCCCGAGCAAGGCTCAAGCCTCCCTGAGAGTCCAGGGCGCCAAGTCAGCCCTGCACCTGGCCCGGGCCTCGGACCCCGACGGGGCTCACCCACCTGAGATCACCCTGGCTCTGCGGGAAGGCAGGAAGCTTTGGCATGATCCTCCACGGGCGAGGATCACGTAGAGACGTGTAGAGACGCGACGAAGCACGAAGACCCGTGTTTGACGGGTTGCCAGGTGCCTACATCAGAGCTCATTAAATTACACATTAAATAGATGCACGTGTGTGTGTCAAGCTCCCCTAATTCAAGTTGTAGAAAATCAGACTCAGAGTTCTTACACTCGGGGGTGTTTTAGCAGCTGCGCCTCAAGATTCTAAATTCAAACGCACACGGAATAAAACATTTCGGTTTATCGCCAGGCGCGGCGGCTCACACCTGCCATCCCAGCCCTTTGGGAGGCCGGGGTGGGTGGATCACCTGAGGTCAGGAGTTGGAGACCAGCCTGGCCAACATGGTGAAACCCCGTCTCTACTAAAAATACAAAGATTAGCTGGGTGTGGTGGTGGGCGTCTGTAATCCCAGCTACTCGGGAGGCTGAGGCAGGAGAATCGCTTGAACCCGGGAGGTAAAGGTTATGGTGAGCCAAGATCATGCCACTGCACTCTAGCCTGGGCAACAAGAGCAAACTCTGTCTCAAAAAGAAAAAGAAAAGAAAAAAGAAAAAGTTTATTCCCAGTAAAACACGTTCAACTCTCCAGATCGTGGTGACATTTCCAGCTTGATGTGGTAACGTGATTGTGAGCTTCAGGTATGACCTTCAGCATAAATACGTGTGCCATCTCCTGTGCAATTCTTTTTTTTTTTTTTTTTTTTTTTTTTTTTTTTTTGAGACGGAGTCTCGCTCTGTCGCCCAGGCTGGAGTGCAGTGGCGGGATCTCGGCTCACTGCAAGCTCCGCCTCCCGGGTTCACGCCATTCTCCTGCCTCAGCCTCCCAAGTAGCTGGGACTACAGGCGCCCGCCACTACGCCCGGCTAATTTTTTGTATTTTTAGTAGAGACGGGGTTTCACCGTTTTAGCTGGGATGGTCTCGATCTCCTGACCTCGTGATCCGCCCGCCTCGGCCTCCCAAAGTGCTGGGATTACAGGCGTGAGCCACCGCGCCCGGCTCCTGTGCAATTCTTACAGACCCAGCTTGGCTGTTCTCCAGTGTCTCCTTTGGGAGTTGTACCTGATTTTATTACCAGTTTTCATCTGAATCCACTGGGGAATGGGACGATTTTGCTTTTGTTTCTTGGCCAGGAATCGCTTAATTCTGAAAGTCTGGTGAGAAGACACGGCGAGAATCGGGGTCCAGCACAGATGATGGCGACAGCGGAGAAGGGAAGGTAAGGGAGGGGGCTCAAGCTTTTATCGTTATGGGACCTCCTGTGTCTATTATGCTTTCTTCCATGATCTTTGTTAGTATGTTAATGACTTTGTTAATATATCCACACCTGCTTCCTTTTACTTAATATTTGTGTGGTATGCTTCTTTCCATTGCTTGATGTTCAAACTTGCTGTGTCTTTATGTTTCAGATGATTCTTGTCTCTGGAAGCCACACAGAGCCAGTTGTTTGTTTTGTTTGTTTGTTTCTTTCTTTCTTTTTTTGAGACGGAGTTTCGTTCTTGTCCCCCAGGCTGGAGTGCAATGGCACGATCTCGGCTCACTGCAACCTCCGCCTCCCAGGTTCAAGCAATTCTCCTGCCTCAGCCTCCCAAGTAGCTGGGACTACAGGTGCCCACCACCACGCCGTACTCATTTTGCCTTTTTAGTAGAGACGGGGTTTCACTGTGTTGGCCAGGCTGGTCTTGAACTCCTGACCTCAGGCGATTCACCCGCCTTGGCCTCCCAAAGTGCTGGGATTACAGGTGTGAGCCACCGCGCCCGGCGTTTTGTTTCATTTTTATTTTTGAGACACGGTCTTGCTCTGTCGCCCAGGCTGGAGTGCAGTGTCGCAATCTCGGCTCACTGCATCCTCCGCCTCCCGGGTTCAAGCCATTCTCGTGCCTCAGCCTCCCGAGTAGCTGGGACTGCAGGCGCCCACCACCACGCCCGGCTATTTTTTTTTTTAGAGGTGGGGTCTCACTATGTTGCCCAGGCTGGTCTCAAACTCCCAGGCTCAAGCGATCCTCTAGGCTTTGCTTCCAAAGTGCTGAAATTACAGATGTGAGCCACCATCTGACAATCTTGGTCATTTAGTCCACATGAATTTTGGGCTTTTGGCCTGGAGAACTACGAGAGAATACATTTCTGTGGTGTGAAGTTTAACACCCAGTTTGTGGTACATTGTTCAGCAACCCCAGGAAACTAAAGCAAGTGACTGCAGGTCTGGTCACCTTCCTCGGTGCCTGTGCCTGGGGTTGGTTCTGTCGAAGCAGGAAGACAACTGGCAGAGATGGGATGAAGTAACCAAAAGGAAAGGAAGATTCTAGCACCGTACGTCAGCATTAAGAAATCAGGAAACGGGCCGGGCGCGGTGGCTCACGCCTGTAATCTCAGCACTTTGGGAGGATGAGGTGGGCGGATCACGAGGTCAGGAGATCGAGACCATCCTGGGTAACACGGTGAAACCCCGTCTCTACTAAAAATACAAAAAATTAGCCAAGCGTGGTGGTGGGCGCCTGTAGTCCCAGCTGCTCGGGAGGCTGAGGCAGGAGAATTGCTTGAGCCCTGGAGGCGGAGCTTGCAGTGAGCTGAGATGGCACCACTGCACTCCAGCCTGGGCGACAGCAAGACTCCGTCTCAAAAAAAAAAAAAAGAAAAGAAATCAGGAAACATATACCATGTTTAACAGGGCATCTAAAATGATAAAAATAAATAGAAAATCCTGGGTTTTTTGTTTGTTTTGCTTGGGTTTGGTTTGGTTTTGAGACAGGGTCTCGCTCTGTCACCCAGGCTGGAGTGCAGTGGTGCGATCACAGCTCACTGCAGCCTCCACCTCCCGGGTTCAAGCTATCCTCCCACCTCAGCCTCCAAAGTAGCCAGGACTACAGGTGTGCGCCACCACGCCCGGCCAATTTTTTTATGTATTGCAGGGACAGGGTTTCACCATGTTGCCCAGGCTGGTCTCAAACTCCTGGGCTCAAGCCATCTGCCTGCCTCGGCCTCCCAAAGTCCTGGGACTGTGGTGTTTGTTTGTTTGAGACAGGGTCTTGTTCTCGTCGCCCAGGCTGGAGGGCAGTGGCGCGATCTCAGCTCACTGCAACCTCCACCTCCAGGGCTCAAGCAATTCTCCTGCCTCAGCCTCTCGAGTAGCTGGGACTACAGGTGTGAGCCACCACACCCAGCTAATTTTTGCATTTTTAGTAGAGATGGGGTTTCACCATGTTGGCTAGGCTGGTCTTGAACTCCTGACCTCAAGTGATTTGCCCGCCTCGTCCTCCCAAAGCGCTGGGATCACAGGCGTGAGCCGCCACCCCGCCTCCTCTTTGGTTTTCAGATGCTGACAATTTTGGTGACCCCTGAGATTTGCTGGGAGACGGGGAAGGGCCAGGATTCATATTCAGAATATGTTGATTTTTCACTCTTACACTTGTTTATTTAAAAATTATTTATTTATTTATTTGAATCTTATTTAAATATTTTATTTATTTGTTTATTACTGAGTCTTAGCTATCCTTCTCTTGTTATGTGCTGTGTGTAACAACAACAATTTGGGAACAGCCTAAGTATTCAGTGATGTGGGATGGGTTTTAACTAAATTAACTCTGTACTGTAACAGGCTCATTCTTCCATGGGAAACATGCAGTTGTTAAAACAACCTGCACAGATGCGTCCACCAACACGGATAGATGCGTGTTTTTGTTTTTTGGGTTTTTTTTTTTTTTTTTTGAGACAGGGTCTCGCTCTCTCACCCAGGCTGGAGTGCAGTGAAGCGATCTCGGCTCACTGCAGCCTCCGCCTCCCAGGCTCAAGTGATTCTCCTGCCTCAGCCTCCCAAGTATCTGGGATTACAGGTGCCCACCACCACGCCCAGCTAATTTTTGTATTTTTAGTAGAGATGGGGTTTCACCATGTTGGCCAGGCTGGTCTCAAACTGCTGACCTCAGGTGATCTACCCGCCTCGGTCTCTCAAAGTGCTGGGATTACAGGTGAGCCACTGCGCCCGGCCCATGCCCAGCTAATTTTTCGCATTTTTAGTAGGGACGGAGTTTCACCATATTGGCCAGGCTGGTCTTGAACTCCTGACCTCAGGTGATCTGCCTGCCTCGGCCTCCCAAAGTGCTGGGATTACAGGCGTGAGCCCCTGTACCTGGCCTTTTTTGTTGTTGTTGTATTTTTAGTAGAGATGGGGTTTCGCCATGTAGGTCAGGCTGGTCTCGAACTCCTGATCTCAAATGATCCTCCCGCCTCAGCCTCCCGAAATGCCGGCATTACAGGCATGAGCCGCCTGGCCTGGATAGATGTTTATGATACACTGTTGCATGAATGAAGCAGGTTACAAAACAGTGAAAGTATGGTGAGGCCTTTTCACCTTTGCTTTTTATTGATGTGAAATTCATATAACATAAAACTAACCATTTTAAAGAATGAAATCCAGTGGCGTTTAGTTATTTACCACGTTGTCCAACCATCACCTCTGTGGAGTTCTGAAACATTGTCACCCCCAAAGGGGCTTGTGGCTCTGAAGCAATCACCCCCCACTCCCCCTCCCTGGCCCCCGGTAACGGGGTCGGCTTCCTGTGCTGCGGCTCTACCAGTTCCGGTCGTTTCCCCTGCGGTGAATGGAACCAACACTCTGCGGCCTTCGTGTCTGGCTCTTTCCACTTAGCATAACGTTTTCAAGGTTCTTTCACATGAATCAGTGCCTCAGTCCTTTTCATGGCTGCATAATATTCCGTTGTGTGGACATTCCACACTTTGTGTGTCCATCCATCACTGATGGACATGTGCTCCGTTCCTGCTACTTGTTTATTGTAAACTGTGCTGCCATGGACATTTGTATGCAAGTATTTGAACACCTATTTTCAATTCTTTTGGACACATGCCTAGAAGTGGAACTGCTGGGTTCCCAATAATTCTGTTGAACGTTTTGAGCATCGCGGCGGCCGCACTGTTTTACATTCTCAACAGCAATGCATGTACCAGGATTCCAGTTCCTCTATGTATTCCCCAGTGCTTGTTACTGCCTTTATGTTTATTTTATATTATTTTTTGAGACTGTCTTGCTCTGCTGCCCAGGCTGGAGTGCATTGGTGCAATCTTGGCTCACCACAATCTCTGCCTCCTGGGTTCAAGGGATTCTCCCGCCTCAGCCTCCCAAGTAGCTGGGATTACAGGCGTGCACCACCACGCCCAGCTAATTTTTGTATTTTTAGTAGAGATGGGGTTTCTACTAAAAATGTTGGCCAGGCTGGTCTCAAACTCCTGACCTTAGGTGATCCGCCCGCCTCAGCCTCCCAAAGTGTTGGGATTGCAGGCGTGAGCCACCGCACCCGGCCTGGCCTTTATTTTTATTATTACAGTCATACCAGCAGGAAATAGCATCTCACTGGGGTTTTGATTTGCATTTCCCCAATTAATAATGATGTTGAACATCACTTTACAGCCGTTTCTATGTCATTGGAGAAATGTCTATTGAAGTCTTTTGGCCATTTGAAAATTGAGTTGCCTTTTTTTTTTATTTTTATTTTTTATTGAGTTGTAAGAGTTCTCTATATGTCCTGGATGCTATGCCCTCATCAGATAGATAATTTGCAAATATTTCTTCCCATTCTATGGATTGTCTTTTCACTTTCTCAATAGTGTCCCAGAGTTCATTTTTGTAGAAAATAAAAGATAGGTCTCTTTTATTAAAAAACAATCTGAGGCTCCGGGTGCAGTGGCTCACGCCTGTAATCCCAGCAGTTTCAGAGGCCGAGGCAGGTGGATCACTTGAGCCCAGGAGTTCGAGATCAGCCTGGGCGACATGGCGAGACCCCCATCTCTACTAAAAATACAAAAAATTAGCCGGGCCTGGTGGTGCACCCCTGTGGTCCCAGCTACGTGGGAGGCTGAGGTGAGAGGATCGCTTTAGCCTGGCAGGCGGAGGTTGCAATGAGATGAGATCGTGCCTCTGCACTCCAGCCTGGGCGACAGAGTGAGAGACCCTGTCTCAAAAACACAAAAACAACAACAAAAAAACACCAATCTGAGCAAATACTGCCCTAAACCGAGTGTTGTTATCTCTGGGTAGTTTGGAGTTCTTGTTTCTCAATTAACCATGGGGATGTTTTCCAAGTTTACTAATTTTGCAAGTTGGTAAATGGAAAATGAAACCATTAGTCCATGTGATGACAGCTTTAGTGCATCCTGTGAAGGATCTGGAATGCGCGATATTTAGGTGTTTCCAGGGTGTTGGGTGGGGGTGGGGATGCCGTCCGCTGTCCGGAGTCCCCGCCACTTTTGCTTTTCCCTGTCTTTCGGTCATTCGGTTTTGTTTCTTCCGCTCACTCTGGGGCATGCCTCGGGAAAGGGAAACCGAAACTGAAGCCAAATTTGGCCACCAGCGCAGGCTCGGCGGCACGCCCCCTGACGTGTGTGCCTCAGGCTTATAATAGGGCCGGTGCTGCCTGCCGAAGCCGGCGGCTGAGAGGCAGCGAACTCATCTTTGCCAGTACAGGAGCTTGTGCCGTGGCCCACAGCCCACAGCCCACAGCCATGGTAAGGCAGATGTCACAGGTGGGGGGAGGTGGGCTCTGTGCCAGCCAATTTTCGTCTCCCTCCCCCAGCCAAGGTCTCCCAGGGGTGCAGGGAGAGCGGAGCTGCTCAGAGCTTGGCCAGGTTCTAAGTGTGCTCCTGAAAGCAGGTCACCCCTGAGATCCTCAGGGTGGGGCACAGAGGGGCACCCTAGCAGGTAAAGGGAGGCCACGGGATGGCGGTGGGCAGCTGGCCTTCTAGTAACGAGCCCTCAGTGCCTTCTGTGCCTGGGGTCCCTGCCGGCGGGATGTAGAGGACAGACAGGAGGGAGCACTGTCCCTGGGTACAGGAGCTCGCCCTGCAGCCAGTGCCTTGTGTGTGGTGGGCCTGGGGCTGGCGCCGCAGTCTCTGAACCTGTGTGACGCCTGCAGGGCTGGGACCTGACGGTGAAGATGCTGGCGGGCAACGAATTCCAGGTGTCCCTGAGCAGCTCCATGTCGGTGTCAGAGCTGAAGGCGCAGATCACCCAGAAGATCGGCGTGCACGCCTTCCAGCAGCGTCTGGCTGTCCACCCGAGCGGTGTGGCGCTGCAGGACAGGGTCCCCCTTGCCAGCCAGGGCCTGGGCCCCGGCAGCACGGTCCTGCTGGTGGTGGACAAATGCGACGAACCTCTGAGCATCCTGGTGAGGAATAACAAGGGCCGCAGCAGCACCTACGAGGTACGGCTGACGCAGACCGTGGCCCACCTGAAGCAGCAAGTGAGCGGGCTGGAGGGTGTGCAGGACGACCTGTTCTGGCTGACCTTCGAGGGGAAGCCCCTGGAGGACCAGCTCCCGCTGGGGGAGTACGGCCTCAAGCCCCTGAGCACCGTGTTCATGAATCTGCGCCTGCGGGGAGGCGGCACAGAGCCTGGCGGGCGGAGCTAAGGGCCTCCACCAGCATCCGAGCAGGATCAAGGGCCGGAAATAAAGGCTGTTGTAAAGAGAAATGGCCGCCTCTGTGTCTGTGCTTGCCCCTCCTCCAGCGTCCGCCTCAGACCCCTGGTGATGGGGCGGGAGAAGTCAGGAGGGAGAACCCAGGGTCCATCCTGGTGACCAGGCCTGGGCTGCCAAGTGAAGGGATAAGGGTTTGCAGTTACAGCTTCGAGGGATCAAAATAGGGAGCCCCCCACCCCGAAACTGAAGTAAGACAGCTCTCCCCACCCTTTGGGAAATTAACTTCTAGGAAAAGAAAAAGAGACACAGTTGCTGGAGCCCATCCTGCCTGTCCTCCATCTGGGACAGCAGACGGCTTAGGCAGGGACCCGCCTGATCAGATCAAAAGGGGAGGCTCCCAGTGGGCCCCTGGGAGCAGTAAGGGGTGAGTCCTTGGGGCCTGCCCGGTGGGCTGTGAGGCAGGCTCTCCATAGGAACTGGGGGCTGGGGACCTCAGCCGTCCCTAGCCCAGCCTACACAGCCTGCTCCACCTGCCTGGGCTGGGCTAGGGAGGGGTAGAGACAGGTCCTGAGCACTCACATCACCACTGGGGCCAGCTGCAGAAGACAGCCTGGGTGGCTAAGTACACCCCCTCAAGGCTGTGCGTGAAGGAGGGGCCGTGGCCAGCAGTGGAGGGCACCTGGAGTTGGGGCTGACACCGTCCAGGAAGCAGAGCTTGTCCCAGGTGGGGGGCCCCCAATTCAGTACAAGCTACAAGCTACACCCCTTCCCCCACCCATGCACCCTTCTCTGTCTCTCCTATTCCAATTTGCTAAATGAGTCTCCTAGAAGCCAGCTGTTGGCCGGGAAGCAGGGAGGACGGGGCACGGATGTCGGCTGGGATGCAGCGAGGACGGGGCACAGAGGGACATGCAGAGTCCGGACTCTGGGCACTTGGGCCTCAGCTTTCAGAGCCCTCGGGAGGATCCGGCTGGAGACACAGAGTCCCCCCTGGTCTGTGGGGGTCCATATCCAGGTGGGGAGACCCCCATCTGGCTGCACCAGGACCACTGTGTGTGCCCGCATGTGCCCAGCAGGGGGTGTCCTGGCTCCAGCCTTGTGTCCGGGTCCCCACCTCACCCCTGTGTCACAATGGGCGAGTGAAGCACTTAGCCAGGGGCCTTTCCTGAACCCCCAACGGGGGCAGGGCAGGGCAGGGCCTCCTTTGTGGCTTCTGGCTCAGAGATCTGTAGCTAGCCTGGGGTGAGAGGGGCACCACAGGCCCAGTCCTTTTTATTATTATTTTTTTTGACACGGAGTCTCGCTTTGTCGCCCAGGCTGGAGTGCAGTGGCGCGATCTCTGCTCACTGCAAGCTCCACCTCCCGGGTTCACGCCATTCTCCTGCCTCAGCCTCCCGAGTAGCTGGGACTACAGGCGCCCGCCACCACGCCCGGCTAATTTTTTTTTGTATTTTCAGTAGAGGCGGGGTTTCACCGTGTTAGCCAGGATGGTCTCGATCTCCTGACCTCGTGATCCGCCCATCTCGGCCTCCCAAAGTGCTGGGATTACAGGCGTGAGCCACCGCACCCGTGCTTTTTTTTTTTTTTTTGAGATAGAGTCTCACTCTGTCGCTCAGGCTGGAGTGCAGTGGCGCCATCTCGGTTCACTGCAACCTCCACCTCCCGGGTTCAAGCAATTCTCCTGCCTCAGCCTCCCAAGTAGTTGGGATTAATGGTGCCCGCCACCTCACCCAGCTAACTTTTTTTTGTGTTTTTAGTAGAGACAGCGTTTCACTGTATTGGCCAGGCTAGTCTCGAATTCCTGACCTCATGATCCGCCCGCTTCAGCCTTCCAAAGTGCTAGGGTTACAAGTGTGAGCCCCCGCACCCGGCCTAATTTTTGTATTTTTAGTAGAGATGGGGTTTCATCATGTTGGCCAGGCTGGTCTTGAACTCCTGGCCTCAAGTGGTCCGCCTGCCTCGGGCTCCCAAAATGCTGGGATTACAGGTGTGAACCACTGGGCCTGACTGACCCAGTCCTTTTTTTAAAAAAATTACTTACTTTTCCCAGGGTCATACTCTCAGCTAGGCTGGAGTGCAGTGGCACAATCACCGCTCACCGCAGCCTCCACCTCCCACACTCAAGTGATCCTCCCGCCTCAGCCTCCCGAGGAGCTGGGATTACAGGTGCGTGTCACCACACCTGGCTAATTTTGTATTTGTTTTGTTTTGTGTTTCTTTGAGATGGAGTTTCGCTCTGTCGCCCAGGCTGGAGTGCAGTGGTGTGATCTCGGCTCACTGCAAGCTCCACCTCCTGAGTTCAAGCGATTCTCCTGCCTCAGCCTCCTGACTGGCTGGGATTACAGGTGCGTGTCACCCGGCTAATTTTTTAGTAGAGGCAGTTTCACCATGTTGGTCAGGCTGGTCCCGAACTCCTGACCTTGTGATCCACTCCCCCCTTGGCTGCCCAAAGTGCTGGGATCACAAGCGTGAGTTACCGTGCCCTGTCTGTATTTATAGTAGAGACAGAGTTTCACCATGTTGGCCAGGCTGGTCTCGAACTACTGACCTCAAGTGATCCGCCCACCTCGGCCTCCCAAAGTGCTGGGATTACAGGCCTGAGCCACCACGCCCGGCCCGTCGACTAATTTTTTTTTTTTGAAACAGTCTCGCTCTGTCACCCAGGCTGGAGTGCAGTTGCACTGTGTCCAGAATTGGTGGGTTCTTGGTCTCACTGACTTCAAGAATGAAGCCACGGACCCTCGCGGTGAGTGTTACAGCTCTTAAGTCGGCGCGTCTTCAGTTCGTTCCTTCTGATGTTCGGATATGTTCGGAGTTTCTTCCTTCTGGTGGGTTCGTGGTCTCGCTGGCTCAGGAGTGAAGCTGCAGACCTTGGCGGCGAGTGTTACAGCTCTTAAGGCAGCGCGTCTGGATTTTTTGTTCCTCCCGGTGGGCTCGTGGTCTCGCTGGTTTCAGGAGTGAAGCTGCAGACCTTGGCGGTGAGTGTTACAGCTCATAAAAGCAGTGTGAACCCAAAAAGTGAGCAGTAGCAAGATTTATTGCAAAGAGCGAAAGAACAAAGCCTCCACTGTGTGGAAGGGGACCTGACCGGGTTGCCACTGCTAGCACCGGCAGCCTGCTTTTATTCTCTTATCTGGCCCCACCCACATCCTGCTGATGGGTAGAGCCTAGTGGTCTGTTTTGACAGGGCGCTGATTGGTGCATTTACAATCCCTGAGCTAGACACAAAGGTTCTCCACGTCCCCACCAGATTAGTTAGATACAGAGTATCCACACAAAGGTTCTCCAAGGCCCCACCAGAGTAGCTAGATACAGAGTCCACTGGCACATTCACAAACCCTGAGCTAGACACAGGGCGCTGATTGGTGTATTTACAAACCTTGAGCTAGATACAGAGTGCCGATTGGTGTATTTACAATCCCTGAGCTAGACATAAATGTTCTCCAAGGTCTCACCAGAGTAGCTAGATACAGAGTGTCCACTGGCGCATTCACAAACCCTGAGCTAGACACAGGGTGCTGATTGGTGTATTTACAAACCTTGAGCTAGATACAGAGTGCCGATTGGTGTATTTACAATCCCTGAGCTAGACATAAAGGTTCTCCAAGGCCCCACCAGAGTAGCTAGATACAGAGTGTCTGTCTATTGGTGCATTCACAGACTCTGAGCTAGACACAGGGTGCTGATTGGTGTATTTACAATCCCTGAGCTAGACATAAAGGTTCTCCACGTCTCCACCACTCAGGAGCCCAGCTGGCTTCACCCAGTGGATCCCGCACTGGGGCTGCAAGTGGAGCTGCCTGCCAGTCCTGCGCTGTGCACCCGCACTCCTCAGCCCTTGGGTGGTCATGGGACTAGGCACGGTGGAGCAGGGGGCAGCGCTCATCGGGGAGGCTTGGGCCGCACAGGAGCCCACGGAGGGGGTGGGAGGCTCAGGCATGGTGGGCTGCAGGTCCCCAGCTCTGCCCCGCCGGAAGGCAGCTAAGGCCTGGCGAGTAATCGAGTGCAGCGCCAGTGGGCTGGCACTGCTGGGGGACCCACTACACCCTCCGCAGCCGCTGGCCCGGGTGCTAAGCCCCTCATTGCTCCGGGCCGGCAGGGCCGGCCGGCTGCTCCAAGTGCGGGGCCCACCAAGCCCACGCCCACTCGGAACTCCAGCTGGCCCGCAAGAGCCGCGCGCAGCCCCGGTTCCCGCTCATGCCTCTCCCTCCACACCTCCCTGCAAGCTGAGGGAGCCGGCTCCCGCCTTGGCCAGCCCAGAAAGGGGCTCCCACAGTGCAGCGGTGGGCTGAAGGGCTCCTCAAGTGCCACCAAAGTGGGAGCCCAGGCAGAGGAGGCGTGAAGACCGAGAGAGGGCTGTGAGGACTGCCAGCACGCTGTCACCTCTCAGCACCATCTCAGCTCACTGCAACCTCCGCCTCCTGGGTTCAAGCGATTCTCCTGCCTCAGCCTCCCAAGTAGCTAGGACTACAGGCGCCTGCCACCACACCGGCCAATTTTTGTATTTTTAGTAGAGACGGGGTTTCACCATGTTGGCCAGGCTGGTCTCGAACTCCTGACCTCCCGTGATCCACCTGCCTCAGCCTCCCAAAGTGCTGGGATTACAGGCGTGAGCCACTGCGCCCGGCCCATCCAGCTAATTTTTAATTTTTTTGAGAGATGGGGTCTTGCTATTTTGCCCAGGCTAGTCTCGAACACCCGGTGTCAAGAGATCTTGCTGCCTCCGCCTCCCAGAGTGCTGGGATGACAGGCGTGAGTCACCACGCCCAGCCTAGACACAGTTCTGAAGGGACAAAGGGGGCCTCCGCTCCCTCCTTTCAATCTTCAGCTAGGCCAGGCTCCCACTTGGGTCCTCCAGCCCTCAGTTTCCCCCTGCACCCAGCCAGGCCAAGCTGCAGAGGCGCCCGGCCCAGAGCTGGGAAGGGGCGTGGCGGGACCCGCGCTTGCAGCCGCGGGACGGAAGGGGGCGCGAACCTCCCCGCGGCGGGGCCTGGGGGGGCGGGGCCGGGAGGGGCGGGGCCGCGCCCCGTGCTGGCCAATCAGCGCCCGCCCCGGCACCGGGACCCGCCTCCGCGCCGCAGCTCCCGGGGGGTCCGGCCCGGCCGAGCCTCGGTGTCCGGCCCCGCGGGGGAGGGGCGCGGCCTGCGGAGCGGGATCGGGGCCGGGTCTGGGGCCCCTCCCGGCGGCCTTCGAGCCCTGCCGCCCGGCTCCGCGCCGCCCGGAGCCCCTCGGCAGTCCCGTCACGTCTCCTCCAGATTAGGCATTAACTCGGGTGCAGCCGCACTTCCGGGGGGCCGCGGCGGGGGAGGGGCGCCTGCGGGATCCAGACCCGCCCCCCACTCTCCTCTCCCCGCCCCCTCCCGGGCCGCCCCTTTCCCGCCCCACGGCCGCGCCGGGCGCTGCGTCCCGGGGCTTTGTTCGCGGCGGCGCGGGTCGCCGGCCTCCGGGCGGGCCGGGGGAGGGAGGAGGGAGGGGGCGGGAGGGGGAAGGAAGGAGGAGGGGGAGGAGGAGGGCGCGGGGAGGGGGTAGGGGGGCGGGGAGGAGAGAGGGGGAGGGGCGCCGCCCTGGCCCCGCCCCCCCCCGCCCGCCCGCCCGCGCTCCGCCGCCTCCGGAGCTGCGTCCCGTCCTGTCCAGTCCCGTCCCCGGCGCGGCCCGCGCGCTCCTCCGCCGCCTCTCGCCTGCGCCATGGCCGGCCGGTCCCACCCGGGCCCGCTGCGGCCGCTGCTGCCGCTCCTTGTGGTGGCCGCGTGCGTCCTGCCCGGAGCCGGCGGGACATGCCCGGAGCGCGCGCTGGAGCGGCGCGAGGAGGAGGCGAACGTGGTGCTCACCGGGACGGTGGAGGAGATCCTCAACGTGGACCCGGTGCAGCACACGTACTCCTGCAAGGTGCGCCCACCCGGACCCCGGCCTCCCCTCGCGACGCCTGCCGCCCCGCCGGGACCCCCGCCCCAGGCCGTGGGAACCAGCCCCGGTCGCTCCGCAGCCCCCGCTCCGGCTCCCTTGGCGACCGCCAAGCCCCGGGAGGGGGGGTCGCCGGGTCCCGGGAAACTCGCGGGCGCCGGGGAAAGTTGCTGCGCCGCCGCCGTCCTCCGCCCGCCGCCGCCTCCCTCCTCGCGGAGACAAGTGCACCTCGCCCACGGACTGCGGCTGCCGCGCGCCCTCCCTACCGGCCGAGAAGGAGAGGGGCCTGGGGAGGGGGGGCCTTTGCCCGGGCGGGGAGCGGGGGCTGGGCCTGGGATCCGCTTGTTCCCCTCCCCAGAGGCCTTTCCCGGGGCGAGAGGGGTTGGTCAGGAGAGAAAAAGGGGCGCACAGCCTGAGCTCCCAACCCCGGGAGCCAGGTGGGGGGTGCCGCAGTGGTGCGGGGGGGGGGCGTGCAGGAGCAGAGAGGTGGGCGGGGCCGTCACCGGGCCTCGTGTGCTTGGGGGCAGGGCCGGTGCCCCATCGCGCTCCTGCGGGAACCGGGGCTCCCCACCCCGGGGAGGGGAAGTTTCCCTGGTTTCTCCTTCAGGTGCTTCTGGGAGCCCCCGGGGTAGGTACGCTGGGACCCCCACCATCTTCTCCTAGTAGGGGCTCGGGGGACCCAGAGCCGGCGCCCGTGTACCCCCAAAACCATCTCCTGGGACCAGAAATCCACTCATTTCCCTCCACGGAGGTGGAGAAGGTGGCAGCTTCTTTCAGACTGGCCGGTGCGGGCTACAGCTGGGCTCCCCCGCCGGCCCAGTCTCCTCCACAGCGGCCAGGGCACTTTGCCAGGCCCCTGCAGGATTTTCCCGACTTCCTCCCCGCTGCTCCTGGGTGTGGCTGGGGTGGGGGAAGGCGATGAAAGCCACCAGGCCCTCCCCCTGCCTGGGTCATCTGCCTCCTGGAGCCTACTGTTGGGGGGCGTGGAAGAGGCTCTGCCTGCGCAACTGGAGGGGGTCCCTGCGGATGCCGCAGTCCTGAGGCTCCCAGCAGGGGCTGCGCAGTGGACAGGCCAACCATTGTCTCTCCCCCCATCCGGCAGCCCCAGCCCCCCAGATCTGAGGAAGGGGCTGCTTCTCCCGGCTTTGTTCTCAGGGGAGTGCGTGAGTGCGTGGGTCCCTGTCCCCGTGAGGGCCGCCAGGTCGGCTGTAGCCTTTACCACAGGCCACCGTCAGAGCAGCTGCCCTCAGGGCCCCAGGAGCTGAGAAGGTGGAGGGTGGGGCACCCTGCACTGCCCAAACTTGATTTCGTGGTTCACAGGCTGCCCTGAGTGCACAGACTGTAGAAGCCCGAGGAAGGGGCGTCTCAGCCCAGCCACAGGGCCAAGCTGGCCCCTTACCCCAACGCCCCATCCCCCTCCTCCACTGCCCAAGCTTGCTGGGAGGTGGGCCCTGAGCACTGGGCAGGTGGGGAGAAGTGTGGAAGGCAGGCACCCCAAGCCAGGTGGGCCCCCTTCCCAAATTCGGCCTTAGCTGATAGGGACGTTATTGGAGCTGGGGTGGCTGAAGTTGGTTAGACCTGGGGGAGGGGATGTGTTCACAGGTGACGCATCTCTGAGCGTTCCCGCATGGGCTGTGGTGGCCAGTGTGGGCTTCCCCCAGCTTCCGCCCAGCGGGCTGACTCAGAGGTCTCCCCACATCTCTGCCCAGGGCTTGAGTCTACTGTGGACATTTGCCCTAAACACCTAAAGCCCCCAGTCTAGCCCCTTCCCCAGGAGAGGACTAATGACACCTACCGCCATGTCCACCCCAGGTTCGGGTCTGGCGGTACTTGAAGGGCAAAGACCTGGTGGCCCGGGAGAGCCTGCTGGACGGCGGCAACAAGGTGGTGATCAGCGGCTTTGGAGACCCCCTCATCTGTGACAACCAGGTGTCCACTGGGGACACCAGGATCTTCTTTGTGAACCCTGCACCCCCATACCTGTGGCCAGCCCACAAGAACGAGCTGATGCTCAACTCCAGCCTCATGCGGATCACCCTGCGGAACCTGGAGGAGGTGGAGTTCTGTGTGGAAGGTGCGTGGTGGGGGGCTCGTGTGGGGGCCTGTGGGGGTCAGGGCAGTGGCCAAGGGGGACAGGTTGCAGGGGTCGCTGTGCGGGGTCCTTTCGTGCTGTGCCGGAGGCTGCAGCACACGGTGTCTTGTGGTCCAACCTCATTCTCTGCTTCTCCGTCCCTGGCTCCCCAGCTGCATCTCCAAGCCCTCACATTAGACATCTTTGGCCCTGGGGCCCAAGGCAAGTCCCAGCCCTGCAAACAGATGGCCTCCTGCCTCCTCCCCTCCTCCCAGCTCTCCATACTTCCTTCTGGAGGCCCCTTCTAGGGAGAAGCTGGACAGGTGAATGTCCCCAGCTGTTCAAGCCCCTGTGTTAGCCCAGACCTCCGTCTAGACGGGCCCGCGTGTCGAGCACTCCTCGCCGTGGAGATCGGGCGGGAGGGCGAGGCTGTGCGGCGAGGGCTTCTGCGGATGTGGAGGGTGTGGCATTTGCCATCGTGAGGTCTTGCTTGCTGTTCCCATGGCTCTGCCGAAGGGCCGAGGAGTGGCCCTCCCTGACCCCAGCCTGGTGGGGGCAGAAATCCCATGGCAGCCCCCGCAGGACAAGTCCCAGTTGGGGACTGAGATCGTTGGCTGGGGAATGTGGCAGGGAAAATATAGGAGGTCCCTGTCGCCCCCACATCCTGTCTGCTCCCTCATGGCTGCCTGGGAAGGGATGTGTCGGTGGGGGGGTCTGGAGAGTGCTTCCTCCTCAAGGCAACGGTAAGGGTCCTGACTTCCCGTCTCTCCGATCTGCTCCGTTGGCCGGCAGGAAACTTTGCTGCCCTGACACTAGCCTGGCTCTTGAGGGGTCCTTGTGGGGTCCTGGACTGTCCACTGCTCTTGCCTTCTCTGTGCATGCCTGGGGGCTATGCAGGGGGAGGGGCAGCACCCAAAATAAGGAACGCTGCGGCCTTTTCCCCAGCCTGTGGTCAGTGGTCCCCAAGCTGCCTTCAGGGTCCAGGGCCTCAGTGCAGCACAGAGGAGGGTCCCCTGGGTCCCCCACTGGGAGGACATGATAACCTTGGTCCTCTTCTGGGCACTCATGGTCTGGGGAAAAGATGGGGGCATCGTGGACTCAGGATAGGCTGTCAGGAGCTGAGGAGGGGCTGGAGAAGGGGGTTAGGGCGAGGAGAGGTTCCTGTCCCTGCAAGATCAGGAGAGGGGGTCACTAACCCCACAGCCAGGTGGGTCCAGCCCGAGAGTCCGTGACTTAGTAGCTGAGGACTTGCTCTAGGGTCAGAGGGCACATGGCAGGAGAGTCACCCCGGCTGAACGAGGCTCTGCATCTTACCGAAGCCGCTCTACGGGTGCCAGGCACTGGCTCTGGAGCGAGTGCCCAGGCGGAGCAGAGCGCTGGGAGGAGGGTCCGTGGGGAGCCCCTGCCAGGTGGGTGTGGCTTAGCCCAGCTGTGGGCAGTCGCACTCAGGGACGAGCTCCAGGTGGGGAGCCTGGGACCCACAGCCAGTATGCAGCTTGGGGAGCACCCGGGAGGGGCTGTGGCCACCGGACCCCCTGGGGTGGGGCTGGCCAGGGGAGGGTTAGCCAGGGAGGACTGTCATGGGAGGGGCCTTGCAGGTGAGCCAGGGGCCAAGGGGAGCCTCAGGAGGGAAACAGCATGAGGAGTGGGGGAGCCCAGGAGCTTCCGGTGGGACATGTGGAGCTCTGCTGTGGAAGTAGACCAGGGATATCTCGGGTGGCTGGGGTCCCTGGCTGCCGGGACAGGGTAAATGCCTCCCAGAAGCCTGGGGTGAGCCCTGAGGGACAAGGTCTCTGGAGCCAGTCTGGCTGGAGAAGGGACAATTCTGTGTGCCCACCCCTCCCCTCACACTGGGTGGTGTGGGAGGTGGGTCCATCTCCTGCTCTGTAGGAGATAAGGACATTGAACCCCACCCTGGGCCCTCTGGTAGCCAAGGCCTCACCCTAGTGAGGGGGATGGATGGAGGGAGCTTGAGCCTAGCTGACCTCTCCCCATCTGACTCCGACCCCACCTCCCAGGGCACAGGATGGCGTCTGGGCAGCCCCTAGTCTTCAGAAGCTACCCCTGAGACCACAGGGTCCCACCTTGTATGGGAACCCCATCCTGGAGACAAAGGCCCCTCCGAGCTCCCCAGGTCGGGGAGGGCCACGCCCCTCACCACCCCTGCCCGGACACCGCCTGAGGTGCACCTGCTGCTGGGCCACACCTGGACTCAGCTCTACTGAGGACTTCCTTTCCTCAGTTTCTCACCTGGCCCTGCCAGATCTTCCTGGCCCTGCCCAGCCAAGGCCCCTCCCCCAGTCAACAACCCTCAGAAAGGCTCCTCCCCCCTTCTCTGCCTAGGGAGCCACATTCCTGGCATAACTAAGACAGGTATGTGTCCCTCCCTCTGCGCCACCTTTGGGCGGGGGAGGCCCGCTGCTCCCTCCGGAAGGAGACCCCCGCCCCTGCTTTGTCAGGGAAGTGGCCTGGCCTCCGCAGTGCCAGCTGCCCAGGGCTGGCGGCTGAGCGGGCGACTCCTCCGGCCCTCGCCACCCTGTCCTGTCTGGGCACTGCCCATGCCCTCCCAGCCCACCTCACAAAGGCTGGTCCTAGAGCCTCCCTGAAGCCCCCAGGAGGGACTCCTGGCTGAGGGCCGGCCAGGCCGCCCGGGGCCCATCCCTCCCTGCTAGGAGCCAGGAGCAGAGAAAGGGAGTGTTGTCTGCCCCTGCCGGGGCCTGGCACAGGGACAGGGCAGGGGGCCAGGGTCAGAGTGAGTCTGGCGCCTTCCCAGCCCGGCCCTGCCCAGCTCTGAAGCCCGGGGTCCCGGCGGCCTAGTCCCGGGCCCGCCTGTATTCCGGCGTGTGCACCCTCCCTTCCTCCCTGCCTGGCCAGCTGCCTAGGCCTCAGGACGGCAGTCCTAGGGGAAGCCCAGAGTCCCACGGCACCGGGGACAGCATCGGTGCTGGGGTTGAGGGGCCCGACAGCCCCAGACCAGGCTCCCCTCAGTGTGGGGCAGTCTAGGAGTTGGGGGAGGTTTCTGGGATGCAGGAGGACCTCCCATAGGGCTGGGGCCAGCCCCCTCTCCTGCCCAGGGCTCAGCTCCTGCCCCCAACTCCTCCGCATTCCTGCCACCCTCTCCTGCCCCCTCCTGACTCCAGGTTCTCATCCTGCCCCCTGGTTCCCCCACCCCCACCCCATGAGCCCCTCTCTGGCCCTCCCCCAGGCAGGTCTGGGCTCGAGGCTGCTGCCCCAATCTCCCTCCTGCAGCTGGGAGGGGGTCTGCCGGGTGGGAGGGCGGAGGGCCTACCTCTGTCCCTCCCCACTCACCTCTGTGTCTCCCCACCCAGGGGCTCCTGGTAGGAAGTTGGGGCCCCACCTCTGTTTCTCCTGGAGCTGGGAGGGGGGTCTGCCGGGTGAAGGGCCCACCTCTGTCCATCCCAACCCCGGGGCTCCTGGTGGGAAGTCGGGGCTCGGTGCTTCCCGCCTGCGTGAATGGACTTGTCCCGTCTTTGACTTCTCCTGGGCTTGCCCCTGCCTTGGCCTGGGGGGGGGCTTTGCTGGCTGAAACCAAAGGGAGTGAGGTGGTGGGAGGGGTAGGGGAATCGGGTTGGTCAGTTCTGTGGAGATGACCTCTTTGAGAGGGCCGGGCTGAGCTGGTGGAAGGAACTCTTGGCTTTTTCCAGACCCCACCCCACTCCCTCACTCCCCACCCAGAGAACAGCCCTGGCTCCATTGTTCCTGCAGACTAGAGAGGGAAGGTTGTTTTGGAACTGGGCTCGCTCCCGCTTGTCCACACTGGCCGCTCTGGTGGGGCCTCTGTGGGTGGTGGTGGGGATGGCACCTGCTGCAGCCTCCAGGCCAAGGTAGGGGAGAAGGAGGTTAGGGTGAGGACAGGTTCCTGTCCCTGCAAGATCAGGAGAGGGAATCATTAGCCCCACAGCCTGCAGAAGGCGGGATGGGGCTGCTCCAGGGAAGGGGGTGCCCGTGCCTCGGGGCCACAGGTCCGGCCAGAGGTCATTCCAGCCAGGCCCATGCAGCTTCCTTCCTGAAGGGCTGACTCTGCCCCCATCACTGCAGGAGGGTGGAAAACAACTGCAGAAGCAGACGCCCCACGCCCAGGGCTTTGCTTCCACCTGTGGGACCCAGGTCCACAGCCCCACCAGCGGCCTGGGTGGGGCAGGAACGGACCCCCTCCCTGCAGTCCTGGTTCTGGCACCCCCTCCCCACTTGGACTGGGCTCCCCAGGGCCCCCGAAGCCCAGCGGGGCTGGGGCTGCAGACGGAAACACCGTGGTGGCCTGCCCACCTCAGGATGGAACCCCGGGGTCCCAGGAGGTGCCTGCCCCTCAGAGATGAGAAAAAGGAAGTGCAGGGCTGAGATATCACCCCATGGACAGTCGCCCGCTGGAGGAGGAGGCTCTGTACCCCTGCACCTCCTGCCTGCTGGGTGAGCTGCTGGGAGCTGCACTGGGGCTCAGAGCAGTCCTGTGCGCCCCTCAGGCTGTGGCAAGATTGTGGCTGGGATCTAGGGAATGAGGCAGGTCTCTAGCGGAGCCTGCAGCACTGAGGGAAGCCCCCCCGAAGGGGCCTCTCCCCCCAGCACAGATCCTGGGAACTTCCTCTGAGGAAGGCCCCCTGCCAGGGGCAGCTCACAGCAGGACCTGGGAAAGGGAGACGGCCCCTCCCAGCCCCCTCCTCCTGCAGTCCCCCCACGGAGCAGAGGCGTGGGAGAAGGGGCGTGCTGTGTCCTACAGGCAGCCGGCTGT
Source organism: Homo sapiens (assembly GCF_000001405.40). Taxonomy (NCBI): domain Eukaryota; kingdom Metazoa; phylum Chordata; class Mammalia; order Primates; family Hominidae; genus Homo; species Homo sapiens. The sequence goes on from NC_000001.11 coordinate 1,027,207, forward strand.
TTCCAGCTGTGTGGCCTGCGTGTGTGCATGTGTTTGTGTGTGTGTGTACACGCATGTGTGTGCACGTGCCTGCAGCCTCAGATGTACCAGCCTGTGCACTTCAGAATTCTGCCTGGAGCCTCCACTAGTGGGCCATGGTTCTTACCACCCTATGTCCCTGGGTTCAGCCCGGGCTGGTGCTGCAGGTGTGAGGCTGGTGGTGGGTGACCCTGGCCTGTCCAGGGGGCCTCGGAGCTGGGCTCTTCCTCTGTCCTCGTGCACGTGTCTCGCCTCAGCTTGCTGTTGGTTGTCCACTCTCCTGCCCCCTGCTCACTGCGTCCAGCACGCTGCCCCGTGTCTGGCAAAGGGCCCAGGACCTTCTGCAGGTGCTGCCTCTGAGATGACCAGTGTGGTTTCTGAAGGTTTGAGATGAAGGCATGCTGGGTCCCTTGGGGCGGCAGTGAGGACAGGAGAGGGTCCTGGGTCACAGTCCCTCACATGCCTGCGGGACCTCGAGACTGACACAGATGCCCACCCCTGCCCAGATGGGACTCTGTCTGGGGGCAGCAGGGCAGTCTGGGAGTCAGACCAGGCCTGGTCAGGGTGGGAGCGGGGGTCTGTCGCTGGCCTGAGCCTCCCTGCCCCGCCGTTTGGCAGCCACCTTGGCCACCCTCACACTGGGCCCTAGGAGAAGCAAGCCCCTGCGTGTCCGCAGGTGGGAGGCTCCCACGCACCCCCCGCTGGAGAAGCACAAGCACAAACACCGGCCCACGGCCGCCCCGGCCCACAGCAGCTGGTGGGGAGGGGCTGTGCCCCCTTCTCTCCCCAGGGGAGGCTGGGGTGTGAGCAGGGCTCACCATGACCTTCACTGATTTCATCATCAGTGCCTTCCCCATTCACACACTCACGGTTGGCACCTCCACGGGGCTTCCCAGGGAAGCCGGGAAGGAGCTGTGCATTGAGGGGTGAAAGCCCGTGCAGAGAACCGTGGGAGAAAGAGGCTGTGGACACGGGGCGGAAGAGAGGGCTGGGGCGCAGTCGTCAGCTGCCGTGACCCCACAGCTGGGAGCAAGCTGATTCCTGCCTCGGAGCTGCCGTCTCCCCTGCTGGCCGTTCTCTCTCCCGTGGGGAAACGCCCCCCCCCCCCCCCCGCCCTGCACCTGGCTGGCGGCACCTGTGGGCACTGACCACTCCACGCCAGCTGTTTTCCTTGGTTGGGGTTGGGGGCACCGAGCGTTTGGGTGGACCGGAAGTCAGCGTCTGCATTCGAGCCTGTGTGCGGTGCATGGGCCAAGGGCGCCCACACCCACGCCACCCTTTCCGAAGGAACCGAGCCCCAGCCCCTCATGGGCCAAGGGCACCCACAGCCACGCCACCCTTTCCGAAGGAACCGAGCCCCAGCCCCTCGTGGGCCAAGGGCGCCCACAGCCACGCCACCCTCTCCCAAGGAACCGAGCCCCAGCCCCTCGTGGGCCAAGGGCGCCCACAGCCACGCCACCCTCTCCCAAGGAACCGAGCCCCAGCCCCTCGTGGGCCAAGGGCGCCCACACCCACGCCACCCTCTCCGAAGGAACCGAGCCCCAGCCCCTCGTGGGCCAAGGGCGCCCACACCCACGCCACCCTTTCCGAAGGAACCGAGCCCCAGCCCCTCGTGGGCCAAGGGCGCCCACAGCCACGCCACCCTTTCCGAAGGAACCGAGCCCCAGCCCCTCGTGGGCCAAGGGCGCCCACACCCACGCCACCCTTTCCGAAGGAACCGAGCCCCAGCCCCTCGTGGGCCAAGGGCGCCCACAGCCACGCCACCCTCTCCCAAGGAACCGAGCCCCAGCCCCTCGTGGGCCAAGGGCGCCCACACCCACGCCACCCTCTCCCAAGGAACCGAGCCCCAGCCCCTCGTGGGCCAAGGGCGCCCACAGCCACGCCACCCTTTCCGAAGGAACCGAGCCCCAGCCCCTCTGGGGCCTGCCAATTGCCAGAGAGCCCCAGTGCTCCACCCACTCCAGGCCCCAACCCCCACCTTCTGAGGGCAGGATAAGTACCTGCGGGTGCCCAACCAGAGTGTGCCTGTGTCCACACGGGAACATATGGGTGGGAGGTGAGGAGAACGTGCCTTCCCAGTGTATGGGTGGGGGTTGAGGGACAAAATTAATGTTGCACAAAGATATGGGGGATGCCCAATATCTATGCAGGCAGGTGGGGGGATCAGTGTCTATGCAGGCAGGTGGGGGGGACATCAGTGTCTATGCAGGCAGGTAGGGGGAGGGGGACATCCCGTGTCTATGAGGGCAGGTGGAGGGAGAGAATTGAGGCTGGGGCTGGGGTCAGCAGTGGGGCTGAATGGGGCAGAGTGGGGGTCAAGGAGCAGGGGTGGTGCTGGGCAGGCCAGGAATACCCATTGTGTGGCCGTGTGTGTGTGTGCAGTGCATGGTGCTGTGAGATCAGCATGTGTGTGTGTGTGTGCAGTGCATGGTGCTGTGAGATCAGCATGTGTGTGTGTGTGTGCAGTGCATGGTGCTGTGAGATCATGTGTGTGTGCAGTGCATGGTGCTGTGAGATCAGCGTGTGTGTGTGCAGTGCATGGTGCTGTGAGTGTGAGATCGTGTGTGTGTATGCAGTGCATGGTGCTGTGTGAGATCAGCGTGTGTGTGTGTGCAGTGCATGGTGCTGTGAGATCAGCATGTGTGTGTGCAGTGCATGGTGCTGTGAGATCAGTGTGTGTGTGTGTGCAGTGCATGGTGCTGTGTGAGATCAGCATGTGTGTGTGTGTGCAGCGCATGGTGCTGTGTGAGATCAGCATGTGTGTGTGTGTGTGCAGTGCATGGTGCTGTGAGATCAGCATGTGTGTGTGCAGTGCATGGTGCTGTGTGAGATCAGCATGTGTGTGTGTGTGCAGTGCCTGGTGCTGTGAGATCAGCATGTGTGTGTGTGTGTGCAGTGCATGGTGCTGTGAGATCAGCATGTGTGTGTGTGTGTGTGCAGTGCATGGTGCTGTGAGATCAGCATGTGTGTGTGCAGTGCATGGTGCTGTGAGATCAGCGCGTGTGTGTGTGCAGTGCATGGTGCTGTGAGATCAGCGTGTGTGTGTGTGCAGTGCATGGTGCTGTGTGAGATCAGCATGTGTGTGTGTGCAGTGCATGGTGCTGTGAGATCAGCGTGTGTGTGTGCAGCGCATGGTGCTGTGTGAGATCAGCATGTGTGTGTGTGTGTGCAGTGCATGGTGCTGTGAGATCAGCGTGTGTGTGTGTGCAGTGCATGGTGCTGTGTGAGATCAGCATGTGTGTGTGTGCAGTGCATGGTGCTGTGAGATCAGCGTGTGTGTGCAGCGCATGGTGCTGTGTGAGATCAGCGTGTGTGTGTGCAGCGCATGGTGCTGAGAGATCAGCATGTGTGTGTGCAGTGCATGGTGCTGTGAGATCAGCGTGTGTGTGTGTGCAGTGCATGGTGCTGAGTGTGAGATCAGCATGTGTGTGTGTGCAGTGCATGGTGCTGTGAGATCAGTGTGTGTGTGTGCAGTGCATGGTGCTGTGTGAGATCAGCATGTGTGTGTGTGTGTGTGCAGCGCATGGTGCTGTGAGATCAGCATGTGTGTGTGTGTGTGTGTGCAGTGCATGGTGCTGTGAGATCAGCATGTGTGTGTGCAGTGCATGGTGCTGTGAGATCAGCGTGTGTGTGTGTGCAGTGCATGGTGCTGTGTGAGATCAGCATGTGTGTGTGTGCAGTGCATGGTGCTGTGAGATCAGCGTGTGTGTGTGTGCAGTGCATGGTGCTGTGTGAGATCAGCATGTGTGTGTGTGTGCAGTGCATGGTGCTGAGTGTGAGATCAGCATGTGTGTGTGCAGTGCATGGTGCTGTGAGTGTATCAGCATGTGTGTGTGTGCAGTGCATGGTGCTGTGAGTGTGATTGTGTGTGTGTGTGTGCGGTGCATGGTGCTGTGTGAGATGTGTGTGTGTGCAGTGCATGGTGCTGTGTGAGATTGTGTGTGTGCAGTGCATGGTGCTGAGTGTGAGATCAGCATGTGTGTGTGCAGTGCATGGTGCTGTGAGTGTATCAGCATGTCTGTGTGTGTGCAGTGCATGGTGCTGAGTGTGAGATCAGCATGTGTGTGTATGTGTGTGCGGTGCATGGTGCTGTGAGTGTGAGATCAGGGACCAGGGGGCTAGTACTCTTTCCTGCACATGAGCCTGCGTGGGCTGGTCAGGGCTGAATGATTTTGTCTGAAGATCCCAAAATAGCTCATGTCGCCTGAGCTCCCTCCCTGGCTGGGCCTGGGGCCTCAATGGCCCTTTGTCTTTCTGAAGGCATCTGGGCCTCTGTGGGGGGCTCAGACACTGACTGGGGCTGGGTGGGGCCAGGCTGCCTGCCTGGTTCCCCTTCCCCTGGCCCAGCCCAAGGGGCCCTAAGCCTCATTCCAGTGTCGGCCTGGGGCAGCCAGGCCCCCCACGTGACTTTCAGCTTGTTGGGCCCCCTTTGCTGGCAGATCCCAGGGTCTCTCTGTGTGGGGGCAAACTTCCCAGGCAGTGTTTGAGGCCCCCTCTGCCAGCCCGTACCTGGGGCTCCCCCACCCCTCCCACATTGTGGTACCTGTCCTCCTCCTGCAGAGCCCGCCCAGAGATCCCATGGCTGAAGGTGGTGGCAGCAGGCGGGCTGGCGCGTGACCTGGTAGCACGGCCTGGGTTTGACCCTGGCACTGCCCCTGGGACTCAGAGCTGGGAGGTGAGAAATGGGGAATGCATGTGAACCACCTGCCTCTGCACACAGCAAGTCCTGTTCTGGGTTTTCTCATCCCTGGGTCACACCCTGCGCTGGGGAGATAAAAAGTCAGACCCTGCCCGGGGCACCCACAGTCAGCACCGCCGGAACACTGTCAGCCTGGTGTGGACAGTGCCAAGGTCCAGCAGGGTGGGGTGGTTGGGGTAGGAGCTCCCCTGAGGAGAGAGTGAGGCCAGCAGGGGTGGGTCTCCAAGTGCTTCCTTTGACAGCTGCTCTGGATGGGACGTGGCTTGGGGTGGGTGAGAACCCTTGGCTGAGTTTGGATTTTCCTGCAGGGTTTCATTGGAACACCAGGTTCCAGGGCCGTAGAGATGTGGAGGCCTCCTGTCTGGGTGATGGGGCATGGTGCTGGTCCCTGGCTGTGGGGTGGAAAGGAGTCCCAAGAGAGGGAGCTGGCAAGACAGGACCTTCCCAGCTAAGGTGGGGTTGGTGGGATTTGGCTGGGGCCCTTGGAGGAGCCTGACCAGGAGGTGAGACAGGGCACCTGGAAGGAAGGAGGCGTTGGGGAGAGTCCAGATGGAGGCCATGGGGTTGAGGGGCCCAGACACCCGGCTGGGGGACTCCAGGAAGGCAGCAGGTGTGGGCAGTGGGTCCTCTGGGGTGGACTGAGGTGAGGCCTGGGTGTGACCACGCGGTGGCACTGGTGGCTGCCGGCAGCTGTCGTCTGCAGAGTGGGTGAGACCGAGTGTGGCAGATGGCTTGGTCCGCGGTGCTGGAGGGGACTGGCGGAGCAGAAGCGCCCTGGCGCCGGGTCCTTGCTTTCCTGGAGCTGGGGCTTGGGGAATGGGGTCGGTCATTGCAGGGACAGAGGAGAGGGCAGGGTAATGGGTGCGCAGGGGTCCCTTCCAAAGGCTGCGGGTGGCCAGGGGTGTGCGGGGGCGCTGAGGTGCGGTCGCCGAGAGATTCTGGCCTCCAGGGTGGTCGGGCCTGGCATGGACTCTAGGGGATGGTGCACACACCGGACCGGACGGGCCCCTCCCTTACCCCCGGATCCCCCGGCTGGGCAGCGGCCAGGGAGAGGGGCGACCTACGGGGGCGGGTGTGGGGACGCCGGACTACGCGTCAGGAGTCCCAGATGGGCCCAGACCCCCATTCCCCGCCCCGGGCCGCAGTGACGTCAGGGCCCGGACGTTCCCGGAACGGCCTCTTGGGGGCGTTCCAGCCCCACGGACCCGCAGGGAGTCCCCGCCGCAATTTGCATGGGGCTCATTTGCATGACCCCGCCCCGCGCGGGAGTCGGGGGCGCCGGCGACTGGAGGAGCCACTGTCAATCCCCAGGGGAAAGTGGGCGAGGCGATTTCTGGGCCGCTCACCTCACTCCACCCTCCAGCTCGCGCCGCACCTGGGGCCCTCCCCCACCTACGCCCCGCCAGGGCGGGGCCGCGGGCGCAGACACTCGCGGGCACACGCACGACGACGCGCACACGCGGTCGCACGCGGCCCCCCGAGCCCCCTGCGGCGACTCCGATTCACCCCCGCGGGTGCGGGGCGCGGACCCGCCCGGCCCAGCTCCTGCTCCCCAGGCGCTTCCTCCTCCCGCGACCTGCCCCGGCCGCACCCGCCTCCGCTCCAGCACGCGACGCTGCCCGGCGCGACCCCTGCTCCCCCGGCCCAGCCCCACCGCTGCCCTCGACTCAATCCCAGTTGAACGCCCGCAGCCTCAGTCCCACCCCCGGCCCAGCCCCAGCGCCCCCAGTCCCACCCCCGGCCCCAGCTTCAGCCTCAGCGCCCCCAGGCCCAGCCCCAGTCCCACCCCCAGTCCCAACACCTTCAGGCCCACCCTCGGCCCCAGCCTCAGCCACCCCAGCCCCAGTCCCGGCCCAGCCCCAGCCCCAGCGCTCCCGGCCCCGGGCCCAGCCCCAGCCCCAGCCCCAGCCGAGCACCCCCGGCCCCGCCTGCCCGGCGTTCCCTTTTGTGCGGCGCTCTCCCGTCCGCATCCGCCCGATCCTCTGGAACTCCCCGCGGACGCCGGGGTCCCTGGAGGCGGCTTCCTTTGTCTCTGCTCCCGCCCTCCCTCCGCGGCGTCTTCGCCCCTCACTCACCTCCCCAGCCCCGCGGGGACGAGGGGAGCTGGAGGGAGCCCGGGACCCGGCGCGGCCTCCGCAGGCGGCGCTTTCTTCTCGCTCCCGACGCGGCCGCCCCTCCTGCCTGCCCGCTCCTATCGCCGCTTCCGCCTCTGCCGGGGACGGGGACAGCAGACCCTCGGCGCCCGGCCCCCGCGCACCTGCCGCGCGCACCGCCTCTCCGGCCTGCGCGGCTCCGGGGGCTCCGGGAAGACCGAGCGCTGGCGGCCAGCCCGGGGAGGCTGTGGGCAGCAGGGGTGGCTGCGGGCTCCCAGTCCCTCCTCCGCCTACCTCGGAGCCCACATTTGGGATTTCTACTCCGGGAGAATTCTGCCCTCCTCCCACGATGAGCCTGGAGGACTGGAGCCGGGACCTGGCACCCCCAGGGCTGTGACTGGGTGAACTCTGAGGGCACAGCTGCTGTCCGCCGCCCCAGGGGTCCCAGGATGGGGCGAGCAGCCCTGAAGAGGCCCAAGGGCACCCCGTGAGGAGCCCCCACGCTCTGAGAGTGGGGCGCAGAGCCGGAGCCCCGGGCCATGCCTCCGCTGCCGCTGGCGCGGGACACCCGGCAGCCGCCTGGCGCCTCCCTGCTGGTGCGAGGCTTCATGGTGCCCTGCAACGCCTGCCTGATCCTGCTGGCCACCGCCACGCTCGGCTTCGCGGTGCTGCTGTTCCTCAACAACTGTAGGTGGCCGCGGGCGGGGCGTCGCACTGGCCAAGCCCCAACCCCGAGGCCCCTGCACATAGAGGCTGGAGGCCGCGGCGGGTCCGCGGGGCTCCCGGCAGCTTCCCGGGGATGGGATGGGTCACTCTGCGGACCCCTCGGTCCCTGGAGGCCGTCCTTGGGCTCTCAGTGGGCCTGGCCCTCACCCAAAGCTGCAGAAACACTTTCTGCGGGAGCTGGGGAGGGAGGGGCAGCCGGCTACACTGAGAGCCGGCAGTTGGGGGTAGGGCAGGACCTGCGGTGGACTCTTCCAGGGAAGGGGGTCCTGCCTGCACCCCTGTGGCTGGGGCCCCATCTGACAGGGGTCAGGCCATGACTATTTGGCTGGAGGGGCAGAGAAAAGCAGGGGCCTCTGTCTCAGACCTCAGCCAGCCCATGGGGTCAGGGCTGGACCCTTCAGCAGCCTGGATCCCTGGGGCTAGCGGTGGGGGGGGGGGGGTGGGCAGGGGTGCCCCTTTCCAGGCTGGGCAAAGGGATGGGACAGGGAGGAGCCTGCTCAGAGGAGCCTAACTTGGGGATTTGTTTTCTTCCAGATAAACCCGGGACCCACTTCACTCCAGTGCCTCCGACGCCTCCTGATGGTGAGTAGGGCTGAGTTCGGGGGACCTGGATGGGCTGTGGCACTCTTGGGAGTCAGGGGCCATTTGGAGGTGTGCACCCAGACGTGTGGAGTGTGTCTGGAGTGAGGAGGAGGCTGGACAAGGGCACCTGCGTCTGTCCTGGGAGTCCGCAGCGGTGGGCCGCAGTAGGAACTCGGGGTCTAGAGGCCGCCGCCTGACGGCACTGGACCTCGGCTCTCACTTCTCTGGGCCTCAGCCCCCTCAGCCTCAAAACTGGGAACAAGTCCTGGGACCCACAGGTTGTGAGGTGATGTCAGACCTGTAGGGCAGGGCCAGAGTCCGGTCAGGGGGCTCCGCTCTATTGTCCTCCCTTCTCCCTGTTCAGCAAGGGGTGGGGCTGGACAGAGGCTGGAAGTGGACAGGAGCTTGCAGGGAAGGCTGAGCTGGGGGAGGGCCCTGACCTGATCAGTGACAGCTGTCTGGGGAGGGGCCTGGAGGGCGGCAGTCTGTCCCTGGGACTCTGCAGGCTGTCATGGGGGGACACAAGTGATGGAGGGGGCGGGCTGACCTTGTTGACCTGCTTTGTGAGGTGGGGCCTGTCCTCCCCGGGGTGCTCCTGGTGTTTGGGCCACTGTCATCGGGGTGGTGTGAGGGTGTGAGGGGAAGAGAGGAAGTGGTCAGCTTTGCAGAGGAACACAGACGGGGGGACCGGTGGCTCCCTCGCCAGGCCTGGGGTCCTTTCCAGCAGGTGGGGAAGGAGCACCTGCCCCATCACTGGGTCTCACTTGCGTTCAGTTGTGTGTGCAGGGCTGTCTGTGAGGGCTGTGCTGAGGCCTTCCTGACCAGCACATGGGGTGGGAAGGACGACCTGGGGAATCCTGAAGTGATCTGAAGACAGAGCCCTGGGCTGGATAGATCGTCTCGGCCACTTTCCAGGTCTTGGGAGTGGGGGATGATGGCTGGAGGAGGTGGCCAGGCCTTGGCAGGGGGCCCTGTGATGCCCGCCTGTGCTGAGAGGTGGGGGCAGCTTGGGATGCTCAGTGGTCTGAAAGATAGGGTGGGGTCTTCCCTCGGAGTGTGGAGTTTAGGCACCTGGGAACCGGAGCTGGATTCAGGGGTGTGAGATGGAGGCCCTCTGCTTCCTCGACCGCCTGCCAGGCTGGGGTGACCTGTAGTCAGCTGTGCTTTGCTCCTGAAGCCGCACACCAGCAAGTGGGCAGTGGTTCTCCCACACTTGGCTACTCAACTCCTGGTCCCAGGGACTCTGGCCTGGGGCAGCGCTGGGCCTGGGGTGAGGAGCTGGGCAGCGGGAATGGGGAATGGTGGCTGTGGGAACCCGTCCTACCCCTGGGCTCTAGCCCTGCAACCTGTCTGTTGGCCCCCAGCCCCTGATGGCCCTCCAACACCCGCCCCCCAACCCCACCAGGCTGTTCCTATGAGATCCCAAAGGCTCCTCAGAGCACCAGGCTTCTCTTGGACTGTGGGGAGAGGAGACCGGTCTGCGTGGCCAAGGTGATTGAGGCCTCTGAGGGGCCTCATGCCGGTGGGGTTGCTGTCCCCCTTCCTGAGACTCAGGAGCCCTGTGGGTCAGGGCAGCACAGCACCATGGGTGGTTTGTGACCTGAGGCATTTGAGGGGACACGGGTTGCAGGGGCCTGCAACAGGCTGGGAGAGCAGGTAGGTGAGCAGCTGGCTTGTCCTGGAAGACCCTCTCCCTCCTGGCAGCCCCAGGACTGGGGGCAGGAGGGTATGGACTCAGAGAAGGACCCGAGTCTTGCAGGAAGGGGCCTGAACCCTCCCAGTGGGCTGGGTCCTGGGGAGGAGACAGGTCTATGCAGGTCTATGCTGGTGGCTGGGGCCGGGCAGGGCCAGGGCAAGAACTGCGTTTCCACCACCTGTGAGCCAGAGGCCTGGAGCCAACTGGATTTAAAGAGGTGCTCAGGTGGGAGGTCCCCTCTCTTAGCATCCTCAGCCTCGTTTCCTGACACCCAGAAGGCTGGGGAGTGTCTCCTTTTCTTTACACACTGCCCCCTTCACCTGGCCACAGCCCACCCTGCCACAGAGTCACGGAGGGCTCCACACCAAGGCCATCGTGACCCACATGCCACCTAACTGTGGTCATAGTTACGGGCCAGAGCTCACAGCAGGGCTGGGGCATCCTCTCCATCCCCCAGCCTACCCAGGACCAGGAAGGGAGTTAAATATACCCGCTCCTATAAAAAGCACTGCCGCCTCCAGCGTTGCACACAGTGGGAGGACCCGTCACGCTGCGGGAGAGTGGGTGGGGAGGCCGAGTGGCCGGGGAGGGGCTCCTGCAGGAGGTGGAGCTAAGACAGGCGTGGCAGGACCCCCAAAAATGACCCATCGGGAACACAGGGCTCTCAGGGTCCTAGGTGTGTCACCTGCATCTATGAGGGGCCATGTGGGCAGGTGACCGGAGCACAGATGTGTCTGAGCCCAGTGCTGGCATTTCTAGCAGTGTGGCCTTGTCAGGTGGCCTACCTTCCTCCTGCCAGCTGGCAGGGGAGACATCTCGGGGCGTGGCTGCTGCAATGCGCTGTGCCTGGCGGGTACGTGCGTGTGTGCCATCACCACGTGCACCTGTCTTCAGGTGATCTCGTGTGGAGCCTCTATGATCCCCTAGGCCTGTGGAGACTCAGCACAGTGGTGGGAGCGGCCCCTCACCTAAGCCCGCAGTGTGAGCGGAGAATGGGGGGGTGGGGCTTCCCGGAGGCCGTGATTCCTGAGCTCACTCTTGAGGGGCAGATGTGTTTCCAGCCTGGATGGGGATAGGAGGGAGGGACCAGCACTGTGACCTTTAAACCCTGGGCTGGCCGGCAGTGTCACACCATCAAATGCTGTGAGGGAGATCCACCCCCACTCCACAGCTGGGGCCACATTCCAAGAGGAGCGGACTCTCTGAGGCCCTGGAGGCAGAGGGGAAGGGGCCAGGACCTGGCCCTGCACACCAGATGGGGATGGGGAGCCAGTGCTCAGCCTGGCTTCAAGGTCCCGCCAGGTACCCAAGGTCTCTCCACTGCCCTGCCACATTGGTCCAGCAGCTGGTCACTCAGAGCCTGTCCCTAAGGTACCTCTAGGCTCCCATCCCAGAGCTTGCTCTCCATGCCCCTGCAAGCAGTCCAGCCCCGCTCACCCTGGTGAGCTGCCATCATCACCTTCTTCCCCAAGGCTCTGTCTTGGGACGTAGCAGGACCTCGGGCTGGACTATGGAGGGAGCTGCGGGTCCTGGTGGATGAGGAGCATGCCCGCCATCCAGGAACAGTGCCCTTGGCCATGGTGTCAGGGCCTTGGGAGAGGTCTGGCTGAGCCAAGGTGACCAAAAGGGGAGAAAGGCTCAGGAGCCCTGGTGCAGGGAGGTGACTGGGTCCTTGGCCATGGGGTTGGGACCTGGGGGGAACCATTGGTCCACAGGTCCAGCCGAAGCCCAGGAGAACAGCTGGCTGGGCATCAGCAGGTGCCCGTTGGATTTGGACTGGGAGTCCCAGGGCCTTGGACAAGGCAGGGCCAAAGGGAGAGGGAGATGCTGAGGGGAGAGAGAAGGGGAACCAGAAGGGAAGTGAAAGGGCCAGGGGTGCATGTGGTTTGAGTTTGATTTGAGCCAGGACGGGGGAAGGCCAGTGGTGATGACAGCCCTCATGACTATACTTACAGTGGCAGCAGACGGGCCACATAGCGCTGTGTGCTGGGCACCCTCTAAGCTTTGCAGATACTGGCCCATTTAACCCCACAATCCTGGGAGGTAGGTCCTATTGCTCCTATTCACCGAAGGGGATACTGAGGCCCAGGCAGGTGATAACCTGCCCACATTCTCACAGTGGGTAATGCAGAGCTGAGCAGCCTGGCTGTAAGACCTGAGGTGGGAGAGTAGCAGAAGAGGGGTGGGGGCACAGCCAAGGTTTGGGGAGGAAGACAGGGATCTGGTGGGGGGAGCATGGGTAGGTTGCAGGGATGGCAGGCGGATGGCCCTCACTCAGCCTTCTGGGGTGGGGGCAGGGACACCCAGACAGACAGCGCCAGAGCCTGGGGTGGGCTGTTGCTATAGCAACAGCTGGCTCCAGCTCCCAGTGCACCCACCCTCCTTGGAGATGGGGGGGGTTCCTCCTGCCCCATTTCACGAGCCTGCTGGGAAGTGATGGGTGGTAGCCACCCCTCTGACATGACTTATTAATGATAATTGGACCCAATTAAACATTTATTAAATCCAGACAGCTGCAGCCGCTAACGGACCCTTCCCTGATCCTGGGTGGGCCATGCTGGGGGTGGGGGTGCTCAGGATGGGCTGCCGCAGGGGCTCTGGGTTTTAACGTGCCTGAGGCAGCTTTGTTGGCCACGTTGAGGTCTGGTGATGGGACGTGTGTCAGGCGCTGTGGTCTGCAGCTGTAAGAACTAAAATGAGCAACAGTTCCTGCACCTCTCCAAGAAGGAAGTTCGCTTTGACAGAGAGTGAGGGCGATGGAGGAGGCAAGAGTGAGGTGGGGGGCCGGGGGATGCCCAGGGAGGAGGGGGCGTGTGGGTGCCCCAGGGATCCCAGGGAGCGATGGGAGGCTGCAGAAGGGCACAGGCCTGCCGCGGGTGGGGGGCTGGCCAGGGAGAATAGGAGATAGTAGAGGCGGAGGCCAGGAATTTGCACTTCTCCAGGGAAGCTGGGGAAGAGTTGGGGAGAGGGAGGCAAGAAGATTCCCCACCCATCTTAGGCGCAGGGAGCGGTCAGGGAGGCGCCAGAGGTGGGCCAGAGCTGTGACCTGGCCTCACACCCCGTCCCGGTGGGGCTCTCAGGCCCCTGAGGGCCAGACGCGGGACCTGGGTGCGACCCGGGCGGGAGGCGGCAGGGCTCAGCTGTGCTGGACGCTGCAGCAGCGCGGGAAGGGGCTCCCCCGGCTCCATGGGGTGAATCGGTGAGGGGCTCCGGTGCCGATGTGGAAGGAGCTCCTGAGCAGAACTGGGGCCTGGACTGCTTGTGCCCGAGTTGGTTTCGAGGCGTCTCTGCTTTTCGCTGGAGGCCCACGAGGTGGGTGGGAAGTGGGTGCTCGCCCGTCGCAGAAACAGAGTCGGGTGCCGCCTGCGGCAGACGCCCCTCTCCGCGCCTGCAGGTGCGGGGTGGGGGAGAAAGGTCATCCCTGGAGAGGCCCGGGGCTGGCGGGAATCCTCGGCGGGCGGGGTCTGCGAGGGGCAGGGCCGGTCCTGTGAGCGCACGCACGCGTGTCCGTGTCCGTGGTGGACCCCCGATGCGGCGCGGGGGCGGGTGAATGCGCGGGCTGCGAGCACGGCAAGGTCTCTCAGGCTTGTGGACGTGGGTACGGGCGTCTCGGCACCCTGAGCTTTCTCCCCTACCCGCCCCAGCGTGCCGGGGAATGCTGTGCGGCTTCGGCGCCGTGTGCGAGCCCAACGCGGAGGGGCCGGGCCGGGCGTCCTGCGTCTGCAAGAAGAGCCCGTGCCCCAGCGTGGTGGCGCCTGTGTGTGGGTCGGACGCCTCCACCTACAGCAACGAATGCGAGCTGCAGCGGGCGCAGTGCAGCCAGCAGCGCCGCATCCGCCTGCTCAGCCGCGGGCCGTGCGGTGAGCGGGGCGGGGCCGGTGCCTGGGGCGGGGAGGGGCGGGGCCTATGAGATGGAGCGAGGCTGGGAGGGGCTTCGGGGCCAGTGGGGCGGGGGCAGGGGCGGGGCCCGGCGGGGAGGAGCGGGGCTGGGAGGGGCCTGGGGGGCGGAGCGGGGCGGGAGCGGGGGCGGGGCCTGCGGGGCCCGGCGGGGAGGAGCGGGGCTGGGAGGGGCCTGGGGGGCGGAGCGGGGCGGGAGCGGGGCGGGAGCGGGGGCGGGGGCGGCCCGTCTGACCGGCAAAGCCCCGCCCGCAGGCTCGCGGGACCCCTGCTCCAACGTGACCTGCAGCTTCGGCAGCACCTGTGCGCGCTCGGCCGACGGGCTGACGGCCTCGTGCCTGTGCCCCGCGACCTGCCGTGGCGCCCCCGAGGGGACCGTCTGCGGCAGCGACGGCGCCGACTACCCCGGCGAGTGCCAGCTCCTGCGCCGCGCCTGCGCCCGCCAGGAGAATGTCTTCAAGAAGTTCGACGGCCCTTGTGGTGAGCGCGGCGGCGGGCGCACGGCTCGAGCTCTGTGGGCGCGCGGCGACAGCGTCCTGACTCCTGCCCTCGACCCCCAGACCCCTGTCAGGGCGCCCTCCCTGACCCGAGCCGCAGCTGCCGTGTGAACCCGCGCACGCGGCGCCCTGAGATGCTCCTACGGCCCGAGAGCTGCCCTGCCCGGCAGGCGCCAGTGTGTGGGGACGACGGAGTCACCTACGAAAACGACTGTGTCATGGGCCGATCGGGGGCCGCCCGGGGTCTCCTCCTGCAGAAAGTGCGCTCCGGCCAGTGCCAGGGTCGAGGTGAGCGGCTCCCCCGGGGGAGGGCTCCGGCCAGTGCCAGGGTCGAGGTGGGCGGCTCCCCCGGGGGAGGGCTCCGGCCAGTGCCAGGGTCGAGGTGGGCGGCTCCCCCGGGGGAGGGCTGCGGCCAGTGCCAGGGTCGAGGTGGGCGGCTCCCCTCTGGGAGGGCCGCCTGCTCCCCTGCTCCCTGCACATCCCAGGGCAGGGATGGAGGGTGCTCCAGCCTCTCCGTGACTCCCTCACCCCTGCGTCCTAGACCAGTGCCCGGAGCCCTGCCGGTTCAATGCCGTGTGCCTGTCCCGCCGTGGCCGTCCCCGCTGCTCCTGCGACCGCGTCACCTGTGACGGGGCCTACAGGCCCGTGTGTGCCCAGGACGGGCGCACGTATGACAGTGATTGCTGGCGGCAGCAGGCTGAGTGCCGGCAGCAGCGTGCCATCCCCAGCAAGCACCAGGGCCCGTGTGGTGAGCGCCCCGGGGTGGAGGCCAGGCGGGGTGGGCTGCTCCTGCGTCAGTCCCTGCCTGGACATCACATGCCATCTTCATCCATCATGTTCCTCTTGGGGTCCTGGGAGTGGGCCGGTCCCTCTGGGAAGGCTCTGGGGAGGGTGGAGCCTGTGTGCGGAGGGTACCTGGATACCTGGGGGCTGGTGAGGCAGAGGCGGGGCCTTGTCCAGGCTCCCTGGTCCCTGACCTCAGCCACGCCCTCCCTGGGAGTCCTCTGGCCTGTCCGCATGTCTCCACGCTGTAAGCACAGGCTGTTGGGGTGGGCAGGCTGGACACAACACCAGGGTCCTCACTCTTGGGACATGGGCAGCCGTCGGCCGTTTTGGAGGCAGTGTCAGGACTTGAAGGGCCAGGGGGAGGCAGTGGCCGTCGTGTCCCGTCGTGTTCGTCTTGGTCAGTTCGCCCATCTTCTGGTCTTTCTCTCTGCGTCTGTCTCTTCTCTTTGGTCTCTTCTTCCCTGTCGGCTCCGCCTCTTGTGTCTTCCAGCCTGACCTGCTGGCAGGATGAGGTGCCGTGCCTGCCCTCCAGGAGCCCGCAGCCCGAGGTCTGCCCCTGGTGCGGCAGGGGGGGTGGCTTGCTGCTGCCTGGCCTTGTGGTCCTCAGAGCAAGTGGACAGACACCTCCTCCCCCGTGCAGCCCTGGGTGTGACTCTGGGGGTGCAGGCTCCTCCCACCCACAGAGAGCCCCCCCACATGCATGGGTGTCCTGGGGATGCTGGTGGTCAGGGGTCAGTGGCCTGGGCAGGCTGGGGAAGCCTGGCCCTCCCATAGCCTGCTGTGGACAATCAGGAAGCCCCAAGCTTGGGGGCAGCCTCGCCCGCAGCCACCGGGGACTCCTGGGTGTGTGTTCCGCTCGCCTCTGCCGCGTGTCTGTCCCTTTCTCTGCCGTGTCTGCTGTGCATCTGGCCCTTCTCCTGTGTTCTCTCTTCCTCCACCATCCCCTCCCTGGAAGAGGGACTGCTGCGTGGGGCTGGGGGCTTTGCCTGCAGCGGAGGGGGGGCTTGTGGGACCACTGAGCCCCTGTGTCCTTCCCAGACCAGGCCCCGTCCCCATGCCTCGGGGTGCAGTGTGCATTTGGGGCGACGTGTGCTGTGAAGAACGGGCAGGCAGCGTGTGAATGCCTGCAGGCGTGCTCGAGCCTCTACGATCCTGTGTGCGGCAGCGACGGCGTCACATACGGCAGCGCGTGCGAGCTGGAGGCCACGGCCTGTACCCTCGGGCGGGAGATCCAGGTGGCGCGCAAAGGACCCTGTGGTCAGTGGCGGGTGAGGGGTCTGGTGGGGGTCGGGGAGAGAGAGGTTCCTGGTCGCCTGGTGATGGAAGCTCCTCCCCAGACCGCTGCGGGCAGTGCCGCTTTGGAGCCCTGTGCGAGGCCGAGACCGGGCGCTGCGTGTGCCCCTCTGAATGCGTGGCTTTGGCCCAGCCCGTGTGTGGCTCCGACGGGCACACGTACCCCAGCGAGTGCATGCTGCACGTGCACGCCTGCACACACCAGATCAGCCTGCACGTGGCCTCAGCTGGACCCTGTGGTGAGTGAGGCCCTGGGGCCGGGCGGGCCAGGGTCCTGTGCCTCCCTCAGCCTGGGCCTGCCGACCCCTGCCTGGCTCTGTCTCCTGCAGAGACCTGTGGAGATGCCGTGTGTGCTTTTGGGGCTGTGTGCTCCGCAGGGCAGTGTGTGTGTCCCCGGTGTGAGCACCCCCCGCCCGGCCCCGTGTGTGGCAGCGACGGTGTCACCTACGGCAGTGCCTGCGAGCTACGGGAAGCCGCCTGCCTCCAGCAGACACAGATCGAGGAGGCCCGGGCAGGGCCGTGCGAGCAGGGTAGGCCGGGGGACGCTGGCGAAAACTGCTGGGCTCTGGCTTTGGACAAGAAGCCCCTGGGTGACTCTGCTCCCCTTCCCCGCAGCCGAGTGCGGTTCCGGAGGCTCTGGCTCTGGGGAGGACGGTGACTGTGAGCAGGAGCTGTGCCGGCAGCGCGGTGGCATCTGGGACGAGGACTCGGAGGACGGGCCGTGTGTCTGTGACTTCAGCTGCCAGAGTGTCCCAGGCAGCCCGGTGAGCTCTGTACCCCTGGCTCTCGGCGGGCGGCGGGGACGGGGCTGCGGCCGCTCACACTGACACCACCCTCCAGGTGTGCGGCTCAGATGGGGTCACCTACAGCACCGAGTGTGAGCTGAAGAAGGCCAGGTGTGAGTCACAGCGAGGGCTCTACGTAGCGGCCCAGGGAGCCTGCCGAGGTGAGCCGGCTGCACGTGGGGTCTCAGGCACAGGCGGGGCGGC
The DNA here is from genome assembly GCF_000001405.40 of Homo sapiens. Lineage (NCBI taxonomy): Eukaryota > Metazoa > Chordata > Mammalia > Primates > Hominidae > Homo > Homo sapiens. The sequence continues at coordinate 1,044,483 of NC_000001.11, forward strand.
GTCTGGGTTTCCGTGTCTGGATGTGGGCGTGCCCGTGTGCTGCGTTGGGCCCCTGTGGACGTGTGTATTGTGTTGTAAGTGAGCATCGTCCAGTGTTGGTGCCTGTGCACATTTGTGCAGCTGCGTGTGTGGGCGTGTGTGTCCATCAGTCAGTGGGCGTGCACCAGGCCAGGCCTCAGTGCTGAGAGGCAGCGTGAACCATGCGGGGCCCCACCGTGTGGGCACTTTCTCTGCATACGTCCATCCGGTCGATGTATCACATCAATTAGGTAAAAGTGGTGCCCGGTGTGTGTGATGCGCGTGCACAGATGTGTGTCTGCAGAGGGGCGTTAACTGTACGGTTTGGAGGAATGTGGGTGAGAACGCATGCTGACGTCTTCAGATGTCTGTTTCTCGATTTGCAAGGAAGCTCGCGTGTGTGTGTGCACAGAGCTGCGTGTCCGTGATCTTTGGATGCTCTGTGTGTTGTGTGTTCCTGGATCTGCATTTACAGACATGTTCTTGCGTAAGATGTGGGAGCCTCACCTGTGTCCTCAGCCCCAGGCTCCCGGGCTCCTCTGGGAGCTGGGATCGGGACGGCTGAGTGGTGACAGTGGGGGTAGGTGGAGGCAGACTGGCTGGGTCCAGGGTGGGTGTCCAGCACTGCATGAAATCTGAGTCCCGTACCCTTTCCTGCAGGCCCCACCTTCGCCCCGCTGCCGCCTGTGGCCCCCTTACACTGTGCCCAGACGCCCTACGGCTGCTGCCAGGACAATATCACCGCAGCCCGGGGCGTGGGCCTGGCTGGCTGCCCCAGTGAGTACCTGAGCTCAGCCCCGACCCCGGGCCTGGTGCGGCTGTGCGGCCACGTGACCTTGTCCTGCCCTGGCCTTTCAGGTGCCTGCCAGTGCAACCCCCATGGCTCTTACGGCGGCACCTGTGACCCAGCCACAGGCCAGTGCTCCTGCCGCCCAGGTGTGGGGGGCCTCAGGTGTGACCGCTGTGAGCCTGGCTTCTGGAACTTTCGAGGCATCGTCACCGATGGCCGGAGTGGCTGTACACGTGAGTGACAGGGCCCAGGACTGGCCACCGGCTATGCCCTCCTACCTGTTCACCCCCATCACTGTGCTTCTCCTCACCTGCCCAGGCCCTGGCCTGACCCACACCTGGCTGGGGGCTGGGCAGAGCCAGGGTTGGGGACCAGGCTCTGGAGGAGGTGGGGAAGCCCGTCCAGGTGCGGACATCACGTTCCTCCCCGATTTTCCCCAAAGCCTGCAGCTGTGATCCCCAAGGCGCCGTGCGGGATGACTGTGAGCAGATGACGGGGCTGTGCTCGTGTAAGCCCGGGGTGGCTGGACCCAAGTGTGGGCAGTGTCCAGACGGCCGTGCCCTGGGCCCCGCGGGCTGTGAAGCTGGTGAGTGAGGGCCAGCGCTACCCTGGGGCTTCATGGGGTGGGGTGGGGTCACCCGAGCCACAGAGGTTTCCCATGCCCGTGCCCCAGACGCTTCTGCGCCTGCGACCTGTGCGGAGATGCGCTGTGAGTTCGGTGCGCGGTGCGTGGAGGAGTCTGGCTCAGCCCACTGTGTCTGCCCGATGCTCACCTGTCCAGAGGCCAACGCTACCAAGGTGAGGGGTGTGGGATGTGAAGGGGAGTGGGGAGGAGGCCTCGCCTTGAACATCCTTGTTCTCTGCCCCAGGTCTGTGGGTCAGATGGAGTCACATACGGCAACGAGTGTCAGCTGAAGACCATCGCCTGCCGCCAGGGCCTGCAAATCTCTATCCAGAGCCTGGGCCCGTGCCAGGGTGAGGCCTGACGGCCACTGCCCCAGAACTGACCAGGAAGGCCTGACGCTGCCCTAAATCCAGCCCCACCCGCCCTGAGCCACCTGACCCTGTCCCAACCGGTCCCCCCGCCAACCTCCCTCTCCTTGCAGAGGCTGTTGCTCCCAGCACTCACCCGACATCTGCCTCCGTGACTGTGACCACCCCAGGGCTCCTCCTGAGCCAGGCACTGCCGGCCCCCCCCGGCGCCCTCCCCCTGGCTCCCAGCAGTACCGCACACAGCCAGACCACCCCTCCGCCCTCATCACGACCTCGGACCACTGCCAGCGTCCCCAGGACCACCGTGTGGCCCGTGCTGACGGTGCCCCCCACGGCACCCTCCCCTGCACCCAGCCTGGTGGCGTCCGCCTTTGGTGAATCTGGCAGCACTGATGGAAGCAGCGATGAGGAACTGAGCGGGGACCAGGAGGCCAGTGGGGGTGGCTCTGGGGGTGAGCAGGGATCAAGGACTTGGGGTGGGTGGGCAGGCGCCGAGAGGCTCCACCAGAGCCTGGGCTCAGAGCGCGTCTCCCCAGGGCTCGAGCCCTTGGAGGGCAGCAGCGTGGCCACCCCTGGGCCACCTGTCGAGAGGGCTTCCTGCTACAACTCCGCGTTGGGCTGCTGCTCTGATGGGAAGACGCCCTCGCTGGACGCAGAGGGCTCCAACTGCCCCGGTGAGTGGACGGCTGGGCGAGGGGAGTGTGAGGATAGCCTGGGCTCGGCCGAGGTGCTGCCCCCTCGCCTGGGCAGCAGGTCAGTGCCGGGGGTTATGGTCTTGGGACTCGGCCCCCTCAAACATGTGCGTGCCGGGGACCCCACGCCTAACCCGTCTCTCTCGTTGCAAGCCGGTGTGGCACACTGCTCTGAGGAGTCCTCCTGGTAACCGACACCAGCCCCACCCTGGGGTCCCCACTAACCTCATGACCATCTGACTAACATCCACCTTCCCTTGCACCCTTGTGGCTTGCTGCTGGGGCCTGTGCCTGGGCCAGCCTGGATGCCAGGCAGATGCCAGGCAGGGCCTCACTGTACCTCCCCCACAGCCACCAAGGTGTTCCAGGGCGTCCTGGAGCTGGAGGGCGTCGAGGGCCAGGAGCTGTTCTACACGCCCGAGATGGCTGACCCCAAGTCAGAACTGTTCGGGGAGACAGCCAGGAGCATTGAGAGCACCGTAAGACGGGGGCGCAGCCCCCACCTACCCACTGGCCTTCCTCCCCAGATACCCAGAGCAGCACCAGGGCAGCCCGGCTTGGGCGGCCCCCCAAGTCCTTGCCTACTCCCTGCCACAGCTGGACGACCTCTTCCGGAATTCAGACGTCAAGAAGGATTTTCGGAGTGTCCGCTTGCGGGACCTGGGGCCCGGCAAATCCGTCCGCGCCATTGTGGATGTGCACTTTGACCCCAGTGAGACCTGCACCCTGGACCCTTCCTGGGAGGCAATGGGTGGGGGATGCCTGGGGCTCTGCCATGCTCAGAGCTCCCTCCTCCCCAGCCACAGCCTTCAGGGCACCCGACGTGGCCCGGGCCCTGCTCCGGCAGATCCAGGTGTCCAGGCGCCGGTCCTTGGGGGTGAGGCGGCCGCTGCAGGAGCACGTGCGATTTATGGACTTTGGTGAGCGCCAGGCCACGAGCCACAGCTTACCTGCCCCCTCCTCTGCCCATGCCCCTGCCCCTCACCCCTTCCTGGCCCTGCTCCCAGGAAACCCTAACAGCTCCCTGTGCCGGCAGACTGGTTTCCTGCGTTTATCACGGGGGCCACGTCAGGAGCCATTGCTGCGGGAGCCACGGCCAGAGCCACCACTGCATCGCGCCTGCCGTCCTCTGCTGTGACCCCTCGGGCCCCGCACCCCAGTCACACAAGCCAGCCCGTTGCCAAGACCACGGCAGCCCCCACCACACGTCGGCCCCCCACCACTGCCCCCAGCCGTGTGCCCGGACGTCGGCCCCCGGCCCCCCAGCAGCCTCCAAAGCCCTGTGACTCACAGCCCTGCTTCCACGGGGGGACCTGCCAGGACTGGGCATTGGGCGGGGGCTTCACCTGCAGCTGCCCGGCAGGCAGGGGAGGCGCCGTCTGTGAGAAGGGTAAGGATGTCCACTGCAGAGGAGGGCGGGGAGGCAGCAGGGTGGGGGCAAGGATTGGGGGTGGGGCTAAGCCACCATCAGGCTTTGAGTTGGGGGCAGGAGCCCGGATTAAGGCGGGGTTTCGGCCAGATGCGGTGGCTCACGCCTGTAATCCCAGCACTTTGGGAGGCCGAGGCAGGCGGATCACCTGAGGTCGGGAGTTCGAGACCAGCCTGACCAACATGGAGACACTCTGTCTCTACTAAAAATACAAAATTAGCCGGGCGTGGTGGTGGGCGCCTGTAATCCCACCTCGTGAGGCTGAGGCAGGAGAATCGCTTGAACCTGGCAGGCGGAGGTTGCGGTGAGCCAGGATCGCGCCACTGCACTCCAGCCGGGGCAAAAAGAGCAAAACTCCGTCTCAAAAAAAAAAAAAAAAAAAAAAGCAGGGGGCGGTTTCAGGGATAAAAGTGGGGAATCCTCGGAGCTTTTCCAGCCGGCCCTCCCGGTCGCCCTTTGCAGTGCTTGGCGCCCCTGTGCCGGCCTTCGAGGGCCGCTCCTTCCTGGCCTTCCCCACTCTCCGCGCCTACCACACGCTGCGCCTGGCACTGGAATTCCGGGCGCTGGAGCCTCAGGGGCTGCTGCTGTACAATGGCAACGCCCGGGGCAAGGACTTCCTGGCATTGGCGCTGCTAGATGGCCGCGTGCAGCTCAGGTGGGCGGGGAGGGGACGGGGCCGGGGCAGCTCAGGTGGGCGGGGAGGGGACGGGCGGGGGAGGGGGGGCCGGGGCAGCTCAGGTGGGTGGGGTGGGGACGGGGGCGGGGCAGCTCAGGTAGGCGGGGTGGGGACGGGGCCGGGCGATGGTCCTGAGCACCTGCTCCTGCCCTCAGGTTTGACACAGGTTCGGGGCCGGCGGTGCTGACCAGTGCCGTGCCGGTAGAGCCGGGCCAGTGGCACCGCCTGGAGCTGTCCCGGCACTGGCGCCGGGGCACCCTCTCGGTGGATGGTGAGACCCCTGTTCTGGGCGAGAGTCCCAGTGGCACCGACGGCCTCAACCTGGACACAGACCTCTTTGTGGGCGGCGTACCCGAGGACCAGGCTGCCGTGTGAGTCCCTTGGAGGGTGGTGTGGCCCCGACCCCGGCCCTTTGGGGTCCCGGTGTACGAGGTGGCTTTGCCTGTGGCCCCTGAGCCCTGACCCGGTGTCCCTCCTGGTGGCAGGGCGCTGGAGCGGACCTTCGTGGGCGCCGGCCTGAGGGGGTGCATCCGTTTGCTGGACGTCAACAACCAGCGCCTGGAGCTTGGCATTGGGCCGGGGGCTGCCACCCGAGGCTCTGGCGTGGGCGAGTGCGGGGACCACCCCTGCCTGCCCAACCCCTGCCATGGCGGGGCCCCATGCCAGAACCTGGAGGCTGGAAGGTTCCATTGCCAGTGCCCGCCCGGCCGCGTCGGTGAGGGTGGGGCCGGGGCGGGTGGGAGTGGGACCCCGGGGCCTGTGGGCGGTACCCAACCGACGCCTCCTGGGACCTCGGTCCCGGTCCCGTCTTCCTCCATCCAGGACCAACCTGTGCCGATGAGAAGAGCCCCTGCCAGCCCAACCCCTGCCATGGGGCGGCGCCCTGCCGTGTGCTGCCCGAGGGTGGTGCTCAGTGCGAGTGCCCCCTGGGGCGTGAGGGCACCTTCTGCCAGACAGGTCGGGGGCGTGGGGCTCTCGGGGCAGGGGGGGGGGGGGGGTTGAACGTTTGGGCGGGTACAGGTTCCAGGTAGCATTGCAGTTAGGATGCGGCTCAGTCTAGTCTGGGTTTTGAGTTAGGATCCACACACGGCTGGCATGGGGTGCAGGAGGCCCCGGGGGTCAGGACTGAGGCCTTGGTGACTCTCCCTACAGCCTCGGGGCAGGACGGCTCTGGGCCCTTCCTGGCTGACTTCAACGGCTTCTCCCACCTGGAGCTGAGAGGCCTGCACACCTTTGCACGGGACCTGGGGTCGGTGGGGCAGGAGCAGGGGGAAGGGCCGGCCCCCACCTCCGTCTCTCCTGTGGGGAGGGGACAGCAAAGACACCCCGACTCCCCATGACCCCAGGGAGAAGATGGCGCTGGAGGTCGTGTTCCTGGCACGAGGCCCCAGCGGCCTCCTGCTCTACAACGGGCAGAAGACGGACGGCAAGGGGGACTTCGTGTCGCTGGCACTGCGGGACCGCCGCCTGGAGTTCCGCTACGACCTGGGCAAGGGGGCAGCGGTCATCAGGTGGGCCGGCAAGGGTGGCTCTGGGAGGCCTGGGGCACTGGCCCGGGGCCGGGGCACCAGCAGGTCGCTCAGGCCCTGGGTGGTCGCGTGGCCGGTGGTGGACAGAGCCCACTCACGCTGCCCCTCCTCACCAGGAGCAGGGAGCCAGTCACCCTGGGAGCCTGGACCAGGGTCTCACTGGAGCGAAACGGCCGCAAGGGTGCCCTGCGTGTGGGCGACGGCCCCCGTGTGTTGGGGGAGTCCCCGGTGAGTGCTCTGGGCCGCGAGGGGACTCCCGCTGCTGCCTGCTCTTCCTCCTCGGGCGGCAGCCCCGCCCCTGCCGGCGCTCACGGAGCTGTTTTTCTGTCCTGTTCTCTTGGCCGCCTGCCCTGTCCTCTGCCTCCTCTGCCTCCCTGCTCTCTGCTCTCGCTCTGCAACCCCACCCGCTCTTCGGAGGCCAGAAATCCCGCAAGGTACTGTCGGCCTCTCATCCGCTCACCGTCTCTGGCGCCTCAACCCCTAGGGTAGCTCCTCCCCCACTAAGGACCCTGCCATTTCTGTGTGATTAACGCTGCCCCCTAGATAGGCAATGGGCGGGTGGGGCGGGTGCGTGCAGGTGCCTGGGCCCTGGGTCTGCACCGTGGGTGGGCTCTGCACAGCCACTTACCTGGCGTCCCCGCAGGTTCCGCACACCGTCCTCAACCTGAAGGAGCCGCTCTACGTAGGGGGCGCTCCCGACTTCAGCAAGCTGGCCCGTGCTGCTGCCGTGTCCTCTGGCTTCGACGGTGCCATCCAGCTGGTATGTGGGGGCGGGGCGTCCCAGCAGGGCCTCCGGGGCGGGCGGGGTGGCAGGCGGGACAAGGCCCTCACCCTGCCCTGCAGGTCTCCCTCGGAGGCCGCCAGCTGCTGACCCCGGAGCACGTGCTGCGGCAGGTGGACGTCACGTCCTTTGCAGGTCACCCCTGCACCCGGGCCTCAGGCCACCCCTGCCTCAATGGGGCCTCCTGCGTCCCGAGGGAGGCTGCCTATGTGTGCCTGTGTCCCGGGGGATTCTCAGGACCGCACTGCGAGAAGGGTGAGCCTGGCACAGGGCAGGGGGCGGAGGCCGGATGGGCCCGGAGCCCACGAGGCCCCACCCTCACCTGCCTATCTCACAGGGCTGGTGGAGAAGTCAGCGGGGGACGTGGATACCTTGGCCTTTGACGGGCGGACCTTTGTCGAGTACCTCAACGCTGTGACCGAGAGGTAACGTGCCATCCTCTGCTGGCTGTCGGTTCCATCTGTGCCCTCGGGGCGGGACACCGGACCCCCACACCAGGAGGGCCCAGGAGGGGACGGCCCGGTGCTGCCACCTCTGTCCTCCCGCCTCTCTCTCACCTCCCGGTCCTCCCGCCTCTCACTGTCTGTCTCTTTGTTTCCAAGCGAACTGGCCAATGAGATCCCCGTGTGAGTAGAGCTCGGCGCCCCCCGCTCCCTCTCACTCCCACTCCTCCATCCTTCCTGGTGGGGAGCAGAGTCCGGAGCCCCCGGGGAACTTTCCATCCCTTGTGGCGGAGGATGGGGGTCCGGCGCTATTTGGCTGCAAGAGGCCGTTTCCTGCCTCAGAAGTGCAGTCGCCCCTCCCAGGGCACAGGCCGAGGGTCGCCCCACAGCCAACCCCCACCACTGAGGCTGTACACACCTGTGCGCATATGCATGCATGTCTGTGTCCGTGTGCACTTCCGCGTGTGTGAACATGCAGCTGTGTCTGTGCGTGTCTATGTATATGGAGTGGATGTGCAAGTGTGTGTGAATATCCAGCTGTGTGTGTGCATGGGTCCATGTATATGTGTGTGTGTATATGTGGGGGGGACATGTAGATATGCGTGTGTGACTATGCGGCCGTGTGTGTGCATGGCTCCATGTATGTGTGTGTATATGAGGGAGACATGCAGGTATGTGTCCGTGTGTGTGTGTGTGCATATGGGTCCATGTATGTGTGTGTATATGAGGGAGACACGCAGGTGTGTGTCTGAGTGTGTGCGCACATGGGTCCATGTATGTGTGTGTATAGGTGAGGGAGACATGCATGTGTGTGTCCGTGTGTGTGCATGGGTCCATGTGTGTATAGTGTGTACACATGGGTCCATGTATGTGTGTGTATATGAGGGAGACACGCAGGTGTGTGTCCGAGTGTGTGTGCATGGGTCCATGTGTGTATAGTGTGTGCACATGGGTCCATGTATGTGTGTGTATATGAGGGAGACACGCAGGTGTGTGTCCGAGTGTGTGTCCATGGGTCCATGTATGTGTGTGTATATGTGGGGGAGACAGGTGTGTGTCCGAGTGTGTGCATGGGTCCGTGTATATGCGTGTATATATGGGGGGATATGTAGATGTGTGTGTGTATGAACAGGTGTAAGTGGGGAGCACTCAGGTGTGTCTGTGTGTGTTCGTGTACACGTGTGTATGTGTGTGAACATGGAGGGGTGTGTGTGTCCGTGTGTAGGTTTGCGTGCATGCACACATGCATGTGTGTACTGGGGCATCCAAGCCCCTGGTCTCCACTCCATACCACCCTACGCCTACCTCCTTGATCTCTGCGCCCAGCCTTGGCTGTGCTCCCCTGCTGTCTGCACGTGGGTGTCTGCACGTGGGTGTCTGCATGTGGGTGTCTGTGCCCTCAAGTGTCTCGTGTCTGCACGTGGGTGTCTGCACCCTCACGTGTCTCGTGTCCGCACAAGCATGTGTAGGTGTCCCTGCTGGGCTCTTTGGTGGGCGGCCAGTGATCCTCGAGGTCACGCATGTCTTCTGTGGGTGCCTGCTCCTTGCACCCCACAGTGTTGAGATGGGTTTGCATTGGCCCCGCCTGTCCCCTGCTCACCCGCCTCCCTCTCTTCCTGCTTCTAAGCCCCGAAACTCTGGATTCCGGGGCCCTTCACAGGTGAGCACGTGGCAGCAGTGCCTGCAGACCCCTGGCTGGCCCATCTGTCCTCCCGCCCGTCTCTCTGATCTCTCTCTGCCAGGCTGCCCCTGTCTCCATCCCTCTTCTCCCTCCCACTGTCGGTGTCTGCCCACCAGCCACCCCTGGGTCCCGTCACAGCCCTTGTGGCCTCCGCAGCTGGGGCCCTTGTCCTCCCGCCTCCCCCACCCTGTCCTGTTGCCACCTTCCTAGAGGCCCTGACCTGCCCTCTGCCCTCCAGCGAGAAGGCACTGCAGAGCAACCACTTTGAACTGAGCCTGCGCACTGAGGCCACGCAGGGGCTGGTGCTCTGGAGTGGCAAGGCCACGGAGCGGGCAGACTATGTGGCACTGGCCATTGTGGACGGGCACCTGCAACTGAGCTACAACCTGGGCTCCCAGCCCGTGGTGCTGCGTTCCACCGTGCCCGTCAACACCAACCGCTGGTTGCGGGTCGTGGCACATAGGTGAGTAGGGAACCCAGCGTGCCGAGAATAGTGGCGAGGGCTGCCCAGACTTGCCCAGCTGGGCTGTGTCCAGTCACTTGTGACCAGGGGTCAGGGAGGACACGCCTTGCTGCCTGAGCCGAGGTCACTGCCAGTGGGAGGAGGAAGGGCCAAGAAGATGCAGGAGAAGCAATGATCAGTTTCCACGTCTGAAAGGCATCCCGGCCCTGCCCGGAGCCTGCCGGGGGTCGCTCCAGTCTGAGCCTGGCCGTCGCCTCCAGCAAAGCTTGAGCTGCAGGAATGTCCCCGGCCTTGGCTCCCAGTGCCCTCCTTGGGGTCAAGGCCACCTCATCCTTGCCCCCAGGGGTGATACCTCGGGGGTTCTCCAGGCTGAGGCACCTGCAGGGCATAGGAAGGATGCAGGGCTTATGGTCTAGAGGAGGCAGAGGGAACTCTGGGCCCTGATGGTCTCCCCCTCCCTGCACACCCAGGGAGCAGAGGGAAGGTTCCCTGCAGGTGGGCAATGAGGCCCCTGTGACCGGCTCCTCCCCGCTGGGCGCCACGCAGCTGGACACTGATGGAGCCCTGTGGCTTGGTGAGTGTTTTGGGGAGACTAGAGAGGGATGCCCAAGGGTCTCATGATATCCGAGGGACAGACTCCACCCCCCAGCGCCCACCCTTGAGTCAGGGTGCATGTGAGCCGGCGGGCTGGGCTCTCTTCTCCCGCTGTAGCCCCTGCAGTTCCCAGTGCTGTGGGGCCGGGAGGCGGGTGCCCAGGTGTGGGCCCCCTGCTGGTCACCTGCTCGTTGGGGTGCCCATCAGCATCACTGAGTCACAGCCGGGTGACTCCCACTGTCTGTGCTGCAGGGGGCCTGCCGGAGCTGCCCGTGGGCCCAGCACTGCCCAAGGCCTACGGCACAGGCTTTGTGGGCTGCTTGCGGGACGTGGTGGTGGGCCGGCACCCGCTGCACCTGCTGGAGGACGCCGTCACCAAGCCAGAGCTGCGGCCCTGCCCCACCCCATGAGCTGGCACCAGAGCCCCGCGCCCGCTGTAATTATTTTCTATTTTTGTAAACTTGTTGCTTTTTGATATGATTTTCTTGCCTGAGTGTTGGCCGGAGGGACTGCTGGCCCGGCCTCCCTTCCGTCCAGGCAGCCGTGCTGCAGACAGACCTAGTGCCGAGGGATGGACAGGCGAGGTGGCAGCGTGGAGGGCTCGGCGTGGATGGCAGCCTCAGGACACACACCCCTGCCTCAAGGTGCTGAGCCCCCGCCTTGCACTGCGCCTGCCCCACGGTGTCCCCGCCGGGAAGCAGCCCCGGCTCCTGAATCACCCTCGCTCCGTCAGGCGGGACTCGTGTCCCAGAGAGGAAGGGGCTGCTGAGGTCTGATGGGGCCCTTCCTCCGGGTGACCCCACAGGGCCTTTCCAAGCCCCCATTTGAGCTGCTCCTTCCTGTGTGTGCTCTGGGCCCTGCCTCGGCCTCCTGCGCCAATACTGTGACTTCCAAACAATGTTACTGCTGGGCACAGCTCTGCGTTGCTCCCGTGCTGCCTGCGCCAGCCCCAGGCTGCTGAGGAGCAGAGGCCAGACCAGGGCCGATCTGGGTGTCCTGACCCTCAGCTGGCCCTGCCCAGCCACCCTGGACGTGACCGTATCCCTCTGCCACACCCCAGGCCCTGCGAGGGGCTATCGAGAGGAGCTCACTGTGGGATGGGGTTGACCTCTGCCGCCTGCCTGGGTATCTGGGCCTGGCCATGGCTGTGTTCTTCATGTGTTGATTTTATTTGACCCCTGGAGTGGTGGGTCTCATCTTTCCCATCTCGCCTGAGAGCGGCTGAGGGCTGCCTCACTGCAAATCCTCCCCACAGCGTCAGTGAAAGTCGTCCTTGTCTCAGAATGACCAGGGGCCAGCCAGTGTCTGACCAAGGTCAAGGGGCAGGTGCAGAGGTGGCAGGGATGGCTCCGAAGCCAGAAATGCCTTAAACTGCAACGTCCCGTCCCTTCCCCACCCCCATCCCATCCCCACCCCCAGCCCCAGCCCAGTCCTCCTAGGAGCAGGACCCGATGAAGCGGGCGGCGGTGGGGCTGGGTGCCGTGTTACTAACTCTAGTATGTTTCTGTGTCAATCGCTGTGAAATAAAGTCTGAAAACTTTAAAAGCATTGCTTTTGTCCATCCTCACCAGCGCGCTGGCCCGTTGGCTTCTTGCTCCGCTTTGTGGTGGGAGCACGGACTTGGAGCTCCCTTGGGTGGCCCTGGATGGAGCCAGGCCCTGCACAGGGATCCTTGTGGCTGATGAGGCCCTGAGTGGGGAGCACACACTGCTGAGCACTGTGGGAGGCGGGGCCGTGGAGGCAGGAGGCTCTCTGGCGTGCACGTGTGGGTGCGTGTACGTGTGGGGGTGTGTGTGTGTGGGTGCGGGTACGTGTGGGTGCATGTGCCTGCTCTCTGGCGTGCACGTGTGGGTGCGGGTACGTGTGGGTGCGGGTACGTGTGGGTGCATGTGCGTGTGGGTGCGTGTGCCTGCTCTCTGGCGTGCACGTGTGGGTACGTGTGGGTGTGGGTGCGTGTGCCTGCTCTCCGGCGTGCATGTATGGGTGCATGTACGTGTGTGTGGGTGCGTGTGCCTGCTCTCCGGCGTGTATGTGTGGGTGCGTGTGCGTGTGGGTGCGTGTGCTTGCTCTCCGGCGTGCATGTGTGGGTGCATGTACGTGTGTGGGTGCGTGTGCCTGCTCTCCGGCGTGTATGTGTGGGTGTGTGTGCCTGCTCTCTGGCGTGCACGTGTGTGTGTGTGTGTGTGTGCCTGCACACATAATTGGCCCACATCTGTGTCAGAGCACAGGGTTGGGAGGAGGCTGCACCCAGGACTGGAAGGGTCTGGGGGGAGCCAGGGTGCGTGGGGCTGTTGGGCAGCCTTTTCACTGGCCCAGGTGTGCAGAACCAACCCTTGGCACTGCTGGAAGCCCCTAACTAGAAACCCCTGGGGTAGCTGGGCTCCTGGACTCCCTCTAACCTGCTTCCTAAATTAGTGTGTGGGTGACAGCACTGCAGAAGCTGAGCCTCAGGGAAGGGCGCGGTGGCTCACACCTGTCATCCCAGCACTTTGGGAGGCTGAGGCTGGAGGATCGCTTGAGGCCAAGAGTGGGAGATCAGCTTGGGCAACATAGTGAGACCCCATCTCTGCAAAAAAATTTCTTTAATTAGCCAGGCGTGGTGGTACACACCTGTAGCTCCAGCTACTCCGGAGGCTGAGGCAGGAGGATCACTTGAATCCAGGAGGTTGAGGCAGCAGCAAGCTGTGATTGCACCACTGCACTCCAGCCTGGGTGACAGAGCGAGAACCTGTCTAAAAAACAGAGCTGGCACCCAGCACCGGCAGATGTGAGCCCTGGGGAGAAGCAGGGGAAGAAGGGGTAGGGTGTGTGGCCAGCTGGGTGGCCCTTCGCAAACTGCTGTCTCTTATGAAAAATAACTAAGTGTAGTTTTCTATTTTGTATTAATGATTTTAAAAAAAAAGCCAGGTGCGCTGGCTCACACCTGTAATCCTAGCACTTTGGGAGGCCGAGGCGGGTGGATCACCTGAGGTCAGGAGTTCAAGACGAGCCTGGCCAACATGGTGAAACCCTGTCTCTCCTAAAATACAAAAACTGGCTGGGCATGATGGTGGGTGCCTGTAGTCCCAGCTACTCCGGAGGCTGAGACGGGAGAATTGCTTGAACCCAGGAGACGGTGGTTGCAGTGAGCCGAGATCACGCCATTGCACTCCAGCCTCAGTGGCTGAAGGAGACTCCGTCTCAAAAAAAAAAAGAAAAAAGAAAACCACAAAAACATCGAAATAAAATAACACCAATGGCTGGGCACATTGGCTCATGCCTATAATCCCAGCACTTTGGGAGGCTGAGGCAGGCGGATCACCTGAGGTCAGGAGTTCAACACCAGACTGGCCAACATGGTGAAACCCTGTATCTACTAAAAACACAAACATCTGGGCGTGGTGGCAGGTATCTGTAATCCCAGTTACTCGGGAGGCTGAGGCACGAGAATCGCTTGAACCCGGGAGGCGGAGGTTGCAGTGAGCCGCGATTGCACCACTGCACTCCAGCGTGGGCGACAGAGCGCGACTCCGTTTCAAAAAAAAAATGAAAAGATAATACCCACAAGCTCCACACCCAGGAGGTCCCATGCGTCTGAGTGTTTGCTTTCTGGGCTTTTCATCACCTGGTCCTCTGGGGATATGCTGACCGACCCTGTGTGCCTGGCAGGTGTCAGGCACTGGGGGTCGGGGAGGAGAGAGTCCAGGAGCGGTGGCCACACACAGGTCGCTGACGGTGGGGGGCCAGGGTGGGGGCAGACTAACTTTGGTTTTCAGGAAAGGTCCAGAGAAAACACGCCCAAACCCAGACCCGAAGCATGAGCAGGGGGAGGGCAGGTGAGGAGGCCAGAGGCGGGGCATGTGGTGTGGGTCCATTGGACGGTGTGCAGGGCCCTGTGGCTTGACAAAGGGATCTTTCAGCAGGAAGCGGAGGCGTAGGAGCGGCCAGAGGCCAGCGTGCAGGACAGAGGCCACAGGTCAGAGCAGCAGAGGCTGGACAGAGATGGGCAGGGCAGGTCCAGTGGGGCTGCGTGGGCCTGGGGAAGAGAGCTGGGGGTGCTGCCTGAGGAGCTGTGGGAGGCTCCTGGAGGGCTCCAAGCAGGAGGCCACCAGATTTCATGAAGACGCCCCTGGCTAGGACAGGGTGCTAGGCTGCAGGGGGAGCAGAGGGAGGGATTTGGGGGAGAATGGGCGGGTCGAGGGGGGTGAGAAGAGGCGCTCAGGGACGTGGAGATGGAGCTGGAGGCACCGGAGCTTTGGGTGGATTCGCCCTGATGCGTCTGGAGGGATGGCTGGGCTGGGGAAGCTGGGGTTCCCTGAGTGGGGTCCAGGGGGCCGAGGGGTGCCAGGCAGGGAGAGGCTGGGCTGAAGCCTGAGGCAGGTGCTCCTGCTGGGTGTTGCCTAGGAGAGGAGAAAAAGCCCCGACGCCAGAAATGGAGGAGGGAGGAGGACCTCGGAGGGGAGGAGGAGGGTGCGCAGAACCAGGAGAGGCAGTTTGGGGAGCAACCGCTGCGGAGCGCGCAGGACCCAGAGGACTCAAAGGGGACCTGGAGGGTGACGAGGCCTTCCGTGGCCGGGGGTGAGGAGGAGGGAAGCCGCGCGGGCGGAGAGGCGCTGGTGGGTCCCAGGTTGGAGGCTGTGGGTCTGAGAGGCGAAGCCCAGGGGAGCCCGGGGCCACCGCTGAAAAGGATGGCAGCTGAGCGCAGGCGAGGGAGAGGCGCGCGTGTCCGGGACAGACCGCGGTGGGAGCTCGACTCCGGAAACCGGCGGGCCTGGGGCTGGGACCTACAGGGAGGCGGACGCGGCACAGCCAGGGAGGTCGGTCCCGCGGGCCCCGCCCCGCCCCCCAGCCTGGAGCGCCCCCCTCCGGCCCCGGTCCGCAGTGGAGGCGGCCCCGGAAAAGCCAGAGGGTCTTGGAATGGAGGGCGGGACGGAGCCGCCTGCAACGCCCGCGACCCGCGACCCGGCTGCCCGCGGGACCCCCGGCTCTGAAGCGGGGACGGCCGGAGCTTCCGCCTGCAGCCCAAACTCCCAGGCGCCCGGCAAGAGTGGCGGGCGCGGACCCTTTAAGAAGGCCGGGGGGCGTGGCCTCGGGGCGTGGCCCGGGGCGTGGCATCGGGGCGAGGCTTCGGGGGCGGAGCCCAGGCAGCGCCTTCGCGGAGTTGCCGGAGGGTGCGGCCGCCCAGAGCGCACCCCGAGCGCCGGCGAGCGGCGCGGTGAGACCCTCGTGCAGGTGAGCCCGGCGCACGGCGGCCCAGAATCCTGGACCCCAGGAGAAGCGTCTACGGCCCCGACAGGTGGGCGTGGCGAAATGCCACCCGGGCCCTCCTCGCGCTCCCAGCTGGGTCACGCCTCAGACCCGGGGTCCTGGACGCCTGCCCCCCTCCACCCGCAGGCCCTGCCAGGACACTTTGGTCCCTGGCCCGCCAGGCCTGGCCTCACTCAGGCTTGGCTGTGGGGTCAGAGTCGGGCAGAACGGAACCAACAGTCCTGGCAGGCCCAGGCGGTTGGAGGAGAAGTGGTCGGCTCTGGACACCTTTGTTGTTTTTTGTTTTTTGTTTTTGAGATGGCGTCTCACTGTGTCACCCAGGCTGGAGTGCACTGGCGCGGTCTTGGCTCACTGCAACCTCCACCTCCCGGGTTTATGCAATTCTCCTGCCTCAGCCTCCGGAGTAGCTGGGATTACAGGTGTATGCCACCATGCCTGGCTAATTTTTGTATTTTTAGTAGAGACGGAGTTTCACCATGTTGGCCAGGATGGTCTTCAACTTCTAACTTCGTGATCCACGCTGCTGGGATTACAGGTGTGAGCCACCGCGTGTGGCCTCTGGGCACCTTTTGAAGGTAGGATGAGAGGAACTCATGGATCGGAGCCGGCAGGGAGCGCCGAGGGGGGCCGGGGGCAGGGCGGCCACCCTTGCCTGTGTGGGGAAGATGAAGAAGAGGGTGTGGGCCGCGGGGGCAAGATCAGGAGCTTTGGGTTTTGAAGATGTTAGGAAAGACGTGCTGCTGACTTTGCAAACGGAGGTGCTGAAACCGGGTGTCTGGAGCTCAGAGAAGAGGTGGCGCTGGACTGGCCTAGACTCTGTGCAGACACAGAAGAGCCAGGGCCTGGGGCTCCCATCGAGGAGGAGGACAAAGGGCCCTGGCCAGGGCAAGGTGGGAAGCCGGGAAGTGCAGCCTCCACAGAGCCTCGCAGAGAAGGCGCCACTGGAAGAAGGCGGCACTGACGGCCTCGGAGGCTGCTGAGGACCGGCTGGGCCCCGACGTCCGTGGCAACCCTGACAGCCAAGTCCTCCGTGGGCTTGGAGGGCGGGACACGGCTCTGGAGATGAGGGAGAGGACGGGCCGTGCCGACCGGCACCGCGGTGTTCCTGAGCAGTGGCACCGTGGCTGTTGCTGAATTTTATTATTGTTAATTAATTTATTTATTTTTATTTTTGATACTGAGTTTTTCTCTTGTTGCCCAGGCTGGAGTGCAGTGGCGAGATCTCGGCTCACCGCAACCTCCGCCTCCCGGGTTCAAGCGATTCTCCTGCCTCAGCCTCCCGTGTAGCTGGGATTACAGGTGCCCATGACCACACCCGGATAATTTTGTATTTTTAGTAGAGACGGGGTTTCACCATGTTGGTCAGGCTGGTCTCAAACTCCTGACCTCAGGTGATGCGCCTGCCTCAGCCTCCCAAAGTGCTGGGATTTCAGGCATGAGCCATCGCACCCGGCCATGAATTTTAATTCATTCCTATTTACAAATCACACAGCCATACAAACTTCTTCCAGAAGTTGTGCTCAGAGGGGAGCAGAGGGGCAGGAGCTGCAAGGAGTGGAGGCAGGGCCCGAAGGAGGAGGAGGAGCTGGGGCCCCGGGAGAGGGACCTGGCCAGGGTGGGCTGGAGCCGGGGATGGGGTCCCCAGGGGGACCAGCCAGGACCTGTGGGTGCTGCAGAGGAGGGGAGATCTTGGCTCCATTCTCAGGGGTGAAAGCCTGTGGAGGCCTTTATTTTTTATTTCTTCTTAAGTGAGATGAGGTCTGGCTATGTTGCCCAGGCTGGTCTTGAACTCCTGGGCTCAAGCAATCCACCCGCCTCCTGAGTAATTGGGATTATAGGCATGAGCCTGGTCATGGAGGCCTTTAACAGAGACTGCGGTGAGGCCTCCATTCTAGAAAGAGCCCTGCAGCTGCCCTTTGTGGGGCAGAGGGGGCAGGACCGCCCTCAACCTTCCTCCTCCTCTGGACCAGCCATGGGGGCCGGAGCAAGGTCTGCCCAGGGCACAGCAACCCCCACCCATTCGTGCACAGGTTATGATTCCACTGACAACCAGGCCGGGCCAGCGTGGGGCGGAGGTCCTAGAGCCAGCAGGCCCCACCTGGGTATCATCTATGCAGCCAGGAGATGCCCAAGAGCCAGGTGTCCAGAAGCCGCCCCTGTGTGGACAGCACAGCTGGGGAAGACAGAGGGCTGGGGGAGCCCCACGTCCTCAGTTCCTTCCTCTGCCGCCTCCCTCCCTCCCTCCCTTGTCCCCGTTCCCTCCGTCCCTCTCCCCCTTCCTTCCCTCCCTCCCTCACCACCATTCCCTCCCTCCCACATCCCCTTCCCTCCCCTCTTCCTTCCCTCCCTCTCACACCCCTTCCCTCCCTCCCTCCCTCCCTCCCTCAGTCACTCACGGGTGTGGCTCTTTTTTGCTGACATTCTGGGCTCTGGGGCTGCCGCCTGAGTACAATGTAGTCCTGAGCTCCGGAGTCCAGTGCCACAAAAGTAAGGAGCAGTTGTGATCTCGGACGTGGGCTCCGGGGCAGCCCTGACCTCATGGGGGGCTGCAGACTAGGAAGGTCCTGGGACGGGGGGGCTGTTCACCAGGAAGGGGCAGGGCTGCAGCCTCAGCCTCCCCTCCAGATGCCGGCAGCACCAGCCTCTGCCTGCATGGGGCCGCGAGGTTTGCAGTGACATCCCCCGAGCTTCCTGACCTGCCCCGGACACGGAGCACGGCTCCCAGGGGCCGCACAGGCACCCGCTGGCCTCTCGGCCCCTCCCTGTGCACCACCCCCTCCTCCCCCCGACCCCCATCCCTCTACTGAGTGTCTCAATTCCAGTGTTATGGACCTGGGACGCCACAGTGCGGGGAACAGCTTCTGCCCTCTGGGAGATAAGAACCCGTCGTCAGGCAGCTGGGCTGCTGAAACAGTGACCATAAGCTGGGCGGGCAGGCGCTCCTTCCCTCAGCTCTGGAGGCTGGAAGTCCGAGATCCTGGCCGTGGAGGCTGGGAGGGGTGGAGTGGACGGGGCTGCTGACAGCCTCGGGGGCGTGTGGAGAAGGAGGGAGCCCCAGTGGCCCCAGGCCCTGCCACTTGGGGGAGAATTCCAGCCCCTCTGTGTCCCTGGGACCCCACAGCCCCTGGCCAGTGGCCATTCCCGGCTTCGAGCACAGTGGCCTCAAGCCACCATCGTGGGTGTTACCGTGGAAACAATGAGGGAGGTTTGTGTGGGGCCAGATTCCTCCTCTGGGCACTGACCTGCTCTCCCCACTCCAGGTGGTTTCACCCCAACATCAGCAGGGTGGAGGCGGAGAAGCTGTTCCTATCCAGAGGTCAGCGTGGGGACTTCCTTGCCAGGCCCAGTGAGAGCAGCCCGGGGGGCTTCACGCTGTCCGTCAGGTGGGTGGGCCCTGGCTGGGCATGGACAGGGTCTGGTTGAAGGCCTCCTGGAGGACCGGTGGGCAGCTTCCTGGACACGAGGACTTGGTGCGGGGGGCCGATGCCCTGGGAAGGTGGTGAGAGTTGGACGTGGTGCTGGGCGGTCTCTGGGCAGGAAGGAACTATTTAGAGAGGCCCTTGGGGAGGGCTCATTGAGTCAGGGGCTCAGCAGGACCCTTTCCTCCCCTGTGAGGGCCCTGGGGACAGGCAGGGCCTCCGTGGCTGCGACCGTGTTGCCAGAGCCTGGGGGTGCAGCTGGGGAGTGCAGCGGGGTTCCCATTGAGCTCTGGTACCCGCTGGGCTGCCAGGACCCCGCGTTGGAGTGGTGAGCCCTGGCCCAGCATCCGCGTGTCAGCACACGTGTGTACGTGTGCATGTGTGTGTTCGCGTGTCCATGTGTGTTCATGTGTGTGCGTGTGCATGTGTGTGTGTGTGTGTGTGCGTGTGCCTGCATCCTGAGGGACGGCGTCTGCTAAGCACTGGTTCAGGGCACAGGGTCCTGCACCTGCCTCCCTCAGGCCTCCTTCCTTCAGGTCTCAGGCACTGGAGTCCAGGGTGACTCAGGGAAGCCGGTGCCTCCCCTGGCCCCATCCCTGCCCTCCTGGCTGGTACCCTGGGCTGAGCTGGTTCCTCCAGCCTCAGTTTCCCCACTGCAGCGGGCTGCATCTGCAGAGAAGGAGACCTGGTCTGGGGAGGCCCCTGGCCCCTCCTTGCTGAGGACCAGGCCGCCACCTGGTGGCCGCCCGCCCCTGCAGCGCCCGCCTGCCTCCTGCCGGCTCCTGGGTGGGGCGAGGGCCAGAAAGGCGAGCAGAGCAGCTCTGGGGCCCGGGTGGTGGTGCTGCCTGGACCCCCAAGGTCTGCGTATGTCTCGCTAAGCCTTCTGCCCTATCCGTGTGGGTCTCTCCCCCTCACCTGGCCAGGCCGTGGCCTCCAGCCTCACCTGTGCTCGCCTGTGCCTGGCCCAGGTGGTACCACGGGCGCCTGTCTGGCAAGGAGGCTGAGAAGCTGCTGCTGCAGAAGGGGCATCCGGGCAGCTTCCTGGTGCACATGAGTCAGAGCGATCCTGGGGGCTTCCCGCTGTCAGCGCTGACGCAAGGGTGGGACGAGGCGCAGGGCTCAGGCCGCCAGCCACAGGTCACGCACATCATGACTCACTCCCAGGTGGGAGGGGGCGGCGAGCTGGGGCGGCCTCTGGGAAGGGCGGGCGGCCTTGGCCAGGCCCCTCACCGCCACCCCCACGGCCGGATGAGAAGTGGGAGACGGGGAGCGTTTTGACACCCTCGGAGACCCGGTGTAGCAGGAAGAGCCCATTGATGGGGAAGGTGGGGGCGGTTGTGCACCTCAAGCAGGTAAAAGCCCCTCCACAGGCACCAGGGCCGTGGGCACAGCCTCACCCAGGAAAGCAGCTGGGGGTCCACTGGGCTCAGGGAAGACCCCCTGCCAGGGAGACCCCAGGCGCCTGAATGGCCACGGGAAGGAAAACCTACCAGCCCCTCCGTGTGTCCTCCTGGCACATGGCGACCTCCATGACCCGACGAGGGTGCGGGGCCCGGGGCAGGGTGGCCAGGTGCGGGGGTGCGGGGCCCGGGGCAGCTGCCCTCGGTGGGAGGGGTGTGGTGTGGTCTGCGGGGCCCTGGGGGGGTGTGGTGGGGTCTGCGGGGCCCTGGGGGGGTGTGGTGTGGTCTGCGGGGCCCTGGGGGGGTGTGGTGGGGTCTGCGGGGCCCTGGGGGGGTGTGGTGGGGTCTGCGGGGCCCTGGGGGGGTGTGGTGGGGTCTGCGGGGCCCTGGGGGGGTGTGGTGTGGTCTGCGGGGCCCTGGGGGGGTGTGGTGGGGTCTGCGGGGCCCTGGGGGGGTGTGGTGTGGTCTGCGGGGCCCTGGGGGGGTGTGGTGGGGTCTGCGGGGCCCTGGGGGGGTGTGGTGGGGTCTGCGGGGCCCTGGGGGGGGTGGGGTCTGCGGGGCCCTGGGGGTGTTGTGGTGGGGTCTGCGGGGCCCTGGGGGGGTGTGGTGGGGTCTGCGGTGCCCTCGGGGGGTGTGGTGGGGTCTGCGGGGCCCTGGGGGGGTGTGGTGGGGTCTGGGGGGCCCTAAGCTTAGATGCAGGTCTCTCCCTGGCAGCCCCTCAAGGCCACGAGGATCAGTGCTCGGAGCCTGGAGGGCTGTGTGCAGGAGTAGCAGGGCCACTGATGCCAGCGGGAAGGCCAGGCAGGGCTTCTGGGTGGAGTTCAAGGTGCATCCTGACCGCTGTCACCTTCAGACTCTGTCCCCTGGGGCTGGGGCAAGTGCCCGATGGGAGCGCAGGGTCTGGGACTGTAGGGTCCAGCCCTACGGAGCTTAGCAGGTGTTCTCCCCGTGTGTGGAGATGAGAGATTGTAATAAATAAAGACACAAGACAAAGAGATAAAGAGAAAACAGCTGGGCCCCGGGGACCACTACCACAAAGACACGGAGACCGGTAGTGGCCCTGAACGGCTGGGCTCGCTGATATTTATTGCATACAAGACAAGGGGGCAGGATAAGGAGGGTCAGTCTTCTAAGTGATTGACAAGGTGAAGCAAGTCACGTGATCACAGGACAGCGGGCCCTTCCCTCTTAGGTAGCTGAAGCAGAGAGAGAAGGCGGCAGGCATCAGCGTTTTCTTCTATGAACTTATAAGATCAAAGACTTTAAGACTTTCACTATTTCTTCTACCGCTATCTACTACGAACTTCAAAGAGGAACCAGGAGTACGGAAGGAGCATGAAAGTGGACAAGGAACGTGACCATTGAAGCACCACAGGGAGGGGTTCAGGCCTCCGGATGACTGCAGGCAGGCCTGGGTAACATCCAGCCTCCCACAAGAAGCTGGTGGAGCAGAGCGTTCCCTGACTCCTCCAAGGAAAGGAGACTCCCTTTCCCGGTCTGCTCAGTAACGGGTGCCTTCCCAGACACTGGCGTTACCGCTTGACCAAGGGGCCCTCAAGCGGCCCTTATGCGGGCATGACAGAAGGCTCCCCTCTTGCCTTCTATTCACTTCTCACAATGTCCCTTCAGCACCTGACCCTATACCTGCCGGTTATTCCTAGGTTATATTATTAATGCAACAGAGTAATATTAAAAGCTAATGATTAATAATGTTTATAATAATGATGGATAATTGTTCATGATCATCGCTGTATCTAATTTGTATTATGACTATTCTTATTCTATTTTCTTTATTATACTGAAACAGTTTGTGCCTTCAGTCTCTTGCCTCGGCACCTAGGTACTCTTCCGCCCACACGGGACGGGCTGGGGGTGGCCATCTCGGGCTCTGGGAAGGGGCCGGGGCTGTGAGCTGAAGGCTCCATCACCTCCAGATGCTGCAGCAGCAGGAATGCCGGTTCCTGTACCCTCGGAAGGAGGGGCAGAGTGTGGAGAACAAGCCCAAGAATCACTACAAGAACATCCTTCCCTGTGAGGGCGGAGGCCAGGGCGTCACCCGTCGGGCCTGGGGGAGGTGGGGGGCAGGCCGAGCATCTGCCACCGCTGACCTGAGGCTCCCCCTTGCATACCCTGGACCCTCCATCTCTGCTCACCACAGGGTCTGCGGGCAAAGAGGCAGGGTGAGGCCCACGAGCTGTGCCCTGGAGAACTGAGCGGCACCTCCCTTCCCAGTTGATGCTACCCTTGAGTCATCCTGCTCAACGAGGATGACAGCGGGCCCGGAGCCGACTACATCAGGGTGGGTGTGTGCGGGAGGCGGGGCCTGGGCCCATTGCTCCTGGGGGGCTCAGGAAGAACCAGGGTCCCCAAGGGAGGGGTGGGCGGCAGTCTCCAAGGGGTCCTCAGAGAGGCTGGACGGGCATTGGTCCTCAGCCCCTTGCTGGCCTGGAGTGAGGAGTGTGTTTAAGCCACCAGGGCTCTTTGCATAATATTTGTGTGTCGTTTGCATATCATTTGCATAGCATTTGCATGGACTTGTTTGTCCTCTGTTAACAGCAGCAGTTGGCCTCATTCCCTTTCAGACTGACCCTGAGGAGGAGCCGGGCCATGGCAGGGGCAGGGTGGACATCCCTTGTGGCCCTGCCCCGCCGCACCTGCACCTGCACAGCCCGCGTGGGCCCGCCCCGCCGCAGCTGAAGTGCACCACCATGGGCCCGGCCCGCGGCTCGCGGCTCGCGGCTCTGGGCCCGGTTCACCTCGTCCCGGAAGCCGAGGACGCCGGCGGGATCGGTCCGGACGCCGTAGTCCGGCCAGCCGAAGTACTGGAAGTGCTGCACCGTACGCTGTGGCTCCTCCCCGCGGGGCAGGGCCTCGCGGGCGCAGGGTGTACATCGCCTGCAGGGCTGTCTGCAGGCCTGTCTGCAGGCCACGGTGGCTGCTTTCTGGGCCACGGTGCACCAGGAGAACACGCGTGTCATCGTCATGACCACCAGGGAGATGGAGCGGGGCCGGGTAGGGGTGCGGTGCCAGTGCTCCCAGTGCCCATCCCACCCCGTGCATCTTCGGCTGCCCAAGGCCCTTCCCGACCAGGCCAAGGAGGCTGTGGGACGCCGTGGGAGTGGGGAGGCTCCCACAGAGCCCCGTGGCTGCACGTACACACCTGCGTCTCTGCAGGTCGCAGGGGCGGGGTGCCGAGGTGCTGCCAGCAAGGCTGATGCAAAGCGCTCCCCTCGGAACAAGTGTTTCCGGGACTGGCCAGAGCTGCCCGGCAGCCAAGAGTTCGGCCGTGTGCACATGCGCGTCCTCGGCAAGGGCCAGGCCCAGGGCTACTGCGTGCGGGAGCTGCAGGTGTGGCGGCCGGGCCAGGTGAGCCTGGCGGCTGTGGAGCGTGCCTGCTGTCGGCCTGCACTGGGAGACCCCACACCTGCCTGCATCCAACCCCACTGCCTTTGGGGGCTTCCACACCCCTCAACCCAGGAGGTGCATTCCAAGCCTGGACAGGGGTCACTGACGTGGCCACATTCTCAGCCCTGGGCTGGCGGCCGCTCCTCCCACACACCTCTCCAACTGCAGCTTTGGTCTCCGTTGTATACCAGAGACGCCCATTTCTGCTCCGGGCAGATTACCTCGTGTTCCCTCCAGCCCCCGCCCAGTGTGTGTGGGGGGGTCCTCCAGGACCCCATGGACCCCTCACATTTGGTTTTTCCTTATAAAATAACTGTCCTCACAGCCTGCTTCGCCCGCCCCCAGCTCCCTCTTCCCTTCCCCAGGCACCTGAGCCACCTGGGGCCATCTCGGCGCCCCCTCCCCATTTCCTTCCTCCTCCTCCTGCTCGCCTTGGCTCCCGCAGCCCCTCCGCTTGGGCACTCCCGGAAACCCAGCTGTGCCTCAGCCTCCTCCTCCCACCCTGGGGTCACACTCACCGCTTGCCCCGCTCAGGAGGAGCCACAGCGTACGGTGCAGCACTTCCAGTACTTCGGCTGGCCGGACTACGGCGTCCGGGCCGATCCCGCCGGCGTCCTCGGCTTCCGGGACGAGGTGAACCGGGCCCAGAGCAGCAAGCCGCGGGCCGGGCCCATGGTGGTGCACTTCAGCTGCGGCGGGGCGGGCCCACGCGGGCTGTGCAGATGCAGGTGCGGCGGGGCGGGGCCACGCGGGCTGTGCAGGTGCAGGTGCGGCGGGGCGGGGCCACGCGGGACGACGAGGGCGGAGCCATCGGGTGGGCGGGGGCGCCCCCGCCCCCGCCCCCCACTCTCGTCAAAGGCCGCCTAGTTTGTCCTCAGTGGGGGCATCGGATGCACGGGCACCATCATCGTGATTGACATCCTGGTGGACGTCATCCGCAGGCAGGGCGAGCCGCTCCACTCTGGGTCCCCCCGCCCTGCCCTGCTATAGCCCCACCCCTCCGGGCGACCCCACCCCTCCGGACGACCCCACCCCTCAGGACGACCCCACCCCTCAGGACGACCCCACCGCTACCGGCAAGCCCCGCCCCTCATCAGCAGCCCCGCCCCTGCCTGCCGGCACCTTCCCCCCATCCGTAGCCCCTCCCCAAGCGCGCTTGTCCGCAGGGCTGGACTGCGACACCGACGTCCCGAAGACGATCCAGCTGGTTTGGCGGCAGCACTGGGGAATGGTGCAGACGGAGGCTCCGTACAAGTTCACGTACCTGGCGCTGCAGCGGCACATCCGGGGCGAGTAACTGCGCCTGCGCGAGCAGGTGGGGGCGTGGCCCTGCGGGGCGTGGCCTGTGCGGGCGTCGCCATGGTGACCGGCGGCCCCTCCCCCCAGCGCGAGCCGCCTCAGGAGCGCGAGAACCAAAACGTGGGCGCCGCCCCCCGCTAATCGGGTTGCAGCCCCCGGCTCCCCGGGCATCCCCGGTGTGAGTGGAGCGCCGGGGCCGGTCCGGAGTCCTCTGGGAGGGACTGGGACGTGCGGGGTGCAGGGCTGAGCCGCTGCTCCGCGCGCAGAACCCCGCAGCCCTGGGACGGCGAGGACGCGAACCTGCGGAGCCGCGGGTGTCTGAGGAGCCGCAGGGAACCCCCGGCCTAGCCGCGCCCGCGTGTGGCCGGAGCTGCGGGCCGGGACTGTGTCCAGGACAGAGCCACAAGCTTGTCCCCAGCTCAGGGAGGTCCAGGGGCGGCAGAGGGAGCGACAGGCTGCGAAGCCCACCGGTGACCACGTGTGAACCCGCGTGCGCCCCCAGCTCGGCCACTCCGTGCGGGTCTGCCCTCACCGCAGCTCCGGCCTGCCGGCCCTGCCTGCTCCCGTGGTCTGGGATGTGGCCCCGGTGAGGACCCGGCCCCATCAGGCACAGGGTGGATGTCTGTGGAGTGAGGTGTGTGTGACATATTCATGTGACCACCCGTGCAGCGTCACGCGCCTGGCCCTGCCGATGACAAGGGTGTGGGCCTGCGTGGGCATGACTGTGTGTGTGACACAGAGTGATGTTGCTGTGACCCGTGGCTGCACTCCCCACATCACCGGCTTTCACAGCCTTCCGGTAAAGTGCTGTGTTCTCCCTTCTGTGTCTTCGCTGGGACCTGGGGCAAGGGTGGGTGTGGCCCCCACAGCTGGAGTCAGCTTCTGTGGGGCCTTCCCGAGCCCTCCCCACCCTGGACCAGAGGCCCAGCTGGTTGGAGCAGGAAGTACCTGGGCTCTGGGGTCAGGGATGGGAAGGCTGAGGAGGCCTGCGTGAGCTGGACCTGGCCTGGGCCCTCCTGGCCGTGCCTGCCTGGTGGTGCAGGATTCCTGGGGCTGATGACAGACGGGGTAGGGCTGGGGTTGGCGAGCCTCCTGCCGATACCTCACGTAGCTGACCTCTGACTCTTCCCCAGCCAGGCTGGCCCTGGGAGTTGCCGGAGAGTCAGTGGATCTGCAGGCTGCACGCTGGCTGTTACCTTTGCTTCTGGGTTCCCACAGGGGTCATGGTTCTGTGGTTCTCCAGTCAGGGACCCTAGCAGGGCCATGGGGCGTGACTTCCTGGAGGTGTGGCCTAGTATGGCCACGGCAGAGGATGGGGGAAGAGAAAGGCCCCCTTTGTCAGCCCCCGGGCTCTGAACCAAGCTGAAGCCCTCCCCCTGGTCCAGCCTGCCCTGCCCCAAGTGTCCTGGGCCTCTCCCCATCTCCCTGGGGAGCCTCACATTGCTGAGTCGCCAGCCAACTCCAGAAACCCCCAGCCTGTCTGCAGCCAGAGGGGCTGGGAGTTGGACCCCCTAGAACCTTGGGCCCACCTGTCCCAGTGGCTGCTGGGAGTCTAATTCTGTCAGGGTATCCTCTGGGTTGAGGCTGCAGCAGGGGCACCCAGGGTGAGGCCCTCTTGCCAAAGATGGATACAAATAATTTATTTTAAAAGGTACAATTCACAAGGTTGGAGGGGTAGCTGGAAGTTTCTGTGGTTACCTTGCACTGGGGGGCTGCCCTGCCTCCACTCTCTCCCCACAGTCCGAGGGCAAGATGAGCACCCCCACCCAATGGCAGGACCAGCCCTGCGGGGAAATGTCAGCATGAGTGGAAGCACGGCAAGGCCCCTTCCTTCTTGGCAAGGGGCTTCCCTGGCAGGCAGTTCACAGGGTGTGTGGGTGGGGGGGATGCTGACCAGCTGCTCTCCTGGACCCTTCCTGTACGAGCCTGTTTTTTTTTGTTTTGTTTTGAGACAGGGTCTCCCTCTGTCGCCCAGGCTGGATGCAGTGGTGCAATCTTGGCTCACTGCCACCTCCACCTCCCCGGTTCAAGCAGTTCTCCTGCCTCAGCCTCCCCAGTAGCTAAGAGGCACCCACCACGATGCCCGGTTAATTTTTGTATTTTTAGTAGAGATGGGGTTTCACCATGTTGGCCAGGCTGGTGTCAAAATCCCGACCTCAAGTGGTCTTTCTGCCTCAGCCCTCCAGAGTGCTGAGATGACAGGCGTGAGCCACCGCGCCCGGTGAGACTGTGGTTCTTGGAGGCTTTGGGGATCCTCTTGTCCACCCCGTCAGGACCCAGCCTGGAGAATGAGGGGTGGACAAGCTAAATGGAGCCTGGTCTTGGTGGGGCCCCGGTGGAGTCCTCAGAGATGCCAGGCTCCTTTCGCGTCCTCGGGGACCGACTTCCAGTGGCTGCTGTGCCCTTGGGCCCCCCAGTGGGGGACGCCCCATGGAGCTGGGCGAGGGCGGCTGACCTGGGCAGAGGCTGCTGGCCCTAATTATCAGTCAGAGGCCCGAGGGGGGAGGCGGCTGTGCTGGTGGCCGGGGGCCGGGGGGGCAGGGGCAGGCAGCGCAGGTTCCCGGTCTTGAGCGCGCACTGCACCGGCCAGAGTGCCACACAGAAGAGCATCAGCAGCAGGGCAGAGACCAGTGCCATGCGCCTCCAGTCCCTGCAGCGCGCCCAGCAGCGGGCCAGGCGGCCCCGGCGGGGGGCAGGGTCCCGGGCGGGCGCGGGCGGCTCGGCAGGCTTGCTCAAACCCACGTCCACGCATACGAAACCGGGCTCGCGGCCAGGTGTGGTGGGCAGTGGCTGGCAGCACAGCTTGGTGCCCTCCAGCCACACAGGCTCCTCACGCCGCAAATGCGCCGGCATCCGGGCCTGCAGCTGGCGGCTGGTGCACAGCGCGGGGGCTCCGGCGGGCGGCACGGCCGTGGGCTGCCTGCAGAAGGGGCAAGGTACAGCCTCACCACCGGGGCGGCCCACAGGCTGAGCAGCCGCCAGCCGGGCCAGGCACTCCAGGCAGAAGACGTGGGTGCAGGAGAGCTCCTTGGGTGTCTTGAAGATGTTGTCATAGCCTGAGAAACAGATGGAGCACTCCAGGGGGGAGGCCACCCTCTCCGAGCCAGGGGTGCCAGGGGACCTGGGGCTGCCGGCCGAGCTGGGGGACCTGGGCATCGAGGCTATGGAGCTGCTCCGGCGAGGGGGTGGCACAGCCGTGTGCCACACCTGCTGGCCTGACGACATGTCTCTGAGCTGTGGGACAGGGACTGTGGTAAGCAATCACCGGCCGCCCCTTTCTGGTGGTGTTTTATCTCTCCCTCCCCTCTCTCGCCCCAGAGATCCCAGGGAAGGACTCTGTTTCCTGCGCGCCACTCCAGAAAGTTCCTCCGGTGCCCCTGGAGGTCATTCTGCCCCACGTGCAATCCTGTCCTCTCCACCCCATCACATGGCTGCACCGGGGTGAGCCTCCCACAGGGCCCCAGGCCTGCTCCGGGAATGCAGGCCGTGTGTAGGGGGGTCTCACTGACCGCTCGGCAGACACCTCCTGTTGGCCCTGCCCCACCTGGCTGGCCCTGCTGCCCGGGCAGAAATAATGGTGAGGATGACAATAGCCACAGTCGTCACTGTTTATGTCGGAGCTCTGCAAGGCTGGGCCCACATCACGGGACTCACACAACGCCACAGTGTGGAAAAGGCCGCCCAGAGCATGGGTGACTCGGCCAGGGCCACCCCAAGGGAGCTGGCGGGCCCTGGACCCTGGCAGATACGGCTCTCAGGCAGGCCAGGGACTCCAAGTCAAGTGAAGTGAGTTTGAACTCAGATCCCAGGATGGGTGCCTGGCTTGGGCGGTGCAGGCCTGATTTGTAGGCAGCTATGTGAGGGTGGGGTGTGGGGGTCTCTGGGTCTGGGGACCGGGCTGAGCCCCGGGGGCTTTGGGACGACAGGGAGGGCCCAGGCAGGGGCAGGGGTCAGTGCCCGAGGAAGGTGCACGTCAGGCACGACCTGCGGCCTGCGGGGCCGGCTTGTCTAGCTGCTGAGGGTCTGATGTGCACAGTGTGGGGGTGGGACTTGGATAAGCCCAGCCATTCCCTCTGGGCCAGCCCACTGCCTCATGGTCAGGTGATGGTCAGGGCACCCTCAGCCGCCCACTGAGTGGGTGTTTCTTCTCCCTGACCCAATCCCACTTCATGGCAGGGACCCTGGGGGACGGACACTGGGGGATGCTGCTCTGCCCCTGGGCATGGCTCAGGTGGGCATCTCAGCTGACCTGGGACCCTGCTCCACCTCCCGCCCCTCCCCTGCACCCAGGATCCGCTGCAGGGAGCCACAGGGGTCCCACCTGGAGGGAAGTGGGCAAGGGTGACAGTGAGACTCAAGGGCCTGGCCGTGCGTCCCCGTGGGGCCCAGGAGGCTGCCCCAGAAGTGACTCCTGGCACTGCCCCGCCCCACCCCTGACTTGCCAGTGAGTCCCAGACAGGCTGGCGGGATGACACAGGTCACTGTGACCACCTGAGTCACACGCCGTCACTGTGAGGCCGTGAGTGCCCCAGGCACCGGGACCTGGGGACTGTGCTCTGCGGCCTGTGTACCCCACAGAACCGGTTCCTTGGCACGAGGCCCCACCCCTCCACGATGGTGCCCCACCCTGAGCCTGTGCAGGTAAGGGGTGAACACGGGCTGAGCTGGCCTTACCTGGTGGCCGGGGGTCAGCGGGCCTGGGCGTGGTCCTCCTCGCCGGCCACGGTTGGGCTCCAAGGCCCTGGGCTGCCCTGCCGTGGCAGTGTCTGCTTCCTCTTCTCCGGGCCCGGCCCGGCCTGTGCTTCACCCAGCAGGTATCCCTCCCCGGGGCCGGCCACCAGCAGCTGTCCCGGTGGCACTGGTCTGGCAGGTGTGGCTTCTGCTCTGTCCAAGACAGGCGGGGACACAAGGAATGCGTGCGCCGTCACCCGCACAGAGCTCTGGTCTGAGGCAGGTGTGAGTTGCTGGGTGTGGGCTCCCAAGCAGGTCTATTTATACCCTATGGGCCAAGGGTGTGGCCGCAAGCCTCAGGGATTGGCTGGCTTCATCCTCTCCTTGGCGGGCCAGGCAGCTGGAGGGCAGGGAGGGAGGGGTGAGGGTCGGAGCCGGGTAGGGGTCAGCACAGCCGCTGCAGCCTGGGCAGGTCTGGGCTGGGGTGTGTGCTTGGACAAAGCCCTCTCTCCCTATAGCCCCAGGAGGCTGGAGCACCTGCTGGAAGCTGCTCACCGCAGTTCCAGGTCCCTGTGGCCCCTGAGCTCCTGGGTGGGCCTCCTAGCAGGGGCCCTCCCCGAGCCCCCCACAACCTATGCCCAGCCTGCCCCTGCCCTTTGCTCACTGCTGCCTGCCCTCACAGCCCATTCCTGCCACTTCCCTGCCCACACCCACCCATGTGCTCACCTGCCTCATCCATACACATACGTGGCTGCTCTCACACATGGGCCATGTGTTCACACGCTCTATGCCCCCGTGTCCACAGGCTCTCACACACGTGCCGTGTCCGGAAGCTCACATATGCCATGTCCACACTCACACACGCCGTGTCCACACTCACACGCCGTGTCCACACTCTCACACACATGCCATGTCCACATGCTCTCACACACGTGCCCTGTGTCCACACACACACACATGCCATGTCCACATGCCCTAGCAGACTACAGGACTGGTCTGTGCAAAGACCAGGGCTGGAGCTGGTTGAGAGTCTGGGGGCTGAGGCTGGCAGGGCTGGGATGGAGGATGTGTGGGTCTCAGAGGAGCAGCCAGTGGCATGGGCTGCCCCGTCCCCCGCACACCCCGCTGTGGGCCCGAGGGCCTGGTGTAGAGCTGCACCCCCAGGCTGTCCAGCTGCCAGCTCCCCACCTCACTGAGGCGTCTCTCTCCCAGCCCAGTGGACCTCATGCAAGGGGAGGTCCGACCCGGCTGCCACAGCCCCATCCCCGCCATGAGGCCTGGGCCGGACCTGAGCTGGGACTCCACACACCAGCCTGGGGGGGTGCCACACTGGGTGGGGCTGGGAGTGAGGGACCCACCCTAGTGGGAGAGCTGGCCGGGCCACCCCACAGACTGCCCTCAGGCAACTCCCATGCAGGTGCCCGCCGACCCCTCAGTAGGGACCCAGAGGCTCCCCCAGGGCTGCCGCGGGCATCCTGGAGCCCAAGGGATGCTGGGAAGTGGGAACCAGGACTGCAGAGGCCAGGGGGCAACACCCCGAGGAGGAGCACAGGGACTTGGGCTCAGGAAGGGCCGGACCCCTGCCAGTTCCATGAGGACTCTCAGTCGGGGGTTGGGGGGACCCCTGCCAGTTCCATGAGGACTCTCAGTCAGGGGTTGGGGGGACCCCTGCCAGTTCCATGAGGACTCTCAGTCGGGGGTTAGGGGGGTTCAGAGAGCGGATTTGGGTGCTCAGACAGGGAGGGGTGGATGCTCAGAGAGCGGGGCGCGGGCTGGGGCTGGGCTTTCAGACAGGGAGGGCTGGGGACTCAAGAGCTGGGGAGGGGTGGGAGCTCTGTGAGGGGCTCCGTGCGGGGTGGCTGAGGCTATGGGAACTCTGTGGGGGGAGGCTGAGGCTATGGGGACTCCGTGGGGGGAGGCTGAGGCTATGGGGACTCCGTGCCGGGAGGCTGAGGCTATGGGGACTCCGTGGCGGGAGGCTGAGGCTATGGGGACTCCGTGGGGGGAGGCTGAGGTTATGGGGACTCCGTGCTGGGAGGCTGAGGCTATGGGGACTCCATCGGGGGAGGCTGAGTCTATGGGGACTCCGTGGGGGGAGGCTGAGGCTATGGGGACTCCGTGCCGGGAGGCTGAGGCTATGGGGACTCCGTGGGGCAGGCTGAGGCTACGGTGACTCCGTGCAGGGCTGTGAGGCTACGGGGACTCCGTGGGGGGTGGCTGAGGCTACGGGGACTCCGTGGGGGGAGGCTGAGGCTACGGGGACTCCGTGGGGGGAGGCTGAGGCTACGGGGACTCCGTGGGGGGAGGCTGAGGCTACGGGGACTCCGTGCTGGGAGGCTGAGGCTATGGGGACTCCGTCGGGGGAGGCTGAGTCTATGGGGACTCCGTGGGGGGAGGCTGAGGCTATGGGGACTCCGTGCCGGGAGGCTGAGGCTATGGGGACTCCGTGGGGCAGGCTGAGGCTATGGTGACTCCGTGCAGGGCTGTGAGGCTACGGGGACTCCGTGGGGGGTGGCTGAGGCTACGGGGACTCCGTGGGGGGAGGCTGAGGCTACGGGGACTCCGTGGGGGGAGGCTGAGGCTACGGGGACTCCGTGGGGGGAGGCTGAGGCTACGGGGACTCCGTGGGGGGAGGCTGAGGCTACGGGGACTCCGTGGGGGGAGGCTGAGGCTACGGGGACTCCGTGGGGGGAGGCTGAGGCTACGGGGACTCCGTGGGGGGAGGCTGAGGCTACGGGGACTCCGTGGGGGGAGGCTGAGGCTACGGGGACTCCGTGGGGGGAGGCTGAGGCTACGGGGACTCCGTGGGGGGAGGCTGAGGCTACGGGGACTCCGTGGGGGGAGGCTGAGGCTACGGGGACTCCGTGGGGGGAGGCTGAGGCTACGGGGACTCCGTGGGGGGAGGCTGAGGCTACGGGGACTCCGTGGGGGGAGGCTGAGGCTACGGGGACTCCGTGGGGGGAGGCTGAGGCTACGGGGACTCCGTGGGGGGAGGCTGAGGCTACGGGGACTCCGTGGGGGGAGGCTGAGGCTACGGGGACTCCGTGGGGGGAGGCTGAGGCTACGGGGACTCCGTGCCGGGAGGCTGAGGCTACGGGGACTCCGTGCGGGGAGGCTGAGTCTACGGGGACTCCGTGAGGGGTGGCTGAGTCTATGGGGACTCCGTGCGGGGAGGCTGAGTCTATGGGGACTCCGTGCGGGGTGGCTGAGGCTATGGGGACTCCGTGCCGGGAGGCTGAGGCTATGGGGACTCCGTGCCGGGAGGCTGAGTCTATGGGGACTCCGTGCCGGGAGGCTGAGTCTATGGGGACTCTGTGCCGGGAGGCTGAGGCTACGGGGACTCCGTGCCGGGAGGCTGAGGCTACGGGGACTCCGTGGGGGGAGGCTGAGGCTACGGGGACTCCGTGGGGGGAGGCTGAGGCTACGGGGACTCCGTGGGGGGAGGCTGAGGCTATGGGGACTCCGTGGGGGGAGGCTGAGGCTATGGGGACTCCGTGGGGGGAGGCTGAGTCTATGGGGACTCCGTGCCGAGAGGCTGAGTCTATGGGGACTCCGTGCCGGGAGGCTGAGTCTATGGGGACTCCGTGCCGGGAGGCTGAGTCTATGGGGACTCCGTTGGGGGAGGCTGAGGCTATGGGGACTCCGTTGGGGGAGGCTGAGGCTATGGGGACTCCGTTGGGGGAGGCTGAGGCTATGGGGACTCCGTGCGGGGAGGCTGAGGCTACGGGGACTCCGTGGGGGGAGGCTGAGGCTACGGGGACTCCGTGGGGGGAGGCTGAGGCTACGGGGACTCCGTGGGGGGAGGCTGAGGCTACGGGGACTCCGTGCGGGGAGGCTGAGGCTACGGGGACTCCGTTGGGGGAGGCTGAGGCTACGGGGACTCCGTGGGGGGAGGCTGAGGCTACGGGGACTCCGTGGGGGGAGGCTGAGGCTACGGGGACTCCGTGGGGGGAGGCTGAGGCTACGGGGACTCCGTGGGGGGAGGCTGAGGCTATGGGGACTCCGTGCCGGGAGGCTGAGTCTATGGGGACTCCGTTGGGGGAGGCTGAGGCTATGGGGACTCCGTTGGGGGAGGCTGAGGCTATGGGGACTCCGTGCGGGGAGGCTGAGGCTATGGGGACTCCGTGGGGGGACGCTGAGGCTATGGGGACTCCGTGGGGGGAGGCTGAGGCTATGGGGACTCCGTGGGGGGAGGCTGAGGCTATGGGGACTCCGTGGGGGGAGGCTGAGGCTATGGGGACTCCGTGGGGGGAGGCTGCGTCTATGGGGACTCCGTGAGGGGTGGCTGAGGCTATGGGGACTCCGTGGGGGGAGGCTGAGGCTATGGGGACTCCGTGGGGGGAGGCTGAGGCTATGGGGACTCCGTGGGGGGAGGCTGAGGCTATGGGGACTCCGTGGGGGGAGGCTGAGGCTATGGGGACTCCGTGGGGGGAGGCTGAGGCTATGGGGACTCCGTGGGGGGAGGCTGAGGCTATGGGGACTCCGTGGGGGGAGGCTGAGGCTATGGGGACTCCGTGGGGGGAGGCTGAGGCTATGGGGACTCCGTGGGGGGAGGCTGAGGCTATGGGGACTCCGTGGGGGGAGGCTGAGGCTATGGGGACTCCGTGGGGGGAGGCTGAGGCTATGGGGACTCCGTGGGGGGAGGCTGAGGCTATGGGGACTCCGTGCCGGGAGGCTGAGGCTATGGGGACTCCGTGGGGGGAGGCTGAGGCTATGGGGACTCCGTGGGGGGAGGCTGAGGCTATGGGCACTCCGTGGGGGGAGGCTGAGGCTATGGGGACTCCGTGGGGGGAGGCTGAGGCTATGGGGACTCCGTGAGGGGTGGCTGAGGCTATGGGGACTCCGTGCCGGGAGGCTGAGGCTATGGGGACTCCGTGGGGGGAGGCTGAGGCTATGGGGACTCCGTGCGGGGAGGCTGAGGCTATGGGGACTCCGTGCGGGGTGGCTGAGGCTATGGGGACTCCGTGGGGGGAGGCTGAGGCTATGGGGACTCCGTGCGGGGAGGCTGAGGCTATGGGGACTCCGTGGGGGGAGGCTGAGGCTATGGGGACTCCGTGGGGGGAGGCTGAGGCTATGGGGACTCCGTGGGGGGAGGCTGAGGCTATGGGGACTCCGTGCCGGGAGGCTGAGGCTATGGGGACTCCGTGCCGGGAGGCTGAGGCTATGGGGACTCCGTGGGGGGAGGCTGAGGCTATGGGGACTCCGTGGGGGGTGGCTGAGGCTATGGGGACTCCGTGGGGGGAGGCTGAGGCTATGGGGACTCCGTGGGGGGTGGCTGAGGCTATGGGGACTCCGTGGGGGGAGGCTGAGGCTATGGGGACTCCGTGCCGGGAGGCTGAGGCTATGGGGACTCCGTGGGGGGAGGCTGAGGCTATGGGGACTCCGTGGGGGGAGGCTGAGGCTATGGGGACTCTGTGCAGGGCCGCTGTGAGGCCCTGAAAGCACTCGTCGGAGGCTCCTGCTTCCTGAGGTCCGTGACTCGGGTCACATGCCGCCTCCAGGAAGCACCCTGGCCCCTGCAGCTCTGGGAACGTCCTCCCGACAGCTCCTGGGAATATCCTGGCACTGAGGTCACTCTGGGCTCCCGGCTGACACTCGTGCCGGAGGCAAAGGTGAGGAAAGGCCGGAGGAATGTGTGGTCTCGGCGCCAGGCCAGGCCTCCCTGTGCAGGAGAGGAGCCAGCAGCTCCCCTTCTCTCAGCTCAGACGGTCTCTCAGGGCTCTCGGGAGGCTCAGAGCAGCTTGGCTGGCAGATTCCAGGGCAGGGGGTGGGCCCGCCTGGTCCCCTCCGTCGCAGCCAGTGGGCGGGAGGCTGGGCTGGTGAGCGTGTGGGCGTGTGTGAGCACACGTGCCCATGCTTGAGACATGGATGCTGGTGTGAGCACCTGACCCCTCACCTCCTTCACTCGGTCTCCTCACGCCCTCTCAGGGACTCCTTCCCCTCCAGGCCTCGGTTACGGGTCACACCTGGCACTGCCAGGCCTGGGGACGTGGTGCGGCCGGTGCGGGGAGGGGCCTTCCAGGCTGCTGTGGGGCCCCCGGCCTCGCCCCACCCCGCCCCGCCCCGTGCTGGGCCATTGCCTCAAATGCAGCGGCTCTGTTGGCCGTGGGACTGGAATTCTTTCCCAAGGGCCCAGATGTGCAGAGGGGAGGCCGGTGCGGGGGAGCAGGGCTCCGGGACGTGCACTTGGGTCTAGCTTTGCCCCTGACGTGCTGGGGCCGCCCCTAGGCCCAGCTCAGTGTGTCCCTCCTGTGCCCAGTGAGGAGGGCGTGCCCCTCGCTGCCACAGGTCCTGGCTGACCACGTGCTGCCCAAGGGCCAATCGCGAGTGCGCAGGTGGGGGACGTGGGGAGCCAGCTGAGGGGGATATGTGGAGGTGTCAGGATGACCCTGGGTTTTTGGTTTGGGCCACTGGGTGGGAGGAGGAGGAGGGGACCCAGAATTGAGAGATGGGGCCTGGGGGGCTGCTCAGAGGGTGGGCTGGGAGGTGCCTGTCTGTGTCTGGCCTGGCCTCCAGACCCTGCCTGGCTGGACCTGCTGTTCGTGCCTGTTTCCGATTTTATCCTCCAAACCAGACGCCCAGCCTGGTGCAAATGCAGGAGTGGAGTTTCCAGGGGGATGTGGACTCCTTCCCTCCACCCCCACCTCGGTCCCTGTCTCCTTCCCTCCGCCCCCACCTCGGTCCCTGTCTCCTTCCCTCCGCCCCCACCTCGGTCCCTGTCTCCTTCCCTCCGCCCCCACCTCGGTCCCTGTCTCCTTCCCTCCGCCCCCACCTCGGTCCCTGTCTCCTTCCCTCCGCCCCCACCTCGGTCCCTGTCTCCTTCCCTCCGCCCCCACCTCGGTCCCTGTCTCCTTCCCTCCGCCCCCACCTCGGTCCCTGTCTCCTTCCCTCCGCCCCCACCTCGGTCCCTGTCTCCTTCCCTCCGCCCCCACCTCGGTCCCTGTCTCCTTCCCTCCGCCCCCACCTCGGTCCCTGTCTCCTTCCCTCTGCTCCCATCTCGGTCCCTGTCTCCTTCCCCACAGGAGGAGTCTGGGGGCTCCCGCGTCACAGGGGCGTGGCCCAGGGCATCAGGTGGGGCGGTGGGTACTGGGCTCAGAGTGGCCTTGGGCTGTCCAGTCCCTCCCTTTCTCCCCAGGACCAGTGACCCTCCCAGCCCCAGGACACTTCTTGGGCCAGGGCCCAGGGCAGAGCCAATGCTCCCCCAGATACTCCCTGGCTGCAAACCTCAGGCTGGGGGTTTTTGGGGACAGGGATGCAGGTGTCTAAGGACACGACCCTCCAGGCAGTGGACGTTTCTGCCTGGGTGGAGGGCACGGTTACGAGAGCAGGGCCCGCGCTCTGGCATCCTGGTGCCCGGGCCCTCTGCCCTCAAGGCCTGTCCTGCCCCAGCTCAGCCCTCTCTGGCCAGGCCCATCACTGTCAGCAAACACCCCCACACTGCTGCCCCCCCAGATGGCCATGGCAGCCCTCCCGGGGCCCGTGTCTGCAGCCCCCACGCAGCCCGGCCGGCCGATGGAAACGCACACCCACACTCTGTCCCACCTCACTCCGAGCTGGGGGTTCGGGGACCACAGGTCCCACCTGCACAGGTTGCATCTGGGGAATGGGCCTGTGGCAGAAAATGTGCGGCGCGGGGCGGGGGGTCCCAACCAGGCAGCCCCAACCTGGACTCTCCTCCACCCCCGTCCCACCTCCTTGCCCCCAGCACACGGTGGCGGAGTGCGTGGGGCCAGCCTGGCGGGGGCTTTGCTCCCCGACCTGCACTTAGAGAACAGAGCATCCTACGGGAGAGAGCAGCTCGGAACGCAGCTTGAGTAATGCCGACTTTATATCAGCACACCCAGTGCCCCCACGTTCCCGCTGGCCCAGGTCCCGGAGACCATGATGGCACCCACAGTGGACTTCGCAAAGGAGCGTGGGGACCCCGAAGGCCAGGCCACCCCTCAGAGGGGGGTCCCATGCTAAAGCAGACGGTGCCGGTGCCGCAGGGCGTCTGAGACCCACGGTGGAGCCCGGGCCTGGCGTGCGGGAGGCGGCCACGACGGCGCCTTTCTCCCAGGAACTCCGGGAGGGACCCCAGGACTCAGCGCCAGGGCAGCCTTGGCAGGTGCAGTGAGGCAGTGACTTGTGGGGGTTAGATGTGGGCCTGCCCCACGTGGGCAGGGATCAGCCAGGCATGGGGGTCCAGCGGATCCGAGCGGGGCCACAGAGCTCTGGAGGACTTTTCTGCACAATGAATTTCTGCTTAAAAACAGAGATCAAGAGGAAGCTCTATCCTGCAGCTCCGGAAATGGGTGGCTGCGTGCTTGGGGTCTCCGCCACGCGGGAGGACAGCCCAGAGGCACCCTGGTCTCAGGCAGCTGGTTCCTAGGCTGTGTCCTCCCCACTGGCCGGGCACCGGCTGGAACGGCACGAGGACCAGCCTCACTGTTCTCAGAGGGGTCTCGGGCCACTGGGTGTGGTGGTGCTGGAGGAGTCCTGCCCGCTGTGGGCTCTGGAGGGCACGGCAGCAGAGCCCCTGGCTTTTCTAGGCAGAGCGGCACCTGCCCCATAGATCGTGCCAGCTTTGGCTGCAGGCGCTGGGGCCTCACCGTGTTTCCTGGGGGGGCCCGGACCCCCCAAGGCCTCGATCTGAAGCTCTGAGGTCTCATGGATGCCTGCTCCTGGTCCGATAAACGAGATGGCTGTGGTGGGGAGGAGCCTCAGGCGGCCCGGGACCCTTTGGCGTCCGTCGCTGGGAGGCGGAGGGACTCAGAGCCGAGGCTGTGCCCAGGACTGTCCCGGGCGCCGGGCGATGCCAACACTTTGTGCTGGTTCCCGCCAAGGGGTCGGCCTCCGGGTCCCTGCCGCCAAGTGCGTGGCGTGGTCTCGGCCTCCAGGTCAGACATTGCTGATACGGGCCTCCCCCGGGAAGGCAGCGGGATCCGTGGCCCTGTCCAGGGGCCGCTCCCGCCTGACGTAGCGCGGCTTCCGTACTGAAACGGGTCAGAGACAGGCGAGGTCAGAGTGGGACCTGGACAGCAGGGACAGTGCAGGCCTCAGCCCTCACCGGAGGCTCTCGGGAGTGGGCATATGGCACAGGCGCCCGGGGCTGTTTACTCTGACCAGGTGGGAACCCAGATGCCCCCTGCCCCTAAGGCGCCCTCAGAGCTCCAGCTCGGGAAAGGGACGGCTTCCTCCTGCCCGGCTGTGTCCTCTCATTTACACCCTGGGCCCCGGGGCCTGGACAAGGGCCAGGCGATCCCCGAAGACAGAGATGTGGGTCCCAGAGTATCATGCACCTCAGGGGGCGACAAGCAGGCCGTAGTCCCAAGACCTCGAATGTGACCTTATTTAGAAGAAGGGGCTTTGCAGGGGGTTACGTCAGGGTCTCAGGTGTGATCGCCCAGGGTTCCCCGGGCAGGCCCTGAAACAACGGCCAGGGCCCACCTGAGAGAGAGGCAGAGAGAGAAGACGCAGAGGTGGGGGAGACGCCGTGGGACCAGGGGACAGAGACGGGCAACGCAGCCACAGATGCCTGAGCCGGCAGGGGCTGGGAAGGCAGACAGCGTCCTCCCCGGAGCCTCGGGAAGCGTGTGGCCTTGTTTGCCCCTTGGTTTTGGACTTCTGAACTCTAGGATAGTCAGATTAAAGGTCTGCTGTTGAAGCTGGCAGCCCCGGGGCACTCGGGCACCGTGGGGTCTGCTGGGCACTTGCAGACAGGGCTGCTTTAGGGACGGGGCACGTCCAGCCTTGATGGAGAACGGTCTGTCCCCTAAAGGCACGGTCACCTGCCCCCATGACAGACTTCTGCACAGGGGGACGGAGGCCGGGTGAGCCCTGCTCATGGCCTTGGAGCTGTGTGGCTGTGCGCCGGTCACTCAGCCTGTGTCTGTGGCCCCGCACATAAAATGGGTCCTAACCGGGCTGACTCTTGGGTCCGCCTGACCCAGCACCACTGAAGCGATGGCTGCTCAGGAGGGCCTGGCGGAGGCCGGCTGCGTCTGTCCTCGGGTGGAGCTGGACTTCAAGGAGGAGCAGGTATTGGGGGTCTGCCCTGTCGTGGTGGGTCCTCCTTTCCTGCAGACCCCACGTCTCGGGAACAGGAAAGAGCATGGAAGTCACGGGGATTAAAGGGGGGCGGGCAGGGGGCGCCGGCCAAATCCAGCTGAGATCCAGAGCAGGGGGCACCAGCCAAATCCGGCCCTGGCCCTGCCTTGTGGGTGGGTCTCCTGGGGACCCGGGCAGGGGTGGCCGAGATCCAGAGCCAGGCAAACCCGTTTGGGGACAAACCCACAGAGCACCCTGGGACTGGCCCAGAGATGGGAAACCCCACAGGGGGATGCGACAGCTGCTGTTACCTGAGGACTGTGGCGGGGGGATCATTGCAGCCTTGAAAAGGAGAGAAAGGCAGAGTGAGGACTCGGGATGGCCTGGCACAGGCACACGCGGCCAGGGACGCTCAGCCCGGATGATGTGGGTTACTTACGGCTTCGCCAGGCTGCAGGGCCGGAGCTGTGGGGGAGAAAGCGGAGAGTCACCCTGGAGCCCAGGAGCTGCCTCAACCTCAGCCCAGTGCAGCGTCCGGGACAGCAGAGCGAGGAGCTGCCTCAGCCTCAGCCCAGTGCGGCGTCCTCGGAGCAGCAGAGGCCCCGGGGCTGCAGGGTCTCCCCCAACCTCTCCCTGCGGTGCATCAGCCTGGCCCTCGGTCCTGCCACATTCCTCCGGGGCACTCACAGGTGCGGGGGCCTCCCTAGCACCCCAGGTGAGTCCCCGCTCCCTGGACCCACCTTCCCGCCTCAGCAGAGGGGACAAGCCCCCCTCATGAGAAGCGTCTCCCCAGGCTCCAGGGTCCCAGGGGAAGGGCTGCCCTCCCACCCTCCCGGGAGGAGCCTCAGGCACGAGGTGGCTTTGAGCCCCACGGCCGTGGGCTTCTGCCTCCATGGTGCCCCCGCGATGGGGGTGCCGTGGCATCGTGGCCAACCTGGCTTCTCGTCCCGTGGCCACCAGGGCTGACCAAGCCCTGAGCCCTGCTCTGCTCCAAGGGTGCCCATAGGCAGAGATGCTGAGCAGGCCGGGTCTCTCGGTGCCTGGCTGTGCAGGAGACCCTGGCAGCGGGCTCCCGACTGGAGGCTGGGCCCTGAGACCCCGAGAGAGGTTGAGGGGGATGGACAGGGGTCTCACAGCAGCCAGGTGGGGCTGCCCAGAGACCTGGGAGGAGGCCCCAGCTCGGCTATCACAGTCTGGCCAAGTGCTCACCTTGGGGTCCGAACTGCTGGCTGGACCATCTGCCTGGCAGGGAC
Source organism: Homo sapiens (assembly GCF_000001405.40). NCBI lineage: Eukaryota > Metazoa > Chordata > Mammalia > Primates > Hominidae > Homo > Homo sapiens. The sequence goes on from NC_000001.11 coordinate 1,085,295, forward strand.
CCTGCGGGGGCCGGCCCTGGACAACGAGGGCAGGCACCACGGACCCTGCTCAGAACCCGCCCCCGCCTGAAGGCACCACAGTCACAAGGCCGTCTCTCCAGTGGGAAGGGGTCAGTGCCCAGGCCCGGGGTGACCGTGTGTACGGCGTGGCGTAGGCTGGGGTGTGGGCCCTGCACCAGCCTGGCCAGCCCTGACCCCAGGAGAGGGGAGGGGGGACCATGGCTGCTGGAGGAGCCCAGGCAAGTCCAACTGCCGAGAGCCACCCAGCCCCGCTCCACTCGCCCCTCGTGATGCCCTGAGGGCCCCGGGGAGACGCCTCTGCCGGAAGAGGGCTCCAGCAGAGGTTCTGGGCCCCGAGGAAGGCCCCTTGGTGCTTCGACCCTTCAAATCCACACACGGCTGTTTCCGGGAAGTGACGGGCCTTCTCACACCGGGACCCAAAAGCCACAGGACAGGCCCTGCTCCCTCCCGGCCTCTGCCAGCCTGCTCTGGCCTGGGACACTCCAGTCTCAGGCCCATCTCCACGGCTGGATGCCGCCTGCCCTGTGCCCTCCCGTGGGGCAGGTGCTGGTCCGGGAGATACCTTTGTTTCTTCTGTAGCAGGCCCTGGGGAGTTTACTGGAGCGCTTGAGGTAGAAGAACCCAGCTACGGAGAGGATGAGGCCGGAGCTAATGAAGAACGTGCCCAGGAAGAGGGAGGCGGCCACGCGCGGAGCCCCTGCAAACAGACACCGCTGAGCAGACGGGCAGGACGGTGGCCCTGGCTCCTCGCCTGGCCCCCGGTGCCCCCTGCACATGGCAGATGCGCTGCTCTCTGAACATGCCTGAGCCTCACGGGACCGGCTGTGGGTGCCGAGGGCTCTGCACATGGGCCTGGGTCATCCCTGCAGGCTCAGCCATGCCTGGGCATCTGGCCGCGGGGTCTGGGAAAGTTACCACCTGCCCCGGCCTCAGCTTCTCTCAGGAGCTCGGATGTTGGGAGCGTTACAGGGGCTGACCCTGGCCGGGCTCTGCGGAAACACCTCTCCGATTCCAGTTGCCCCTGAAAGCCAGGGGGTTCTCAGCCTTGTTCCTTCCTCCGGGCTCAGCACAGGCCCTGGGGCCCCCACACAGGGCAGAGCCTCAAGCTGGCAGCAGGTGCTCCTGCACCCCACTCACCTCCACCTGCCTGGGCCAGGACAGGCCAGGGCTGCTGGCCTGGGGCTCGGGACAGTTGGCAATGGCTGCTGGGTGTGCTCTGAGATGCTGGGGAGGAGACTCCCCAACCCTGAGACACAGGCGTGTTTGCCAGGCTTGGGGGCCTCGCTCCTTCCTGCCCCAGCACAGAGCCACAGGAGGCCAGGAGCCCATCCAGGCCAACCCCACCCTAAAACACTGCCACTCAGGTCAGCAATGGACCCAGGCCAGCTCAGGGCCGTGAGTGTGAACCTGAGAGCGTGCAGTGTGGCCGTGAGCGTGAACCTGAGAGTGTGTGGTGTCAGCGTGAGCCGTGAGTGTGAGCCTTAAGTGTGAACCTAAGAGCGTGCGGTGTGGCCGTGAGCCATGAGTGTGAACCTGAGAGCGTGTGGCTGTGAGCTGTGTGACCCTGAGAGAGTGCGGTGTGGCCATCAGGGCCTCCCCTAACTACGGCCCTTTAGAGATGTGGCAGAGCCCCCCATGACGCCCCACATCCCCCACCCACACCAGCTGACCCCAAGCTGCAGGGGCTGCCACGCTCCCCTCTGGCTGTTTTGCAGAACCCTGAGCCTGCTGTGGCTGCGTCAAGGGTGAGGGTCTGCACTGGCTCCGACGGCCCCCAGCCCCCAGGACACCGGCAGAGGTGGCTGTGGCCTGCTGAGACTTACCAGGATGTGGCCGCCCGGGGGTCCCTGAGCTTCTGTTCATGGGGAATGGCGCACCCGGGCCAGCAACTGTGGGATAGCAGAACTGTGGGAAGCCTGTGTGCACGGAGCCCACGGGGACACCCACGTGCACCCTGAAGGGATCTCAGGACGGAAATATGAAAGCGAGGGGCTGAGGGGGCGGAGCAGCCCTCACCACAGAGCTGTCCCGAATGGCCCAGCAGACTCGGGAAGAGGGGGCTCCCGGGGCTGTTCCCCAGTGGACAGTGGCTCTGGGGCAAGGTGGGGACACAGACAGCAACTCCCACAGTGTCTCCCACAGCTGGAGCTGTGAGAAGGGAGCCGGGGGGAGCCGGGCAGACCTACAGCTTCTACACTCGGAGCCGTTGTAGGCTGGGAGGGTTCCGTTCCCACAGCGGACGCAGCTGGCGCTCCCGTCCGCGTTCCAGCGCCTGTAACAGCCTGCGTGGGGCAGAGGACGGGCATGTCAGCCAAAGCAAAATCCACACCAGCTGGGTCTCCTGGGAATGATTCTCTATTTGAGTTGGTGAGATAACTTTCATTCCAGATACTAACATGCTCTGGAGGGTAGGTGGGCGGCAGACAAGGACACCCCCAGGGAGCATGGCGGGGCCGTGAGCACCCCACGCTGAGTACTCCACACTGCGCACCCTGACCCTGAGTACTCCGACCCCAAGTACTCCACGCTGCACTCTCCACGCCGAGCACCCCGGCCCCGAGTACTCCACGCTGCACTCTCCACGCCGAGCACCCCAGCCCCGAGTACTCCACGCTGCACTCCACGCCGAGCACCCCGGCCCTGAGCACCCCGACCCTGAGTACTCCACACTGCGTACTTCAGAGAGTGGTAGGCGGCAGCATCCAGAATGAACAGGCCTGTTGGAGGGACTCGTGCTCTGCAGGACTGCAGGCTGGGCCCGGCTTCCACCACCCAGCCTTCACCCCACAGACTCCCCAAGAACCCCCACTGCAACGCCTGCCCCAGGCCTCCCCCAAGACCCCCCCCACGCCTCTCCTAGGATCCCCCAACGGCCTCCCCCAGGACCCCCCCCCCATGGCCTCCCACAGGACCCCCGCATGCCTCCCCCAGGGTCCCCCACGCCTCCCCGGGACCTCCCCACGCCTCCCTGGGACCCTCCCACGCCTCCCCAGGACCCCCCCACGGCCTCCCCCAGGACCCCCCACGCCTCCCCCAAGACCCCCATCTGCAGTGCCTGGAGCGGCTGCCTCGCACCCCGTGTTCCCTCATGCCGCCCAAGCAGGATAGGCCCACCCGCCAGCAGCACAGCCTCCTGCCCCAAGCTGATCCCGACCCTTGGTCCATCTGTCACCTCCACACCCTGGCACCCTCCCCCGGGTCTCTCTCGGGGGATCCTGCAGAACCAAGCCTCATCCCCCCGCCAGGCCGACGCTGCGCCTGAAGCCTCATTTCCGCCCACCGGCCAGGGCGCCTTTAAGGACAGGAATTGACTTTTACTCCTTGACTTTCTAAATATCTCCAACACTCAGCCCAGAGCTGAGTAGACACACTCTTGATGCCGACTGCGGTGCGGCTGCTGGTGCGGGCCACGGGTGGACCACACGCCTCGACCCTTCCTCACAGACTGATCTGAATACAAACGGGCCGCGGCGACACGGGGACCCCGCGGTGGAGAGTGGGCCTGAGACCCCGGCACGGTTGTGACAGGGGTCACTCTGCAGACACACCTCTTGGAAGAATGGAAGTCCACCCGCTCAGTCCTACCAGGGTGGAGCTGCGCTCTCCCAGCACTGGGGGCAGCCTCTGTCTCCCGGCATCTCCTGGCACAGGGCTCGGGCGACTTCAGCGAGGCTCTGTCTGAGAGTCTCTGCCCCGGAGGCCGAAGAACGGAGTCCACGGCAGGGAGCCAAACACCAGCGCAGCACTGTCCCCAGAAGTGCCCGCTGCCTCCCCGAGCGGAGACGTGACCTGGCTTGGGGCCGCACGCAGGGGGAAGCGTATCCAACACCGCAGGCCCGGCCCCTCCCCACGCGCGCCAGACGGTCCCCACCCTGCGCCTGTGCATGGGGCCACCTCGGCCCTTGGACTTCACGACCCGCTGGCCTGGCCCCTCCATGGGCACCGTGACTGCTGCACAGCTGCCTGCACCCACAGAGTGCCTGGGGTACACAATCCCTCACAGGAGACGCCACGGCCCCAGCACTCTTGCTGCCATGGGGTGCCAGGGGAGTGGTTCTCACCCAGCCACCAGGGCTTCAGCATCAGACGATGAGGACCCCAAGGTGCTCAGCTTCCTCCCAGCCCCTCTGTTCTCCCTCAGAGCGGTGCCCTCCTCCTCCTACCCTGCGTGTGCCTCAGATGTCATCACTGCCTTCCTGTGGGCTCCCCAACCCCCACGCCCAGCCTCGGACCCCCGCGCCCAGCCTCACTGGCTGCCACAGCCGCCGTCTTGACCACGCCCTCCTCACGAGGCCCCTGAGTCCCCAGGAGCAGCCCTTCTGGGTTCTTCCATCATGGGAGGGCTGGACCCCCAGGATGGGAGTGCCAAGGCCCTTGGAGGTACAGCTGGGGCATCTCAGCCCCAAGTTCACCAAGGGCCGCCAAGGAGTGGCCCTTGCACCTTCTCACTCTGTCCTCCCCTCCCCTGGCTGCTCCCACTGGCTGCCCTCACCAGCCTCAACCTCCTGACACCCAGCTGCCCCCAGACAGTCCCTTCCGCAGCCTCCCAGAACCTCTGATGAACAGGGCCTGCCCGTGGCACGCTGACACAGGCCGGCATCCTCGTGGCGTCCTGTTGATTGGCATTCCACTCCACGCACCAGGGGCCAGCAGCACCTCTGCCCGAGCACGGACAGGCAAAAATGTCTTGGGCTTTGCCAGAGGCCCCTGGAGCCAGGACAGCCCCGTGAGAATGGCTGAGCTCATGGGCCACTCCCCCAGACCCTTCTCCAGGCACCTTTCTGATCTCAGCTCCTGCCTCTGCTCCCAGCCCTCTGCTGGGCCAGTCTTCTCATGAGGCTGCCGCTCAAGGCCGCCCGCCAGAAAGGAGGCTCAGATGTCCTTCCCCAAGCTCCACAGCCCTCACTGCCCCATCCACTCCCCAGGTCCCGCAGCACAGATGAGCACTGTCCTTGTCACCGAGGGGAGGGCCCTGGGCACACACACACCAGTGGCTCAGGGGCCGGTCTGGAATCTGCTTGGGACAAAGCGGCTTACCTGGACCACACAGACTTGCGCCTGGGCAGCTGGCGTTGACGCCCACCACATCCACACAGCACTCGGGCAGCTGGGCCTGGAGGGGACACGGCAGTGAAACTCCAGGACGCGCCTGCCAGGCAGGCTCACGCCCAGAGCAGCAGCGGCTGAGGGGTGCCGTGGGAGCACATCTCAATGTCCGCAGCTCCGGCCTCTTCTGGAGTCAGCATCGGGTGGCCCTCTGTCCCCTGTGGGCCTGGGAGCAAGGAGGGGCCTCACAGCCACAGTGCACATCCCTGTGGGACCCTGGGTGGGCGGTCTCCAAGGAAAAGCTGGGCCTGGAAGAGTAAACCACCCCCAGGAGGCGGCACCCGCAGGCCATGGCAGCGCCACCGACATTCTCTGCAAGTCTCCGGAGGCTCTCCATCAGGGGTTTCCGCTTGACCCCACAGAGGAAGTGCCCGGGCCTGGCTGGCATTTCAGGGGACGAATTCACGCCCAGGTGCCCAGGTACTGCACAGGTGCGCTGGGTGCTGGCACTTACGGTGTGTGTGAGGGCCCATTCCCTGACCACAGGCAGACTGGACAGGCCTGGGGGGCTCAGGGTACCCTCAGCTTGTGTGTTGATCACAGCTGTGCTGTTTCTCGTGACCTGAATGCAGTGAACGGTGAGGGCGTCCAGGGGTGACTGCGGAGTGCGGGATAGAATCCACACCGCCAGGGAGGGGCCCAGGTCCGGTCCCTCAAACGCCCCAGCCAGGACAGTGAGGGGTCCCCACCCTCCACCCGCTCCGCCTGGGAGTCTGGAGCCGCCGCAGCTACACTCCCCGATAGCGATGCGCGGCACGCTGTGCTGTCACCGCTGGCAGAGGTGCTCCCATTGCGGGCCAGGATGCCTCACCGTGGGGGCCCCGCCTGACCCAGCCATTCCTGAGCAGGCGCTCACCCAGCAGGCAGCGGAGGGCTCCCCTCTGCGAGGCACAGGCCCCTCTGACCCCAGCAGTGGACCTGGTCAGCACCTCTGGGGCTGGGACATCAGTGTCCTAAAGGTGGAAGGGTTAGACCCTCTAGGGGAAGGGCCCACCGCCCTCCACAGAGGCTCTGGCTTAGGCCGCGTGGACACGTGAGGGGGGCACCTACCGTGTTCTCCATGGACTTGCTGGCGACTCCCACGAGAAGGCCAGCCAGGAGGGCGAGGTGCCGCAGCGCCATGCCAGGAGCAGATGCGCAGAGCCTGCCACAGGGAGGAGCATGCGGAGCCAAAGAGATGGAGTGGGGCTGAGGCAGGGTGGGTGGGGCCAAATGAAAGTGGGGTCAAGAGATGTTGGGGGGGTGCGGGCCAAGGCAAGGAGGGCAGAGCCAAATGGAGATGGGTGGGGCTGTGGTGGAGGGTGGGGCCAAATGGAAGTGGGCGGGGCTGTGGTGGAGGGTGGGGCCAAATGGAAGTGGGCGGGGCTGTGGCAGGGAGGGTGGGGCCAAATGGAGATGGGGTGGGGCGGGGCCGCGGCAGATGACTGAGTTAAATGGAGATGGGGCAGGGCCGTGGCAGGGGTGCAGGGCCACGACAGGGAAGGTGGAGCCAAATGGAGGTGGGGTGAAAGAGTGAAGGCTTGGGGCCTTTGGAGGCACGGGTGGGGCGAGGTGTAGGCAGGGCCTTACCTGCCCCTCCAGGATGGGGACTACCGACATCAGCCCTTTGCCCGCCTGGGTGTTCAGGGGTTAGCTCTGGGAGCTCATGGGCTCAGCTGAGCCCTGCAGACCCCGGCCCAGTCCTGCAGATGAAGACAGCAGGTGAGGCCGTGGTCACGCGAGGGCAACCCAGGTGGGCCGTGGCCTACGGTGCGGGGTCTGGGTCCGGTCCGGGCCCTCTGTCCACACCCTTGCCGGCCCCTGGCTGTCGAGCAGGGCGTCCTGGAGGGGCTGTCTCCACGAGTGTTTCCCCCGAGCTGGCCTCCTGGCCTCCTGCGGGTGAGAGTGCCTGGGATACAGGCCCTCGCTGGGATACGGGCCCTCGGCCCGGCCTTTGCTCAGGGACCAGGTACGGAGCTCAGTGGCCCAGGCTGCACTTGGTGGACACCGGTCCTCCCGCACAAACCCCCTCTCTCCCCCCTGCACTTCCAGCCACAGGACCTGTTACCATGGCCCTGCCTTCCTAAGGGAGGAAACGCCTGCCAGGCGCACAAATCCTCAAGTGGTGTCACTGCACTGGCTCAGGGGCCTCCCTGGCAAGTTACCCCGAGGGGGGCTGAGGCCCAGCCAGGCCTGTGGGGCTCCTCTTGATGGGCCTAGGCCGGGGTCCTGGGACAAGGGCTGTGAGCAGCAGGGAGACGGAGGCCCTGGAGGACACAGCTCCAGTCTCTGCACAGGGACGGTCCACTCTCCGCACAGGGACGGTCCACTCTGTCACCCATTCCATGCTGGATTCAGGTCATGGCCTCACAAACTGACCAGGCTGCCCAGGTGTGAGCCTGCCGGAGGACTCTGGAAGGTGGGGGTGGTCGGAATGCTTGAGCTCAGGAGTTGGAGACCCACCTGGGCAACACAGCCCGTCTTTACAAAAAGTTTAAAATTAGTCGAGCCTGGTGGTGGGAGCCTGAGGTCCCAGCTACTCAGGAGGCTGAGGTGGGATGATCACCTGAGCCCAGAAGGTGGAGGCTGCAGTGAACGGAGACTGCACTCCAGCCTGTGCAAGGGGAACTCCGTCTCAAAAAAAAAAAGCATGCTCTCCTCTGATTCAGCTCCTCCTCTCTGATGTGAAATCCTTTCAGATGGAACGTGTTGAAGTCACAGACATGCTGCTCGCCCCACCCACAGAGTGCAATCAAGTCTTAGTTTGTCCTTTTGTCCCTTTAACATTTGCCCAGCAGAGACCGTCTTCCCCTGCTCAGTGGAAAACTCCAGACATCACAGACCCTTCTGCTCCCTCTCTGGTTAAAGGGCATCCTGAGGGCCACATTAAGTCACAAAACATCATTTTGATTCAGGAACCAGAAGTCCAAGATTTCAATCAACACTTTCATCTGCTATTTAGTCAACTTCATGGAGATCTACTTTACATACAATAAACCACATCCGTGTAAAGTACACAAGCGGGTGAGTGTGACCACCCCCTTGAAGCTGCCACCACAGCCAGGACGGTGCCCGGTCCCACACAGCTGCCAGCACTCGCTGCGGCCCCCACAAGCCCGGGCTCCCGGCAGCCAGGAGCTGACCAGACTGCAGCTGTATCTTCTAGGGTCTTACACAAAGGGGTTGCACACACTGACCTTTAGATCCTTCCATGTTGTTTTATCCGCACTTTCTTCCTTTCCACAGTCGGAGGATTTTCCACTGTGTTGGCCAAACGTCACCGCCTTTGCCCATCACCTGCCAGTGGGTGCCTGGGCTGCTCCCAGTTCCTGGTGACTGGATGGAGCTGCGGCCAAGGTCCTGGCACATGTCATCATGTGGACATCTGTCTTCATTTCTCTTGGGAGCAGAGTGGCTGGCTCACAGGGAGGTGCACGTTTAACTTTCTAAGGAACTGCAGCCGTCTTCCACAGTGGCTGTGCTGTATACCCTCCCACTGGCGATGTGGGTGCACGCAGGGTGTCCGTGCATGTGCAGGAGTATCTCTGTGTCGTTACAATCTGCATTTCCCTGAAGACTAATGATGGCATCTTTCCATGTGTTTATTAGCCACTTATATATCTTCTTTCTGAAGTGCCTACTCACATCTTCTGCCCATTTTGTTTAATTGGGTGGAGTTGCAACATATACCTTTTTTTTTTTGGCAGGGGTGGGGGGCATAGGGTTTCACTCTGTTGCCCAGGCTGGAGTGCAGTAGTGGGATCGTGGCTCACTGCAGCCTTGACCTCCAGGGCTTACGCGATACTCCTACATCAGCCTCCCGAGTAGCTGAGACTACAGGTGCATGCTGCCATGTTGACCTCCGGGGCTTAAGTGATCCTCCTACCTCAGCCTCTCGAGTAGCTGAGACTAGAGGTGTGCGTCACCACCACGCTCAGCTAAAACACATATTCTTCATCAGACTTATGTATTGCAAATATTTTCTTCCATCCTGTGGTTTGTCTTATCATCTTTTTTTTTTTGAATTGGAGTCTCTGTCGCCCAGGCTGGAGTGCAGTGGCGTGATCTCAGTTCACTGCAAGCCCCGCCTTCTGGGTTCACACCATTCTCCTGCCTCAGCCTCCTGAGTAGCTGGGACTACAGGTGCCCGCCACCACGCCCGGCTAATTTTTTGTATTTTTAGTAGAGACGGGGTTGCACCATGTTGGCCAGGATGGTCTCGATCTCCTGACTTTGTGATCCGCCTGCCTTGGCCTCCCAAAGTGCTAGGATTACAGGCATGAGCCACCTTGCCCGGCCCCCGTCTTATCATTTTTTTATGGACATCTTTTGAAGAGCAAATGTTTTTAATTTTAATGAAATTTTTAATAAAATTGAATGCATCCATTTTTCCTTTTGTGGTTCTTGTTTTTTATGTCCTAAGAAATCTCTGCCTTGACCTCATGGTCACTAAGATTTACTGCTTTCTTCCAGAAGTGTTACAGTTTTAGCTTTTGCATTCTGAGTCACCTTTGTGTATGGTGAAATGCAGGTCAAGCGTCATTTCTTTCCTTATGTATAAACAGTTGCTAAAAAGACTTTTCTTTCCATGTGGAATTACGTTGACATCTTCATTGAAAATCAATGGACTATAGAGGTGGGGTCTATTTCCAGTCTTTCTATTCTGTTCCACTCACCTGTGTGTCTATTCTTCAGGGACACTGCGGCTGACTGGATTACTGAAGCTGTAAGTAGAATAGAAACTTTGAAATCAGGGCACGTATCAGCTCCACTTTGATTAATTGCTTTGGCAATTCCAGGTCACATGTGTTTCCATTTTAGACTCATTGTGTCAATTCCTACAAAAAAGCCTGCTGCGATTTTGACTGGCAGAGCCGATGTTTTAACAGGATTGAGTCTTTTCATCACGGACATGCTGTCTCTCTTCATCCCTCCGCATCTTCTTCAATTTATCTCAGCAGTGTTTATAGTTTTCAGTGAACAGGTCTTGTATATCTTTTGTTAAGATAATTACTAAGATTTTACTTTTTGTTATTACAAATAGAATGTAATTTCTGATTTCATGTTCCGATAGTTTGCTGCTACTATATAACGATAAACTTTGCACCTTAGCCTTGATATCTGAAATCTTGCTAAATTCACTTAATAGTTCTAGCAATTCTCTGTAGCTTTCTTAGGACCCTCTGCATAAATAATCATGTCATCTACAAATAAATACAGTTTACTTCTTCCTTTCTAATCCTTGTGACTTCAATTTGCCTTTTTTCTTACCTTATTGCAGTGGCTGGGACTTTGAGTATAATGTTGGACAGAAGAGTGAGAATGGGTGTCATCCTTGTTCTTGATTTTAGGGATAAAATGCTCAATATTTCGCCATCAAAAGTACAACGTCTAGTGTAGGTTTTTCATAGATGTTCATTTATCAGACTCAGGGAGTTTCCTTCTATTCTTAGTTTACTGAGGTTTTTTTAAAAAAATCATAAAACAGGTATAAATGTTTCCAAATGTCTTTTCTGCATCTATTTCAGTGATCATCCTTTCCTTCTTTATTCTAGTAATATGGTGACGACAAAGATTCATTTATGAATCAAAACAACCTTGTATCACTAGGATAAACCACACTTGGCCGAGGTGTACTGCCCTCTTAGGCTATTGTTGGATTTCACCTGCCAATACCTTCGTAAGGATTTTTGCCTGTGTTCATGAAGGATAGTGGTCTATAATTTTTTTTAGGTGTCTTTGTCAGGTTTTGGTATTGGATTATATTGCCTCATAAAACAAGCTGGGAAATAGGCCCTCCTTTTTTTAAAGAGAGACAGGGTCTCACTCTGTTGCCAGGCTGGAGTGTAGTGGTGCGATCATGGCTCACTGCCGCCTTGAGCTCCTGGGATCAAGGGATCCTCCCACCTCAGCCTCCCAAGTAGCTGGGGCTACAGGTATAATTTTTTTTGTACACAGGGTCTCACTATATTGTCCAGGCTGGTCTCGAACTCCTGGCCTCAGGTGATCCTCCTGCCTCAGCCTCCCAAAGTGCTGGGATTACACGTGGGAGCCACAGCACCCGTTCCCCCTCCTCTTTTATTTTCTGAAAGAGTTTGTGTAAGAATATTGTGATTTCTTCTTTGAATGTTTGATAGAATTCACCAGGAAACCATGTATATTTGCAGGAGTTTTCTTGGTAGGTAGGTTCTCCGGTAATTAATTCAATTTCCTGAACAGAAAGAGGACCATGCAGATTTCCATTGCTTTTGACAAGTTATATTCTTCCAAGAGTTTATCCATTGCATTGAAATTGCTACATTTACTGGCCTAAAATTGTTCATCATAGTCTCCTATTATTTTGAGACATGGCCTCACTCTGTCACCCAGGCTGGAGCAAAGTGGTGTGACCTCAGCTCACCACAGCCTCAGTCTCCCAGGCCCAGGCCATCCTCCCACCTCAGCCTCCCAAGTAGCTGGAACACAAGCAAGTGCTGCCACACCTGGCTAATTTTTTGATTTTTTGTAGAGACAGGGTCTCGCTATGAAACAAAACTGAAGCATGATGTTGCTGGTCTTGAACTCCTGGGCTCAAACAATCCTCCTGCCTCGGTCTCCCAAAGTGCTGGGATTACAGGTGTGAGCCACCAGAGATGGCAATAGTCTATTACTATGTCTATAGGATCCTTAGAAATAATGCCTCTTTTGTTCTTGATATTGGTGATTTGTGCTATCTGTTTCTTTTGAGACCGAGTCTCACTCTGTTGCCCAGGCTGGAGTGCAGTGGCATGATCTCGGCTCACTGCAACCTCTGCCTCCCGGGTTCAAGCGATTCTTGTGCCTCAGCCTCCTGAGCAGCTGGGATTACAGGCACCCACCACCATGCCTGGCTAATTTTTGTATTTTTAGTAGAGACAGGGTTTCACCATGTTGGCCAGCCTGGTCTCACTTCTGACCTCAAGTGATCCGCCCACCTTGGCATCCCAAAGTGCTGGGATTACAAGTGTGAGCCACCGTGCTTGGCCTATCTTTCTATTTGTTTGTTTGCTTTTCAAACAGGTCTCTCTCTGTCGCCTGGGCTGGAGTGCAGTGGTGTGATCACAGTTCACTGCAGCCTCAACCTCCTGGGCTCAAGCGATCCTCCCACCTCAGCCTTCTGACTAGCCAGGACTACAGGCTCGAGCCACCACACCCAGCTCATTAAATTTTTTTTTTTTTTTTTTTGTAGAGATGGGGTCTCCTTCTGATTCCCAGGCTGGTCTTAAACTCCTGGGTTCAAGCAGTCCTCCCACCTATGCCTCCCAAAGTGCTGGGATTACAGGCGTGAACCACCCACCTCACCTGGCTCTTTCTTCTTTCTTAAAATTGACCATTCTTAGTAGAGGTTTGTCAATCTTTCCAATCTTTTAGGGAAAAAATCAGCTTTTGATATTGTTAAGTTTCTCCATTTTTCTCATGCTTTCTATGCCACTGATTTCTGTATTTGTCTTTATTTCCCTTTTTTGGCTTTGTTCTTTTTTCCCTGGCTTCTGGGAGTGAATCTTAGGTCTCTGCTTTCATGCCTTTACACGCACTTAGTTACAGAGTTCTAAGTATTGCTTTAGCTACACCAACAATTTTGATGTTATATTTTCATTATTATTCAGTTGGAAATATTTTTTCTTCTTCTGTTATTTTTTCCCCACCTGAGTTACAAATTTTTTTTTTTTGAAACAGTCTCGCTCTGTCACCCAGGCTGGAGTGCAGTGGTGCGATCTTGGCTCACTGCCAGCTCCACCTCTAGGGTTTTTAAGCAATTCTCTGCCCCAGCCGCCCGAGTAGCTGGGATTACAGGTGTGCACCACCACGCCCAGCTAATTTTTTAAACTTTTAGTAGAGATGGGGTTTCACCATGCTGGCCAGGATAGTCTTGAACTCCTGTCCTTCTGATCCACCCACCTCGACCTCCCAAAGTGCAGGGATTACATGTGTGAGCCACTGCGCCTGGCCCCAGCCTGGAAATATTTTCTAATTTCCCATTTGAGTTCTTCTTTGACCCATGGTTTATTCAATAGTGGGTTAATTTCCAAACATTTGAGTTTTTCCTATTTTATTTGTGGTTGATTTCTAATTTAATTCCTCTGTGCTCAGAAAGCATACTTTGTATGATTCTTTTAAAATTCGTTGGAACTTGTTTTAGGACACAGCAGTTGGTCTGTGTTGGAAAATGTATCATGTGCACTTAGGAGTATTGGCGTAACTTTTTCTTTTTGTTTTTGAGAAGAGTTTTGCTCTTCTTGCCCAGGCTGGGGTGCAGTGGCACGATCTCGGGTCACTCCGTCTTTTGGGTTCACACCATTCTCCTGCCTCAGCCTCCCGAGGAGCTGGGATTACAGCTGCCCGCCACCACGTCCAGCGAATTTTTGTATTTTTAGTATAGATGGGGTTTCGCCATGTTGGCTAGGTCGGTCCTGAACTTCTGACCTCAGGTGATCCACCCGACTCGGGCTCCCAAAGTGCCTGGATTACAAGCTTGAGCCCCCATGTGCAGCCTGATATGTGTAACTTCCTATAAATACCATTCAGGTCAACATGATGATACTGTTACTCAGATCCCCCATGTCTTCACTGATGTGTTTGGTTTATTGTTCCAAGAATCGGAGACAGAGAGGTTAAAATCTCCGACTATGATTGTGGGTTGTCTATTGATGTTTTTGGTCTATTCTAAGAATCGGAGAGAGAGAGGTTAAAATCTCTGACGATGATTGTGGATTGTCTATTGATGTTTTTGGTCTATTATTCTAAGAATCGGAGAGAGATTAAAATCTCCAACTATGATTGTGGGTTGTCTATTGATGTTTTTGGTCTATTGTTCTAAGAATCAGAGAGAGAGAGAGGTTAAAATCTCCGACTATGATTGTGGGTTGTCTTATTGATGTTTTTGGTCTATTGTTCTAAGAATTGGAGACAGAGAGGTTACAATCTCTGACTATGATTGTGGATTGTCTATTGATGTTTTTGGTCTATTCTAAGAATTGGAGAGAGAGAGGTTAAAATCTCCGACTATGATTGTGCGTTGTCTATTGATGTTTTTGGTCGATTGTTCTAAGAATTGCAGAGAGAGAGGTTAAAATCTCCGACTATGATTGTGTATTGTCTATTGATGTTTTTGGTCTATTGTTCTAAGAAATGGAGAGAGAGAGGTTAAAATCTCCGACTATGATTGTGGGTTGTCTATTGATGTTTTTGGTCTATTGTTCTAAGAATTGGAGAGAGAGAGGTTAAAATCTCTGACTATGATTGTGGATTGTCTGCTGATGTTTTTGGTCTATTGTTCTAAGAATTGGAGAGAGAGAGAGGTTAAAATCTCCGACTATGATTGTGGATTGTCTATTGCTGTTTTTGGTCTATTGTTCTAAGAATCGGAGAGAGAGGTTAAAATCTCCTACTATGATTCTGGGTTGTCTATTGATGTTTTTGGTCTATTGTTCTAAGAATTGGAGAGAGAGAGGTTAAAATCTCCAACTATGATTGTGGGTTGTCTATATATGTATGGTTTTTGCAGTCACTTTCTGCCTACTTGTGTTTTTTATATTTAAAGTGCATCTTTTAGTTCAGTGTGATGGCACATGCCCCTAATCCCAGCTATTCTGGAGACTGAGGCAGGAGGATCACTTGAGCCCAGGAGTTTGAGCAGTACTAGACTTTACCTTGGGCAAAAAGGCAAGACCCCATCTCTTAAAAAACAAATACATAGACGGACAGACAGACACACACACCACAGTGCATCTTTTGTAGACAGCATGTAGTAAATCTTGCTAATTTGTCCATTTTAGCAATCTCTGCCTTTTAACTGGAGGGTTTAATTCATTAATATTTAATATAATTATCATTATGGGTAGATGTAGGTATGTTAATATTTAATATAATTACTGTTATGGGTAGATGTAGGTATGTTAATCGTTTTCTGATTGTCCCTTTGTATACACACGCTGCCCTTTATTTTTCAGTGATTTTAGGTTCATAGCAAAATTGAGCAGTTAAGTACAAGGAGTTGTGCCTCCCCGCTGTGCCCACCCAGGCACAGCCTTACCCTCAGCATCCCACTTGTTGCAGCTGACACACCGACAGTGACACATCACCACCACTCAAAGTCCATGGTTGACACGAGGGCGCACTCTTGGTGCTGCACGTTCTTGGTGCTGAGCTTTGGCAAGTGTATAATGACACTATCGTTGGATTTCAGGTCTACCGTTTTTACCGTTTATTATTTGTTTTCTGATTGTCCCTGTGTTTTTTGTTCCTCTATTCTCTTTCTGGCCCTCTTTTGCGTGATTTGAAGTTTTAAAAATTCCTTTCCAAGTTATCTTTTGGCCCTTTAGTTGTGCTTCTTTCCATTATTCTCATAGTTGTTGCTCTAGGAATTGCAATTTCAACCTTGCTTTTTCTAGTCTACTTAGAACTAGCATTATACCACTTTATGCAAAATGTAGACATGTAGACACCTTGCAACTGTACAGTCCACGGATCCCCTCTACTACTCTTCACGTTGTGGCTGTCATATCTGCATACATTATAAACCCAAGAGATGTTTTAATTTTTCCCCAGATATTTACTAATTTTGATGTTCATCATTCATTCTTAAAGATCTGAGTTTCACTGTAGTATATACTATCTTCAGCATTTCCGGTAGCACAATTTGATGGTGACAAATTTTATCAGTTTTCCTTTTTCTGAAAATATTTTCATGTAATGTTTATTCTTAGAGAATACAGAATTCTATGCTTTTTTTTTCTTTCAGCAGTTCCACTTTCTTCTGGTCTCCATAATTACTCACAAACTTGGTCGGGCGTGGCAGCTCACGCCTGTAATCCCAGCACTTTGGGAGGCCAAGTGGGTGGGTCACTTGAGGCCAGGAGTTTGATGCCACCCTGGCCAACATAGCAAAACCCCATCTCTACTAAAAATACAAAAATTAGCTCAGCATGGTAGCACACGCTTGTAGTCCCAGCTACTTGGGAGGCTGAGACACAAGAATCGCTTGAACCCAGGAGGCAGAGGTTGCAGTAAGCTGAGACTGTACCACTGCACTCCAGCCTTGGTAACAGAGCAAGACTGTATAAAAAAAAATTTTTTTTTAAATCTCACAGACTCAGTCTATCAGCTCATGGTCTATCAGCTCAGGGTCTGTCAGCTCATGGTCTATCGGCTCAGGGTCCATTGGCTCACATCTATCAATCAGCTCAGTCTATTGGCTCAGGGTCCGTCGGCTCATGGTCTATCAATCAGCTCACAGTCTGTCGGCTCACGGTCTATTGGCTCATGGTTTATCAGCTCAGTCTTCACAGTGCTGTGCTGTGTGTGATCTGTTGTTTTTCTCTGGCTGCTTTCAAGATTTTTAAAGTTAATCTTTAGTTTTTAATAGTTTTAGGGCTGGGTGTGGTGGCTTACACCTGTAATCCCAGCACTTTAGGAAGCTGAGGCAGGCAGATCCCCTGAGGTCAGGAGTTCGAGACTAGCCTGGCCAACATGGAGAAACCCCGTATCTACTAAAAATACAAAAATTAATCGGGCATGGTGGCACGGGCATATAGTCCCAGCTACATGGGAGGCTGAGGCAGGAGAATCGCTTGAACTGGGAGGTAGAGGTTGCAGTGAGCCGAGATCGCACCACTGCACTCCAGCCTGGGCGACAACAGCAAAACTCTGTCTCAAAAAAAAAAAAAAAAAAAAAAAAACAAACTTTTGAAGTGATGGGTCCAGGTGTGGTTTTATTCTCATTTATCCTGTTTGGGATTCTTAAAACTAAACATTTATGTCTTTCACCAAATTTGAAAGTTTCTGGTTACTGTTTCTTCAAGTACTTCTGTCCACTGTGCCTCTCCTCTCCTGGACCTCTGTAATTACCCATGTGTTAGACATGTTGATATCACCTAAGGTCCCTGAGGCTTAGATATCACCTACAGGTCCCAGAGGCTCTGTTCATGGTTTTGTTTTATTTTCCTCCAATCACTTCCACCCTTTTTTTTTTTTCCAGCTTGGATGATTTCTATTCCTCTGTCTTTGAGGACTCTGCCTATTTTCTCTGTTATTTCCCTTCTGTTATGTTCATTCAGTGAATTTTAAAATTTCAGATCTTGGCCAAGCACAGTGGCTCACGCCTGTAATCCCAGCACCTTGAGAGGCTGAGGTAGGTGGATCACCTGAGGTCAGTTCAAGACAAGCCTGGCCAACATAGCGAAACCCTGTCTCTACTAAAAAAAAAAAAAAAAAAAAAAAAAAAAAAAAAAATTGCCAGGCGTAGTGGTGGGCACCTGTAGTCCCAGCTACTCAGGAGGCTGAGGCAGGAGAATCACTTGAACCTGGGAGGCAGAAGTTGCAGTGAGACGAGATCGTGCCACTGAACTCCAGCCTGGGTGACAGAGTAGAACTGTCTCAAAAATAAATAAATAAAATAAAATTTCAGATCTTGTTTTTTTTTGAGACAAGAGTTTCACTCTTGTCCCCCAGCCCCAGGCTGGAGTGCAGTGGCATGATCTGGGCTCACTGCAGCCTCTGCCTCCTGGGCTCAAGTGATTCTTTGCCTCAGCCTCCCGAGTAGCTGGGATTACAGGCGACCACCACCAAGCCCTGCTAAATTTTTGTTGTTGCTGTTTGTATTTTTAGTAGAGACGGGGTTTCACCATGTTGGTCAGGCTTGTCTTGAACTCCTGACCGCAGGTGATCCACCTACCTCAGCCTCCCAAAGTGCTGGGATTACAGGCGTGAGCCACCACGCCCAGCCAGATCTTGTGTTTGTTTGACCTAAAATTCCCATTTGGCTCATTTAAACATGTTTCCTCGCTGAGATTTCCGGCACTTTGTTCATTATGCGTGCATTTCCCTTTTCTTCACTGAGCACAGACACTAAACCTGCTCCAAAGTGCTTTTTTGACTATTCCAACAGCTAGGTCATAACACAATTGATATCTGTTGTCTTTCCCTTCGAGAATGGCTCACATTTTCCTGGCTCTTCATATGTTGAGTGATTTTGAACTGTACCCTGTACATTGCAAACGTTACATTGTGAAGACACTGGAATTCTGTGATATTCCTCTGAAGAGAATCAATGTTTCTACTTAGCAGGCAATTAATTTCATTAGATTCAAACTGCAAACGCTGTCACACCTGCGGTGAGCGGTGGCTCAGGTCACTGCATGGCACAGGGTGCACGCAGGGGTCAGGGGTCTGCCAGAAACGAGCGGCATCTATACACAGGACTCCTCCCCTCTGGCTCTTTCTGGGGCTTCTACTCTCTTTTTCGAGGAGCTATGGGTGCCTAGCTCCTTCCCCTGCCTGCTCCTGGAACAAGGAAGATAGCGTACTTTCTTTTTTGCTTGTTTGTTTTCTGGAGACACATTCTCCCTCTGTCGCCCAGGCAGAAATGCAGTGGCAGCGATCCTCTCACCCCGGCCTCCTGAATAGTTGGGACCTCAGGTGCACACCATTACACCCAGGTAACGTCCTTTTCTTTTGTAGAGACTGTGTTGTCCAGGCTGGTCTCAAATGCCTGGCCTCAAGCAATTCTCCGTCTCAGCCTCCCAAAATCCTGGGATTACAGGAGTGAGCTGCCCTGCCAGATAGTAGAATTTTTACTTTTTTTTTTCTGAGACAGAGTCTCGCTCTGTCACCCAGGCTGGAGTGCAGTGGCGCAATCTCAGCTCGCTGAAGCCTCTGCCTCCCAGGCTCACGCGATTCTCCTGCCTCGGCCTCACGAGTAGCTGGGATTACAGGCACCTGCCACCACACCTGGCTAATTTTTTGTATTTTTAGTAGAGACGGGGTTTCAGCATGTTGGCCAGGCTGGTCTCAAACTCCTGACCTCGTGATCCACCTGCCTCTGCCTCCCAAAGTGCTGGGATCACAGGCGTGAGCCACTGCACCCGGCCCAGACAGTGGACTTTCTATCAGTGCGTTAGTCACCCCACACTATCATGTGGGGACTGTGGCTGCCCTCAGGGCAAAGATGCAAAAACAGGAAACTGTGCTGGTTGCTTCCTCCAAGTCAAAACTTCCCTCCAAAATCTGCCACTCTCCAGAGCCCTCAGGGAGCTGTTTTTCATACTCTGTCCATGGTTATAGTTGTGCTATGGCAGGGTCACTCTGTTAGAAGTTTACTCTTTCCCACTGAAGTAGAACCCCATCATACGGCTTTCTGTGTCCAGAAACCAAGGCGATTTTAGTTTCTAGACGGTGGGCGCTGGTGTTGCTTCCCAGGTGCTCAACTCTGGGCAGTAACAAGCCTGCATGGTCTGGACATGGTGGCTCACACCTAGAATATCAGCTACCTGGGAGGCTGATGCAAGAGGACTGCTTGAGCCCAGGAGTTCGAAGCCGAAGTGCAGACGCATTCAAGCTGGTCGAGCCGGGAACGCACCTGCACTCCAGCCTGGGCAACAGAGCGAGGCCCTGTCTCAAAGGAAAAAAAAAAAGCTTTGGCAGCAGGGAACTTGGAGAACATGGGCTGAAAGGATAAGTCTTTTTGTGCTACAGATCCTGGGTCTCCAAGGGATGTAAACCTGTTCACTGTCCAACAACAGCAGCAATCAACACTTCCAGAGCACTTGCCACATGCCAGACACCACGCGAAGGGATTTATACACACAAACTGATTTCACTAATTTCAACAATGCCCCTTATCGCCCCACTTTAAATATGAGGAAAAGACTTGCATAAGACCACACTGTGAGTAGGCGGCAGGGTTAGGCCCAGGCCAGGCCCTCTGGCTCCAGAATAAACTGGAGTCTGATGGTTTTCAACTGCAACACTCAACAAATATGTTCAGTATGTCTGGCCAACTACCGTAAAAGTTTATAGAAATTTTCAATTTAAGAAGTAAAGGCCAGGAGCAGTGGCTCACACCTGTAATCCCAGCACTTTGGAAGGCTGAGGCTGGAGGATCGCTTGAGGGCAGGAGTTTTAAGACCGGCCTGGGCAATACACCGAAACCCCTTACAGAAATCAGCCAGGCGTGATGGCACATGCCTGTGATCCCAGCTACTTGGGAGGGAGGTGGGAGGATCGCTTGAGTCCAGGAGGTTGAGGCTGCAGTGAGCCGAGATCGCGCCACCACACCCTAGCCTGGATGACAGAGTAAGACCCCATCTCAAAAAAAAATAAATAAAAAGTAAAGGCATTGGATTTAAAAAACAATATACCCTTAAATATTAGACTATTAACTAAAGTAAAAATAATAAGTGTGGACCACGCATGGTGGCTCACACCTGTAATCCTAGCACTTTGGGAGGCCGAGGTGGGTGGATCACGAGGTCAGGAGAGTGAGACCATCCTGGCTAACATGGTGAAACCCTGTCTCTACTTAAAACACAAAAAAATTAGCTGGGCGGGCGCCTGTAGTCCCAGCTACTCGGGAGGCTGAGGCAGGAGAATAGCATGAACCTGGGAAGGTGGAGCTTGCGGTGAGCCGAGATAGCACCACTGCACTCCAGCCTGGGCTACAGAGCGAGACTCTGTCTCAAAAACAAACAAATAAATAAATAAATAGATAGATAAATAAATAAAATAGTAATAAGTGTGTTGTAGAATTTTCTAGCATACCTAGAAGTGAAATGCGTGCCGACAAGAGCACGGAATATAACTGGAGTCCGCTCGCTGAGGTTCTGTGAAGTACATTTAATCTCCAGAGGAACCACTTAAAAAACAACACAAAGAGGCAGAACTAAAAAGTCAGCAGAGGAGATAAAATTGAAGACAACTTGATCCCTCTACCTACAAAAAAGGAAGCAAAGGAGGAGCAGGGAAAAGCAGGTGGAAAAACAGAAATCGAACATAAAGATGGTAGACTCCAACCCAAACACTCTAACACCTACATTAAATACAAATGGTTAAATTAAATACTTCAATTAAAAACTATCGATTAATGTCACTATTAGGGAAATGCAAATCAAAATCAAAATGAAATACTCCACACCCATTAGAATGGCTATTACCAAAAAAACAGAAATAAATGTTGGCAAACGCATGTGGAGAGAATGGAACCCTTGTGCATGCTGCTGAGAATATAAAATGGTGTGAAAAACAGTATGTCAGTTTCTCAAAAAACTAAACACACACACAAAATTAAACACAGAATTACTCTATGACCCCGCAACTTTACTTGTGGTTCTACACCCTGAAGAACTGAAAACCAGGACTCCAAGAGACATTTGTACAACCATATCTTAGCAGCATTGTTCACCACAACCACCATGTCTTAGTGAAAGGTGACAACATGCTAGCAGCCCTCACTCACTCTCAGCACCTCCTGGGCCTCAGCATCCACGCTGGCCACACTTGAGGAGCCCTCCAGCCCACCGCTGCACTGTGGGAGCCCCTCTCTGGGCTGGCCGAGGCCGGAGCCGGCTCCCTCTGCTTGCAGGGAGGTGTGGAGGGAGAGCTGCAGGCGGGAACCGGGGCTGCATGCAGCGTGAGTTCTGGGTGGGTGCAGGCTCGGCGGGCCCCGCACTCAGAGCACCTGCCGGCACCCCCGGCCCTGGGCAGTGAGGGGTTTAGCACCTGGGCCAGCAGCTGTGGAGGGTCCCCCAGCACTGCCAGCCCCCCTGCACCAGGTTCGAATTCTTGCCGGGCCTCAGCTGCCTCCACGCGGGGCAGGGCTCGGCAGCCTGCCATGCCCGAGGCCCCCCGCACCCCCGCCCGTGGGCTCCCACACAGCCCGAGCCTCCCCAACGGGCACCACCCCCTGCTCCGCGGCACCCGATCCCATCAACCACCCAAGGGCTGAGGAGTGTAGCGCACGGCACTGGACTGGTGGGCAGCTCTGCCTGCGGCCAGGCGCTGGGTCCATTAGGCAAAGCCAGCTGGGCTCCTGAGTCGGGTGAGGACTTGGAGAACTTTTATGTCTAGCTGGAGGATTGTAAATGCACCAATCAGCACTCCGTGTCTAGCTCAGGGTTTGTGGATGCACCAATCAGCACTCTCTGTATCTAGCTAATCCGGTGGGGACTTGGAGAACCTTTATGTCTAGCTACAGGATTGTAAATACACCAATCAGCACTCTGTGTCTAGCTCAAGGTTTGTAAACGCACCAATCAGCACCTTGTGTCTAGCTCAAGGTTTGTAAATGCACCAATCGCTGCTCTGTGTCTAGTTAATCTAGTGGGGACTTGGAGAACTTTTACGTCTAGCTAGAGGACTGTAAATATCATTCTGTGTCTAGCTCAGGGATCGTAAACGCACTAATCAGCACCCTGTCAAAACAGACCAATCAGCTCTCTATAAAATGGACCAATCAGCTGTCTGTAAAATGGGCCAATCAACAGGATGTGGGTGGGGTCAGATAAGGGAATAAAAGCAGGCTGCCGGAGCCAGCAGCAGCAACCCACTCGGGTCCCCTTCCACACTATGGAAGCTTTGTTCTTTCGCTCTTTGCAATAAATCTTGCTGCTGCTCACTCTTTGGGTCTGCACTGCCTTTATGAGCTGTAACACTCACTGCAAAGGTCTGCAGCTTCACTCCTGAAGCCAGTGAGACCACGAACCCACCAGAAGGAAGAAACTCCAAACACATCTGAACATCAGAAGGAACAAACTCCGGACACACCATCTTTAAGAACTGTAACACTCACTGCGAGGGTCTGCGGCTTCATTCTTGAAGTCAGTGAGACCAAGAATCCACCAATTCTAGACACATTAGCAGCACCATTCACCACAGCCACCATGTCTCGGCAGCACCATTCACCACAGCCCCATGTCTCAGCACTGTTCACCACAGCCACCATGTCTCAGCAGCACCGTCCACCACAGCCACCATGTCTCAGCACCGTTCACCACAGCCACCATGTCTCAGCAGCACCGTTCACCACAGCCACCATGTCTCAGCAGCACCGTTCACCACAGCCACCATGTCTCAGCAGCACCGTCCACCACAGCCACCATGTCTCGGCACCGTTCACCACAGCCACCATGTCTCAGCAGCACCGTCCACCACAGCCACCATGTCTTGGCACTGTTCACCACAGCCACCATGTCTCGGCACCGTTCACCACAGCCACCATGTCTCAGCAGCACCGTCCACCACAGCCACCATGTCTCGACACCGTTCACCACAGCCACCATGTCTCAGCAGCACCGTCCACCACAGCCACCATGTCTCGGCAGCACCGTCCACCACAGCCACCATGTCTCGGCACCATTCACCACAGCCACCATGTCTCGGCACCGTCCACCACAGCCACCATGTCTCGGCACCGTTCACCACAGCCACCATGTCTCAGCAGCACCGTCCACCACAGCCACCATGTCTCGGCAGCACCGTTCACCACAGCCACCATGTCTCAGCACCATCCACCACGGCCACCATGTCTCAGCAGCACCGTCCACCACAGCCACCATGTCTCGGCAGCACCGTTCACCACAGCCACCATGTCTCGGCACCGTTCACCACAGCCACCATGTCTGCAGCAGCATTGTTCACCACAGCCACCATGTCTCGGCACCATCCACCACGGCCACCATGTCTCAGCAGCACCGTCCACCACAGCCACCATGTCTCGGCAGCACCGTCCACCACAGCCACCATGTCTCGGCAGCACCGTTCACCACAGCCACCATGTCTCAGCACCATCCACCACGGCCACCATGTCTCAGCAGCACCGTCCACCACAGCCACCATGTCTCGGCAGCACCGTTCACCACAGCCACCATGTCTCGGCACCGTTCACCACAGCCACCATGTCTGCAGCAGCATTGTTCACCACAGCCAAAAGGTGGGAGCAAGTGTCCACCCACAGATGAATGGATAAACAAAAGGTGGTCTATACAGACCGTGGAATATTCTACAGTCCTGAAAAGAAATTTTGGACGCATGCTACAACAGGAATGAACCTTGAAAACACTATGCTAAGTGAAAGCAGCTCATCACAACAGGACAAATACTGTATGATTCTACTCATGAGGTTCCCAGGGTTGTCGAATTCATAGAGACAGAAAAGACAACGGTGGTTGCCAGGGGCTGGGGGGCAGGGAGGAATGGGGAGTTAGTGTTTAATGGGAACAGTTTCCTTTCCTTTTTCCTTTCCTCTTTTCTCCTTTCTTTCCTTTCCTCCTTTTTAAAATTTCTTTCTTTCTTTTAGAGATGGGTTTGCTCTGTTGCCCAGGCTGGAGTGCAGTGGTGCAATCATAGCTCACCGCCATCTTGAACTCCTGGGCTCAAGCAACTCTCCCGCCTCAGCCTCCCAAGTAGCTAGGACTACATGCCTGCCACCATATCTGGCTAATTTTATTTTTATTTTTTGGTAAAAAGGGTGTCTTGCTGTGTTTCGCAGGCTGGTCTTGAACTCCTGGGCTCAAGCGCTCCTCTCTCCTGTCTTAATGCATGTGTACTAGATAAACATGCATGTAACGCAGGACCCATGTTCACTGAGAGGTGAGATTTCACATTTACATGTAAGACAATTAGGCCCTATATGGCCAAAGGTGAGGCGCGGCCCGGGAGTCACTCCAGTCACATCCTCCATAGACCAGCAGAACCAGTCCGTGGCCAGTGGTGTCTTATCAGGAGGAAGTTATGGAAAGTGACGCTGTAGTTATGGCCGTGAAATGGGGGGTCAGTTAGTGCCTGGCAGCGAGCCATCACTGTTTCCATACCGCTTGTCTCAGGCCAGTGCCTGCTTAACTGCTAGAGGAAAAGAAAACCCAAGCCTTATTCTTTAACTGTAAGGGTGTGTGACTTAACCCCGGCCTGGCACGGCCTTAGGTCCTGATTATAACTCGGCGTCTTATTGCCGCAGAGTCTGTCAGTCTCGTGATCTCCACTTTAACACTAATGTTGGTCAGTTGTGTCTAAACTGAAAAAGGGTGGCAGTATAACCAGGTGTGTCCAACCTCCCATCCTTTTATGGCCGGAAACTCAATTTTTAAGGTTTCTCTGGGGTCCCCTTGACCAAGAGGGAGCTCGTTCAGTCGGCGGGGGACTTAGGATTTTATTCTTAGTTTACAACATCAGTAATAAAATTAATAGGCAAATCAAAGAATGGGAGATAGTCACAGTACACGTACCAGACAAAAGCCCTGAATATGGAATATATAAAGGACTTTCACAATCTGGTCATCAAAAAAATGGGCAAAAGACATCCTCGGACACTCAGAAAACGTGTGCGAATGGCAACAGATGAGTGGACAGTGCTCAACACGGGTGAGCGTCAGGGAAATGCAAACTAAAGCCTCCACGACCAAACGGCACTCAGCCTCTCGGCTGTGGGGACACACAGAACCGCTGGGACTTCCACACCTGGGATGCAGCCTTCCCCCCGGGCACGTTCCCAAGAGAAACAACACACGCCCGCCAAACACGTGCACAAAAATAGGCCCAACTCTTCAGACAGCGGAAACCCACCCGGGCGCCCTCAGAGACGACGAGCACGCAACAGCGCATCCCACACCCACTCCTTGTGCAGCACCTCAGAGGAAGCTCAACAACAGTTCTCTGCGTGAGCCGTGGCAGACGCAAAACCGCCCGCACGTGTGACTCCTAACACTCAGAGTGTCGGTAAAATCACAGCAGCGCTCCTGTCTGGCGCGGCAGGCGGGCGCTGGAGCAGCCTGCGAGGCAATCTCCATGGATCACAGGCAGATTCTACATCACGACAGGAGTCTGGTGAATCCTTTGTCAAAACAATTGAACTGGACACAAGCTCTGTGTGTTTCACTGCATGTAAATTATGCCTTAGTAACTAAACACATGCATTTTCTATTTTGAAAATCTCATTGGAGCCAAAAAGCTAAATAATGGGATGAAAATTTCTACAAGGCAATGAAAAATTTAGTGAGAATTTAAATTGTGCTATACACTCTTTGACCACTCTTATTTTCCCTTAGAAGAACTGGTTTCAGGGCAGGTGTGGAGGCTCAGGCCTGCAATCCCATCATTTTGGGAGGCCAAGGTGGGAGGATCGCTTGAGCCCAGGAGTTCAAAACCAGCCCGGACAACAGAGTGAGATCTCATCTCTACCAAAAAAAAAAAAAAAAAAAAATAGCTGGGCTTGGTGACGTATACTTGTGGTCCCAGCTATTTGGGAGGCTGAAGTGAAAGAATCTCTTGAGCCTGGGAGGTCAAGGCTACAGTGAGCCATGATCGCACCACTGCACTCTACCTGGGCGACAGAGCCAGACCCCGTCTCAACAACAACAACAAAGAACTGGTTTCAAGAAAAAAATGATGCCTCAGGTCACTGTGATTTTAAATAAGTAACATCTTGCAAAACAACCCTGTAAAAGCAACCACCGGCTGGGGCAGTGGGTAGACCACACCCACGCTCACCGTAACTCCAGCCGCCCAGGCAGCAGTAACTGAAAAGGGGAGGCGGGAGGGTCCACTGGCGGGTTTCTCACGCTGCTGAACCTCGGTAAACACAGCCCCGAGGGCTGGCTGGAGCTTCCACTGCATCCGTGTAGCTAATGCTGGTCATCTTCGTAGCAAGCAAAGGAAGCCAACGTGAAACGTAGCTTTAAGGGCCCAATAAGAACTGTCTGGGGCCTCTCTACCTAAAGATCCCTCTCGTGCTTTGATAGAAAACAAATACCGCAAACCCCTTGATGGGGTGTAAAGGAGACATCCCCCTTTGTTGACATGCATGGTAGTCGCTGCCCACCTACCCGTGGGCTCAGCACACCGGAGTCGGGCGGTTGCCGTAGGTGGCTCAGCAGACGTGAGCAGGGCAGGATCGGGCCCATCCCCCCACCGGGAATGTCAGGCCACCATCAGGTGATGGTCAGGTGGCTGTTAACTGTCTAAAAGAACTGGTTGCACCCAGCGCCAGGGAAAGACAGGCTCCCAATAGCTAGAAAACACATGAAATCCGGTGATGGGCAGCTTCCCGATACGATCTCAGGAACTGGGCGAGTTGGCTCAAGCGTGTGCACTGAGAGGCAAAATGGCGGCGTGTAACCGTTCTATGACCTTCTAGGGACGTTTGACAGGTAACGGAAGAACGCCTCAGGTGAGCATGGGCACTACTCCAGTGAACACACGGCGCACGGTCCCTCCCTCCAGTGAACACAACGCACACGCTCCCTCCCTCCAGTGAACACACAGCGCATGCTCCCTCCTTCCAGTGAACACACGGCACATGCTACCTCCCTCCAGTGAACACACGGCACATGCTCCCTCCCTCCAGTGAACACAACGCGCACGCTCCCTCCCTCCAGTGAACACACAGCGCATGCTCCCTCCCCCCAGTGAATACACGGGGCATGCTCCCTCCCTCCAGTGAACACACCGGGCATGCTCCCTCCCTCCAGGGAACACATGGCGCATGCTCCCGCCCAAGTACTAGCAAGATGCTGCATGGGTGGACAGCCCACCCTGAAGAAGGATCAGGGGAGAAGGGGTGCAAGACCCCAGAAGCCTGCCAGGCTATAAAACCCCAAGTCAAAAGGTGAAACCGCACACCTGATCTCTCACATCGCCCGTCTGGCCCTCCTCCAAGGGTACTTCCTTTCCTTCCTGCTCTAAAGCTTCTTCAACAACTTTCACTCCTGCTCTAAAACTTGCCTTAGTCGGTGGGGTGCGGTGGCTCACGCCTGTGATCCCAGCACTTTGGGAGGCTGAGGTGGGTGGATCATCTGAGGTTGGGAGTTCGAGACCAGCCTGACCAAAATGCAGAAACCCCTTCTCTACTAAAATACAAAAAATTAGCCGGTTGTGGTGGCAGGCACCTGTAGTCCCAGCTACTCGGGAGGCTGAGGCAGGAGAATGACATGAACCCGGGAGGCAGAGCTTGCAGTGAGCCGAGATTGTGCCACTGCACTCCAGCCTGGGCGACAGAGACAGACTCCATCTCAAAAAAAAAAAAAAAACTTGCCTCAGTCTCTCCTTCAGCCTCATGTCCTTCCATCAAATTCTTTCTTCTGAGGCAGCGAGAATCGAGGCCGCTGCTGACATACTTTGGTGCTGAAACTCAGATACATTCTGCCAGTAATAGAGCTCTGAAGGCTCACCTGAGCTCCACACTCCACCTCGGCACACGCAACCCTCAGCCAGAGTGGTGAGAAGAGGTGGCTCTTTCTTTTCTTTGTGAAACAGGCTGGAGTGCATCGTTGCGATCTCGGCTCACTGCAGTCTCCACCTCCGGGGCTGAAGCGATCCTCCTGCCTCAGTCCCTCGAGTAGCTGGGACTGTTAGTGGCAGAATATGTCCCACTTCTGACACCAAAGCATGTTAGCAGCAGTGAACCTCAATTTTTCCCTCCTCAGAAGAGTTTGATGGACGGGTAGGAGGCAGAAGAGACCTTAGAGCAGGAGCAACAGTTTATGAAGAAGCTTTAGAGCAGGAATGAAAGGAAGTAAAGCGCCCTTGGAAGAAGGCCAGGCAGGAGACCTGAGAGATCAAGTGCGCAGTTTGACCTTTGACTTAGGGTCTTCCACGCTGGAGGCTTCCGGGGTGTTACGTCTCCCGATTCTTCCCTCGGGGTGGGCCGTCCACCCGCACAGCGGCTGCGGGCACTTGGGAGGGAGCATGCACAGAGTTTACTGGAGTTGTGCGCACGCTCCCTCGAGGCCTTTTTTTTTTTTTTTTTTTTTGAGATGGAGTCTCGCTCTGTCACCCAGGCTGCAGTGCAGTGGCGCAATCTCGGCTCACTGCAACCTCCGCCTCCCGAGTTCAAGCGATTCTCCTGCCTCAGCCTCCTGAGTAGCTGGGACCACAGGCGCCCGCCACCATGCCCGGCTAATTTTTGTATTTTTATCAGAGACGGGGTTTCACCATATTCGCCAGGCTGATCTCAAACTCCTGGCCTTCTGATCCGCCCCCCTCCCCCCACGGCCTTGCAAAGTGCTGGGATTACAGGTGTGAGCCACCGCGCACAGCCAGGGCCGCCTTCTCTTACCAGCCAAATGTCCCTGGTAGAGGGGGGCCCCTCTTCTGCCCTGCTCATGTCTGACTAGCTACCTACTGTAACGGGCCACAGGTGCTTGCCCCCATGCCTGGATAATATTTTTTATTTTTTATAGAGACGAGGTCTCCCTATGTTGCCCAGACTGGTCTCAAGCGATCTCCCACCCCAGCACCCACAGCGCTAGCTGTTCTTTAAATGAGCTACCCAGTAAGTCAAAGCTCAGGTGGAGAGCAGCCGCAAGGCAGGGAGCAGCTGGGAGGTATCTCAGGGGTTCCCGGGATGCTGCCTGTGCACCCCAGGGCTGAGGTGACTGCGTGTGGAAACACCTGCCTGACTGGCTTTTAGGAGGAGTACTGGGGGCGGGATGTGTGTCAGGAAAACAACGTTTCTGTATAATTCATAAACATGTATGTTAAAAACAACGTGGCCATGACGGATCCTGGCTGAATGCAAACGGGGAACATAAACCTGAGTAATCAGGCGCATCACTGAACATCCCAGGCGGCCGCCCCTACCCTGGGGCTCAAAACCGGCTCCCTCTGCGAGGGTTTCCCAGGTTAAGCCATCAGGAAACAGGAAGACGCCTAAGAACGATACACTGGACTTTGGGGACTCGGAGGGAAGGGTGGGAGGGGGACAAGGATAAAAAGCTACAAATAGGGTGCAGTGCGTACTGCTCGGGTGATGGGAGCACCAAAATCTCACAAATCACCACTAAAGAGCTTACCCATGTAACCAAGTAACCAAACACCACCTGTACCCCAGTAACTTACGGAAAAATAAAAGAGGAAGACGCAGCTCTGCCTTCTCTGCACACCCTGGTAATACTAAGAAAAATGAAAACCAAAAAAAGGAGGCCAAGTTTGACATCCTGAAATTTAACAGGACGAGGCGGCTAAGAATTCAGCCACAAAATAGTTCCCGGGGAAGAAGCCGCGTTTGCTTTGAAACGCGGTAAGAAATGCCCCCGAACACCTGGGCTTAAATTACACCCAAACTCAATCATCGACTCGCTGCCACCGGAACACGCGCTCCCGAAAAACTGCACCCCGACTAGCCCTCGGCTACTCCAGGTGACAAACGGACAAAAACAAATCCTAAAGCCTCGCGGGAAAAAGACCTGAATCGTGGCCGACTTCTAGGACACCGGGGACCGCGCCGGTGCCCCCACTCCCGGCTGCCGGGAAGGCGAGGCGAACGCGCCCCCTTTCTTCCCCCGGGCGCCCGTCCCATCCCCTCCCCAGGGACCCCCTCCCTGCCCCGAGAACCCCCTCCCCTCCCCAGGTGCCCCCTCTCCCCCAGAGACCCCCTCCCCTCCCCAGGGACCCCCTTCCCTGCCCCGGGAACCCTTCCCCTCCCCAGGGACCCCCCTCCCTCCCCAGGGACCCCCTCCCCTCCCCAGGGACCCCCTTCCCTGCCCCGGGAACCTTTCCCCTCCCCAGGGACCCCCCCTCCCCGCTCCGGGAACCCCCTCCCCTCCTTAGGGACCCCCTCCCCACCCCTCCCCGGGGTCCCCCTGCCCTCCTCAGACGCCCCTTCCCCTCCCCAGGCGTCCCGCTCAGCCCGGGCGCCTTTCCCCCATAGGACCGCGGCCAGGCTCGTTGGGAGGCGGCGACGAGGACGCGGGCCCAGGCGCTGGCGGCTCCTCCGCGCGCCGCACAATGGGGGACGCGCAGGGAACGTCCCTCGGGCCGGGCCAGGGCCGCCGACCTTTGTCTGCCTCTCGCACTCCCTGCGCCGACCCGGCCGCCCAGACGGACCCCAGCGCCCCAACCCGCTACCCTCACGCCTGCCCCCAGCCCCTCACTCACCCCGGCGCCCTCCGGGTTTCTCTTTCGTACACCCCGCCCTCAGGCGGTGGCGCCGCGCCCCCTGGGACTTGTAGTCTTTCTTCCGCCCCGGCCCCGGCGCCAGGCCCCGCAGCTCCCAAAGAAAACTACAACTCCCGGCGGCCCGCGCGAGAGCCGCCCTCGCCTGGTGGTACCATCGCGCGCGGCCGTGGGTGGGGCGCCGGGGCGGGGCGCGAAGCGCCCTGGGAAATGTAGTCCTAGAAGAACCAGCGCATGTCTCGGGTCCCTGACACGGAGGGACTACATTCCCCCGGATTCCTCGCGCGCCGGCTGCTTGGCGTTGCCGGGAGACGGGGCGGGGCGTCGTCGGGGTCTCCCGGGCGACCGCACAAGCGTCGGCGTCCTTAGCGTTCCGCCGGTTTAGGCGGAGGCGGAGGCGGAGCGTTTGGGGGCGGCCGGGGCGGCTTCGGCTTCATCGGAGAAGGCGGCGCGGCTGCACCAGGTTTGGCCGCGGGCGCGCGGGGCCAGCGCCCTCCAGACCCACGGAGCGCCCCGAGCGCCTCGCGAGCCGCCGCCAAATGCGCCCCAGGTCCGCGGCCGGCGCCAGTGCTGGGACCTCGGCGGCCGGTGTCGGAGCGCGGCGGGAGAGACCCTGCCTTGGGTGCGGGACTGGGACGGCTCGGACCCAGAGGGCTCCCGGGGCTTCGCCTCTCGGACGGGTCAGGGCTCTGCGGTCTCAGGACGCTCCCCCGTGAGTCTCGGCGGCCCCGGGGTCTGGGCGGCGTCGCTGCCCCACAGGCCGGGCGCGTGGGTTTTTCCGGGGCTCTGCCTCTGAGCCACCCTCGGAGAAAAGACAGCTCTGTGCGTCCCGCGGCGCCCGCAGCTTTCGGCAAACATGTTTAAAGGAGCTCCCCGAAGGAACTGGGGACGTCCGTCCGCTCATCAAAGGCTTCAATCCTGTCGGTGTCCCCGGGCCCTCTCCTAGCTGGGCCAGCGCGCAGGGTGGGGGGGCGCTGCAGGTGTCGCGGCCCCCCCCAACCTCCGCAGACCCTTCCAACCCCTCAGACCCCCCAAAACCCCCAGATCCCCCAACCCCCCATATACCCCCAACCCCTCAGACCCCCCAACCCCCCAGACCCCCCAACCTCCCAGGCCCCCAGACCCCCCAGCTCCCTTGCTCCCGGGAGCTCCCAGGCCCGTCCTGCATGCGCCTTGGGGTTGTTCCTCCTTGATGGACGCCGCCTCCGGGTTCCATCCCAAGTTTAAATGCCAGAGATTTCAATGGAAATAAAGCCCCCATCTTAACAGCGTGAGGATGTTTTGTAAACAGTATTGGGGACAGCTGGGGAAGTCACATTTGTGTCTTCTCTTTAGAGGGACAGTGTTCGCCTGAGGGTCCATCCCAGGGTTCCCTCAGGGCCTCTGGAGGAGTTGATGCCACCAGTGTCTGGCCGTGGGACACCTGGGCGTGGGCGCCCAGCACCAGGGGTTCGCTGACAGCTGCAGGGTTTCCGGCCATGCGCCCGCGGACGTGCAGCTTCTGTGTCGGTCCCATTAAGAGGAACCTGGCCTGGGCGACGTTTGAGGACCACGGGGAGGACACAGTCGCGGTCCCCTTCTCGGAGTCCAGTCTGTGCCACAGGCTCTTGCCGTCTGCGGCAACTCATTGTGGAGCTGAGCCAGTGTTTCCACTTCCTTTTTGTTTTTTTGTGTTTGAGAGGATTTCACGCTGTCACCCAGGCTGGATGCAGTGGCATGATCGTGGCTCACTGCAGCCTGGACCTCCTAGGCTCAAGCGATCCTCCACCTCAGCCTCCAGAGTAGCTGGGACCACGGGTGTGTGCCACCATGCCTTGACACATATTTCTTTATTTTTTTGTAGAGACGGGGGTCTGTTTTGCCCAGGCTGGTCTCAAACTCCTGGGCTCAAGCAGTCCTCCCGCCTGGCCCTCCCAAAGTGCTGAGACTACAGGCGTGAGCCACCATGCCTGGCGTCCACTTTCTTGACTATTTCCTGAAGACCAGCGTTTCCCGGGTGGTTTCACAGCTGCGGAAGCTGCCTGTGTCAGTGTCAAGTCCCTACCCCTCGGCTTGGCCTGGGGCTGTGGCCCTGGGTGACCGTGTCCTTATGCTGGAGCTTGGTCCACAAGTGTCCCCGCCCCTTGTTCCGTCACTCATGGTGGTCTGCACCTCTCTACACGTTGGCCCCTGTCAGAGGGAAGAAGGCAAAGTCCTGGAGCTGCGGGAAGCCGTGCAGTGCATGTGTGTGTGCCTCGGGCCCGGGCTGCAGGCCCCAACAGGGCCCACCCAGCACCTGCTGAACTGTGCTCTGAGACCAGCACCCACCTGATCTCTGGGAGCAGAGCCCCTGCCGGCGTGGGCCAACCTGACAGCAGCTGCCTGGGCACTGGGCACTCCCTCGTCTGTCAGGCGGGCAGTGGATAGCTCGTCCTCTCCCTGGGGAAGGGAGACGAGGCCATGCGAGATGTCCCTGGAGGCTCCCTCCTGAGTAACCGCACGGGGTGCACATTCCCGAGAACACGAAAGGGTGCAGGATTCCACTAGGCCAGGTGGAAACATAAGGACACCGTAGGGTCGCATCAAGTTGAAGGACAATCTCTAGACTAAAACAGAAACGACATTTACTCCCCTAAGGGCCACACGGGCTGAATCCCATCCTCAGGTTATAGCAGGGATGCTAGGTCTGAAAGCCACAGGGGAGCATCGTAAGTCGCAGGTGCCCACAGATCACACCAGGGACCCCACCTCTGCCAACCGGGCTGTTTGTGTCCCCGAAAGGGAGCACTTTCCTCCCCAGAGACTTCAGGTGCAGTATGGGAAGGTTGGGGAACTAAAAAGCTGTGCACTAATATTTTTTGTATTAAAATAGAACCATCTTATGTTTGTAATGCATGGGGTTTTGTAGGGGCGGGATGTTTTGTTGAGATGAGGACTCGCTCTGTCGCCCAGGCAGGAGTGCGGTGGTGCCATCGTAGCTCACTGCAGCCTCGACCGCCCGGGCTCAAGGATCCTCCTGCCTTGGCCTCCCACAGCACCTGGGGCCACAGGTGTGAGCTGCCGTGCCCAGCCCGGCATTCATAATGCTCAAGAGAACTTGTCCTGAGAGAGGGTCGGCTTTGCCACTGAATCATCTTTCAAATGAGGAAATTATTTAGGCTCTGTAGTGTAAGTGGAATCTTACTGCATTTATGTAGGGTCTTGGAAAACTTAAGAGATTTTAGGAACAAACTATATGTTTAACGAGTCTGGAGGTATATCAGTGATTTAGTGGGGAAGATTTTGTTAATTCAAAGTGTTTGCAAACGAGTTAGAACATACGCATTTGTAAATACAGTGTAAAATGTTTGCTGGTGGGCTGTGAATTAAGAGCAGAAGGAGATGCCACCGCCTGTCCAGATGGCCAGGATTTAAACAGCCACAGCTGGTCCCTCATGCACTGCGGGGGTTGCGGAATGGTGCGGCCCCCTGGAGAGCCCTTGGCAGTTCCTTAAAAATTGGAACATGCAGGTGCCGTGGAAGGCAGCAGTGGCATTCTGGGGCATTCATCTCAGAGAAATAAAAACTTCACACACTCGCCGGCAGCTTCATTTTAATAGCTCCAAACTCGAAACAACACTCCCCCCCAGGTGGGTGGTGAGCCCACCCCGTGCAGACACCCTGAGGAGCGGGCACCATGAAGAGGCCAGGATCCGGCTGGGCGCGGTGGCTCACGCCTGGAATCCCAGCACTCTTGAGAGGCCAAGGCGGGCGGATCACTTGAAGTCAGGAGTTTGAGACAGGCCTGGCCAACATGGTGAAACCACGTCTCCATTAAAAATAAAAAAAAATTAGCCAGGTGTGGTGACACACGCCTGTAATTCCAGCTACTCAGGAGGCTGAGGCATGAGAATCACTTGAACCCAGGAGACAGAGGTCTCAGTGAACCGAGATCGCGCCCCTGGGCCACAGAGCGAGACTCCATCTCCAAAAAAAAAAAACCCAAAAAACGAAAAAAAAAAAAAAACCAACAACAACAAAGGAGGCAGCGTCCATCTGGGGGGACCTGAACAACTCCAAGGGCCTTGGCTGGCGAGAAAATCCTGCCTCAAAAGGGCGCGTGCTCGGTGGTTCCACGGTCTACCATTCCCTCTTAAAAATGTTTTTAAGCAGAGACGGAGACTTGCTGTGTCGACCCGGCTGGTCTGGAACTCCCAGGCTCATGCGACCTGCCCCCCTCCCACCGTGCCTGGTTCTACAGCTCTTAAAGGGCAAAACGGTGAAGCTGGATCACAGATCACAGTGGTGAGCAGGGGTGGGGCGGGCACCCCAGGGGTGCGGGAGGTTGGACCACTCACATGGGCCTGGATGCCTCCTGGTTATGACACTGCCTTCCTGTTCCTGCCGTTCCGCTGGGGGAAGCAGGGGTGGGGGGTGGGGGTCCCTGAGCTCCGCTGGGGGAAGCTGTGGTGGGGGATCCCTGAGCTCCTCGGCCCTGACTGGGCTTAATGGTCTCTGGGCCTTTGACTTTGTCCTTTATTCTAGGACATGGCTATTTGGACAAATAGTTCAAAACCCCTAGAAGATGCCGGGCTTGGTGGCCCAAGCCTGTAATCCCAGCACTTTGGGAGGCCAAGGCGGGCGGATCACCCAAGGTCAGGAGTTCAAGACCAGCCTGACCAACATGGTGAAACCCCGTCTCTACTAAAAATACAAAAATTAGCTGGACATGCTGGCATGCGCCTGTAATCCCAGCTACTTGGGAGGCTGAGGCAGGAGAATCACTTGAACCCGGGAGGCAGAGCTTGCAGTGAGCCGAGATCGCGCCACTTCACTCCAGCCTGGCAACAGAGCGAGACTCCGTCTCAAAAACAAACAAAAAGCCTAAGAGATGACTTCGGAAAGAGGGAAACTGAGGCGGAGCTCCCAGCCGTGCCAAACAGCAGCTCCTCCTGAGGGCTCCTGGGGACCTCAGTGAGGCTCGGTTTTGGGGGCCTCGGTGGGGCTCGGTTTTGGGGGCCTTGGTGGGGTTCGGTTTCTGTTGCGTCACCTCTATGCGGTCCCTGGGGCTGGCGTGCCAAGGCTCGCTGGCTTCCTACTGCACTGGGACTCCAATTATCCGCAGGCCATTCCCAGAAGGGCTGCTCTTCCCAGCAGGCCAGGCCGTGCCTCCCTGATGGGGGGTGCTCTTCAGCTCACGGGGAAGGGGCTCAGTCCCCACATAGCTACACCAGGACGTGCGTGGACGAGGGAGGCTCAGAACTGCAGCTGGGTGCCCTTTACCCCCGGCAGTGCTGAGCCTGGACACCTTGTCCACCCCCCCACACCGACATGCAGGGCCCAGAGGCCTCCTTGCCTAAGGGAGGAGCAGGTGGAGGTGTTAGCTCTTCCAAACAGGCAGGTGCTGGGGGAGGCTCAATTATCAGCACGCAGTTAATCCCCTAATTAAAGGAGGCAAGTGCTGTTCATGGCCCCACCTCCTCCCCAGCCAGGCTGCTGCCCTGCAACGAGGCTGAAGCCTCCTGCTCTGCGGAGGCAGGCCCTGTGTTCTGCGCTGAACAGGGCTGTGGCGACCCCCAGCCCCTCCCGGTGCCCACGCTGCCCCTCCCCCCATTGCCCCCTGGGATTGCCCCCCCTCCCCCACCCCACCCCATCTGGGACTCCTGCCCCTACAGCAGCCGCAGCAGGCCCAGGGGTGAGGCCAGCCTCACGTGGCGCCTGTTCTGTGGGTGGGGTGGGGCCTTCCTTGCTCTGGGCAGAGGGGTGCCAGCCCTGAGGTCCTGGAGCCTCCCAGGCTGAGCCACTGGCCCTGATGCCCACTGGGCTCTCGGCCGATGGACGACCAGGAGACGTGGGGACCAGCGGGCTGGGCTGTGGGTGCTCCCTCCTCAGAGCTTCAGGAACCCTCTGTGTGGGGGGCGTCTCTTCCCTAGAAACTGTCCTGTGCTGGCTAAAGAGCCTCCGGCGGCTGTGGGACAGCCTCAACCTTGCCAGGGCTGAGATGACGATGGTTGCAGCTGCCTTTGGAGCTCGGCTGCCTGGCTGGGCAGGAGGCTGGGGGGCCTCTGTCCCGCCATGGCTTCCCCGGGACCCCACCCTCCGCCCTCCCCTGTGGCCTCAGTGGGCCTGGCACCCAGGCAGAGACTCTCGGGTTGGGTCGTGGGGCCCTGGGAGCACAGGCTGGGGCATCCGCGGACCCTCGTCTCCCCAGTGCCAGGTCCCTGAGCCCGCCTGCAGGTGGCGTCTCTCCCTCACGGGTGCCGGGCCCGGACCTGGGCACTGCACTTGGCGTTGCCGACCCAGCCGCTCCGACTCCTGCCCGGGAAGTCAGGCAGTGTGGCCGGGACCTTCCTCAGGAGACCCTGAGCAGGGGTTCTCAGGACCTGGGGGATCTTCGGAGCTGATGGGAGGCAGCCCCGCCGGGCTGGGTGGGTGGCAGAAGGCCCCCTGGCCTCGGCCTGTGAGGCCGGCTCCCTCGGAAGTGAAGCTACGGCACCTCGAAGCTCAGACCACAGCCATCCTCACATCCCCCGACGGCCCCCGTGCCTCAGGGGCCCCCCTTCCTACCTGCTGGCGACTCAGCGAGGTGGGGGCGTCTTCCCGTGCCCATGGCACCTCTCTCTGTTGCCACATTCTACCTCCTGAATCAAGGGGTGCCCCTCGCCCGTGGGGAGGTGGGGCCTGTGACCAACACCCTTGGGGCCAGCGTGGGGCAGACACCCCAGCTTCGAACCCCAGACGCCCACCTGGGGCCCCATCCACCAGCCCCTCTGCCTCACGCGGGTCTCTATGCACCAAAGTCCTGCGTCCACACAGGAAACCCTGGTTCACCGTAGGGACGCCAGTCACTCAGACGCAGGCCAGAGCTTTGGCCGTGCAAGGATGCAGTTTAATTACATATGACACAGATGGTGAAATACGTGCAAAGCACGGAGCTGTGTCTGTGAAAATGAAGAGGAACACTGAGGAGCAGCACGAGGACAAGCCCCACACTTCTGCGGTTGCTGTTGGCCTCAGCTCTGCCGCCTCAGGGCACAGCCTTCTCCGCAGTTGCTCTCCTGGCCCCGCAGGGTCGTGTGTGCCTGCATGAAGCTAAAACAAAATGCAGAGCTTCTCAAAACTGCTCTACTTCATACCATTAACCGGTCAGCCACCAGTACCAGCAAACCCGCAGATGGGACGCAGAGGCTTCCAGGAAAACAGCAACACCAAACACACCGGACGGGAGTCCTGGCTGCAGGCCGTTCTACATCCAGGGCCCCGGGTAGGCAGCGCTTACTCTTCCCCCATGCAAGCCCCTCCCTTGTGGACAAAGGCAGAAGTGAAGGTGGTGCTCTCCAGATGGGGCTGTAAACGCTGCGTCCTGTGTGCTCTGCCTGGGATGGCTCGCCCTGGACACCAGCCCTGGCCAGTGAGAAGCCCAGGAGCAAGTACGGAAGCTCATGCAGCACACACTTGAGCACACACCTGCACGCACACCTGCGCACACGCCACACACACCTGCGCACACTCCTGCACACACAGTGCACACACCTGCACACACACCTGTGCACACACACCTGTGCACACGCCACACACCCGTGCACAAACCTGAGCACACCTGCACACACACCTGAAAACACACCTGCGCACACCTGAGCACACATCTGCACTCACCTGTGCACACACCTACACACACACCTGAGCACACCCCACCCACACCCCCATGCACACACCTGTGCACACCACACACACCTGCACATACACCTGAGCACACATCTGCACACACCTGAGCACACACCTGCGCACACACCTCAGCACGTATCTGCAAACACTTGAGCACACACCTGAGCACACACCTGCACACACTCCTGCGCACACTCTACATACACTTGAGCACACACCTGGGCACACACCTGCACACACCTGCGCACACACCTGCACACACTCCTGCACACACCTGCGCACATGCCACACACACCTGAGCACACACCTGTGCACACTCCTGCGCGCACACACCTGCACACACGCCACACACCTGTGCACACACCTGCGCACACCACTGCATACACACCTGAGAACACACACCTGTGCACACACCTGCGCACACCACTGCATACACACCTGAGCACACACCTGCACACACACTTGGGCACCCACCTATGCACACACGCCTGGGCACACACCTGCACACACACCTGGACACACACCTGGGCACACACCTATGCACACACATGCCCTGCAGTTGAGCTCTGAGAAACCACCACCCTGTCCACTTCGCAATTGTGCTTCCTGCTACGTCCACAGCTCTGAGTTTCTGAGCTCTGGAAGCAGACGTGGTAAACGTGCATGTTCCAGCCACTGCATGTGGGGTCACTTGTTACACGGCAGCAGCTAACTCATGCAGGAAGCCACGTGAATTCTGGGCGTGGTTGGGGCCTCCTCCTGCACCCAGTCCGCTCACTGCTTGGGGCTGCCACATGCGTGGGGTTGCTGCCTCTGAGACCTCACATTCCCGGGTTCCCTCAGCCTCTGTTCTATTGGAAACTGCAGCCCTGTGGGCACAGGCAGGGCAGGCACTGCAGGTTCTCTTTGGAAGGAGCTTCGCAGGCTGAGGGTGGGGCCCTTCGCCACCCACTGCCCCACCCAGGGAGAGGCTGCCTCGCATCAGCTCCGGGGTCTCCACGTTCTCCAGACCCCAAGAACCCCTTGGCCTTGCAGAGTCTCTGTGAGTCAGGAGCTCAGCGCTGGAAGATGCATCCAGGTCAGGCAGAGACCCCTGGTCCAGCCTCCCCCTCACTTGCTGCTGGCCTGGGCCACGGCACTGCTGCAGGCTCCGCGGACTTTAGGCTCATTTAATGCCTGACCCTGAGTGGCAAGCCCCACCCTGGGCAAATATTTATTTGACAAATAAGGGCTCACCAGGACGAAGGCCATGGAAGGCTTTCCCCAGGGCAGCCGCTGAGCGGCTGTGGAGGCCGAGGGGTCTGTCCGCCTGGGGGAGGCAGGAGGGATGTGGGGAAAGGGGGGCCTCTGACCGTGAGTCCCCAGATCGGTTCAGGGGCGGTGGGAGCCCCGGCTGCTGGAGCCTGGTCTGCGTGGTACAAGACGGCCCCCGTGCCTGCTCTCTCTGTTCTGATGAGAGGATAGGGAAGGCCATGGTGCTGGAGGAGCTCCCGGCTCCCGGGGCTGTGGCCCAGAAAGACGCCCCAGGGTGGCACTCAGACAGTGAGGTGGCCTGTTGACCCCACAGGGAAGTGCTTGGTCTCAGGGCCCAGTACAGCTGCCCCCACAGGAGCCTCTACCACAGAAGCAGGCATGGAGGAGCTCGGAGGACCGTGGCGGGGACAGGGGAGGGTGTGTGTCTGCCTCGAGGCCTCTCCTCCAGGCCTTCCTCTCCTTCAAAGGGACTGCCGCGGCCGAGGTGTGGCCTGCAGGGGTGGACTCTGAGGCCAGCAGGGGCCCGCCCGACACCTCACCTGAGCTACACTCTTCCCCTGACAGAGGTGGCCGATGGGGCTGGCTGAGCTGGGCCTTTTATGCAGGAATGGACGCCCTTGGGGTCAGCCTCAGGGGTTAACCCTTAGCATCCTCTCAGGCCAGGATTCCAGGAAAGATGTTTCCTCCACAGGCCCTCAAGTTACCCCAGGGCAAAGAGTGGATGGCCCAGGCCCTGTGCAGAAAGAGTCCTGGGTCCTCCGTCCTCTTCCAACCTCCTGCTGAGAGTCCCAGGCAAGCACAGATTCCCAGGCTGGGGTATCCCATCCAGACTTTCGCCCTCTGTACCCTTCGTGCTGGGCCTGGGGTGGAGTGTACTTGGAGGGGACCCATCCTCAATCCACCTCGTTCCGGAGAGCTGAGCCCTCAAGAAGCCCAGGAGAGCAGCTCGGGGGAGCACGGACCCTGCTTCCAGCCCTGGGCCATTCGCCCGCTGGAAAAAAATCCCCAAAATTTGCTGATAAATATAAGAAAGTCACAGCAGCCTTCAAACAAGCAGACTCCATAGACAGACTCCAGAACCGCTCCGCAGGCACAGGAGACACCAAACACACTGCTGTCCGTCACAGTCAGGGACCCCCCGGGAAGGACGGGGGACGGAGGAGGGCAGGGGCCGCGGGGTGGGGGCCGAGGGCCTCCCCGTCAGCTGGCAGCAGCGGCCCCTCAGCAGCCTGGAGTGCTGGCCTGCCAGCCGGTCTGCCTGTCCTGCGCCATGGCCTCCCTGTGCGTCTGTGAAGTCAGTGTGAGCTGCTCCCGGGGCGGCACCGGCGTGGTGACCTCCTCCCTGGAATTCTCTCTGTTTTTTTTTTTTTTTTGAGATGGAGTTTTGCTCTTGTCGTCCAGGCTGGAGTGCAGTGGCACAATCTCGGCTCACTACAACCTCTGCTTCTTGGGTTCAAGAAATTCTCCTGCCTCGGCCTCCCGAGTAGCTGGGATTGCAGGCGCCCGCCACCACATCCAGCTAATTTTTGTATTTTTAATAGAGACGGGGTTTCACCATTTTGGCTAGGCTGGTCTCGAACTCCTGACCTCAGGTGATCCGCCCGCCTTGGGGGAGGCGGGGTCTTTCTCTGCCTTGGGGGAGGCGGGGTCTTTCTCTGCCATGGAGGAGGCAGGGTCTTTCTCTGCCATGAGGGAGACGGGGTCTTTCTCTGCCATGGGGGAGGCGGGGTCTTTCTCTGCCTTGGGGGAGACGGGGTCTTTCTGTGACTTGGGGGAGGAGGGGTCTTTCTCTGTCCCCAGTGGGGAGTCTCGCTCACCTCGCTGCGGCTTCAGCGGCCCTCCGCGAGCAGCGGGTGTGAGGTTTGCTGGTTTGGGTGTCGGAAAGCCAGCACACCCGAGGTCCGGCTGCTGCACCCACAGGGTTCGCGCTTTGACTTGTTGATGAGTGGTGGGCACGCTGGGCCCTCGCTGCAGTTTTTTTATTATTATTACTTTTATTTTATGTATTTATTTGTTTTTTGAGACGGAGTCTCGCTCTGTCACCCAGGCTGGAGTGCAGTGGTGCAATCTCTGCTCACTGCAAGCTACGCCTCCTGGGTTCAAGCAATTCTTCTGCCTCAGCCTCCTGAGTAGCTGGGACTACAGGCACGTGCCACCACGCCCAGCTAATTTGTTGTATTTTAGTAGAGACGGGGTTTCACCATGTTGGCCAGGCTGGTCTCCATCTCCTGATCTCGTGATCCACCCACATCGGCCTCCCAAAGTGCTGGGATGACAGGTGTGAGCCACTGTGCCCGGCCCGCCGCAGCTTTATTGATCTGAATAAGCTTTTCCGCGTGGATGCTTTATGGTTCTTTATGGTTGTGTTTCTTTAGTGCTTGGTGGATATTTTCCCAAATGCAGCTCCCTGGAGGCGCTTGCCTTGTGAGGAGCAGGAGCCTGAGAGTGCGGAACCGAGCGTGTCCTTCTCGCCGTCCCCTGGAAAAGATGAGCTGTGTCTGGTCCCAGCACATGATGCTCTGTTTTCTGAAACGGCACCCCTGGGTCTCTGGACAAGAGCCCTCCCCATCTTGCCCCTCCAGCACACAGGATGCCCTCCACAGCCACTCCCAGGGGGCTGGACAGAGTGGGGCTGAGCAGCGGCCACGGGAAGCCACCGGCCACCCAGACCCCCGTCCTCCCCGGGTGCTGCCCTGGGCCTAGGTGGCCAGGTCTGGGGGGCCGATACCACGGGCTACGCCCAGCCCCACCCGGCTCCTGTGTGGTGTCAGGGGCTCTGGCATGCCGGCAGGCCAGTGCTCTCGTGAGAGGTGGGTCCCCAAGCCGGCCCCAGCGAAACTCAGTTAAAGGACGAGTCTGCTTTTGGGCCTTATGTTTCCCAACTCCATGGGCAGAGCCACAGGGCCGCTGCCTCCTCCACCGTGGCTGGAGACAAGGCGGCCCCGGGTCTCTGTGAAGCCCTGGCCACGTTCAGCCGCAGGGCCCTGGGTGTCATCGCCACCGCCCCACTGTGGCCCAGGACTGGGGCTTTGGTGGCCCGTGCTGTGGGAGTGGGGGCAGCCAGCAGCCAGGGTCACAGGCCTGAGCCTCGGACAAGCACAGAAGGACCCCCAGGTCTGGTGCTCGTGC
Organism: Homo sapiens; assembly: GCF_000001405.40. Taxonomy (NCBI): domain Eukaryota; kingdom Metazoa; phylum Chordata; class Mammalia; order Primates; family Hominidae; genus Homo; species Homo sapiens. The sequence goes on from NC_000001.11 coordinate 1,128,084, forward strand.
TGACTGCCAAGGGCAGCGACTGCAAGACGGGGGTGCAGGTTTCGGGCGTGGCGCGGGCTGCGTCGGGTTCTGGCATTCAAACATATCATGCGGGACCAGGCCTGGGGTTACAGGTGGGGCGGGCGCGCAGGAGAGGGGAGCCGTCCCGGAGCCGCTCTGCACCCAGAGAGGTGTGAGGTGCAGCCTTTCCCCCCTGCCAGGAAGCGCAAACCCTGCTTTAGACCCCAGGGAGTTGGTGCCCCCCCCAGATGCCCGCGGCTTCTCCCACATGGGGAGCTGTCCATCTGTGAGGTCAGACCTGGGCTGCGGGCTTGGCCACCGCTGGATGCCAGCCAGACCTGCCCCTCTGACTTTTCTTGCTCTTTTCTCTCTGCTTTTCCGAGGCCGGCTTTCCGCGAGGCACTTACTTGAAAATGGAGCCCCGGCATTCCTGCATGCACGGACACTAAATCCAAGGCCAGCTCCTCTCTCAGAGCAGAAGTTAAAAATTATTCAATGCCAAATTCCTGGGCTGTGGAGCAGTAGTGGTTGTACCAGGCAAAGGTTCCCGCCGCCTTCCGCCGGCCGGGCAGAGATAAGACCATGAGGGCGCCCGGGGGAGTCCGCGCCTGGCCCACACTGCCCTCCGCCGTCCTGGGACCAGGCCCACACCGCCCTCCGCCCTCCCAGGACCAGGTAGGACTGAGGCTCTGTGGGTCTGACCCACAGCGTCTGGGAGGTTTTGTCTCAAGGGCTGGTGGCTTCTGATGAGCCGAAAGCCCCCGCACCCACGGCCCCACAAAGCTTTTCTTCCGGGACCAGCCCCTCCCCAGTCGCCTGGCCAAGGCCCAGCCCTTAGGGGCCTCCATGGTGTGCTGGGGAGGACCTGGGGGTCCCGCTGGTGAGCCCAGGGCACAGTTGTGGCAGGCGGAGCCCGCGGGGAGGGCAAGGCCTCAGAAGAGGAGGGATTCAGCCGGAGGGCCTTCCCCAGGGCTGGCGGCTTCTGCTATTGGCTGGGGGGTGGTGAGGGTCAGCTGGGGCCTGCAGGGCTGTGCTGGCCAGGTGGGCCGGGCCTGGGGTCCCACAGCCTGAGCGGAGATGCCTGGAGGGGGCCACAGGGTGACCATGTGCCCCCCGGGAGAAGCTGGGGTCTTGGGTCCCCGTGATGATTATGGGTGTCTGGGGGTTCCTGTAGGAAAAGATGGCTGCGAAGGCCCCAGAGTTCCTCGGGGCCTGTGAATGACCCAGCCAGGGGGCCCTCAGAGGGGGAGAGAGACTGAGAAGCCATGATTTACATTTCCTGGCAGAGAGCTCTTGCAGGGAAACCAAATTTATTCCAGTTGACAAGGTGCGTGGGCATTGGGAACAACGTGGGTGGGGGCACAGCCTCCTCTGTCCCGGCCGAAATCCAGTCCTGCAGAGATTTGGAGCACAGAGCATCAGGGCCGCCTGTGAGGCACAGAGCGAATGGGGCACCAGCCTGCCCTCGGCCTCAGACACGGAGAGGCTCCCACGGCACTGAGCCACGCATGGCCACGCGACAGAGGGACAGAATGCCGTGGCCGTGTAGGGGAGCTGCACTCTGCGTGGCCCTGGGATGGGAAAATCCAGGGAAACAGACACTGTTATGGATGTGAGCATCGGCTGCCAGAACGAGAGGAAGCAGAAGAGGGGAAAAGGCCGATTATCGTAGAAGAGTTAGGAAAATCAATCAAAGATACCCCCTTGAGAACAGTTAAGTTCACAGCTGTGAGTTCTGGAAACCTTTATGTTTTAAAAATGATTCCGAGGACTCAGAGGGTAAAGCTCGCACCAACTTAATTTGTTATTGCCTTTTCTATCAAAGTTATGCTTGTGGCCGGACACAGTGGTTCGCATTTGGGAGGTCAAGGCGGGCGGATCACTTGAGGTCAGGAGTTCGAGACAAGCGTGGTCAGCATGATGAAACCCTGTCTCTACTAAAAATACAAAAAAATTAGCTGGATGTGGTGGCGGGCACCTATAATTCCAGCTACTCTGGAGGCTGAGGCAGGACAATCGCTTGCACCTGGAAGGCGGAGGTTGCAGTGAGCTCAGATGGCACCATTGCCCTCCAGCCTGGGCAACAGAGTGAGACTCTGTCTCAAAAAAAAAAAAAAAAAAAAAAAAAAAAAACCAGTTATGCCTGTAGGTTGCTTGAGAGTCAAACACTTCTGCAAGGCTTGGACACATATGATCTTCAGGCCGCGCCGAGGCCACCAGCTCCGTGTGCTGGGAGGCTCCTGTGTTTACTTCCAACGTCACTGGCAAACGGCAGCTTCTCAGCACTCCAGCTTCAGGGTCAGCCCTGAATCTGCCCTGTGGAAGGGGCTGTTTGCCGCCCTCCCACCTCTCGTCCCGCCGTCACGCGCCGCGCCTGGTCTCTGCTGTCACTCTGCTGGGCGCCGGGGACTAGCTTGGTGCCAGGTCCACCGTGGCCGCCTGTTCTCACCCGAACTCTGAGCTGTTTCCCTGAAGTTAATAATCGCCTTTGCTTTTCTTCTTGCTTAGCTTTCTCTGAACTCATTACTAATTCAGCCTCAGACTCTCCCCCATGACTTAAATTCCGGCACGCCAGGTATTTCTGAGGGGCCTCCGGGAGCCTCCTGCCCTGCCCGGGGCTGGTCGGCTCCCTCGGGCCTGGGGCAGGGCTGGCGTCTTGCAGGCTTCGTGGTCCGTGTCACAAAGGTCCCATTGCTTCTCCCCTGGGTGGGATTTTCCCGGGCCCCACACCTCCCCTTTCTTGTCTTCTCAGTGTTTTGGTGGAACAAGCCCCTCGCAGCTCCCCGTGAGGTGCAGGGGGTGGGCCCCCACCACGCCCACAGCTGCAGCTGCCTGTGAAGGGCACAGGGCGGGCCCCCACCAAGGCCTTCGCTTCCCTGCGAGTTGAGAAAACCTCGCCGCAGGGTCCCCGGCTCCCGAGGCTGCTGTGGGTCCGGCAATGGCATCCCAACCCCGGGGCCTTGGTATGGAACCTGTTTCTGCGGGTTTTTTCCTGAAAGTTTTTGGGGCCTTCTTTTTGTCTCCATCTCTGCTGTCCTGTGAAGGTGGATCTTTGTGTGGTTCCGTTTTCATCCCTTTCACGGGGTCCTCAGTGGCTCTTTCTGTCTGGAAATGCCTGAGCTTCGGCTCCAGGAAATGTTCTTGAATTACAATTTTTAAATGATTTTGTTCTTTATCTTTTCTTTTTGTTGTTGCTCTCTCTTTCTCTGGTGAATATTGCTGCAATTTGGAGCAGGTCCTCTAATCACCTTTTCTATCCCATTTTCTTTGCCTTTTCACGTCACGTTCGGGGAACGTCCTGGCTCCGTCCCTTCCAGCGCTTTTCGTTTCTGTCCTCGGAGTCATTCTTTTTAAGACGGAGTCTCGCTCTGTCGCCCAGGCTGGAGTGCAGTGATGTGATCTCGGCTCACTGCAAGCTCCGCCTCCTGGTTCACGCCATTCTCCTGCCTCAGCCTCCCGAGTAGCTGGGACTACAGGTGCCCACCACCATGCCTGGCTAATTTTTTGTATTTTTAGTAGAGACGGGGTTTCACCGTGTCGGCCAGGATGGTCTCGATCTCCTGACCTCATGATCCGCCCGCCTCGGCCTCCCATAGTGCTGGGATGACAGGCGTGAGCCGCCACGCCCGGCCCCTCGGAGTCGTTCTTTCTGTTGCATCCTCATGGTTTTCTGTGGCCACGTGCTTTCGCTCATCTCTTCGAGGACGTTCCTGATAGTTTGTGCCTCTTCTTTTCAAGGCTTCTTCTCCTTGCACAAGACGGTCTGGAGAAAAACCCGCATTTCCTTCCGTCACACTGACCACATTTAACTTAAAATGGGAAGAGAGCAAAACATTCCACAGGCAAAGTCAGGGGACTATTTTAATGACAGAGACACATGGTTGAAATCAATGCTGCACTCTGAGCCCTTAGAAACCGTCGCAAAGGACTCCACGGAAGGGTGGGGGCAGCCCCAGCGAGGTCGTCAGGGAGCAGAGCCCGAGTCATGGGACACAAGGCCGGACCCCTCACCGCCAGGGAAGCGGAGTCACAGGCACGTGGCCCTCTGCGCCCAGGGTCAGGGCACGGGAGGCAGAGCCTGAGACGGGGGTGCCCATGCAGGGTGTGCTGGGGGTGGGGTTGTGGGGCCTCTCAGGGGCAAGGGGCAGGACCGGACAGCAGAGAGATCCCACTCCTGCCTGAGACCCGCCGCCATCGCCGCCGCGAGCCCTGCGTTGGGCATTGGGGCCAGGCACCTGCCAGGAGGGCCTCTTCCGAGGTGGGGTGTCACCTGGGATGTGTCCGCTGGCAAATGGGAGAAACACCAGGGCGGCTGCCGGGGAGGTCGATGTCAGGGAGCCCGTAGCCCTGAGCCCATGTGTGGAGGAAGCCCTTTGTCTGAGGAGCCTGCGGCCGCCTTGGACCCTGGATGCTTGCAGGGAATCTACACAGGGTTGTCAGGTACGACAAGGGTGCCCAGGGCTGAGGAGGGTGCCCATGCGGCCTCCTACAATGCGTATGGGAAGCCGGTGAACGCCCTCCCTCAGGGCTGGCCGGGTGCGTCTGGGGTTGTCCTAGCTCCAGCTGCTGGAACAAAATACCGAGCCTGGGGACTTAAGCAACAGAAATGTATTTTCTCACAGCCTCGGAGGGGGAGGGGAAGGTCCGGTGTCCCAGGGTTGCCGGGCTGGTTCTGCGGAGGCCTCTCCCGCTGCTGCCTTCTCTCAGGCGGCCTCTGCGCAGGTCCGTCCCGTGTCCCTCTGCCCTAACCTCCTCCTGCAACTAGGACACCAGTGGGACCCGGCCAGGGCTCATCCTCACGGCTGCTTCCCACATACTCACCTGTCTCGTAGCCCCTTCTCCACACACGCTCGCGTTGTTGGTACTGAGAGTTTGGATTCTAACCATGAACTCTGGGGGCACAACCTGCCAGAGGGGTCACTGTGTAGCCCGGGGGACCTTGCAATGTCTCATCCTTAAAACCCCAGGAAGAGCAGAGCTCTGCTGCGTGTGCTCGCGGGTTCCGCCTGAGAGCAGGGTGGTTCCGGGCTGTGTGTTCCGCCTGAAAGCTGAGTTTTAGGAGCAAGCAGGAAACACAGAGGAGAAGGACCAGGAACCCTGGGGAGCCCGGGGGAGCTACAGGTGGAGAAAACTGCCCTGAGAGTGGTGGGGAGGGCAGGTCACACCCACCCCAGGGAAGGTCGCTTGGGTTTACGTGGAGACGTTGTTTTGGGGTGGCGGGGCCTGGGTGTCCAGCATCCCTGGTACATCCCTCCTGGTGGGGTCCTGCCAAGGATGACGCTCCGGCTGGGTGGGCACTGCAGTCTCAATGCTCGGGGTCCGGTGTGGGGGGCTCCCGGTGGCTGCACCCCTCGCCCTGCGCCCTGCCCGCCGCCTGCCTGCCCGGCCTCCTCAGCAGATGCTGGGCTCTGACCCCAGCGTCAGGCAGAGGCTGGGCCGGCGGCCAGGACGACTCCGCCTGGGGTTTAATGTTCCACTTCCTCCCCGCTGACTGACCCTACGCAGGCACTGGCCCTACTCTGAGGCCTCCCAGCCTCCCTTCCACAGGTCTGGCTGGGGAGGTGGTTGACGTGGGGAGGGAAAGCTTCCCAGGACGTAGATTTTGTTTTCTTTTCCTGGAAAAGGGCGGCTGCTCATGCTTCCTTGCTGAGGTCCCCTCCTGTGTCCAAGAAAACTTAGTGGTTTTCTCTCTCTCCTAAGAAATACAGGCCTCAGGTAAGGCCGGGCACAGCGGCTCACGCCTGTTATCCCAGCACTTTGGGAGGCCGAGGCGGGCAGATCACGAGGTCAGGAGATCGAGACCATCCTGGCTAACACGGTGAAACCCCGTCTCTACTAAAAATACAAAACATTAGCTGGGCGTGGTGGCGGGCGCCTGTAGTCCCAGCTACTCGGGAGGCTGAGGCAGGAGAATGGCGTGAACTCGGGAGGCGGAGCTTGCAGTGAGCCGAGATGGGGCCACTGCACTCCAGCCTGGGCGACAGAGCGAGACTCCGTCTCAAAAAAAAAAAAAAAAAAGAAAGAAATACAGGCCTCAGGTAACCAGTGCTGTCAAAACATCCCCGCATGGCGAAATCCCTCACGCCCCCCTCCCCACATGCCCGCGTCTGCTTTCTGCCCTGTCCCAAACCATTCACCTCCTCACCCCGCCACCCCAACTCCACTGTCAAACCGTTCACCCCCTCACCTCGCCACCCCGACTCCACTCTCAAAAACCAGAACAGGTCACCAGTGCTTCCCTCCCTAAACAGTTCTGTGCTGTCCTGGGAGCACCAGTAACATCCAGTTCCCCGAGGGACCAGGGGGCTGCCTCAGGGGGGAGGGGTCTCCTGCAGGCCTGGCATAGTGTGGCTGTCCCTACACCCAGACCCTGCACACGGCCCCGCGACACGGGGAGGCTGAGGCCTCGCAGGGCCCTGGGTGTCTCCACCAGCTCCTCGGGGTCCGCTGTCCTGCTGAGGTGCCCGCAGGACCCTCAGTGGGATGGGCACCAGCCCTTTTCAGCGTTCCGCCGAACAGGGGCCCAGAGTGCCTGAGAGGCGCCTGTGTTTGCACATTTGGAGGCCGGTGGGGGTCCGTGCAGGCGCAGAGCCCCACAGTAGCAGGTGGCCCCGTGGGGAGGCTCCCCGATGGGTACATCCCGCAGCAGCATCTGACATCTGAGTCTGCAGCCCCTCTCAGGAGGGGGCACCGTGAGGGGTGTGGCTTCCTCGCCATCTGAGGCTGCAGCCCCTCTCAGGAGGGGGACACCGTGAGGGGGTGGCTTACTCGCCAGGCTCCCTGGGGGCTGGGCAGCGATGGCTGGCTTCCCAGGGGCCTTCCTGAGTCACGGACCCATGGGGTCCTGGCTGACTTTGCCTGCGGCGTCAAAGGGCTTGAATCTCCGTGTAGCCACCGAGGCCTCCACTCCTGGAGACCCCACCCGTGATCCCACCTCCCCCAGGCAGATATCTTGGCTGCAGCCATTGTCCATCCCCCGGGGTCACCGTCCCCTCCCCGCCCCGATGCTCTGACCACCCGGGGGCTCCTCCCGTATCCTTTGGGCCTTCGGGAGACCCCACTCCACCACGGGGGCCTGGATACAGGGTCTTGCCACCTCCCTCCCCAGGGAGGGGCCTGGGAGAGTCTGGAATGGGATGGTCGCAGGCAGTGGGGGCCCTCAGGGTAGGGGCCTGATCTGTGCATTTGGGCACAAATTCCCTGGGCGTAAATGTCACCGGAAAGGGATCCCAAAGAGGGCTCTTGGACCTCGAGCAAGAAACAGTTTGGGGGAGTCCACTGATAAACTGAAAGCAAGTTTAATAGGAAAGTAAAGGAATAAGAGAAGGGCTGCCCCATAGGCTGAGCAGCGGCCTGGGCTACTCCACTGAGAATACTTATTGTTGTTTCTTGATATGTACTAAACATGGTGTGGATTATTCCGGACTTTTCTGGGAAAGGGGCAGGCAATTCCCAGAAGTGAGGGTTCCTCCCTCTTTTAGACCATCTAGGGTAACGTCCTGGCGTTGCCGTGGCAACTAAACTGTCCTGGTGCTGGTGGGCGTGTCTCTCATGCTAATGTATTATAATCAGCGCATAATGAGCAGTGAGGACTGGCTGTCTTGGTTTTGGTGATTTGGGGCCGGCTTCTTCACAGCATCTTGTTTTATCAGCGGGGTCTTTGTGACCAGTCTTGTGCCAACCTCCTATCTCATCCTGTAACTAAGGATGCCTGACCTCATGGGAACGTGGCCCAGCCGGGCTCAGCCTCATTTTACCCAGGCCCTGTGCAAGATGGAGTTGCTCTGGTTCAAAGGTCTCTGACATAAAGACCTCAACCAGGCTGGTCTCACGCTGCCAGGACAGCTGGTGAGTGCAGGTGGGCAGGGGCCACTGCCCCAGCTCCCGTGGGCAAGGCTGAGGGTGAGGGGTTCCGGAGCGTTCCACATTCTCCTTGCAATGCTGGAAGCACGGGTGTCTCCCATCCCGACACGCCTCATTCTGTCTGCAGCTCACAGGGCCCGGCTTCTGCAGCTCACAGGGTCCGGCTTCTGGAAATTCTGCTTTTGCATTTTGTACTCTGTCCAGGGGCCAAAACCCAGGTCTGGAATTGGTGTGGTCCCTGGTGGCACAAACCAGTCCTGGCTAAGAGGCCGGCCCCTCTCACTCCACTGAAGAGACAGGGGGCTGCATGCTGAGAGGGCCAAGGCCAAAAGGAGCCTGCTGCTGTTCACAGCCCCCTGTGTGCCTGGGGCCCACTGTTCACAGCCCTCTGGGTGCCTGGGGGCTGGGCTGGGGGCTACTGCAACCCTTGGCCTATGGTGTGGTCGAGGGAAGGGGAAGGGACAGGGCTTTGAGAAACACGGTGATGGGGGTGAGGGTGGGGACTGGGGACGGTGGGCGTGGAGGTGGAGGCCCTGTGGGTGCTGGGCAGGGCAGAGGAGCTAGGCCAGATGCTGTGTTTGTGTGGGGTGCTGAGTGGCCAGCCTAAAACCTTCTGAGAAAGTAGGATCCAGCACAGGGAGCTTCAGCTTCTCTGATGGGAGGCAGGAGGGGGTCAGGTGGGAGCTGCAGGGCGTGTCGAGCCGGCCCTGCCCTGGGTCCCTGCGGGCCGCCTGGCACACAGGAGGGCGGTTCCTTTCCTGTTGGACCCGGTCTCACTTCATTTGCCCACGTTAATTGGGGCGCAGGTGCAGCTCTCGGGCAAACAAAGGTGCGGTCGCCAGGTGGACTTAACCCTTTCCCTGGCACTGGCGGGGCCTGGGGGGAGGCAGCAGGAGGGGCGGCCGGGTGGTCAGTTTGAGGACCTGGCCCCACGTGCCTTTGTGGGATGGTGGGGACCCCACACCCCCGCTGGCTGGGCTGGGATGGTCGGGCCCTGGGCGGGGCAGGGGCTGCACCTGGGCCTCTGGGCCACCTGCCTGGCTCGGTCGCGCCCCTTCTTTGGTTTCCAGCTAACGACGCGGCGCCCACCGAGAGCTGGGGGAGCCCAGGGCGGGGAGGGCGCGGCCGGAGCGAGCGCCGCCCGGGAAACCCGAGCCCCGCCAGGTGCGCGGGGACAAAGGCGGTGCCGGGAGGGCGGGTCCTGGGGGTCCCCCTGCCCCCTCTGCGGTGCGTTGGGAGCTCCCGTCCTCCTGCGCACACTCAGGGAAAGACCGGAGGAACCGTGGCGGGGGTCGAGGCCGGCGTGGGGTGGGGGCGCCAGGGGGGCGGGCGGGGCCCAGAGCCCGGGACACGCGACGAGGGGCCGGACCCCGAGGATGCGAGGATGCGGGGACCCTGCCCCCGCTGGGCCGGGTTTTGGGGGCCCGGGACACTCAGCCCCGCCCCCCGCAGGCTCTCTGTGGCCCTGGGGTGGGAGGGCTGCGGTCGAGAACCCCCCACGCGGCCCCTCCCCGGAACCCGCAGGCTGTGCACCCTCTGGACTGAAGTCACCCGTCAGTCCCGGCTGGGGGTTTCCGGGAACAGGGCAGGTGCTTTAAAGCAGGGGTGGCCGATCTTTTGGCTTCCCTGGGCCACATTGGAAGAATTGTCTTGGGCCACACATAAAATACACTAACGATAGCTGATGAGCGAAAAAAAAATTGCCAAAAAAATCCCATTATGTTTTATGTTTTAAGAAGGTTTACAAATTTGTGTCGGACCCCATTCACAGCAGCCTGCTGCCATTGGACAGCTTTAAAGCCTGGAGGGCTTGCGACTGGGCGTGTACCCTCCCCGCCTCCCTCCCCCTCTCCCTCCCAGCCCAGCCCTTGGCTGGGTCCTGGGGCGGGGCCCGGGGTCCTCTGTCCAGGAGGTCTGGTTCCCCCAGCAGTGAGTGGGGTGGGCCCTGCAGGGGGTCTTGGCCATTGCAGTGGGGACCCCTGAGCCTGCCAGCAGGAGTGAGGACTCTCAGAGGAAGGGGTTCCCTAAGGGATTCGCACCCCTCCTCTCCCACCAGGCACATGCTCAGGTGTGGCCCAGCCTCTGGGTTCAGGCTCACGTCCTGTGTGGCCTGGAGGGAGTTCACGCCTCAGGGGTGTCTTCCCATCCCAGGAGCCCATGGAGGCCTTCAGGACAGGGCTGTGCGAGAGGAGGTCGTGCCCACGAGTTCCTGCCCGGTGGGAATGAGCAGGGGGCGGGCGGGGGGTCTCAGGGCGAGATCTCCGCTCACCGCAACCTCCGCCTCCCAGGTTCAAGCCACTGTGCCCGGCCTGGGGATTCATTTTAGAAAAGACAAAATGCTGGCTGGGTGCGGTGGCTCACGTCTGTCATCCCAGCACTTTGGGAGGCCGAGGCAGGTGGATCACCTGAGGTCAGGAGTTCAAAACCAGCCTGGCCAACATGGTGAAACCCCATCTCTACTAAAAATACAAAAATTAGCCGGGTGTGGTGGCACATGCCTGTAATCCCAGCTACTCGGGAGGCTGAGGCAGGAGAATTGCTTGAATCTGGGAGGCAGAGGTTGCAGTGAGCTGAGATCACACCACTGCACTCCAGCCTGGGCGACAGAGTGAGACTTCATCTCAAAAAAAAAAAAAAAAAAAAGTGACAAAAGGCCAAGGAAAGGAGAAGGGGCAGGAACATCCTCTGGGCGGTGGGATGGCCACAGTTGGTCCCACCTGGCAGCGAAGGTGGCTGGAGTGACCCATAGGGCCTGGCCCACTCAGACACAACTGTCGGTGCCTCAGGCAATGGTCACCACAGCAGAGGGCTGGGGCACCACACGCTGTGCTTGGGGGAGGTCTGGGGGGATTCTGCGGTGTGAGAACTTAGGGAGAAGCTCTCTGAAGACGGACCTGCCCGTCTGGGGACAGGTTGGGGGGCCTGGGGCTTGCAGTGTTGCAGGTGAACTCTAGGGCCCTATCTCTGCAATGGGACGGCCTCCAGGTCATGGGAGGGCCCAGCCTGCGGGTTCTGGACCCCAGGGGCCACACTGGGCGGGACCCCGTTCACAAGGCGGGAAGGAATCCTGCCCCAGGACCACCCACAGAGGCATCCTGAGCTGCATCCGGGGGAAGCAGGACTCCGAACCGGGGGACCTGGGTCCTGGGGAGCTTCCTGGGGTCAGAAGGTGGGGGTGTCAACGTCGAACCGGGGGACCTGGGTCCTGGGGAGTTTCCTGGGGTCAGAAGGTAGGGGTGTCAATGTCGAACCGGGGGACCTGGGTCCTGGGGAGCTTCCTGGGGTCAGAAGGTGGGGGTGTCAACGTCGAACCGGGGGACCTGGGTCCTGGGGAGCTTCCTGGGTTCAGAAGGTGGGGGTGTCAGCATCGAACCGGGGGACCTGGGTCCTGGGGAGCTTCCTGAGGTCAGAAGGTGGGGGTGTCAGCATCGAACCGGGGGACCTGGGTCCTGGGGAGCTTCCTGGGGTCAGAAGGTGGGGGTGTCAGCATCGAACCGGGGGACCTGGGTCCTGGGGAGCTTCCTGGGGTCAGAAGGTGGGGGTGTCAGCATCGAACCGGGGGACCTGGGTCCTGGGGAGCTTCCTGGGGTCAGAAGGTGGGGGTGTCAGCATCGAACCGGGGGACCTGGGTCCTGGGGAGCTTCCTGGGGTCAGAAGGTGGGGGTGTCAGCATCGAACCGGGGGACCTGGGTCCTGGGGAGCTTCCTGGGGTCAGAAGGTGGGGGTGTCAGCATCGAACCGGGGGACCTGGGTCATGGGGAGCTTCCTGGGGTCAGAAGGTGGGGGTGTCAACGTCGAACCGGGGGGCCTGGGTCCTGGGGAGCTTCCTGGGGTCAGAAGGTAGGGGTGTCAACGTCGAACCGGGGGACCTGGGTCCTGGGGAGCTTCCTGGGTTCAGAAGGTGGGGGTGTCAGCATCGAACCGGGGGACCTGGGTCCTGGGGAGCTTCCTGAGGTCAGAAGGTGGGGGTGTCAGCATCGAACCGGGGGACCTGGGTCCTGGGGAGCTTCCTGGGGTCAGAAGGTGGGGGTGTCAGCATCGAACCGGGGGACCTGGGTCCTGGGGAGCTTCCTGGGTTCAGAAGGTGGGGGTGTCAGCATCGAACCGGGGGACCTGGGTCCTGGGGAGCTTCCTGGGGTCAGAAGGTGGGGGTGTCAGCATCGAACCGGGGGACCTGGGTCCTGGGGAGCTTCCTGGGGTCAGAAGGTGGGGGTGTCAGCATCGAACCGGGGGACCTGGGTCATGGGGAGCTTCCTGGGGTCAGAAGGTGGGGGTGTCAACGTCGAACCGGGGGGCCTGGGTCCTGGGGAGCTTCCTGGGGTCAGAAGGTAGGGGTGTCAACGTCGAACCGGGGGACCTGGGTCCTGGGGAGCTTCCTGGGGTCAGAAGGTGGGGGTGTCAACGTCGAACCGGGGGACCTGGGTCCTGGGGAGCTTCCTGGGGTCAGAAGGTGGGGGTGTCAACGTCGAACCGGGGGACCTGGGTCCTGGGGAGCTTCCTGGGTTCAGAAGGTGGGGGTGTCAGCATCGAACCGGGGGACCTGGGTCCTGGGGAGCTTCCTGGGTTCAGAAGGTGGGGGTGTCAGCATCGAACCGGGGAACCTGGGTCCTGGGGAGCTTCCTGGGGTCAGAAGGTGGGGGTGTCAACGTCGAACCGGGGGACCTGGGTCCTGGGGAGCTTCCTGGGGTCAGAAGGTGGGGGTGTCAACGTCGAACCGGGGGACCTGGGTCCTGGGGAGCTTCCTGGGGTCAGAAGGTGGGGGTTTCAATGTGTAAAGCAGTGAAATGGGTCCCAGAGAGTCCACAGGTGGAGAACGGCCTTCACCAGGCAGCCAGGGAACGGTGTGGGGTGCTCACCAACACCCCGTCACTGCTCCAGAACCCCTGGCAGCCACAGAGCTCAGGCTTCAACGCTGGCCCGACACCAGGGCCAGGCCAGAAATCAGCCTGGGAGAAGCTGGGTCCGGCTCCGAGGCTGGTGGGCACGGCCCCACCCGGCTTTGTTCTTCGCGGCGCTGAGGCGGTTAGTTTAGCCTCCCACCCACCAGACAAAGGTGCGGGAAATGGGACCGGTTTGACTTGTTCAGGTGGGCACTCGGGGGTCCCGGCAAACCGTCTCCTCAAAAGCCCCCCGTGCACTAGCACGCCTCCCCAAATCCCGTCCCCAACCCCATCCCCACCCCCATCCCCACCCCCGTCCCCGCCCCCAGCCCCATCCCTGCCCCCATCCCCAACGCCTTCCTCACACCATCCCCCGATCCCCATCCCTGTCCCCACCCCCGCCCCACCCCCATTCCCCCATCCCCACCCCCGTCCCCATCCCATCCCTGTCCCCATCCCCTACCCCTTCTTCACCCCATCCCCCCGCCCTCACCCCCACCCCATCCCCACCCCCATATCCACCCCCGTCCCTGCCCCCATCCTTACCCCCATCCCCGCCCCGTCCACAACCCCATCCTTACCTCTATCCCCACCCACATCCTTACCCCCATCCCCGCCCCGTCCACAACCCCATCCTTCCCCCGCCTCCACCCCCCGCCCCCACCACATCCCCACCCCTGTCCCCACCCCTGTCCCCACCCTCATCCCCACCCCTGTCCCCCCCATCCCTGCTTCCCCAACTGCATCCACCTGACTCCCTCCTGTCCCCACCAACCCGGCCAAGCGTCCTCCCTCTCAGAGGCTCTCGCTTGCCCCCCACAGTGCCCCTCCAACCCCCAGCCTCAATGAACGTCCCCCGGCCTGGCCTCCTGCACCCAGAGAGTGGCCTTCGGAGGCCGCAGCCGTCTCGCCCACGGTCCCCGGTCCATGCTGCTCCCTCCTCTCAGCTCCCCTCAGCCCGAGCCCCAGGAGACAGGCACCTGGGCCCGTGGGCCGACCGGGGGAGACCCTGCATGGTTGTGGATCCCTGGGGGCAGCTTCACGCTGGGCTTTGGTCCCCAGGGCCCAAGACCACTCCCCTACCCTCGGCTCCACAGCTGACCTGGCTACAGGAAACACCGGCCCCTCTTTGGCTTCTGAAGACCCCACAGGCTCTTGCCACCCCCGCCTGCCTCCTCCTCACGTCAACCCGTCAGTCCTCGGCGTGGACGCTGTCCTCAGGAGAGGGGAGCCCCCAGGCCTGGACCCCTCTGTGCTCGGGAGAGGGGAGCCCCCAGGCCTGGACCCCTCTGTGCTCGGGAGAGGGGAGCCCCCAGGCCTGGACCCCTCGGCTGGGGCCCTGCGCTCCCACTGAGCCGTGTCTGCCCTCAGTCCCCAGCACACCATCCCCGTCTCTCTTTTTTTTTATTTTTTCGAGATGAAGTCTTGCTCTGTCACCCAGGCTAGAGTGCAGTGGCACGATCTCGGCTCACTGCAACCTCCACCTCCCGGGTTCAAGGGATTCTCCTGCCTCAGCCCCTGAGTAGTTGGGATTACAGGTGCCCAGCATCACACCCGGCTAATTTTTGTATTTTTAGTAGAGATGGGGCTTCACCATGTTGGCCAGGCTGGTCTCAAACTCCTGACCTCAAATGATCCGCCCACCTCGGCCTCCCACAGTGCTGGGATTACAGGCGTGAGTCACTGTGCCCGACCCCGTCCCCGTCTTTCAGTCAAGACCGTCCTCCCCACAGCACCCCTGCACTGCCGCCCTCTCAGCCTCCCGTTTAGCAAAACGGTTCCCCCACTGCCTCCTGCCACGACCCCAGCCTCCCCTCGGCCTCTGAAGGCAGCCGGGACCCCTGCTGTCCTCCCACCTCCCCACCTGCACGCTCTGCTCCTCCTACCTTCTAAAAGGATCTTCCTTCTCCAGGCACATGGTCACCCTGCACGTCAGGGGCCGGCTCACCCCTGATATTAGCAACCCCAAGCGTCTTGGCGCAGGGAGGGATCCCCGTCAGCCAGGTCCCCACGCAGCTCCAGGCAGCGCCAGCGTCCACCAGGGAGCAGGGGCAGCAGAGCCCTTCTCCCCAGACACCCTTGTGTCTTCGGAAAATGCCAGGTCCCCCCCCAGCTGCTGTTCTCGTCTTTGGAGGACCCGGCTTTACTGGTGCCACATGCCTGCTGCGGGCTGTGCCATGGAGGGCGGCACCTGCCTCTTCTCACGTGGCAGCTCTGGCACCGGGAACTTCAGAGACCCCAGCTGGGCTGAGCCACCCCGGGCTGAGGCCTTGTGGGTCGCCTCAAATTCAAGCCTCATGGGCCCGGCCTCCCGCCCTAACGGTCGCTGAAGTGTCCTGCTCTCATACGAACTTGTGTCTAAAACTGTGGTCTTTGCTTTTCTCCCAAACCCGCCTCCCCGCGCTGCCTACCTCAGGCCTGGGGGCTCCCCCGACTTGTTCTCTATTCCCCCAGCCCCTCACTGCCTGGGGGCTCCCCCGACTCACTCTCTAGGCCCCCAGCCCCACACTGCCTGGGGGCTCCCCCGACCCTCTCTCTATTCTCCCAGCCCCGCACTGCCTGGGGGCTCCCCCGACCCTCTCTCTATTCTCCCAGCCCTGCACTGCCTGGGGACTCGCCTGACTCGCTCTCTATTCCCCCAGCCCCACACTGCATCTCGGGAGCAGTTCCAGGCCGACCTCTGCTCTCCACGGCCGGGAGGTGTCCAGGTGTGGACAGAGCCCCGGCTCTCCATCAGGGCACCCAGCCGCCCCACGCTCAGCCCTGCGTGGCTTCTCCCGTCCTTCCTGGGCATCCCCTGAGGGTGTGGCCCTGTTGCTGGGCCCCCTCCTGCCCCCTTGCCCTGCCAGTTCCTAGAGCCTAGGCTGAGGGCAGGGCCATTGCTGTGAACAAACTGGACAGGCTCCGCGGGAGCTCAGAGCTGCCCCGTGTCTGAGGGCGCGGCTGTGTGGAGTGGGGTCCCCTCGGCCAGGCGGGAAAGGCCCTGGATCGTGTGTGTGACCCTGGTACTGGGCAACCCCTGGGACAGGCAAGTCCGTGGAGACAGAACGGGGCGGTGGCTGCAGCCTGGGAGCTCGGCCTCCCTCGGGGTGACGGAATGTTCTGGACCTTGATATAGGTGGTGGATACTCAGCCCTGTGAGTGCAATAAATGCCACCAAATTCTCACTTCAAAATTATTTTATGCTATGTGAATTCTGCTCCAATTAAAACACAAACTCTCTTGCAAAATGCACCTTGTCTCCGCCCCTTCTCCCATCACACGCAGCCCCTTGAGAACAGCCAGCACCTGCCTCCCAGGTCCGGGCAAGCAGCCTCCCCTCTCGACGGCCCCGGGCAGCCCCATCACCCTCGGCGGCTGCCCAGGCCCAGGCCTGTTTCCGGCCCTCCTCTGAGCACCTGGAGAGGAGGAAGTGCGTCTTCTCTCCGGTGCCTCTGAGAGACAAGCCTACTCCCCCCGGGCTGGGTGGCCCAGGGCACAGTTAGACCCGGGAGTGGAAAAGGCGGTGGCGGTTTTCTTGCTGTTGTCCCGGCAGCGTCTTTGGTGACACTTTCCCGCCTTTGGAGACCAATTACCCGGCAGAGGCCCAGTGGCCTCATTAACTCTGCTGCGGCGTCGAGAAAGGGGGAAGGAGCCAGCCCACGGGCAGGGCAGGGCGGCTGCAGACTCTCCCGCAGCTCAGGGGCCTGGAGAAACCTGGCCACACCTGGCCCAGCTGGGTCAGGCCTCTGCCAACAGGAGCCCAGGGCCCCAGCGCTCCCCTCCCTGCCAGGGAAACAGCCCATAACGACAGCCTTTCCTGGAGCCTGGGTTGCATCAGCCGAGCCGCCAGCCACAGGGCCCCAGCAACGGCACCTGGGCCCGGGGCCTGGCCTGCCGGGGACACTCGGCTGTGCGCACCTCGAGGGGCTCTACAGCCTGTGGGGCCGCGCCTGCCTCTCGGGGCTTCCGGGCGATTCCTCCTTCTCCTCCGTGGTGTGTGCTGTGCAGACGGGGACCGGGCCAGGCCAGACGCCGGATCCAGAGCAGCTTCCCAGACAGGCCACCCACCCCTCCGAGGCCTCCCTCAGTCCCCTGGCGGGAGTCCCCGGCCTTCCGGGCCTCTCTCCCCTCCCTTCCCACCCCCAGGAGGGGAGAGGACTGAGGCCTGGGGTCACTGCCGCACCTGCGCTCTGAGACCTGCACTCGCCCAGGCCGGAGTCCCCACGAGGCAGGAACCCTGGCATGCGGCCGGCAGTGCCCACAGCACCCAGTCAGCCGGGAGGGGTCTCACCCCACAGCCCCCCGCTCCTCCCCTCCACACCCAACCACAGTCCCTCCTGGCTGACACCGTGGCCCCTCCTGGCCTGTGCTCCCCGGGAACCTCAGTCAGTGTCACTTGAACTCCAGCACCGGACCTGGCCCCGTCCATCCAGCCTCTGCCCCGAGAGCCCCGCCCGTATCTCCAGAGGACACGCCCTGCCAGGGGACAGGCGGGAGCAGCTGAGGGCCGCCCGGGGAAGGAAGGCAAGGAGGGCATGTAATCGCCTGACCACATGGCCGACCCCCTTGTGACCTCATGACCCCCACCACCTTCATGGCCGACCCCACCTGACCTCATGGCCGACCTGACCTGACCGCACGGCTGACCCAACCCCATCTCATGACTGACCCCACCTGACTTTATGGCTCACCCCAGTGACCCCATGGCCAACCCCACCTGACCTCATGGCCGACCCGATCTGACCTCATGGCTGATCCTCATGACCTCACTGACCCCCCTGACCTCATGGCTGACCCCCCAGGAGGGCTCCCAGAAGGCCGAGGGCTGGGGGCAGGGGCAGAGCCCAGGTGAGTCCAGGAGGCCGGAGGGGCTGCAGGTCCGGCAGAGCCAGGGGGAGCGGCCTTTGACGTTGGCAGAGGTGGTGCCAGGGTGGGGCCTGCCAGGGCGTCTGAGGCTCAGGGGCAGACCTTCTCCACTGGCTGACCCAGGAGGGTCAGGGGTCAGAGGCCACAAAGCAGCATGGAGAGGCCGGGAGTGCAGGGGCTGGGAGGGCCAGGAGGCCACAGGGGATCCCGCAGAGCCCTCTCGGCCCCATCCTGGTGGGAGAGGAGCCTGTCCACTGCCTTCCTGGCACCCTCTGGGGTCTGGGGGCCGGTGGGCAGCCCTGGGAGGGCCCATTCTCAGTACTGCCTGGCACTGCGTGGGGTTCCAGAGCCCCCCCTGCCCCGAATCTGAGAATTCTCACTCAAATTAGATGCTGATGCTGCCACCACTGCTGCTTTGGGAAGCAAATCTGTCACCTGTGCAAACGTGGCTGTGTCCGAGTCAGGTCTGGGGGAGCCCTGGGCCCGGCCGGTGCCAGGGCAGGGTCCGCACCAAGTCGAGGCCTCCAGGGAGCAAAGCTGCCCCCCAGCCTGGGAGTGCCATGGGTCTGTGGGTTCCAGCAGGGGACAGTGTCCAGCCCCTCCAAGGGTGCACAGAGACGCCTTCCTGTGGCCACCTCTGGCCGGAATTTCCCACGGGGGTCCCGGCCGTGGCCTCAGAAAGGGGCTCAGCTCCTCCTCCTGCTGGGGCAGCCCTGTGCCTTGAGGGAGGAGAGTAGTCAGCGGTGGCGGGAGGCCACTGTTAGCTAGAAGCAGAGCCGGTTAGAAGTTGACCTTGAATGGGTTTTTTGGGGATTTTGGGGTTTTTTTAACTGTCGTTTCACCTCCGCTTGGGGAAACATCCAGGTGGCTTTGCTGGATCTGCTGGGCCGGCCAGGAGAGGCATGAAGGCTGGTGCTTGGGCCCAACCCAGAAATGCACAGACACTGGGGGCTGCTCTGGAGGGGCTCTGCCTGGGCAGAGGGCGGGAAGCGGGTGCAGGGAGTGGGGACTGGGCAATAAGGACTCTTAGGGACTTGGGCCTGCTCTGAGTGCAGGGCTGGCCCAACTCACGCATCCTTACTGGCTGCACTGGTGCAGGGTGGCCACGGGGCCAGTGGGCGTCGTGGCACCAGCCAGGCTGCGGGCATCGGCCGTCGGGGGCAGTGCCTTTAGCTGCGAGGACCCAGGGTTCTGGGCGCACTTTGGAAGCACAGCCTGCTCTCCCGAGGGCTGGGATGTGGAGGATCCCAAGGTTTGGGAGGCTGGCGGGGGCAGGTCCAGGGAAGCTCGGCATCTGTGCTCAGGTTTACATGGACCTGGGTGGCCCCTGGCCACTTGCACTTGCAGAGGGCGTTAGAGCCTAGGGACCAGGTGACACCAAGGACAGCCCTGGGGCGGTGGGTTCAGAGGTCAGAACAGGAGGGGCCAGAAAAGGAGCCACCAGGGGCAGAGAGGTGGGAAGTGGGACCTCCGGTGCCTGGAACCCAGGTAGGAAGGTGGGGACCCCCGGTGACTGGAACCCAGGTAGGAAGGTGGGGACCCCCGGTGCCTGGAGCCCAGGTAGGAAGGGGGGGACCCCCGGTGCCTGGAGCCCAGGTAGGAAGGTGGGGACCCCCGGTGCCTGGAGCCCAGGTAGGAAGGTGGGGACCCCCGGTGCCTGGAACCCAGGTAGGAAGGTGGGGACCCCCGGTGCCTGGAGCCCAGGTAGGAAGGTGGGGACCCCCGGTGCCTGGAGCCCAGGTAGGAAGGTGGGGACCCCCGGTGCCTGGAGCCCAAGGGGAAAAGTCCTCAAGGCAGAGGTCCCAGCCCGAGGTGCCAGCCCTGCTGAGGGGCCGAGCAATGTGGGGTTGGGGGATTGGAGTCAGTGAGTCTGGACCCATCTTCCAGGCCCTGCAGCGGCCCCAGCCTGCTCCCCACAGGTGGACGACAGGACTCAAGCTGCAGTTTGCAAGGGGTCTGATAAAAAGAGGGAGGGTTGGGGGGCACAAGGGCCCTCCTGCCGGGACTCAGTGTAAGTTGCTGAGGAGAGAGGATGGCGCCCGTCTTGGCTGTTGAGGCTCATATTGTTTGGGGCTCTCCTTAAGAAAAAGCACAGGCCGGGCGCGGTGACTCACACCTGCCATCCCAGCACTTTGGGAGGCCGAGGAGGAAGGATGGCTTGAGCTCAGGAGTTTGAGACCAGCCTGGGCAACACAGAGAGACCCCGTCTCTACAAAAAATGAAACAACTTAGCCACGTGTGGCGGCGCCTGTGGTCCCAGCTACTACCCAGGAGGCTCAGGTAGGAGGATCACTTGAGCCCAGGAGGCTGAGGCTGCAATGAGCCGAGATCATGCCACTGCACCCCAGCCTGGGAGACACAGTAGACCCTGTCTCAAAAAAAAGGGAAGAACAAGAGTTCAGAATAAAGCATGAAAAATTGGAAAGAAGTGAAATATTTATTTACAACCTGAAACAAAATCACAATAAATGGCAAGTTTTGAAAAAAAGCTGATGAATACGCCACAAACGTCACACAATCTAGAAGGCTGGATGGGCCGGAGCCCGTGGATCCCGCCACAGCAGGTGGGGGTGGAGAGCCGAGGTGCCGGTGCGTCCCTGGGTTGCCGCACGTATATCCCTGAGCTCGTCCACCCAGCAACACCCCAGGAGCCGCAAGTTCACCCACACCCAGCCCTTGGCTTCTAAATCCCATTCTCCACCGGGAGGAACCAGGCTGATTCCTGGGCTGTGCAGAAAAGATACAGGAGGAGCCTGGAGCATCTTGCAGTACTGGGAAGCAAGGAAGGACTCAAGGAATGACGGAGAGGACAGGAGCAGAGCTGGACAGCCCGTGACCCGCAGCGGAAGCAGGAGTGCCGGGGTCGCCCTGAGGGCTGTAAAGTAAGTCAGTGGGGAGCAGAGAAGCTTCTCCTCACGGTAGAATGCGGCTGATGGTGTGGAAGGAATGAGGTTCCTGGGAAACCGCCGTGGGTGACTGTCGGGAGCAGGACTCAGCACCACTCTGTGCCTTCCTAGGGCCACGAGGACCTGAGCCCCGCGTGCGACGTCCTGGCCCGGAACCTGCGAGGGCGTCGGGGAATGGCCCAGGCACGTCCCGGGCTGATGGAGATGAAAGAAAATAATGGCTCATCATGTGACCCGGGTCCTGCCTACAAATGGGGACGAGGTGTGGGAAGGTTGCAGCCTGCACTCGGACTGCGGGTGTTTGGGGGTGTGGGAAGGTCTCAGCCTGCACTCGGACTGCGGGTGTTTGGGGGTGTGGGAAGGTCTCAGCCTGCACTCGGACTGCGGGTGTTTGGGGGTGTGGGAAGGTCTCAGCCTGCACTCGGACTGCGGGTGTTTTGGGGTGTGGGAAGGTCTCAGCCTGCACTCGGACTGCGGGTGTTTGGGGGGCCTCTGTTTGCAGCATGGACACCCGAGTTTCAGGATAAGAGCGTCAGGCCCAGAAGAAGCAGCACCTGCAACTCTTCTGCAGAAATTATTTCAGAATGAAAAGAAAGAACTCCCACGAAGGAAAGTCTCTAAAACTAATAAACGAGGAACCGAGGCCCCAGCCAGTCCTCCAGCCCCCGAGGGAAGGAGGAGGGAATGAAGTGGGGTCCGGGATCAGAGGTCAGGGGGGTGCAGTTGCCACGGGGGCACCCTGTGTGGCATGAGCAGCCGAGGGGGACCCAGGGACCTGGTGAGGGTGCGAGAGGGAGGGGCTGGGGCGAGTCACCCCAAACAGGAGGCCTTGCGGAGAGGAATAGACAGGGCCAAACACCCCGGAAATTCAGGCAGGTGGGTGAGGAGGCTGGGACACAAGCTGCGGGGCCTGGAAGCTGAAGGTGGGGACAACTGCAGACCCCTCCCCAGCCCGAGGGGAGGAGGTGGCTGAGTGGCTGGGGTGGGTTTGCTGGAGGGCTGAGGGTCCGCGGGCCCGCCCCGTGGTGGGAAGGGGCAGAGGAGGGCAGGTCCCGTGGTGGGAAGGGGCGTGGTGGGAAGGGGCGCCCCATGGTGGGAAGGGGCGTGGTGGGAAGGGGCAGAGGAGGGCAGGTCCCGTGGGTCGAACGCCAGTGTCCTGGGAGTCTGGGGGTTCCTGCAGGTGACACAGATGTGGGGTTGGGACGTCAGGAGGTTGGTTTTGGGGATGCAGCAGTCGGAGGCTATGAGGATGGGGAGTGTCTGCAGCCCTCCCTTGGAGGAGGGGGAGGCGTGGGGGCTGGTCAGAGACCCCATGGGGGTGCTGAGTGTGGGCTGCAAGGCTGGCAATGGAGGGGGGCTGCCCAAGGCCCCCTTCCAGGTACTCTAGGCCCTGCTGAGCAGTGGAGAAGTTTGCTGTGAGAGCACGGGGCTGCAGGCCAGGTGAGGGGTGGCCAGTGGAGGCCTGAGCTCAGGAAGATCCTCGGCCTCCAAGGCTCCCCAGCCAGGCCGCTCCGGGTCTGGGGCTCCTGGTGCCCTGGAAAGGTGGGAGGTGGTGGCCCAGGGGTGCACAGAGGCCTCCAGGTCCGCCGGCCGGGTAGGGCCGCTTCCCGTCTCCCCAGCGGGTGCATGACCTCAGGCCCAAGCTGCACACCTGTTTGCAGGGCACACACAGACACACAGGCCCACCCAGGTGGGTCCCAGCACCTGCAGGAAGGCCTTGCCTGCCCTGTGTTCCTTCCTGGAGGCTGGTGAGTCATCAGCCGTCCCCACCTAGAAAGCCTCCCAGCAGGGCTGGCCCCACCCGGCGAGGGGCAGGAGGGCTCACCCTGTCGGCTTGGGCCCCCAAAGCAGGCCCCGGTTTCCCCAGCAGAAGACTGGGAGCCCCAGACCCAGAGCTTCTCGGTCTGGCAGGGGGCAGGCCAGGACCATCCGAGGGCTAGGGGGACACATGGGGCTGTCTCGTCCTCCCCAGGGCCCCATTTGGGAGGAGGCCAGACCTAGGGCCTGAACCCTCACAGGGGCTGCAGGGGGATGCAGAGCTGGGGCCCCCTCACTGGCCTCTTCCAGGGCGTCCACCCCAAGGCCTGAGGGGGCCGTCCTGGTAGCTTTCACGGCTGTTCCTCCCAAAGACAAAAAGTGGCCGCCCTGGAACAGCTCTGACCCCGGGTGTCCTGTCACCCACCGGACCTGAGGGCAGCCTCGGACTCCCTGGGGACCCTGGGGCAGCCGCCCTCATCCCTCTCTCAGGCCCCAAGTCCCCAGATTCCCTCTGGGCCTCTAGGAGCCTGGGAGGGGGTGCCGGGGAGCAGAGGTGAGGGGCCGGGAGGGGTCCTGGCGAGCAGCAGGGCTGCGTCTAGGGCCTGCGTGCCCGGTGGGGCTGCTGCCGGGTGATTTGCCTGAGACATTTCCATGGCTGCTTTGGTTCTGCGGGCTGGGATTTCCATGCCTGCTCCCTCCCAGGCGTCGTGAAGCCTGCAGCCCTAGGTTCTGTTTCCGCCAGGTGCCCTCACCTTCTGGGACCCGGCCGAGCCCTGGGAACACTGGCTGGGGAGCAGTTACCCAGGGCCCATGGTGCTGAGGGTCACCGACCGTCCCTTGAGGCTCCCCGAGTTTGGTCCTAAGGGCTTGGTCTGGAGGCATCTCTGGTCCAGAACCTCAGGACTCACGGTGTGTTTAAGAACCAGGTCAGCAGCCCCTGGGGTGGGCCCTGCCCGTCTGTTCCGAGGAGCCACCTGGGGGCCCTTCCTGCGCAGCTCAGGATGTCTGAGAAGCCCGGGGTCCTCACCGCTCAACGGCCTTCTCCGGCACCCAGATCTCGGGCTCCAGGCCCCTTCCGCAGTTCACCTGTCCCGGGCCCCCCACCCAGCAGGAGTGCCGCCTGCCTCCCGCACGGCCGGCCTCCGTGTCCCAGACAGGGTTTGCCTCCAGGGTCCCCTCCCCACAGTCTCTTGGGGCAGGACCCCTGGCGAGTTCCCCGGAGTCGAGGCGGCAACCCCAGCAGACAACACGTGGAGGTGACGGTGGCACTGCCAAGCCCAGGCCAGGCTCTCAAGAATGCTCGGGCCCAGCCAGAGCCTCAGGGTGAGCTCAAGGCACCAAACCCAGAACGGCCCCACCCAGGGGGAGCGTGGAGTGCGAGGAGGGGCAGCCACGGTCCGTTCTGTGGCCTCGGCTCTCCAGGACTCGGAGGCTCCACGCCCCTTCCTGCTCTGCCCAGCCTGGGGCTGCCCCGCTCCCCTCTGCCTCTGTCTCCTGCTGCCCCTGGGGCCTCCGTCTCTGTCTCCTGCTACCCCCGGGGCCTCCGCTCACAGCAGCCACTTCTGCCACCAGCAAGACATCAACAAAGGTCACTGGTGGGACTTTAAATACACATTTAAATAGACTTTTTATTTCTAATAATTTCTGATCAACAGAAAAGTTGCACAGGGGTTTCAAAGATCACAGAGACCTGGCGTCACTGTGAGACCCGCACGTCAGCTGGTCCGTCTGTCGCAGCAGCCAGTGATGACCAGCAGCTAAACCCCACACGCTGGCCAGCCTTTTTCCCTCCTGTCCTTTCCGTCCCAGAACCCCATCCAGGCCCCGTGGCCTCGTCACCTCTCCTTGGTCTGTGACAGCTTCTCAGACTTTCCTTGGTTTAGCAACCTTGACAGTTTTGAGGAGTGCTGCTCAGGTGTTTTGTAGAGAGTCCCTCAGTTTGGGTTTGTCTGATGTTTTTCTCATGATTATACTCTGGGGTTATGGGTTTTGCGAAGAGGAGGATGGAGTCCTAAGTTCCAGAGCCCAGTGTCCCATCACCCCATTGAGTCCGGGTTCCAGGCTCTCCACACAACCCAGCTCTATCATCCCATCGGGGATCCACGCTCTCCACACGACCCAGCTCTATCATCCCATCGGGGATCCAGGCTCTCCACACAACCCAGCTCTATCATCCCATCAGGGATCCACGCTCTCCACACGACCCAGCTCTATCATCCTCTCAGGGACCCAGGCTCTCCACATGACCCAGCTCTATCATCCCATCAGGGATCCAGACTCTCCACATGACCCAGCTCTATCATCCCATCGGGGATCCAGGCTTTCCACACGACCCAGCTCTATCATCCTCTCAGGGACCCAGGCTCTCCATACGACCCAGCTCTATCATCCCATTGGGGATCCATGCTCTCCACATGACCCGGCTCTATCATCCCATCGGGGACCCAGGCTCTCCACACGACCCAGTTCTATCATCCCGTCAGGGATCCAGGCTCTCCACACGACCCAGTTCTATCATCCTCTCAGGGACCCAGGCTCTCCACATGACCCAGCTCTATCATCCCATCGGGGATCCAGGCTCTCCATACGACCCAGCTCTATCATCCTCTCAGGGACCCAGGCTCTCCACATGACCCAGCTCTATCATCCTCTCAGGGACTCAGGCTCTCCACATGACCCAGCTCTATCATCCCATTGGGGATCCAGGCTCTCCACACGACCCAGCTCTATCATCCCATTGGGGATCCACGCTCTCCACATGACCTGGCTCTATTATCCTCTCAGGGACCCAGGCTCTCCACACGACCCAGTTCTATCATCCCATCAGGGATCCACGCTCTCCACACGACCCAGCTCTATCATCCTCTCAGGGACCCAGGCTCTCCACACGACCCAGCTCTATCATCCCATCGGGGATCCAGGCTCTCCACACGACCCAGCTCTATCATCCCACCGGGGACCCAGGCTCTCCATACGACCCAGTTCTATCATCCCGTCAGGGATCCAGGCTCTCCACACGACCCAGCTCTATCATCCCATCGGGGACCCAGGCTCTCCATATGACCCAGCTCTATCATCCCATCAGGGTTCCGCGTTCTCCACACGACCCAGCTCTATCATCCCATTGGGGATCCAGGCTCTCCACATGACCCAGCTCTATCATCCCATCAGGGATCCACGCTCTCCACATGACCCGGCTCTATCATCCTCTCAGGGACCCAGGCTCTCCACACGACCCAGCTCTGTCAACACTCCCCTCCATCACCCAGCTGAGGCTGTGCCCATCAGGTTTCTCCACTAGTGGGACTGTAAACAATTGCATTTTATTTTTTTATTTTTGAGACAGGGTCTCACTCTGTCACCCTCCTGGGCTCAGGGGATCCTCCCGCCTCATCCTCCCAAGTGCTGGGACTCCATTGCGCACTCCCATGCCCAGCTAATTTTTTGTATTTTTTGTAGACACAGGGTTTCACCATGTTGCCCAGGCAGGTTTCCAACTCATCCCCCAGTCTTGGCCTCCCAGTGCTGGGGTTACAGATGTGAACCATGGCACCCAGCAAACAATTGCATTTTAATTCCAGATATTGAAAAATGCCGCAATTCATTGTTAGTATTATTGCTGTGCAAAGCCAAAATCAACTGGGATTTCATCACTTTTCACACAGCAGACCTTCTGCCTGGAACCGTCCCGTGGCTGTGTGTGCTTTGCACATTCTCTTAGCAAACGTTTACTGGTGGCAAATGTTCTCAGCTCTCTTCTGGTTGTTGTTTGTTTTGCTTTCTGGCCAGTGCATATTGTAAAGCAGCTGTTCCACTGTCTTCTGTCTCCATCATGCTGTGGGCATGTCTGCCACCAGTCCCACCACTGGTCTTTGGAAGTGAACCTGTCTCACTCTTCCCTGGCTGTTTTCAACTCTTCATTGTTGGCTTTCAGGATGGCTCACGTGGGCGGCAAGCTGGGGATTTCTGTGTATTTATCCGGCTTAAGATTCATGGGGCTTCTTGAATCTGTGTTTGGATGTCTTTTAACAGTTCTGGAAAATTCTCAGATAGTATCTCTTCAAATATTAATTTCTCCCATTCTCTCTTCTTCCAAGTCTCTATATTTTATATATGTATTTCACCCTCCCACCCTTATCCATATTGTCTTTTAAAAATATCTCTAGCCAGCCAGGCATGGTGGCTCAGGCCTATAATCCCAGCACTTTGGGAGCATGAGGTGCATGGATCACCTGAGGTTGGGAGTTTGAGACCAGCCTGATCAACATGGAGGAACCCCGTCTCTACTAAACATACAAAATTAGCCAGGCGTGGTGGCGCATGCCTGTAATCCCAGCTACTTGGGAGGCTGAGGCAGGAGAATTGCTTGAACCCCGGAGGCAGAGGTTGCAGTGAGCCAAGATTGTGCCATTGCACTCCAGCCTGGGCAACAAGAGTGAAACTCCATCTCGAAAAAAAAAAAAAAATCTCTAGCCTTCATTCTGGATAATTTACACTTACCTGTCTTCCAGTTCCCCAATTTTCTTTTGCTTCCTTCCTACCTTCTTTTTCTTTTTTTTTGACAGAGTCTGGCTCTGTCACCCAGGTTGGAGTGCAGCGGTGCAATCTCGGCTCACTGCAACCTCCGCCTCCTGGGTCCAAGTGATTCTTCTGCCTCAGCCTCCTGAGAAGCTGGGATTACAGGTGCCTGCCACCACACCTGGCTAATTTTTGCATTTTTAGTAGAGACAAGGTTTCACCATGTTGGCCAGGATGGTCTCAAACTCCTGACCTCAGGTGATTCTCCCGCCTCGGCCTCCCAAAGTGCTGGGATTACAGGCATGAGCCAACGCGTCCAGACCCCAGTTTTCTTTTCAGCAATTTTAAATCTTCTGTTAAGCCTATCCATTGAGTTTTAAATTGTGGTTATATTTTCATTTCTAAAAGCTCATTGTCTTTTTAAATCTACTACATAATTTTTATAAGCTAAAGTTCTCTGCAAATATAAAACGTCTTTTTTTGTTTTCAACACACTGATTTTAGTGTTTTTTGGTCTGTGTCTGATAATCCAATATCTCAGGCCCCTGTGGGGCTTGCTGGTGTCTGATTCCATCCGTTCTTGCTTATATCATATCTTTGCGAGACTGGTTATCTTCGACGGCGTGCTGGTCATTGTACTTGAACAAGTATCTGTAGGACGATTTGATGCCTCGAGCAAAGGCACTGCCCCATTCGGCTTTCCTCTGCCAGACACCTGGGACAATACTGCCTGGGCCTGAGTGGCCTTTGGAAGACCACTGTGGAAGTGACTTGAACTGGGGCTGCGAGGATGGAGTCACTTCACTTCGTCCTCACTTTGGGAGTGGAGCCCTTTGGGACTCCCAGGTTTTGTGGGGAGGGTCTCCTGGTGGATGATTTCCACATTGGAACAAAAGTTCACATCTGCTGACCCCCGAGGAACGTGGCAGAGTGCTCTAGGCAATATTTTATCCATGGCTTTGGCTTAGTGAGTTCTTACCAGCTCCTTGGCTCTTCGAAGCTTTAATCGGATGGTTGAACATTTCAGTACTTTTCAGCCAGCAGGTGGATCTGAGAACCTCCGCCAGCACGCCTGCAAACAGGCCACCCCTGTGGGCACTGGCCATGTCTCCTGCCTGGGGCACTCTCTCCCTTTGGCCTTCAGGACCCCACACTCTTCCCATCCAGGAGTCCTGGGATTCCTCAGGGCACCGCCAACCTGACCACAGCCTCCGTTCCCTCGTCATCAGGCGAAGCCAGTGCACTTCCACCCAGGCTCTGCCGGGCGCCGTAACCAGCATGGAGTCCCCACTCGGGAAACTCCCACTCAAACTACACCTGCTCAGCTGGAATCTGCAGGAAATCTGTGCCGACGACACCAGGGAAGAGTGTGCACATTCTTCCCAGCCTCCAGACGCCTTGTCCCCATCTCCATCCACCCCCTCCATTTCCCCGGCACCAGCACCCCAGCCCGCTGGTTCCCAGGAATGCCTGTGCTCCGGTGGCTGAGTGGGCTGAGCCTCAGAGGCACGTGGTGACCGGCTGCCCACAGGCTGGGCTGGGAGGCCATAGGGTCACCTCTGGATTTGAGCCTCAGAGGCACGTGGTGACCGGCTGCCCACAGGCTGGGCTGGGAGGCCGTAGGGTCACCCCTGGATTTGGCGCCCTAGAGGCCTCTGGGGACGAGGGTGGCTGTGGAGGACTGGGGCAGATCTCAATGAATAACTGAGAAGAAAACAAAGGGACAGGCTGCAGATCAGGCTCCCGGGAGAGGGCTGTGTCTCAGACCACGGGCAAAGCTTCCAGACTTTTGGTTAACGCCTTTCTGAGAATTCAGTAGAGGCCGTGGCTAAGCCTCACAGCTATCAGGGATACAGCCCTGGGGGAGGACATGGGAGCTTCAGGGCCTCAGGTGGAGGTGGGTCCGGTCAGGGTGAGCCAGGCTGAGGAGGCTGTGCTGACCCACAGGCCCCAGCTGGACACGGGCAGGTCCCAGAGCTTGGTTCAGGGCAAGAAGGTGGGGGGAAGGTGGGCCAGCACTTGCTTAGGGGGGCGGGGGGAGGTCCCGGGCACTGGGCTGGTCCGCCCTGTGGCAACCCTCTGTGGGCAGACCCAAGGTCGCACAGCAGGACCAGGACCCAGGACCTCGGGCTGGGGACAGAGTGACCTTCTGGCTTGAACCGTGGTGCCCTGAGCTTGCAGTGGCCAACAGGTGCCTGGGGTCTTGGGTCAGGTGGGAGGAGCCGGGACAAAGTGGGAGAAAAGGTAGCTAGCTGGAAGAGGGTGCAGGAGGCCCCCCGCTCTGTGCAGCATTAAATCATGGTGGGGTCACCTGCCTTGTCTGGCAGCATGGTAGAAGGGCATGGCCTGGGCGGGGAGCACTGGGCCCTGGAATCAAGGTCCAGAGGCAAAGGCAGCAGGTGGATCCAGCGAGCCCTAGGGACTGCAGCCCCGCCCCCAGCCCACCCATCCCGCCCCCAGCCCACCCATCCCATCCCCGCCCACCCATCCCATCCCCGCCATCCCCGCCATCCCCGCCATCCCCGCCATCCCCGCCATCCCCGCCATCCCCGCCATCCCCGCCATCCCCGCCCCCAGCTCCGCCCCAGCCCAGCCCCTCCATCCCCGCCCCGCCCGCAGCCCCGCCCCAGCCCTGCCTCCCATCGGCCTGGAGGCTCCCTGGCCTTCCTGCCGGGGTGGAAACGGGTGTCTGCTACCGGGGTTCGTGTGGAGCAGGAAGGGGGAAGGCGACGAGGTGGAAAAGACCGCTGGGCGCCCCGAGGAGGCGGAGCTGCTGGGAGGGGCCTCCCTCCGCCCGATCCTGTTTAATCTCAAACTCTAGGCCCTGGGGACGCGCCACCCTTCCCGCCGAGGAGACTGGGTTTTCCTCCCAGGGTTCTCCAAGCAAAGCCTGTCTGTGTTCCAGGCTGGTGCTGACTAGAGGAGGCAAAGCCAAAATTAGCCCCAGGCCCTCCCTCAAGTAGTGAAGGGGCCACCGGGCCTCCCCTCAACCCGTAGGGGGTCACGGGCCCCGCCCCGCTCCCGGTCAAGACCCTGACATTGCGGAGGGTCAGGAGGGGGGAGCGAGGATCCGGGGCCTGGCACCCTGGGTGGGGCACCGTCCCCAGGGAGGGTTGGGCAGGCGCCCCCAGCCTCCAGCCATCCCGCCCGCTGTGGGCGCCCCGGTGGCCGAGGAGCCAGGAGCGGCTCCCGGGGCTGTGCGCGGAGAACCCGGAAGAAGCGGAGGAGCCCCGGGCGGCGCTGAGCTGTGTCCCTGCCTGAGGGGGGCCCCAGCCCTGAGCCCGCAGCTCCAGAGGCTCCTGGGCCCTCCCCTTCTTCCCAGCACCGTCCCAGGGGGAAGGTAGCCCCCGGCGCAGGCGGGACCCTCGGCAGTCTGGCCCAAGAAACGGGGACCCTGTGGCTTCCTGTGTCTGGTGCCATCAGGAAGTAGCCCCGAGCCAGAGCACAAAGGGCCTTTGTCCTGCCTGCCCCGCCCAGCGAGACCTCGGGCCCAGCCAGGGCTGGGGGCTGGGGGCTGGGTACCCTCTGGCCGGCTCTGCCACCAGCCGCCAGCCTGGTCCCCGGAGAGCCACACCCCCTCCCCTCCACGGTCCCCACCCGGCTGCCATGACAATGTCCTACCCAGCAGGAGGACCAGGCCGGAACCTTTGGCAGCCACCAGTTCCTGGAGATTCCGACACCAAGTGCAGCCACTGTGCGGGGCCGGGTGTGGAGTGGCCCCACACCGACCAGCTCACGCCAGCTGGCAGAGCCACTGGGCCCCCTCCGTGGAGGAGGAGAGAGGCCTCGGGCGCCACGCGCTGTGCCCCAGGGCCACTCACTTCCTTGGTAGGTGGGGGATGCCGGCCTGGGCCTCCCGAGACTTGAGCCCTGCCCCTGCCCTTGCCCCCAGAGAGACCTGTGCCAGCGAGCGTCCCAGGCCTCCCCTCCCTGAGCCTTGCACCCGGGCGGTGCGGGGGCCCTGCTGCACCCCAGAGCGGGCATCAGCCCTCAGCCACTCCGTTAGCAATCCTCCCCCCAGCTCAGGGCCTCAGAACTGGCCATCCACGGAGCTCAGAGGCACCCGAGGGCCCTGGGGCCTGGGTAGGGACTGGCCAGCTCGGGGTCCTCCAGCAGCCATACCCAGGTTCATCCAGGATGAAAGCAGGGCAGTGGGAACCACGTGATTGGTTTAAAAGCAGGTGAGGGGCCGGGCATGGTGGCTCATGCCTGTAATCCTGGCACTTTTGGAGGCCAAGGCAGGCGGATCACCCGAGGTCAGGAGTTTGAGACTAGCCTGGCCAACACGGCAAAACCCCTGTCTCTACTAAAAATACAAAAATTAGCTGGGCATGGTAGTGCACACCTGTAGTCCCAGCTACTCTGATGGCTGAGACAGGAGAATCACTTGAACCCGGGAGGTGGTGGCTGCAGTGAGCCGAGATCGCACCACTGCACTCCAGCCTGGGCAACAGAGCCAGACTCCATTTAAAAAAAGAAAAGCAGGTGAGGACGTGTGAGCAAGTCTGGGCCATGCTGCCAAGCTCCCGCTTCTCCGAGCAGCTCCACACAAGGAGCAGAGGCAGCTCCAGTTCCACAGCCAGACACAGTCATTTTCCCTCTACTCAGGAATTAGGCAGGATGGTGTGGGGCCTGAGTGTCACCATGAAGCCGGGAAGCAGGTGTTCAGCCAGACGCAAATATTCCTCCTCAAAGCCAGGGGAGCGGCCACAGTGGATTTTATTATGGGGCGACGGGGGCACGCCCAGTGCCCCGCCACTCTCCATGTCCACAGCAGCGAGGGTGGAGGGCCCTGTGCTGTGCAGGGCAGAGCTCGGCTGCACCTGGGCCAGGACACAGCTGCCCAGGTGGGAGGAACCGTGGACGGGGCTGGGGCCTTCCTCGTCCCAGGGCTGGTGAGCTGCTCGCTCACTGTTTCTCAGTTCCAGGTAGACACAGTTTATAATTCTGCAGAAAACTCTGGGGCCTTTTGCCTTTGTGTTTTCTTTTTTGAGACAGGGTCTGACTCTGTGGCCCAGGCTGGAGTGCGGTGGTGCGATCACGGTTCACCGAAGCCTCCACCTCCCAGGCTCAGCAATCCTCCCACAGGTGGGCCCACAGGTGTGCACCACCACAGCCAGCTAAGTTTTAAATTTTTTGTAGAGACGGGGTCTCACCATGTTGCCCAGGCTGGTCTCAAACTCCTGGGCTCAGTTGATCCGCCCGCCTCGGCCTCCCAAAGTGCTGGGATTACAGGCGTGAGCCACCGCACCCGGATGGTGTTTTACCACTGAGGTCAGAGGGCAGACGTTGCTCCAAGCGTTTCGTCTGCGGGTGGAGCTTTGGAACTGATGGAGAAGGCAGAGTCCTGACCAGGGGCCGCCATCAGAGCGCAGGGACGGTCGGGGGGGATGCGCAGGGAGGAGGGAAGGGAAGGAAGGAGGTGCCAAGCCCTCCGCTCAGTGGAGGTCAGTGGAGGTTTGCTTCCTGCTCACACTGGGCCTGATTGGGTCGGAGGGCACGCGGGGGCCGCTGTCTGTCCTCCGTGGGGCCTTGGCTTGTGTCCAAGGGAGGGAGACAGTAGAGGGACCCACGGCTCTGTGAGGCGTTCCCTGGCATGACCTCACCTGTGTGCTCTCTCTCCCTGTCTCAGTCAGAGCTGAACCCAGGCTCCTGTGGACCAAGAGGGGGTCCAGGAAGAACTGCTCCTGGGACCCGGACAGAGCGGAGGCCGTGTGCACGAGCAGCGTGGACCAGAGGGGCCTCGGGGGCCACCTGCTCCGTCCGACCAGGCACCAGTCCTTCCAGACTCGCCTGAGGATGCCCGTGGGCCCCAGCGACACCTGGGGTGCCCCCCACACCCCTGCACCTACCTGAGACCAAGGGTGGTGGTGGGGCTGTGTGCCTGAGTCCTGGCCCTCCCAGGGCCACCCTCAGGAGCGGCTGCACAGGCTCTGGCTGGCCGGGGCTCAGAGCAGCCCACGGAGCCAGGCCCATCCTGGGAGGCTCAGGGCTGCAGCCCATGGACTCATGAGGGGGGCTTCTGGGGTCTAAGGCCAGAAGTGACCTTTCTTCTCACGGAGGCACCCCCACATCACAGGCCCCAAGCTCCCACCAGGAGTCCCCAGGCAGCAGGTTTTCCACCACAGCCGGGAAGAGCCCCGCCTTCACCACCCACCACCAGCCAATCCCGAGACCACCGAAGCCCCCAGACCGGGCCCTTTGCCCCTCCTGCCCCCCGGCTCTCCCTACTGCCCAGAGCCTCCGCCAGCACCCAGGGACCCACGTCCACCTCCCAGAGCGGCCCTGCCCAGGGTCCTTCCCTGCCCTCCACGATTCTCCGTGGCCCTTGGAGAAAGAGCAGCTTCTCCCCAGGCTCTGCCCCCAGCCCTTCCACCCCAGAGCCTCTGCCCAGACGTCCCGTCCCATCCCGGGGGGCTGTCACGCTTCCGCCCCACCTCTCGCCCATTCCCGGACAGTCACAGCCGTGGAACAACGCAGCGTGTGGACACAGCCCCAGGGAAGCTTGACTCTGCCTGGTCCCCATGGCGTGCGGTGGCTCACCAGCCGCCCCCATCGCTCCATGAAATCTGACTACACCTGTCCCAAAAATCAACCAGCTCCCAGGCAGGTCCCGCCGTGCAGGGGGCCAAGGGCCACACCTGGGACCAGTGAGTGAGGCGGCGTGCGGGTAGTGGGGGTGTGAGCCCGAGACGGGGGTCCAGCCTTCTCCCACTTGGATGCCAACAGCAGACTCTGGATTTGGAGGTGTGGGCGGTGCCTTAGTCTCCCCAGAAGACAAGAGCCCACCCGCCGGGTGTGTCCTGACCCCACCCCCACCTGCCCCACACAGACACCTGAGTGGGCATCAGAGTGGGCCGGGCCCTGACTGTCCGGGGGAGGGACTGTTGGGGCAAGGGCAGTGGGTCAGAGGTCACCGGTGCCCCCAGGACCAGTTTCCAGCGAGAAGAGAGCCAGGAGCCCCGGGCACAGGCCCACGGTGATGAGGCTCCTGACCGAGCTCCCAGAGCTCATTATGGAAAACCGTGGGGTCCGCTGGGACCTCTCTGCTGGTCGGGCTAATTACAGACCGTTTGTCGTTTCATTATGGGCTCTTCCTCTGGGAGATGCGAGAAGCAAACACTTTGCCATGGGAGGGGCGCTTCCCGGACCGGGCGGGGGCCCTGCCCTCCCCACCCCCAGACCCCTGGTCCCCCAGGCCTTCCAAGCTCCCAAAGAAAACTTGAACCCCCACTCCAGGGGCTCCAAAGTAACCTCCAGAGCCCAGATGGGGATGTTCCGGGAGCTGCTGGGGCCTCTCAGCTGTCCCTGCCTCGCAGGGAGGCTCAGGAAGGCACCCACACCCCTCCCTCATTCCCCCAGCTGTGGGTCTGTGGGGTCTCGGAGCCTCTTGCCCATTGGGGTGGGACTGGGGGCACGTAGCTCCTCCGAGCCCCTGGCGAGGAGACCGATCCTGAGACCCACCTGGGCCTACGGGGGGTCCCTTCATTGCTCCAAAATTAAGGGCTGCGGGCCTGGAGCAAAGACAGGCAGGTATGGCCCCTGCCCTCTGTCCATGAGAGGCCTCAGCCCCATGGGACAGGGCACCACCGCTGCAGGGAGGCGGCGGGCAGGTTGTGACCCCTCACCCTGGGGCCACCCTACCCGCTTCTAAGGCAGCCTGGGAAGGAGCCCTGCGGAGCTGGGGGGTGGGGAGGCAGAGGTGGAGAGGCGAGAGTTGCCCGCGGCTGCCCCTACCCCTGCCCATGTCGCCCACACTCCACACGGGCCCCACAGAAGCCTTCCCATCCTGGCTTTTGTTCAACCTCGGTGGGCGGCAAGGTGGGGGCGGGACGGAGTCTGCGGGGCCTGCGGGGCCCGGGCCTGCGTCACCGTCACTGGCCCGCCTCCCGCCCGGCCTATGGGAGCCCAGGGGACACACCTGTCGGGGGCCAGGAGCGGAGATTGGCCAGCGGGAGCTCGCACCTGTGTGGGGCGGGGAGCACTGCTCCTTGTAAGGCGAGCCCCCGCCGAGCCGGCTCTTCCCTCCCGAGGCCCCCACCTCGCCACCGCCTCCCATTGTCCCGTCGCCCTCGAAACTCTCCCAGAGACGGGCGAGTTGTCCACCTGTGCAGGTCTGAACTGACTTCCTGTGCCAGGGCCTCGCCTGAGCGGGGGCAGGAAGCTCACCCTTGCAGGTCTCCCCGCGCCAACGGACGCCCTGAGGCCTGACCCTGGCTGAGGCAGAGCACCCAGCTCCGTGGACCGGGACGGACGGGCTCAGGTGCCCCCCATTCCTTCCGAAGCCGGTTCACACCCACCCGGGCCTGGCACAGGGGAGGCGCTGGCTGCAGGGTCGGGGCGGGAGCAGCCTCAACCCGGCTCCTGGGCCGCGGCCGCAGCAGTGGAACCTGTCGGGGCAGGTAAGGGCGGGCAGCGGGGAGGCTGAGGCGCAGGGGGAGGCGGCTCCCTGCAGGGGGGCCCTCGCCAGCCCCCGCCGTGGCCGACGTGGGGCAGGGGCGCAGGTGACAGATGGGCTGTCGCCAGCCTGGCCAGCGTCCAGGGGAGCTCCGGTCACTGCAGACACAGGCTGGAGCGGGTCCTTCCCCCCCCCAGGGAAAGGTGGGCCCCTGCGCAGATGCGGCTGGGTTTCGGGTGTGGAGCCATCTTGGACCCACGGGCTGCGTCTTCCGGGCACGGGCACAGTGTGTGGGCTCCAGGCATGGGGTGCCCTCAGGGCAGGGCCTGGGCAGAGGGCAGGCTCCGAGAGGGGTCACGTTCTTGCCGCCTACCTGACAGCAGGCCTTCTAGAAAGTTCTCTCCAGAAGCAGCCACCGCCGTCCTGAGGCACTTTGTGCGGAGACGGGAAGCTGTCGCCTCAGAGGTGGGTGCGTAGAAGGGTTTGGCCGGGTGCGAGGATGACCGCGTCTCCCTTGGGCTCTGGAGTCTGCGGTGGGAAGGGCTTGGTTTCAGCACCCTCTGGTCAGAGGCCGGCCGAGCCCATGGGCGGTGAGGTTGGTGCCTGGGGTCGTGGCTGGTCTGGTACAGGTGGGGCTCAGCCCGGAGAAGCTGGAGCCGGTTCCCAGGCCCCGCGCTATGACTGGGGTGGGGGCAACGTCTCTCGTGAGGTTTTTTACTTAAATGTGAAACGGCTCAGTACGGTGGCCGCAGCCGGGAACAAGGTCCGACCCACCGAGGCCCAGCCTTGAACTTGCCGCGGGGGCACCTGAACACGGTTTTACAGCCCGGATCACTGGCTTTCTTGAAGTTTGGGAACTGATTGATCATGGTGGCGGGAGGTAAGGTTCATTGTTCTTGATGAACAAAATTCTTAGGGCGTGAAGAGCCGATGCTTTAATTAACCCCCCGGGAGCGTCTCAGGCCTCCCCCCGGGAGCGTCTCAGGCCCCGTTTACGCTGAGTGTCTGGGGAAAGACGTGGTTTGGTTTTGTTTTTCTAGTAACCCAGATGAAATGTTTAAAAGCATGGTTGGCAGCACATTGAATTTGGCAAAATTAAGGTTTGCATTTGTGAAAATGCGGATGCAGTTTGCGGTTCTTTTCAGACATTTTGGTAATTTGCAAATACTTATTTGCGAAACGAGTTTGTCAGAACATTTTTTAGTATCTAGAGGAAGATGAGATGGGCCGAGGAGGTCGCGCACCCCTGGATCCCTGGAGGAGCTGGTGTGTTCTCTGTGGGGCGGGTGGACGTGGCCCGGACACACGGGCCGTGCTCACAGCCGGCCTGCGAGGGCTGCAAATCCACGCCCGCCGTGTGGGTGAAATGGCGGCTTTGCCTCCCAGACGCGTAGCTCCGGCGACGCAGAGGGAAGAACCTGAGTGCCCGCCAGGCCGAGCTCCGCACCCCACCCCCCGGCAGCCTCTGACTCCCGGCTCGGCTCCCGCGGTCGGGGAGGGTTGGATTTCACACTTTGTTCTCGAGGCCGCACCATTGATTAAGCCCGTCGGGCAGGTTAACCAACAAGTTAGGTTTTCACGCCGGGATCACATTCCTCGCCGGGCGCTCCCACCCCACCCCAGCCTGTGCAGGTGGGACCCGGCCAGGCAGGCGGGCAGGGCGGCCAGGTGCGCCGAGGGGCGCCTCCACGGGGAGTGTGCTCCGCAGAGAACCCCTTGCTGGGGCGGCTCTGGGCCTCCTGACTCACTCCTGGATTTTCCCAAGCTGAGTCTGGCCCCGCGGTGATGATTAACCCAACACCTCAACCGGCACCGCCACGCTAGCTCCACTTCCCGGCGACGGTTGACAAGAAAGCGCCGCGTGGGGCTCTCGGAAAACAGGGAAGGTCCGTTTTCGCTTTTCATTTCTTGACCTGTGGCCACGGTAAGACTCGGCCGCCTGCCCACCCGACTCCTTGCCCCTCACCCCTGTGCCAGGCACAAGGCCCTGCGAAATCCTTGGTCCCCCAGCTGAGCCTGCCGGCCCAGGCCACCATCTCCCCACCCAGCCCTGGAGCCAGGGTCGGCCTCTCCTGCTAGCTGCTCGTTGGCTTTACAGCTTCTGCACTCAGGAGGCGCCTGGGAATCCTGCCCTGGAACTTAGGAAGGAGGCTTCTCCCACCTGCCTGCCACACGGGTCTGTCCCTGGGTCCCAGCCTCTGCCGTGTGCCCCTCAGCCTCCCGGGTGAGAACGCAATGACTGATGAGCCTGGGGTGGCCAGGCCAGCTCTGGCCCTGTGGGGTTCCTGAGAAGGCTGGCCCTGGGTGGCCAAGGGCCTGGGGACACTGGCCCCGGGCCCTGAACCTGGCAGTGGGAGGCCGGCCCGTCCGCCGGGTGGGCTGGGAACTGTGTTTGGCCCCAGCTGCAAGGGACGAGTGCCGGGCACCTGCTGCCCTCCCCACGTGACCTGGCAGCCAGGAATGGAGCTGAAATTCAACTCTGCTCTGAACGGGAAGTCTTAGTTTCCTTTAGCTCAGAAAACAGGTGAAATTGTGTTCCTGAAGCACTGATTTGATGGGATTTGATGGCATTGGTGGCGAAGGCCTGTGAGGTGATGGAAAGGGAAAGCCGGGTGCCCTGGAGCCTGACAGGCTGGGGCCAGGGCAGGGGACCTGGTGTGGGGTCTCCGGAGAGGGTCCAGGCGTGAGGGAAGCTGGGTCAGGACCTCGGAGACGTGGCCTTTGGAGGAGGAGACTGGAACCGGGTGGACCCGGCAGCAGGCGGGGGCGGGCGGACACGACCTTTGTTGTGGTCGGCGGGCAGACAGGGGAATCGGCACAGGGCCTGCGCCCCACCTACAGCCTCTGTGGGTGGAAGGTGCCAGAAAACTTGAAGAGTGGCTCTGGCCAGCTCTCTGGGCCCAGTTGGCACCAGGTGGTTGCAGAGAAAGGGTGGGAAGGAGGACAGGAAGGACGGCGTGTCCAGCGGGCGGGGAGCCTTGGTCTGGCCTGAGGGCTGAACCTCCCTCGGGTCCTGAGTGTGCCTGGAGTAGAAGCCTAGGGTCTCTGGGCTCCAGGCAGGGCCCTGAGCAAGGAGGGGCCACAGGGCTGCCCACTTCCTCCTGCCCCCCTGCAGAGGCGGCTCAGCCCTCGCGGCGTCTGAGGCTTGACTGCCTGTGTCTGTGTTTGTGGCCGGTCTGCCTCTGTGCCTGGGTCAGACCCCAGACCAGCAGACACACAAACCGCAGGGACGGCTGGGCAGGGTCAGGAGCCTGCCCCGCCCGCACCCCCACCCACACCCCCACCCCCACCCCCGCCTGCACCCCCTGCCCTCAGACGCTGTGCAGTGAGCGGGGCAGCATGGGAGAGGGGTCTCCAGGTGGC
The DNA here is from genome assembly GCF_000001405.40 of Homo sapiens. Classification (NCBI taxonomy): domain Eukaryota; kingdom Metazoa; phylum Chordata; class Mammalia; order Primates; family Hominidae; genus Homo; species Homo sapiens. Next base: position 1,166,618 of record NC_000001.11, read on the forward strand.
GGGGACCGTTCTGTCTCGAGAGCCTCGCAGACACCGGGCCTTTGAGAAGAGAAGGGGCTGGGCAGGGAAGCAGCTCCTGGAACACCATCCTGGAGACAGAGGCCCTTGTCCCCTGCCTCAGACAAGGCAGCACGTGGGGCCCGGGGGGCTGGGGCTGCTGTCCAGGCCTTCCTATGGGACCACCCAGAGGGAAGGTCCCCCGCAGAGGGGTGGGGGCAGAGGGCCGAGCGGGGCGGGCAGAGGGCCCGTGTCAGCCCCACTCCGACCTAGTCCTCGGCCGTCTGGCCAGGACACTTCGGCCCCCCAGGTGCCCACCCCAGGACCCAAAGCTGGTGGCTGCTGGACTCGGCAGGGCTGGCGGGTGGGGCTCACCCGGGCCCCTGCCCTCCGGCGATGCTGTCCTCAGTGCCCCAGGAGGACGAGGCCCCCCAGCTACTGAGCTTCCCAGCGAGTCCCATGCAACCCTCAGCCGGGCGGCCCCCGGACCCAGCTCGGGCAGCCGTGGCCATCTTACTGGGCAGCATTGGATGGAGTCAGGTCTCTAATACTGCCTGGTAATGATGACGGCGGAGCCCTGCACGCAGCGACCGGCCGACCCCGTCCCGGCCCCCAGGGCCTCCCGCCGAGCCCCACACTCCCCTCCCACACAGCCCGCTCACCGGACCCCACCCCGTCCGGGCCAGATGGCTCTGGGGAGAGTGACGGGGGGACGTGACCTTCGGAAGGGGGCTGGGGCGCCCCCCACCAGCATCTCAGAGACCCCGGAATGCAAGGCCTCCTGCAGCTGCACCCAGGGCGCCCCACAGTGATCTGGGGATTAGGACGCTCAGGTGTCCGGGCCCTGCCCACAGCGCCTGGGCGGGAGCTGCTGTCACACCCAGCAGGTGCGGGCCGAGCAGGACCCAACAGAGGGCTCAGGAGGGCAAGGCCCAACCGGGAGCCACGTGGAACCCAGAGGAAGCCGCCCCACCCAGCTTGGCCACAGCCATCTTCCCTCCTGCCGGACAGGGTGGGCCGGCCACCGAGCAGACCAGTGCCCCCGCCTTGGTCCCGGGTCAGCAGCCCCAGGGTCCCCTTGCCCTGGAGGAAGCAGGGAGGGTGGGCCTGTGTGCAGTCTCAGGGCCCCCAAGCCCCTCTCCGCCAGCCCTGTCCGGTCCCGGCACCACCCCTGGCTGCTCACCGCTCCGGTTCTTCCCTGGGCTTCCACAGCAGCCCCTGCCTGCCTGGCGGGACCCCACGTCCCTCCCGGGCCCCTGTGAGCATCTTACCGGACAGTGCTGGATTTCCCAGCTTGACTCTAACACTGTCTGGTAACGATGTTCAAAGGTGACCCGCCGCTCGCCGGGGACACCACCGAGGCACATCCGGAGCTCCTACTCCAGGGATGGGCTGGGGCGGAGGGCCGAGCGGGGCCAGCAGACGGGTGAGGGCGGAGGGCCGAGCGGGGCCAGCAGACGGGTGAGGGCGGAGGGCCGAGCGGGGCCAGCAGACGGGTGAGGGCGGAGGGCTGAGCGGGCGGCAGAGGGCCTGTGTCAGCTCCGAAGTCCAGCCCCCAGGGGAGGGGCCGGCCTCTGCCGGGGGTGCCCCCGGGGTCACTCACGCCCAGGCTGGGTCTGACACCTTGAGGACCCCTTGGTGCCTCCACAGGTGGCCTGGAGGGCATCCTGCTCCCCCTCCCGGAGCCGCTGTGCCTCCCCCACCCAACCTCCCAGGCTGGGTTTTAGGGTGACCTGGCTCCAGGAAAGGCCATAGGGCTGGGATGCCAGGGCTGGAGAGGGAAGAGCAACAGTGGCCTCTCTCACGTGGTCCGGGCTCCGTGGAGGGTCTGCTGGGGGCGCAGGAAGGACAAGGTGGGTTCAGATTCCCGAGCCCCACCATGCAGGGGAGCGGGGACGCTCTGCGCTTGCCCTCTGAGGGACAAGGGGTCTCATTCCTTCCCCCAGTCAACAAGAACAGGAACTTTGTCCAAAACCCACCAGGCCAGGATGACCCATTGTTTCATCTTTTCCATCTGCAACCAGGGCGCCTGGGACCGCACCCCCACACAAGGCCCCAGCCTGGGGAGGGGGCAGCCACCGGGGAGAGGCTGCCCTTCACTGTTACTCATTAACCCGACCGAGCTTCAGGAAGCCAGCGAGGGGCTGCAGGGAACCTTTGCCAAGAGCAGGGCCTGGGTGACCAGGTGGCTCCCGGGTACCCCCACACAGCCAGGCTGGGCTGGGACCAGGTGCTGGGATGGGGGCTGTCAGGGAAGTGCCTCGGGGGCTCGTTCTGCAGACCCAGGAGGGATCAGGGCAGCTGCAGGAGGTGGCAGGAGCCGCCCCCGGGGCCTTCCCTTCACAGGCCCCGCAGACACCAGCCCAGGACCCGGAGGCCACCCACACCACCGCCGGCCGATGGGCGTCTTACCAGACATGGTTAGACCTGGCCCTCTGTCTAATACTGTCTGGTAAAACCGTCCATCCGCTGCCTGATCACCGTTAGAGGAGAGAGCTGCCTGCCCTGCAGCTCATCAGTGCAAAGCCGCCCGGTCTGGGGCTCTCATGCCCCCCTCACTATGGCCTGTGCCCATCCGCAGCCCATCAGTGCAAAGCCGCCGGGGTCTGGGGCTCTTGTGCCCCACCCTCGCCATGGCCTGTGCCCACCCGGCCTCCTGGGGCCCTCGAGCTGTAGTCCCCGGGCAGATGCTGTGGACCCCGTGCTATCAGCCTGGCCCCTGGGGTCACAGTCACAGATACCCGGAGCCCCACCCCACAGCCCCAGCCCCCTCGCCACCTGGGGAGGCTGAGACAGAAGCAGCTGGGCCCCCCAAAGTGCCTGAGCCCAGGGCACGGAGGAGCACAAATGCCCAGCAGGGACAATGTCACAGCGTCTCAGCGGCCAGGCAGCAGGACGCAGAGACCTCTGGGAGGTTCCCGGGGCCAGCCCTGGCCCTCCTCCTCCAGGGGCCAGCCGTGGGATGCAGACCACACTCTCCCTCCAGGGCCCATCTCTGGGGCTGAGGCGGGCGGGGCCGGTGCCCAGCTGCAAGACCATGGGATAGGGAAGGCAGGTGCTTGGGGCCACGCAGCCCTGCACTGGGGGCCCCTCCACCCCAGGCGGCTCACGAGGTGTCATCTGGAGCTGTCCCCAAGCCGGGATCTGCAGGTTGACCTCCCCCACCCGGGGCTATCTCCAGACCCTCTTTCCTCCCTGGGGAGATGGGGCAGTCCCCCGCAGGGCCAGCTGAAACCACCCCCATGCTGCTGCCGCCTGAGCGACGTGTGTGGGGAAGAACTTGGAGTGCCACCCCCAGAATGTGGCGTCCACCTCACCAGACCGCACGGGTGAGCCCTGGACTGCAAGGTGCATATAACACAAGGTTTGGACACACCTGGAGAGCTCGGGCCAGGCAGGGCCACACCTGTGAGCCTGAGCTCATCCAACACCGCCCGGAGCTCGGGGACCTTCCCCATCCCAGCACCTCCTCACCGCTGTGCCCGTCTGGCCAGTCCCTCCAAGCACCCCTCGGATGAAGTTGCGCCCCACACTGCAGTGGGGCTCACTCTCCACAGCGCCTGCTGCGTTGCACGGGGTGTGACAGGAAGGACCCTGCTGGGGCTGGCGGGGCCGTACCCAGAGCCTCCCTGTGCGGTTTCTCCTCCTCCTCCTCCTCTCCATAAGCACCGGGAACAAAACAGAAAAAAGTCTTTGTATAGTAATAAAGTCTGCAGTTCACGCACCCATGCTTGGACCAGCTCCTTATTTTAACCACACGTGCACAGACCCCCGCCGTGCAAAGGGCCCAGCTGAGGACAGAACCCCAGACACTGCATCCGGCCCCGGAGGCCCCCAAGGTTCCTGGGAGAGGCTCCCTCCCTCCCTTCCCTCCTCTTTCCCTCCCCCTCCTCCTTCCTCTCCTCCATCCCTCCTTCCCCCTCCTCCCTCCTCCTCCTCTCTCCGTCCCTCCCTCCCTCCTTCTTTTGCTCAGGAATCTTCCCTGACTCTCCTGTGGTCAGCTCAGGTCAAGGTTCTGGGGGAAGGGGGAGTCCCTGAGTGGAGACACCTCAGCCTGTGCTGAAGGGAGCTACCGAGGGGGCAGCCGGTGGCCCTGGGGGGCCTCTCTGAGCAGGTGACCAAGAGCGTATGGTGCCGGCCAGCAGGAGCGAGGGCTGCGGACAGGATGGAGGCAGCCAGGCGCCAGCCAGGAGGGCTTCCTGGTCCAGCCACACCTGCCCCGGTGACAGCCACAGGTTGGTGGCAAAGGGGCCACCTCCCTTCCAGTGGCAGGGCCTGGCCTGCCTGGAGACCCCACCCACTGCCCGAGAGGTGCCAGGCCTCCCCCATTCTGCCTGGCCCTGGGGGCTGCACCCACCTGGACACGCGGGCCGGGCACACCCACGGCCCAAGGTCCTGCTCCCACCTGCCCTGCGCAGGAACCTTGCTGGGGCTACAGGTATCCGTGGCTGCCACACCACCCAGATTTTGGGATTAAGGGGCAGAGTTTTCAAGTTTGAACTCAGGAAAGCTGTGAGGGACGAGGTAGTGCCTGGCTGGGGAGCCTGGGGGCTTCTGAGGGCGGTGGGGAGTCCTCAGGCCTGTGTGGGGCCCCAGGGAGGGGAGGCTGCAGGGGTTGGGGGACCTGCCCGCTGCACCCCCTCTCCCCCCACACAAGGAAACCCGTCCTCCGAGGTGTGTGTCCAGATCACATCCTCCAAAGGCCGGTGCGCCACAAAGATGAACACGGGGCTCTCCCTCCCAGCCCAGGGGCAAGGACCCTGCCTTGCTCTGTTCCCGGAAGGGCCAGTTCTGGAGAGGAGCTGGGCGAGTCCTTCCCATCCCCATCAGCTCCTGTCAGGCCACCTGCCTCAGCCTCAGGGAGGAGGGGACACACGTAGGCCCCTTCCCAGAGTCAGAGCTTCCGAACCCGGATCTGCTGCTCCCAGCCTGGAGAGCCACAGCAGCCACCGAAGGAACCCCCCACCCGTCACCCCCACCAAGTGGGCCCTGCTCCCCGAAGGCCCAGCCACTCAGCCCAGGACCTGCCCCAGCCCCACCTGCCACCTGACCTGAGGCTCCCAGAGGGCAGAGGGGCCTCCTGGGTCTGCTCCGCACCAGGGTCCAGCGGGACCATCTCAAAGCTTGAGCACCAGGCGCAAGGTGGGAGTGCGGGGAGGGGACGAGGACACTGTTCCCAGCTGGACAGAACCAGGAGGACGGTGGGAGACGCCCCCCACCGCCCCGCTTCCGAGAGCTCTCTCTTCCTTCCAGGGACTCCCCAGGGACAGCCGGGGCCCCTTCTTCCCCCACAGCTCAGGCCCCAGGGACACAGAGCGGGGAACCCCCAGGCTGCCGCCCCGGCGTGGGTCGGGGAGGCGGCTCCGGAGCGGGCACCACACTCTCGAAAGGGTGGCTTCTCCTCCCGGCTGCTGAAAAACCACACAGGCAGGCACAACAACAGACGCTTACGCCCGCATCTGGAGGCCAGAACTCCAAAGCCACAGGGCAGGCAGGGCTGCACCCCTCTGGGGGCTCCAGGAGAGGACCCTGTCTGCCTCCCCAGCCCCTGCCAGCTCAGGCATCAGTGGCTGTGGCCGTGTCACCCATCTCTGCCCCCCAGTCCCACGGCGTCTCCCCCACGTCTGCGTCTCCTCTCTCCACCTCCCTCTCAGGGGGGCAGAGGCCATTGATTCAGGGCCTGCCCTGGGTGATGTCACTAGAGATCCTGACGTAACCCCACCTGCAAAGCCCCTTCTTCTAAATAAGGTCACATTCGAGGTTTCAGGGCTATGATGTGGTTGTCTTTTGGGGGCACCACCAGCCCCCTGCAAGGGGACCCTAAGCACAGAGGCCCTCGTGACCCACGCAAAGCTCTGAAGGACACGGATGGGTAGGGGACACGTGGCTGGAGGCTCAGAGTTTGAGGCAGAGGGGATCAGACCGTGCCATGGGTCATGCCAGGAGCCCAGGACTCCCAGACCTCGTATCATTAGGTGTTTTAAAGAGAAGGCGAGGGCAGGCCAGGCGCAGTGACTCACGCCTGTAATCCCAGCACTTTGGGAGGCCGAGGCGGGCGGATCACCTGAGGTCAGGAGTTCAAGAGCAGCCTGGCCAACATGATGAAACCCTCTAAAATTAATAATAAATTAATAATAAAATAATTATAATAATATAGAAAATAATATATAAAATAATAAATATATAAAATATAAAACAAAATAAAAATAAAAAATAAAATTAATATTAAAAATACAAAAATTAGCTGGGCACTGTGGTGGGCACCTGTAATCCCAGCTACTCGGGAGGCTGAGGCAGGAGAATTGCTTGATCCTGGGAGGCGGAGGTTGCAGTGAGCCGAGACCGTACCATTGCACTCCAGCCTGGGCAAAAGAGTGAGACTCCGTATTTTGAAAAAAAAAAAAGAGAGAATGTGAGGGTTAAACAAAGACACACAGAGATGGAGAAAGGGCAGCCTTACATCAACACGGGTACATTGCAAACACCTGCAGAGGTGGGGGACCAGCTGGATGCCAGAGCCCACTGCCGCCTACGGGCTGGGGTGCCTATAGGTATGGGTGGGAGCGGCCCGGGCCACACGGCTTCAGGATGAGGCCGTTTGTTTGGCCCTTGTTCCCGCAGAAGGTAATCGTGATGTTCCTCGGTGTTTTTCCCCGCAGAGTGTTCAAGTCAGGTGTCGGGCAGGCTGTTCCTCACGGCCCAAACCCCTGCGGAATGCTTCACTTTGGCCGAGGTCTGTGACACAGCGAGGGGCTTACAGAAAGGTGCAGTTTGGACCGATAGATGTGAGTCCCCCTCTGGGGGGCACTCACTTTGTGGAGCCCCCGGTTCCTGTTTGCAGAGGGGGGCACAGTGGCACCTCGTCCGCTGTGGAGTGAGAACAGGGACCCGACCACGTGAAGCACAGAGAATGCTCAGGGATCGGCAGCCGTGTATCCAGCCAACATCACCAGGGTGCACGCAGAGCCTGGCCCGGGCCAGGTCCTGGGGTGCTGAGCATGGGTGGGGCCTGAGAGACGGCTCAGGGACCATCCTGGGAGGGCCGGGCGGAGGGGCAGCAACTGGGGCTCAGGCTCAGGCAGTCCCAGCAGTGACTGGGAGGCAGCTGTGCCCATGAAGCTGTGCCCTTCTCCAGCCTCAGCCCTCAGCCCGGCTTCCCGGGCTGGCCCCGCCACTCAGCAGCCCCTCCCCATCCTCCGAAAACCCAAGCTCACCTCTGGGTTCCGGCTGGGTGGGGGTTGCCAGGAGACGGTTGCCAGGTCACCACTGTTGTTTCCTGGCCCAGGCTCCCAGGACCTTGTGGGCTGGGCAGGTAAGAAGCGCCGGCGGCCACCAGCTGGGGTCCAGTGGGCTCGGCCCCGCCCTCCTACGCCCTGCCTGCGGGTCCCCTCGGGAGGCTGCTCAGGAGAGGAGGAGGCTGGGGAGGGGACTGGACAGGGATCGGGTAGGGTGGGGCCAGGCTGAGCCTGCTCTGCGGGTCCCGGACCCCAGCGCCACCGTGCGAGAGGCTCGGGTCCAGGCCAGGCCGGGGAACGGTGTGTGTACCCGGTGGGGTGGGAGGGCTGGGCAGCCCTGGGACGAGCTCCGTGGCCTGGGACCAGGTCTGCCTCCGCAGAGCAAGTCCTGGACGGACGGCTGCTTGAGCCCACAGGTCGTGCGTCCTTTGACAGCGGCCTCCGGCCGGGAGGCACCAGCTCTTCGAACAATGTCAGTACCTTCCTAGGGCCCCACGTGGCCAAGCTTGGATTCTGGGGGGAGAACTCGCAGCAGGACACTAACATGTGGTCGCTTTTTGGATGATTTCTTCAGGTTTAAAAGTCTCTTCTGTTCATCCTACCGGGGTGCCGTCTCCTGCCGGTCTTTTCATCTCACCAGGTAAAACGCTTATTTTACAATTTATTGTAAGGTCGTGCACCAAGTTTCCACGCCGCCTTTACACCGTGTCCCCACCGAGGGGCGTCACAACCGTCCTCCACACCGGGCGTCACCGGCTTCCCAAGTCCCACCGCTATAAAGGACACGTCAGTCAGCATCTCGGAGTGAGACGCTTTCCTTCTGGATTCAGAATCGCGTCCGTCAGAGACTCCAAAGCACATTTGCTAGATCGACAGGCGTGAGGAGCCAGCGGCTCCCGGCGCTTGGGAGGCTGCGTCCCACCTGCATTCAGGCCCCGGGTTCACCACACACACAGCGGGCAGCTGCTTAAGAAACCTTTGATTTCAGTCCGGGGCGGTGGCTCACGCCTGTAATCCCAGCACTTTGGGAGGCCGAGGTGGGCGGATCACGAGGTCAGGAGTTTGAGACCAGCCTGGTCAACATGGAGAAACCCTGTCTCTACTAAAAATACAAAAATTAGCCGGGCATGGCAGCAGGCGCCTGTAATCCCAGCTACTCAGGAGGCTGAGGCGGGAGAATTGTTTGAACCTGGGAGGCGGAGGTTACAGTGAGCCGCGATTGCGCCATTGCACTCCAGCCTGGGCGACAGAGTGAGACTTCGTCTAAAAAAATTAAAAAAAAAAACACCTTTAATTTCAATGACAAGAAATAACAGCTCACAACTTATTTAGTTATTTGTGAACATCATAAGGACATAAAGTTAGAAAAGCCCAAAGGAGGCCTCAGGCTTACGATGAAATCAGCACCTGGCTGCCTCTTCCAGCTGCTGCTTCTTCTGCAGCAGAAGAGACGGAGGCAGTTTCCTGGGTGGGGGGGTGGGTGCTGTGCTTCCGCTTTCTAACTGCCTGTTTCCAAAAAGCACCTGATGCTGCTGCTTCTGGAGCTTCCAGTGCAGAAATTCCCCGTGGACGGTGAAAGGGGCTTGTCTTCCACACGCTGCCCTGTCCATATCATCCCGGCACGAATGATGTTTGGGGCAGAGCTGCCCGGCCTCCCCGGGTGGTGCCCATTTGTTTTCCTCAGAGTTGGCGATCGCCTTGCTTTTCACATGTGCTTGTGTTCCCGCCTATCCTGAGCTGTCCCTGAGCTCTCTGCCTCCCGTCACCCCCACAGTCACCATCACCACAGCCCTGCAGACTGCGCAGTGTGTGGCGGGTGCTGTCCTGACATTACATGTGGAAACTCCATCTTTGCAGCAACCCTGCGAGGCTGCTGCTCCCAGCTGCTGTGCAGGTGGAGAGAGGCTGCTGTTGTGCAGGTGGAGAGGCTGCTGCTCCCAGCCGCTGTGCAGGTGGAGAGAGGCTGCCACCGTGCAGGTGGAGAGAGGCTGCCGCTGTGCCGGTGGAGAGGCTGCTGCCGTGCAGGTGGAGAGAGGCTGCCGCTGTGCCGGTGGAGAGGCTGCTGCTCCCAGCCGCTGTGCAGGTGGAGAGAGGCTGACGCTGTGCAGGTGGAAAGAGGCTGACGCTGTGCAGGTGGAGAGGCTGCTGCTCCCAGCCACTGTGCAGGTGGAGAGAGGCTGACGCTGTGCAGGTGGAGAGGCTGACGCTGTGCAGGTGGAGAGAGGCTGCCGCTGTGCAGGTGGAGAGACTGCTGCTCCCAGCCGCTGTGCAGGTGGAGAGAGGCTGACGCTGTGCAGGTGGAGAGAGGCTGACGCTGTGCAGGTGGAGAGAGGCTGCCGCTGTGCCGGTGGAGAGGCTGCTGCTCCCAGCCGCTGTGCAGGTGGAGAGAGGCTGACGCTGTGCAGGTGGAGAGAGGCTGACGCTGTGCAGGTGGAGAGGCTGCTGCTCCCAGCCGCTGTGCAGGTGGAGAGAGGCTGACACTGTGCAGGTGGAGAGAGGCTGACGCTGTGCAGCTGGAGAGAGGCTGACGCTGTACAGCTGGAGAGGCTGGGGCACACAGTCATCAGGTCAGCTGCAAGCTCACAGCTGCTGCATCTTTTCCCTGACAGCTCACTCCTGTGAGAGTCTTCCAGGCTTCCCGGAGGGACGGATGTCTCCTCACCTTTTCCCACCTCCACACCTTTTCCCACCTCCACACCTGGTAGGCCAGGTATGGAATTCCTGGAATTCCCGGCTGGGAGCCTCCTGGGCCGGTTCCAGCCCTGTGTGTCCCCAGGAAGGCTGGAGGGCTGCTAGTGGCCTCGGTGGGCACCCAGGGCTGGCCAGGACCACACCTCCTTCCTCCGGCTCTGTGCCTGTATCTCCCCGGGCCTCCCCTCTCGCCTGGGGCTCCACGGTGACCCTGCTGTGCGGCACCTCGGATTTACACCCACAGTCCCATCCCCAGGGTTCCCTTCTGGGCAGTTTCCTTGACTTAAATCCCAACCCCGGTGTTGCATTTTTAATTCCCACCGGCTCTTTTGTATTCTCTGTGCCTTTGCTTTAAAAGCACGCGGCTCTCTGAGGGGTCCTGTCTCCATCACCCCAGCCTTTTCCAGGCTGGTTTGTTTCCCTGTTTCTCCCCTTTTCTCTTCCTCTGTGTGCGTCTGTGTGTCTGTGTGTCTACATGTCTGCGTGTCTGTGTGTGTCAGCGTCTGTGTGTGTGGGTGTCTGTGTGTGTGTGTGGGTGTCTGTGTGTGTGTCTGTGTGTACGTGTGTGTGTAGACGTGTCTGTGTGTAGGTGTCTGTAGGTGTGTCTGTGCATGTTTATAGGTGTGTGTGTGCATGTCTGTAGGTGTGTCTGTGCATCCATGTGTCTGTGTGTGTAGGTGTGTCTGTGCATCTGTGCAAGTGTCGACATGTCTGTGTGTGTCTGTGTGTAGCTGTGTGTCTGTGCGTGTGTGTGTGTAAATGTGTCTGTGTGTCATTCTTTTTTTTTTTGAGACGGAGTCTCGCTCTGTCGCCCAGGCTGGAGTGCAGTGGCACGATCTCAGCTCACTGCAAGCTCCACCTCCCAGGTTCAAGCTATTCTCCTGCCTCAGCCCCTCAAGGAGCTGGGACTACAGGCGCCCAACACCATGCCCGGCTAATTTTTTGCATTTTTAGTAGAGACAAGGTTTCATCATATTAGCCAGGATGGTCTCAATCTCCTGACCTCATGATCTGCCCGCCTCAGCCTCCCACAGTGCTGGGATTACAGGCGTGAGCCTCCGCGCCCGGCTGTCCTTGTGTCACTCTTCTTCACACTTGGGAGTCCCTCTGATGATGCCTGTTGGGCCTGGGCAGCCCCTTTGGCTGAGAGTCAGTACTTTAGAGGATCCCCTTCCCCAGCAGGAATCCTGGGTGCTGAGGGCCCATGAGAAGGAGCTGAGGTCTCCCATTTAATGCAGAGTCTTGCACGCACACACCTGCTCCGTGCCTGCGCAGGGTCCAGCCTCTTCCAAAAGTCCTCCTGTTCTGGGTGGGGAGGGGTCTCAGGGCTCCTGACTTCTTCCATTCTTGCCCAGCCCACCCTAGGAAGAGGGCGTGAGGCTCTCCCAGACACAGGTGGGGGGCCCAGCCTGTGTTCCGCTCCTCCCTGAGGACGGGTCCCAGTGGCCCCACCCGACTGGGTCATCGTGCAGACGGCTGCCTCAGTTTCCCCACCTTCCCCTGCCCGTGGGCTTCCTCGTTGTCTCCTTCCCTCCTGTCACTCAGGCGGGGCAGGGAGGGGCAGACACAAAGGCTTCCTGCGGGTGAGATTGGTGCCGAGCTCTGTGCCCAGCCTGGAGCCTCAGGCCTACCCCAGCCTTCTCCAGCCTCAGAGCCCCCACAGCCTCTGCCCAACACTGCCGTGTGCTCCCCTGTCTCCTGGGCGAGTTCCTTCAAACCCTTGAAAGCCCTCACCTAAGCCGGGCACAGTGGCTCACACCTGTTATCCCAGCACTTTCAGAGGCCGAGGCAGGCGGATCACCTGAGGTCGGGAGTTTGAGACCAGCCTGACCAACATGGAGAAAACCCATCTCTACTAAAAATACAAAAAGTTAGCTGGGCATGGTGGTGGGTGCCTGTAGTCCCAGCTACCTGGGAGGCTGAGGCAGGAGAATCGCTTGAACCTGGGAGGCAGAGGTTGCAGTGAGCCTAGATCGCCCCATTGCACTCCAGCCTGGGCCACAAGAATGAAGCTCCGTCTCAAAAAAAAAAAAAAAGTTCTCACCTCCCAAGCAGCCCCAAGATGGGTTTGTTTGCTGGAGACAGAGGTAGAAAGATCTGTCGAGGAACTGGCTGAAAATTCCTAAGTTGCAACATGGGAAGGTGTTGCTGGAGACAGTGTCCTGGGGGTCGGGCCTGGCACCCAGGGGCGGCCGCAGAGGAACCCTGATGGCAGGTACCAGGCGGCTGCACACAGCCCACAGCTGGGCTCCGGGGTCAGCAGCGGAGACAGAGAAGACCCCTGCTCAGGCCAAGGAGCCCTCCCACCCTCCATTCTTCAGGCAGGCGCCCCACCCAGCAGGCCTGACGCTGCCCCTCCTTCCAGCCGGCACCCAGGCCGAGCTCAGCCACACCTGAAGAGCCGCTCCGGCCAGGGAGGACATGCCCGGCAGAGACAGGGTGCAGAGACAGCCTCGCCCCCACACGGCGCCAGGCCCCACAGCTGCCACAGAGACGGGAGCCAGCCGCACGCAGAGGCTCAAGCCCACGGCCCTGGGAGGCGCCCTTTCCTGGGCAGGGTGGGCCTGACTGCCTGCTCCATCCAAGCACTGGGGCCTCGGGCCGCGCGGAGGTCCCACAGGAGGGTCAGAGCGGCATCTTCCCTTCAGGGCCCTCGCCCGGGCACCCCCCGGCCAATGGACCACAGCTGCACCCGGTTCATCCACCGCCGGGGACCACCCACTCGGACCCGAGCCGGCTTCAAGAGGGGCAAGAGGCCAAGGATCCAGCAGAGGCCTCGGGCTCGAGTCTCAGGTGAATAGAGCAGCCCTGGGTGGCCTCCTACCTCTCCAAGGCCAAGGCCTCCCTGGGACGGGTGCCCCATACCCAAGGAAGTCAGTCGGCCTCATGGGGCAGGGGCAGGATCCACACATGGCCATGCCCCGCTGCTCCGAGAGAGGGGCCAGCTGTGGGCGCCGGGCTCTGCAGGCACAGAGGGGAGCTGTCGCGCTCCGCGGCCCAGGGTTCCGCCTGGCTGGCACCACCCCTGGAAGGGCAGCCCCTCGTCTCCCGGCCTGACAATGGCCCCTTGGGTCACCCATGACATCATCATGGACATTGTGACCCCTGCCCTCCAGGGACCATCCCTGCGTCACGTCTGCACCCAGCACCGGCCTCACAGCCCGGCCCCTGCCCTGCACCAGGCCACTGCCCTGTTGGTGAGGAGGGTCGGAGGGGCGACCTCCCTGCCCCCTGCTCCAAGCTCCCCACCCCCACCTGGAACCTGCCGGCAGGAAGCCTGGCCCTGGAGGGTGGTCACGGCCCCTCCCCAGATGTAAGCAGTCCCCAGGCCGCCTGGTGGGGCCAGAGCTCGGGCTGAACTTGAGCCCCAGACGGGCCAGGGGGATTGTCCAGGGTATTGGAGAAATGGGCTGGGAGCAAACTGGCTGAGCCATGTCCGGGCTGAGTGGGCAGCTCCCGTAGCCACCCCGGTGGGACCCCACCCCGTTCACAGGCCCGGCCCACGAGAGGCCAATGGGGAGCAGCCAGGAGGAGGGACTCCGGTGTCAGCCAAGCCAGCCAGACCACGACGCAGATGGACACTGTGGGCCGGACCTGGAGGGGGCAGAAAGAGCCTCTGCCACACCCGGACCCCCTGGGCTCCTGAACAGCCACCGGCCTGCAGACTCGGATGACACTAACGCCGCCGGGCCCTCAGCTGCCCTCCTGGAGGGGCTCCTGCTGGGGGGTGGGAAGCCATCGCCCCACAGCACCCGGCCGGGGCCCTTCTTCTACATTGGAGGCAGCAACGGGGCCACAATGTGAGTAGCGGCCCTGGGCGCCCGTGGTCCCACTGAATACCCACCGCCTGCTCCCGGGGCCCAGCCCGGCCTCCGCTGGCCGCCCGCCATCCCCAACCCCTTGCCTCGGCCCCCAGGTCACCCCCGCCCCCACCCCTCGCAGCATCAGCTCCTACTGCAAAAGCAAGGGCTGGCAGCGCATCCATGACAGCCGCCGGGACGACTACACGCTGAAGTGGTGTGAGGTCAAGAGCCGAGACAGCTACGGCAGCTTCCGGGAAGGTAGCGGGAGCCGGCACCAGAGGCGGGCAGCCTGCAGGGGCCTCCTGGGCCGGAGCACAGGGCAGGTTGGAGGGGTGGGGACCGAGGTCCTGCGCTCCCTCCACACGAGCCCTGGCCTCTGACCTCCAGGAGAGCAGCTGCTGTACCAGCTTCCCAACAACAAGCTCCTCACCACCAAGATCGGGCTGCTCAGCACCCTTCGGGGACGGGCACGGGCCATGAGCAAGGCCAGCAAGGTGCCGGGGGGGGTCCAGGCCAGGTGAGTCTGCCCCTGCCCCTGCCCCCGTCCCTGCGCCCGCCCCTACGCCTGCCCCTGCCCCTGCCCCTGCACCCGCCCCACCCCTGCCCCTGCGCCCGCCCCTGCCCTTGCCCCTGCCCCTGGCCACCCAGGCTCCCAGGCTGGCTCCAGCCCCTGCCCCTGCCCTTGCCCCTGCCCCTGGCCACCTGGGCTCCCAGGCTGGCCCCAGCCCCCACCCGTCAGCACCTGCCTCCACCTTCCACCTGTCCTTTAAAGGGCCAAACCCCTGTCCCATAAACCCACCCTCTTCCTCGTGGCTGAACGGGGAAGATCCCACACGTCCCCAACCCACTGGGCCTGACACCCACCCACCTGTCCATCTCACAGACCCACCCAGGTACAACCCACCTGTCAATCTGCCTTCACCCCAAACATCCATCCAATCCATCCACAATCCCACACCGTGCCCACCGTCACCTGTGGGTGCCCTGAGTGAGGCCGTCCATCGCTCACCCAAGTCTGGGCCATCCATCCTAGCGACTTCGTCCTCCTGCTCCCAGCCCTGCCCACTGCCCTTCTATGGACCCACCTATCCCTCCTCACTTCATTTGGCCCAGACATTTTTGCACCAAGCACCCGCCCAGCCAACCGCAGCTGCCTCCATCTGCACCCCCCGCCCCTGGTTGCCTGTGACACCAGCTTTACACCATGTCCAGCGTCCACTTCCAGCCTAGAGCAACACAGCTGTTTCCCCCAGGCACCGCCGTCCACCCAGCCACCTCCTTCCACCACAACTCACAGTCCGCCCACTCACCACCCATGCCCCATCCCCCAGTCCCCACCCGCTCCAAGCACCATGAGCTGGCCCCTCAGTCCAGGCCCTCTGTCCCCTGGGCTGCAGGCTGGAAAAGGACGCAGCAGCGCCCGCCCTGGAGGACCTCCCGTGGACAAGCCCAGGATACCTCAGGCCACAGAGGTAGACTCAGCCCAGCTGTGAGGGGCCCTTCAGACCGAAGTTCAGACCTAAACCTGGTGTCGTCTGAAAAGGAGAAAGCGGGGCGGGGGTCCCACACAAAGGAAAACCACGAGCTAGAGTCAGAGGTTCAGCCAGGCCAGGCCGAGATCCACGCTGACCCCCCAGTGCACACAGAGCTGGGGCAGGGCCAGGGGCTCAGGCCACGCTCTCCGCCCATCCCAGCCGTGAGGACACTGCCATGAGGTGGTGGCTCACAAATGGCTGAGACGGTGCCAGCCGGGAGAGCAACCATGAGGGAAAAAGCAGCCAGCGGGAGGGGCCCGGGTGGGGGTCAGCGGCCAGAAGGATGCAGCCAGCAGCACAGCCCGTTGGGGGGGTGCTGCAAAGGGGCAGGAAACGCAAAGTCCCCACAAGGAGAACGGCCGCGGGCGCCAGGTGCCACTGCCCACACTCCCTCCCGCCGGGCCACAGGCTGGGCCTCAAACCGCCCACCCAGCCAGGGGCGAAGGGACAGCAGCTCATCCTCCTGCCTCCCTGCCCTGCAGGGTCCTGAGAATGGAAGAGTTTTTCCCAGAGACCTACCGCCTGGACCTCAAACACGAGAGAGAGGCCTTTTTCACCTTGTTTGATGGTGAGACGCTGCTGGCCGGACACCAGGCTGGCCCTGGGGAGACAGGGTGAGGGCTGGACCAAGGCGGGGGCTGATGAGGGCAGGGCTGGGTCTGGAGGGGCTGCGTGGGGCTGGGACGAGACGAGGTGGTCAGGAAGGGGCCAGGGCTGGGCCTGGTCTGGGTGGGGACTGAGGAGTTGGAAAGGGGAGGGTCTGGCCTTCGTGGAGGTTGGGGTATGAGGGCACTGGGGCCAGGGCTGGAGCTTGGTCCGGGTGAGCGTGGTCGAGGCACGGGCAGGAGCTGGGGCCAGGCGTGTGGTTAGCGCAGGGCCAAGGTTGGAATGGCCGGGCCGAGGGTCGCAGCCTGGAGGGGAGGGTCCTGGTCGGGCCCTAGGAGGGGCGTGGCTGGGTTGGGGGCGAGG
Source organism: Homo sapiens (assembly GCF_000001405.40). Classification (NCBI taxonomy): domain Eukaryota; kingdom Metazoa; phylum Chordata; class Mammalia; order Primates; family Hominidae; genus Homo; species Homo sapiens. The sequence continues at coordinate 1,182,848 of NC_000001.11, forward strand.
CCAGGGGCTCAGGCCGCGCTCTCTGCAGAAACCCAGATATGGATCTGCAAGCCCACAGCCTCCAACCAGGGCAAAGGCATCTTCCTGCTCCGGAACCAGGAGGAAGTTGCCGCCCTGCAGGCCAAGACCCGGAGCATGGAGGACGACCCCATCCACCACAAGACGCCGTTCCGGGGGCCTCAGGCGCGGGTGGTGCAGAGGTGCGGCGGCGGGTGCCCGGAGGGGTGAGGGTCTGGGCTGGCTGACCCGGGCCCCACTGGTGCAGTCAGCAGGGCCGCCGAGGAGCCCTTGGTCGTGGAAAGCAGCCGCACCACCAGCCCCTGTGCAGACCACAGCCGGGCCCCCGTGTAGCCAGCAGAGGGGAGGGGTCACACCAGGCCGGGGTCACAGACACAGGATCCAGGGTTGAGGGGTTAGTCAGTTTGTCCTTCAGCTGGGGCCCCCTCTGTCCTGCAGGTGGCCTGGCCTGGGTGGCCTCCCGGCTGCCAGCCCCCCTACTCCCCGGCCCAGCCAGCCAGCTGCAGCCTTCAGGCCTATGGCCAAGCTGACCACTCCTTCCCTGAGTGGGAAGGCTTCCTCCAGAAAGCCCCGTGGCTGCACGAGGCTGAAGGTTTAGACCTGTCGACCTCACCCCCGGCCCTCGTAGAGCCTCACTCTGACCACAGCTGCCGTCTGCCGTCCCCAGCTTCCATCGGCTCCTCCCTCGCGTCCCTCCACCTGGCGAGCTCTCCGCCTGGCGCACCCCCTCTGCCTGCTGTGCTCCCTCTGCCTAGCGCCCGCCTGGCGCGCTCCTTCCCTTCCTCTCCAAAGCCACCTTCATGCCCTCCTCCTCCAGGCAGCCCTCCAGGCTCCTACTGCGGTTATGCCCTGGAGCACCCATCAGGGTGCCAGGCCTTTCCTCCCAATTCCCCTGACATATTCAGGCCCAGAAATGCCCCCTTTCCCTGGAGGTCACACCTGGGACAGAGGCGGGGCGCTGAGGAAATGGAACAGGCCCGGGGTGGGGTGTGAGGGGATGCAGGCCAGGCTGGCCCCGTGGCTCAGCCCAGCAGCCCCGACATGGTGCCCCCAGGTACATCCAGAACCCGCTGCTGGTGGACGGGAGAAAGTTTGACGTGCGCTCCTACCTGCTCATTGCCTGCACCACACCCTACATGATCTTCTTTGGCCACGGCTATGCTCGCCTCACCCTTAGCCTTTACGACCCCCATTCCAGCGACCTCGGCGGCCACTTGACCAACCAGGTGAGTCTGCCATGGGTGAGGGCCCTCCCTGCAGCCTTGGGATGAGATTAGAAGGAGGTTCTCACTGCTAGGGGGTGCAGAGGGGGTGCAGCTACAGAAGGAGGTGGCCCAGGCCGGGAGGTGTCTCAGGCCTGGAAGTAGCCTGGGCTGCCCCCGCTGGCAGTGAGCACTGCCTCTCACCTCCCGCTTTTGGCCACGTCAGAAGAAGGGCGTGGCAGGGACCCCGTTAGCTGGTGAAAGGGCTCAGAGCCCTGTAGCCCTCAGCGTGCAGCCTGGCTCCCAAGCCGCAGCTGAGTTTTCTGAGGATGGGGTGCGGGTGGGCGTCGGAACCGAGGGGATTCTGAGGCTGTCAGAGGAGGGGCCCTGTGGGCAGAGATTTCTGGGGACGGGTCTTCATGGGAGAGTCCAGGGTAGGGACCTTCTGAGAAGATCTGTGGGGTCCTCACGGCTGAAGGGGGGTCTCAGCGGATGAAGGTTTTTGTGGGAGGGTCTTTGCAGGCAGGTCAGGGTGGGGCCGGGGGAGCAAGGTTAGGGGCGGCTGTCTCAGGGACCCCCAGAGAACAGGCCTTCTAGGTTAGGGGGATGTTCTCTTGGGGACCCCCGTGAGGACAGGCCCTCCGGACAGTCTGGGAGCCAGTCTCCAGGCACCGTGTGCCCCCAGTTCATGCAGAAGCCTTCTAGGTTAGGGGGATGTTCTCTTGGGGACCCCCGTGAGGACAGGCCCTCCGGACAGTCTGGGAGCCAGTCTCCAGGCACCGTGTGCCCCCAGTTCATGCAGAAGCCTTCTAGGTTAGGGGGATGTTCTCTTGGGGACCCCCGTGAGGACAGGCCCTCCGGACAGTCTGGGAGCCAGTCTCCAGGCACCGTGTGCCCCCAGTTCATGCAGAAGAAGAGCCCTCTGTACATGCTGCTGAAGGAGCACACGGTGTGGAGCATGGAACACCTCAACCGCTACATCAGTGACACGTTCTGGAAGGCCCGGGGCCTCGCCAAGGACTGGGTCTTCACCACCCTCAAGGTGCGTCCACTGTGCCCTCCAGTCTGGGAGTGAGATCCCTCGGGGCGGGGGTGTGTGGTCAGGCTGGGCACCAGGCACACAGATGTCCGTGGCGTGCGTGGGCGGCTGCGCTGAAGTGTGACCTGACCGTGTGGAACCAAACCCTTCCAGCGTCTCTGCTCACTTAGCTGGCAGTGCCTGTCCCCAGCAGCCAGCAAAGGCCCGGACGGAAAGCCCAGTCGGGGGTCTGTCGGCACGAGTCCCGCGGGCAGCCTCGCCGTAGGGTCAGGGGACAGCTCGGCTTCAGTGACAGCCACCATGTGAAGAGTCTTTGTTCCTTTCAGATCCTCCACTTGGCAGGCAGGGCCAACAGCAGCCCCCGGGCCAGGTGTCCTGGAGCAGCAGCAGCTGCCCGTGCAGGCCCGGACTCTCCCTAGCTAAGGGCCATGTGCGGTGGAGTGTCCTAATTTTGCAGGGTTCCTTTCTGTGGGGGTACCTGTGGGGTACTTCAAACAGCCCTAGCAGCAAAGGCCCTTGAGCAGCGCGGTGTGAAACTGGGATAAAAACGGGGCTTGGCCGAAGGACTTTTATCTGTCTTGGTCACCCCGGCCAGGCCCCGGAAGCAGCAGCCAGGGATGGTCCTTCCTCACCCACAGGCGTGTGTCACTGTGGCTGGGACGGCAGCGCTCAGAGGAGCCTCCAGTTACTTTCCTCACATCTCCCAAACTCTCTCTTAATTGCGATAATTCACAGAACATAAAATTCACGATCTTAAAGTGTGCAGTTCAGTGGCTTTTAGTATTTCAAAAGTTGTGCAATTATCACCACCAATTCCAGAACATTTCATCACCTCAAAAAAGAAACACTACTAACGAGCCATCACAGCTACATTGCCGGCCATTCCTGGTCACCGCTGATGGACCTTCTCTCTCTCTCCTGTCTCCTTTCTCTTACCGTGGTGTTTTCAGGGTTCATCCACGTAGTTCACGTATCCTTTTCTTTTCTTTTTTTTTTTTTTGAGACAGAGTCTCACTCTGTTGCCCAGGCTGGAGTACAGTGGCACAATCTCAGCTCACTGCAACCTCCACCTCCTGGGTTCAAGCAATTCTCCTGCCTCAGCCTCCCAAGTAGCTGCAACTACAAGTGCCCGCCACCACGCGCGGCTAATTTTTGTATTTTTAGTAGAGATGGGGTTTTGCCGTGTTGGCCAGGCTGGTCTCAAACTCCTGACCTCAGGTGACCCGCCCGCCTCAGCCTCCCAAAGTGCTGGGATTACAGGCGTGAGCCACTGCACCCAGCCATGTATCCCTTTCATACAACGTTCCGTCATATGGATGGACCATATTTTGCCATCAGCTGGTGGACACAGTTTTATTATTGAGCTGTTATGAATAATGTTGCTATAAATATTCACACAAAAATGTTTGTATGAATATATATTTTCAGTGCTCCTGGGAAAATACCCAGGAATGGAGTCGTGGGTCACAGGGTGACACACTTAACTTTCTGAGGAACCAGGAATCACTTTTCCAGTTTCTCCAGATCTCGCCAACACTTGTTATTTTCCTTTCTTTATTAAAGAATCACCATCTGGTCGGTGTGCAGGGATATCTCATTGTGGGTTTGATTTCCATTTTGCTAATGACAAATAACTTCATGTGTTCACTGGCCAGCTATGTATATTCTTTAGAGAAATGTCTATTCAAACGCTGTGGCTGTTCTTTACCATCCAGTTGTGAAAGTTTTTTTTGTTTGTTTTTTGTTTTTTTTTTTTTGAGACAGAGGCTCGCTCTGTCGTCCAGGCTGGAGTGCAGTGATGTGATTCTCGGCTCACTGCAAGCTCCGCCTCCCGGGTTCACGCCATTCTCCTGCCTCAGCCTCCCGAGTAGCTGGGACTACAGGCGCCCGCCACCACGCCCGGCTAATTCTTTGTATTTTTAGTAGAGACAGGGTTTCACCGTGTTAGCCAGGATGGTCTCGATCTCCTGACCTCGTGATCTGCCCGCCTCGGCCTCCCAAAGTGCTGGGATTATAGGTGTGAGCCACCGCGCCCGGCCAAAAGTTCTTTACATATTCTAAACACTAGGCCTTTATCAGACATATGATTTGCCAATATTTTTCTGGAATATTGTGGCTGTCTTTTCACTTTCTTGATAATGTCCTTTGACCACAAAAGCTTTTAGTTTTGATGAAATCCAGTTTATCCATTTTTTTCCTTTGGTTACTCATGCTTTTAGTATCATATCTAAAAATCCATTGTGCCAGGTGCGGTGACTCACGCCTGTAATCCCAGCACTTTGGGAGGCCATGGTTGTTAGATCACCTGAGGTCAGGAGTTCAAGACCAGCCTGACCAATATGGTGAAACCCCATCTCTACTAAAAATATGAAAATTAGCCAGGCGTGGTGGTGGGTGCTTGTAGTCCCAGCTACTTGGGAGGCTGAGAAAGAAGAATTGCTTGAACCCGGGAGGTGGAGGTAGCTGTGAGCCAAGATCGTGCCACTGCACTCTAGCCTGGGCAACAGAGCAAGACTCCATCTCAAAAAACAAAAAAATAAAAATCCATTGCACTTTGGGAGGCTGAGGAAGGTGGATCACCTGAGGTCAGGAGTTTGAGACCAGCCTGGCCAATGTGGAGAAACCCCATCTCTACTAAAAATACAAAAATTAGCTGGGTGTGGTGGCGTGCACCTGTAGTCCCAGCTACTCAAGATGCTGAGGCAAGCGAATCACTTGAACCCGGGAGGCAGAGGTTGCAGTGAGTGGAGATCGCACTGCTGCACTCCAACCTGGGTGATGGAGCAAGACTCCATCTCAAAAAAAAAAAAAAATTGCCAAATCCAGCAGAGTGAAAATTACACTTATGTTTCTTTCTAAAATGGTATAGTTTTAGCTCTTATATTTAGGTCTTGGATCCATTTTCAGTTAATTTTTGTGTATGGTGTGAGTTAGGGATCCAACAGCATTCTCTTGCATGTGGCTATCCAGTTATCCCAGCACCATTTGTTGAAGAGACTATTCTTTCCCCCATGGAATGGTCCTGGCATAGTATCAAAAACCAATTGACCAGAGCTGCAAGTGTTTATTTTTGGACTCTCAGTTCCATTCCATTAGTGTATATGTCTGTCTTTATGCCAGTACCACATGGTTTTGATTGCTGTAGCTTTGTAGTAAGTCCTGAAATTGGGATATGTGAGTCTTTCAATATTGTTCTTTTTCAAGATTATTTTGGCTATTCAGGGGCCCCTTACAATTCCACAATTCCATATGAATTTTAAGATTGGCTTTTCCATTTCTGGGGAAAAAGTCCAATGAAATTTTTTTTTTTTTTTTTTGAGACAGAGTCTCATTCTGTTGCCCAGGCTGGAGTGCAGTGGGGCAATCTCAGCTCACTGCAGCCTCGCCTCCCAGGTTCAAGCGATTCTCCTGCCTCAGCCTCCCTAGTAGCTGGGATTACAGGCACCCACCACCACGCTCGGCTAATTTTTGTATTTTTAGCAGAGACCAGGTTTCACTGTGTTGGCCAGGCTGATCTCGAACTCCTGACCTCAGGCGATCTGCCCACCTCAGCATCTCAAAGTGCTGGGATTACAGGTGTGAGCCACCACACCCAGCCTCATCGAAATTTTAATAGGCATTGCATTGAATCTGTAAGTCACGTAGCAGTGGCATCTTAACAATATTTAGTCTTCCGATCCATGAATATAGGATGTCTTTCCATTTTTCTAGGTCTTCTTCCATTTCTTTCAGCAATGTTTTCTAGTTTTCAGCATACAAGTCTGTCACCTACGGTAAATATTATTCTAGGTATTTTATTATTTTGACACTTGTGAATAGAATTATTTTTTAAATTTCCTTTTTGGATTGTCCATTGCTAGTGTATAAAAATAAAACTGATTTTTGTGTGTTGATCTTGTATCCTTCAACTTTCCTGAATTCACTTATTAGCTCCGTGTGTGTGTGCACTCTTCAAGATTTTTATATAAGGATCATGTCATCTGGAATAGAAACAGCTTTACCTCTTCCTTTCAAATTTATATGCATTTTATTTCTTTTCTTACATATTGCCGGCTACTTCCAGAACAATGTTGAATAGAAGTAGCAAAAGCAGTCATCCTTGTTTGTTCCTGATCTGAGGAGGAAGGCCGTGGGTTTCTCATAAATGCCCTCGTCAGGTTGAGGAAGTTCCCTTCTGTTCCTAATTGGTTAAGTGTTTTTTGTTAATATCCTAGAAGGATGTTGAAATCTGTCAAATGCTTTTTCTGTCTCCACTGAGATGAGTGTGTCTTATTTCCCCTTCATTCTATTAATGTGTTGTATCGCACTGATTAACTTTCATATGACAAACCCCGCTTGATGATGGTATAGAACCATTTAAATTTAAATATGCTGTTGGATTTGGTTTGCTAATATTTTAATGAGGATTTTTGTGTCTGTGCTTATAAGCAATACTGGTCTGTAGTGTTCTTTTCTCGAATGTCTTTGCCTGGGTGGTATTAAGGTAACCCTGGCCTCATAGCATGTTAGGATGCATTCTTTCCTCTTTTATTTTTGGAGTCTTTGTGAAGGATTGCTGTTAATTCTTTGTTTGAAATAATTCACCAGTAAAGCCACCTGGGTTTTCCTCTGTGGGAAAGTTTATTATTATTATTACTAATACTGCTGCAATCTTTACTTGTTATAGGTCCATCCAGATTTTCTAATCTTTAGTCTGCTTTATTTTGCTAAGAATTTGTCCATTTCACCAGGCACGGTGGCTCATGCCTATAATCCCAGCACTTTGGGAGGCCGAGGAAGGTGGATCATGAGGTCAGGAGATCGAGACCATCCCGGGTAACACGGTGAAACCCCGTCTCTACTAAAAATACAAAAAATTAGCTGGGCGTGGTGGCGGGCACCTGTAGTCCCAGCTACTCGGGAGGCTGAGGCAGGAGAATCGCGTGAACCCGGGAGGCGGAGCTTGCAGTGAGCCGAGATCGCACCACTGCACTCCAGCCTGGGGGACAGAGCGAGACCCCGTCTCAAAAAAAAAAAAAAAAGAATTTGTCCATTTCTTCTAGGTTATCTAATTTGTTTAGTGTACAAAGTATTCCCTTGTCATCCTTTTAATCAATATAAAGTCTTTCTCCCCTGATTTTAGTAATTTGATTCTTCTCTCCTTTTTTTTTTTTTCTTTTTGGTCAGTTTCTCTAAGTCCTTATCAATTTTGTTGATCTTTTCAATGAACCAACTCCTGGTTTCACTGATTTTCTCTACTGTTTTCTATTCCATTTATTTCCACTCTATCTTTATTATTTCCTTCTTACTACTTGCCTTGGGTTTAGTTTGCTCTTCTTTTACTAATTTTTTTTTTTTTTGAGATGGAGTCTTGCTCTGTCGCCCAAGCTGGAGTGCAGTGGCACGATTTCAGCTCACTGCAACCTCTGCCTCCCGGGTTCAAATGATTCTCCTGCCTCAGCTTCCCGAGTAGCTGGGACTAAGGGCACGTGCCACCACTCCCAGCTAATTTTTTTGTATTTCTAATGGAGATGGGGTTTCACCATGCTGGCAAGGCTGGTCTCAAACTCTCTTTTTCTAATTTCTTAAGGTCAAAAGTTAGGTTATGATTTCAGTTTTTTCTTCTTGCTTAAGGTAGGTGCTTAGTGCTATACATTTTCCTCTGACCACCACTTTTGCTGCATCCATAAGATTTTGCGTGTTGTCTTCATTTTCATTTGTCTCAAAGTATTTTTATTTTTATTTTTTATTTTATTTGAGATGGAGTTTCGCTCTTGTCACCTAGGCTGGAGTGTAATGGCGCAATCTCAGCTCACTGCAGCCTCTGCCTCCCGGGTTCAAGCGATTCTCCTGCCTCAGCCTCCCGAGTAGCTGGGATTACAGGCACCTGCCACCACGCCTGGCTAATTTTGTTTGTATTATTAGTAGAGATGGGGGTTTCACCATGTTGGCCAGGCTGGTCTTGAACTCCTGACCTCAGGTGATCCGCCTGCCAAAGTGCTGGGATTATAGGCGTGAGCCATGATGCTCAGCTGCAAAGTATTTTAAATTTCCTTTGTAAGCTTTTCTTTGACCCATTGGTTGCTTAAGGGCCTGTTATTTAATTTCCACATATTTGTGATTTTTCCAATTTTCCTTCTGTTATTGACTTCTAATTTCATTCCATTGTGTCAGAGAACATACTTTATAATTTCAACCCTTTAAAAATTATTGAAAAATTATTGGAGCTGGTGTGTTGGCACATACCTGTAATTCCAGCTACTCAGGAGGCTGAGATGGAAACATTGCTTAAGCCCAGGAGTTTGAGTCCAGCCTGGGCAACACAGCAAAACCCCATCTTTAAAAAAACAACAAACTTACTATTCATTAAGTGGATCATTAAAAAACAAAAACAAAAAACACTTGAAACTTGTTTATGTCCCAGCATATGGTCTATCCTGGAGAATATCCATGTGCACTGGAGAAGGAGGTGTATCCTGTTTTTGGGTGTAGTGTTCTGTAGATGTCTGTGCCGAGACCAGCTCGGTCGGGGAGACCCTAACCCGGCGGCGCTAGAGGAATTAAAGACACACACAGAGAAATACAGAGGTGTGAAGTGGGAAATCAGGGGCCTCACAACCTTCAGAGCTGACAGCCCTGAACAGAGATTTACCCACATATTTAGTAACAGCAAACCAGTCATAGCATTGTTTCTATAGATATTCAGTTAACTAAAAGTATCCCTTACGGGAAACGAAGGGATGGGCCAAATTAAAGGAATAGGTTGGGCTAGTTAACTGCATCAGGAACACGCCCTTAAGACACAGATCGCTCCTGCTATTGTTTGTGGCTTAAGAACGCCTTTCAGCGGTTTTCCGCCCTGGGCGGGCCAGGTGTTCCTTGCCCTCATTCCCGTCAACCCACAACCTCCCAGCGTGGGCGTTAGGGCCATTGTGAACATGTCACAGTGCTGCAGAGATTTGTTTATGGCCAGTCTTGGGGCCAGTTTATGGCCAGATTTTGGGGGGGGGCCTGCTCCCAACATGTCTGTTAGGTCTGTTTGGTTTATAATGTTGTTCGAGTCTTCTATTTACTCGTTAATCTTCTGTCTCTGTATTGAAAGCGGGATATTCAGTTGTCTACTTCTCCCTTCAGATCTGTCAGTTTTTTGTATATTTCGAGGCTCTGTTGTTGGGTGTGTGTATGTTTATGATTATTAGATCTTCTTGGTTTATCGTTATAAAAATTTTCCTTTAATCTGCAGTAATAATTTTTGTGTAAAGTCTATTTTCTGTGATATGAGTGTAGACACTCCAGTTGGTATAAGTGTAGACACTCCAGTTGATATGAATGTAGACACTCCAGTTGGTATGAGTGTAGACACTCCAGTTGGTATGAGTGTAGACACTCCAGTTCGTATCAGTGTAGACACTCCAGTTGATATCAGTGTAGACACTCCAGTTGGTATGAGTGTAGACACTCCAGTTGGTATGAGTGTAGACAATCCAGTTGATATCAGTGTAGACACTCCAATTGATATCAGTGTAGACACTCCAGTTGGTATGAGTGTAGACACTCCAGTTGGTATGAGTGTAGACACTCCAGTTCGTATCAGTGTAAACACTCCAGTTGGTATGAGTGTAGACACTCCAGTTGATATCAGTGTAGACACTCCAGTTGGTATGAGTGTAGACACTCCAGTTGTTCATATCAGTGTAGACACTCCAGTTGGTATGAGTGTAGACACTCCAGTTGGTATGAGTGTAGACACTCCAGTTGGTATGAGTGTAGACACTCCAGTTCTACTTTGGTTACCGTGTGTGGTACATCTTTTTCCATCCCTTTACTTTCCACCTATTTTTGTCTCTGAAACTAAAGTATCTTTTGTAGATGGTATATCATGTTTTTTTAAGAAACTCCGTCAATGTCTATTAATTGGAAAGTTTAATTCACTTACATTTAATATAATTACTGATAAAGGGCCGGGCACGGTGGCTCACGCCTGTAATGCCAGCCCTTTGGGAGGCCAAGGCAGGTGGATCACAAGGTCAGGGATTGAGACCATCCTGGCTAACACGGTGAAACCCCGTCTCTACTAAAAATACAAAACATTAGCCAGGCGTGGTGGTGAGCAACTGTAGTCCCAGCTGCTCGGGAGGCTGAGGCAGGAGAATGGCGTGAACCCAGGAGGCGGAGCTTGCAGTGAGCCAAGATTGCGCCATTGCACTCCAGCCTGGGTGACAGAGCGAGACTCCGTCTCAAAAAATAATAATAATAATAATTACTGATAAGGTAGGATTTACATATGCTATTTTGTTATTTGTTTTCTATGTCTGTCTTTTTTTGTTCCTCAGTTTCTCCATTACTGCCTCCTATTGTTTTAGAGAGATATTTTCTAGTGTAGCTTTTTTTTTTTGAAACGGAGTTTCGCTCTTGTTGCCCAGGCTGGAGTGCAGTGGCGTGATCTCGGCTCACTGCAGCCCCCGCCTCCCGGATTCAAGCGATTCTCCTGCCTCAGCCTCCCTAGTAGCTGGGATTACAGGCGCATGCCACCACACCCGGCTAATTTTTTGTATTTTTAGTAGAGACGGGGTTTCACTATGTTGGCCAGGCTGATCTCAAACTGCTGACCTCAGGTGATCTACCCGCCTCAGCTTCCCAGGGTGCTGGGATTACAGGCGTGAGCCACCACGCCTGGCTTAGTGTAGCATTTTAATTACCTTGTCATTTATTTTACTATATGTTTTTGAGTTATTTTAGTGGTTGTCCTGAGGATTACCATTAATATTGTATCTTAATTTACTACAATTAGGGTGAGTGTGGTGGCTTATGCCTGTAATCCCAGTGCTTTGGGAGGCTGAGGCAAGAAGATCATATGAGGCCAGGCATTTGAAAGCAGCCTGGGCAACATAGTGAGACCCCATCTCTAAAAAACAAAATTAGCTCAGCATGGGAGTGTGCACCTGTAGTCCTCCTAGCTATTTAGGGGGCTGAGATGGGAGGATCACTTGAGCCCAGGAGGTCAAGGCTGCAGTGAGCCACAATCAAACCACATTACCCCAGCCTAGGTGACAGAACAAGACCCTGTTTCTAAAATAAAAAATGTTTTAAAATAAACAATTCAGTTTTTTATTAATACCAAGTTAATTTCAAAAGCATACAAAAACACACTGCTCCTAAAAGTATACAAAAACACTCCTCCTACACAGCCCCACCCCTCTCATGCTGTTGTCACAAATTACAGCTCAGTATATTTGTGTCCATCAACATGGATTCATAATTATTGTTGTATACAGTTGTCTTTTAGGACAAAACAATCACATACAAAAAAATACATGTATGCTGTCTCTTATATTTAATTACACAATGACCTTTTCTGGGGCTCTTTATTTCCTCCTGTGAGTTCCAGTTACTGTCTAGTGTCTTTTCATTTCAGCCTGAAGGACGGTAGGGCGGGTCTACCTTTGTTTATCTGGGAATGTCTTAATCTCCCCTTCATTTTTGAAGCAGCTTTTGCTAGATGTAGAATTTTTGGTCAACAGTATTTTTACTTTTGGGAATTTGTGCCATCCCACTGCCTGCCCACCTCACGACCTCTAATGAGAAACTGGCTGTTCATCTTTCTGTGGATGCCTCATACATAACGAGCGGCTTCTCTCCTGCTGATTTCGACGTTCTCTGTCTTTTGGAAGTTTGCTGATGAGGTGGTGGATCTCTGAGTTTATCCTACTTTGAGTTCATTGAGCTTCTTGAATGTGTAGGTTGTTTTTCATTAAACTGGGAAGTTTTCTGCCATTATTTTTTCAAATATTGTTTCTGCTCCTTTCTCTTCTCTCCTTCTGGGACTCCCATTATGCATATGTTGGTCCATTTGACAGTGTCCCACCCACAAGTCTCTGAGGCTTTATTTTTCTTCCCTCTCTCTCTCTCTTTCATTTTTTGTTTTGAGACAGGGTTTCTGTCACCCAAGATGGAGTGCAGTGGTGCAATCTCAGCTCACTGCAGCCTCCTCCTTCTGGGCTCAAGCAATCCTCCGGCCTACCAGCCTCCCAAGTAGCTGGGACTACAGGCACGCACCATCACATCTGGCTAATTTTTGTATATTTAGTAGAGACGAGGTTTCACAATGTTGGCCAGGCTGGTCTCAAACTCCTGACCTCAAGCGATCCCCCTGCCTTGGCCTCCCAAAGTGCTGGGATTACAGGTGTGAAGCCACTGCACCCGGCCTCCTTTTTCTTTCTGTTCCTCAGACTAAATAATCTCAATTGGCCTATCTGCAAACAATTCAAATCTGCTGTTGAGCACTTCTAGTGCATGTTTTATTTGTTCTACTTTTGTTCTACTTTTCAACTTCAGAATTTCTATTTGATTCTCTTTTATAATTTTTCTCTCTTCACCAGTATTCTCTATTATTTGATAAGACATCATCGTCATACTTTTTTTTTTTTTTTTTTAGTTTTAGTAGAGGCAGGGTTTCACCATGTTGGCAAGGCTTGTCTCGAACTCCTGACCTCAGGTGATCCACCCACCTCAGCTTCCCAAAGTGCTGGGATTACAGACGTGAGCCACTGTGCCCGGCCCATACTTCTTTTTTTTAGACAGTCTCACTGTGTCACCCAGGCTAGAGTGCAGTGGCACAATCTCAGCTTACCACAGCCTCTGCCTCTTGGGCTCAAGCAGTCCTCCCACCTCAGCCTCCCAAGTAGGTGGGACTACAGGCATACACCACCACGCTTAGCTAATTTTGCTAATTTTTTGGTAGAGACAAGGTCTCCCTATATTGCCCAGGCTGATCTCAGACTCCTGAGCTCAAGCGATCCTCCTGCCTCAGCCTCCCAAAGTGCTGGGACTACAGGTGTGAGCCACGCGCCCGACCAACTTGTGTATTTCTAGTAGAGATGGGGTCTCACCATGTTGGCCAGGCTGGTCTCAAACTCCTGAGCTCAAGCAATCCTCCTGCCTCAGCCTCCCAAACTGCTGGGACTACAGGTGTGAGCCACGTGCCTGGCCCTCACACTTTCTGTTAGTCCTTTCAAATGGGATCTTCCAAGGAACTACTAGACATAAGAAAACAAATAATGACAATTTTTTTTTATAAATGAGGTCTATTTTGCTATCTCCAGTTCTGGGGATGCATGCTGTTGGTTTTTTGAGGCAACCATTGAGCTGGGGAGCAGAGGATGAAACCAGAGCACGTTAAAATACAACATAATTCACAGTTCTTACCAAGATTCGAGATTTTACGTATCCCATTTGCTATCCGTCTCTTCTGCTCAAGGGCAGAGATTTCCTGTGAGTTTTCCTCACTCTCGTATCTCCAGTGCCTGACACAGGACAGGAGCTGCACGAGTTTGTTGAGTGAGTTTCTGGCTGTGAACCTGTGAGGCTGAGTGCACGAACGTGTGGGCAGGTGTGGCTGTACAGGTGCGGGTTCAGATGGGAGTGCAGGTGAGGGATGTGGCTGTGGCTGTTCAGACCTGGGGTGTGATCAGGGCCTACGGGCCGCAGCCAGGATGCCTCCCTGCCTCCCTGCAGAAGCGGATGCAGCAGATCATGGCCCACTGCTTTCTGGCCGCCAAGCCCAAGCTGGACTGCAAGCTGGGTTACTTTGACCTCATTGGCTGTGACTTCCTGATTGATGACAACTTCAAGGTGCTGTCCTGGGCGGCGGGGGGCACAGTAGACAGATGCAAGGAGGCAGGGGCCATCTGTACACCCTGACCACACTGGCAGGCCCCAGGCAGAATCTGCAGTCAGCCCCCACCCTGCCTGCATGCAGCCCTGGGGATGGGTGTATCCATGAGGCTCACCCCCTGTGCAGCTAGGATGGAACTGCACCCCCTCCTCAGAGCAGCCCCCTCAGGCCAGAGCTTCAGACCCTCAGAGCTTCAGTGGACAAACAGGGGAGCAAGGCTATAGGAAGGAAGCAATCTCCCAGAGCCATCTGTCTGAATGAGGACCAGGGCCTCTGCCTCCTGCTGGCCCAGTGGGCTCGGGGTGAGGAGGGACTGACTGGCGTCTGGGGCAGGTATGGCTGCTGGAGATGAATTCTAACCCAGCCCTGCACACCAACTGCGAGGTCCTGAAGGAGGTCATCCCAGGTGTGGTCATCGAGACCCTGGGTGAGCCTCCAAGCCCCCACCCCACACCCCCACAACCTGCCCAGTCTTGAATGCCTACCTGCCCTCTTCCCAAGTTCAGACCCCCACAGATGGGGCTCTTCCACCTCCCGAGGGCCTGTGTGGCAGCGCCGCCCCCTGCCCCAACCTTCCCCACACCTCAGCTCACCTGGGTCCCACCCCTCACACCCTCCCCACCCCCTCCAGCCCCAGCCTCTGCCCCCCACTCACCCTCTCTCCCCCACCCGCACCAGACCTGGTGCTCGAGACCTTCCGGAAGAGCCTGCGCGGCCAGAAGATGTTGCCTCTGCTGTCCCAGCGCCGCTTCGTGCTCCTGCACAACGGTGAGGCCGACCCGCGGCCGCACCTGGGGGGCTCGTGCAGCCTCCGCCGCTGGCCGCCCCTGCCCACCCGCCAGGCCAAGTCCTCCGGGCCACCCATGCCGCATGCCCCAGACCAGCCGGGCGCCCGCAGGCCTGCGCCACCTCCCTTGGTGCCGCAGCGTCCCCGGCCACCCGGCCCCGACCTGGACAGCGCCCACGATGGGGAGCCCCAGGCCCCGGGCACGGAGCAGTCGGGCACAGGCAACAGGCACCCGGCGCAAGAGCCTTCCCCGGGGACAGCCAAGGAGGAACGCGAGGAGCCTGAGAACGCGAGGCCCTAGGGGCAGCCACCCGCGCCCAGCGCCCCGCGCCCCGCGCCCCAGCCGTGCTGCCTGCCCTCAGGGACCTATAAAGCCCACTTTGCTACAAACACAGTCTCTGCAGCAGAGTCCTGCCACCTCAGCGCCCCTGAGCCCATGCCCACCGGGGTCACCCCCACCACACCAGCACTGGCCTGAAAGATGCTCCCCTGGGACTTCCCCAGGCCCCCACTAGCCCCCAGTCCATGGCTGGGCCCTGTCCCTGGGGAGACTGTGCTGAGGGAGGGGGTCTCCGCGGCTGGGCCCAGTCCTGGGGGGCTGTTCTGAGGGAGGGGGTTCCCCACGGCTGGTCTATACTCCCTCCCGGGCTGCCCCATCCTGGGCTCCCGCCCACCACCCTGTGCCCCTCAGCACCTGGGCCCTCCTGCCGCCCTGTGACCCCACGGCCCCCATGGCCTGGCCGGTGATCCACCATTGCCTGTCATCCCCAGGAAGGGTCTGAACCCCTCTGGAGCTCCAAAGGAGGAGCCCCTTGAGCCCAGGATTGCTGCCGTGGGCACCCACAGAGCTCGCCCCAGCCTGCCTGGCACAGAACCTTCCTGGGCCTTTAAGCCCCAAGCCTGGCGCTCCAGCTCCCTGAGCCCCCAACCTTCCTGCAGTGGCCCCAGGACTTAGCCAGGGGTGAGGGGCACAGGGCAGCTAGCCCCAACAAGAGGGTCCCACAGAAGACATGCTAAGCCCACACTGGCCAGGCCCTGGTCAGCCCTGTGTAGCCGCTGATGGTTCTGTTCCCCATGGGTCTGGGGGTTTGCGAGGAGAGCTCTGGCGTCCCGGGGCCTCTGAGGCGTCCACACTACCCACCCCCTCACTCATCTCCCACCCAGAGAGCTAAAGTGTATGGGCCTCTTCCCAATGGCTGGCTCAAGGTGTCTGTGCCCCCCAAGTCGAGACCTGAGGATCGGGGGGCCCCGCCCCCAGGCCCACCCCCCACATGCCCTGCCTCCGACTCCACACGGTCACGGCCAAGTCGCCGGTCCCTCCTCCTGCCCTGCTCCGCAGCCACGGGGGACTGAGGGGCCAGCAGAATCTGCTTTGGCCACGTGGCCACCCTGCGCTCCACAGGGACAGCAGCTCCATTCCCTGGGACTCGGCAGCCCCGGCACTGCTAGAAGGCACCGTCGGCTGTGGTCTCTGGCCAGCACAGCAGGTGGGGCACAGCCAGGGCGCCAGGAAGAGGAGAAGGCAGGACAGAGGGAACTGGGGACCACAGAGGCCAAAGGAGGCCCCAGGTCTCAGAGCCAGTGAGGAACCACCCCAGGCCAGGGGCAGCCCCCACCAACATGGTCCTTTCGCTGGGGCCTGGAGTGGGGGTTCCCAGGTGAGGGGCTGGGAACACACCTGTCATTGTGATGGGGTCCCCAGTCCCCTCCCAGCAGGTCTGTTGGACCCTCTGGGGGCCAAGGGCAGCAGCGGCCTGTTCTGCAGCCCACTGAGGCCAGGGAGGGGTGAAGCAGGAGGGGCCTGGGAGGGGTGAAGCCTCCATGGCTGGCCAAGCACCCAGGACTTGGTTAATCCACACCTGCTCTTAGGGGTCAGGGCCACACTGCCTGACGGCTTCCAAGGCCGCTAATGGCCACATCACCTCAGGGTCCTCCCTCTGCTCTTGCTACCCTGATGCCCCTGGGGCCCCTGTGCCCTCCGGCCTCTGCCCTCGGCTCTGCCCCACATGCCTGGTGCTGTGTCGCGCCATGATCCCAGGTCAGGACTACATCCCCTGGTGACATTGGAACCGTCCAGCTCCCCTCCCTGTGGCGCGTGTGGTTACACCCCCAGGCTCAGGGGCCCCACGACGTCAGCAGAGGTCACCTGAGCCCGAGGGGACAATGGAACCTTTGCCGCCCCTGGGCCCTGACTGGATGTGTCACCGCCAGAACCCATGAGGAGGGTGCACGCTGGCAGTGGCCTGCCCTGGCGTGACCGAGCCCCACCCCCTGCAACCCAGGGCCCCCTGAAGACCTAAGCTGAGGACCCAGATACTGTTCAGGAGTCCTTGGTGCCCCAAAGAGCCCAAAAGTCAATGAATAAACAAGGTTTCCAGAGAACCCAGGAACAACGGCCACATCCCCGCCGCCCAGCCCGTAAGCACCCGTCTGCGAGGTCACAACAGCATGGACCACCAGGGAGAGGGGGACTGTGGGTGCCTGAGTATCTGGCAGTACAAGGTGCTCCCCAATATTCAAGTGAAGTGACCAGCCAGGGGCCACAGGAAAGGCATCAGAACTCCTCGGGGACACGAGAAGTTCAGGCAGGGTCAGGGCGCTTCCTGGAGACGGCGCCAAGCTGGAGCCTGGGACCCAAGGTGGAGGTTCCTGACAGCTGACCCCCCCACCTCCCTCTCCCCCTCTCTCTTCCACAGGTGAGTCCTGGGTCCTGCTGCCAGGTAGCGGACTCAAGGGGAAGGTGTGGGGGATTAAGCTGCCCCCCACTCGGACCCAGGTACAGCCACACACCCTCCATCCCCACAGCCTCCATCGTGGGGCCTGGCCAGCACACTCTCACCAGCAGCGGGGGCCTGGGGTCTGCTGAGGGCCAGTGGGCCTGCGTGTCTGTTTCAGCTAAAGAGACCTCGGACCCCGGAGGACTCGAGGCCTGCGTGTCCATGGGGCCCCCTGTGCCCCCGCCCCCTCCAGCCCGTCTCCCCTGAGTGTGTCTTTAAGACGGGGACCAGGACAACTGAATTACCAACTCCGGAAAGACCCCCAATTCCTGGTTTCCAGGAAGATGAGATTTGTGAGAGGCGGGGGTCTGCTTCCTCCCCAACGCCAGGCGCCACCGCCTCCCATGAGGGTCACTGGCCGAGAGGAGCTAGCCCTCTCCTGTCCTGTCCTCAGAGCTCAGCCCAGCATCGGAGGGGACAGCAGTGATGACCCAGGTCCTGGTCAGCGGGCACAGATCCCAGCAGCTGGGGCAGCCGGGGACCACCTGTCCCTCAAGGACCTCCCCACCTGTCCTGGCGCTGGGAAAGGCTGTGTCCAGCTCTGTCTGCGAAGGGGCCCCCGCCATAGGTGTCTCTGTCAGCTGCGGGGGGTTCCCGCAGGGCCAAGTCCAGATCTCAGTGGAGGGTGGGGAGGGGGCTGGCTGGGAGGGGAGGCTCCGCAGCGGCCGGAAGCGCTTCTGGGAACAGAGGTGGCCTCCGGCCCTTTTCTCAAAAGTCCGACCCCAGCGGGAGGTTGGGGCGGCTGCGGTTTTCCGGGCAGATGGAGGCCGCCCTGTGCGAGTGGCTCGGGCTTCCAGGGGGAGCAGAGAGGGGCCCCTCCCCGTGGAGCCGAGACCACTGCGCCCCGAGTGGGAGGGGGCGGCGGCCTCTCCGCCGCGACCCCGGCCCCTTCTCCGCACCCGGCCCCGCCCGACCCTCCGCGCCCTTGGGACCCCCCCCTCCATGGCGGGTTCGCGCTGGCCTCGGCCTCCCCCACTGAGACCCCTGGAGGCGCCCCCGCCCCCACGCGCGAGAACCCGCCCGCCTCCCCCGGGCTCCGCGACGCACGCTGGGGCCCCCGCCAGGCCCGGAGGGTCGCGCTCCAGGTAAAGCGCGCGGGGCGGGCCCGGGAGGAGCCGGAGACTCCGGAGACCCCGCCCAGAGCCCGCTCCGCCGCCCGCGGAATCCCCCGCCCGTCCGCTGTGCGTCAGCCCGGCCGCCCCCGCGCTGACGTTTCCGCGCCGAGGCCCACGCGAGGCCGCCCACGAGGAGTTTCCGCGCTGAGTCAGCCCCGCGGGACCCGCGCTACGCGGGCCGCCGGTGTTTTCTGGGGCCGGTGCGGGACAGCCCCGGTGTGGGGGGCGCGTGGGGAGAGCCGGGGCCAGGCGGGGAGGATCCGGGCTGCAGGCAGGAGTGCGCGGGGCAGGGCCCGACCGCTCAGCCTCCCCGGGGCTCACACGGGAGGAGCGCGCCGAGCCAGTACCCAGCCCCGAGCCCAGTACCCAGCCTCCAGCCCAGTACCCAGCCCCGAGCCCAGTACCCAGCCTCCAGCCCAGTACCCAGCCCCGAGCCCAGTACCCAGCCTCCAGCCCAGTACCCAGCCCCGAGCCCAGTACCCAGCCTCCAGCCCAGTACCCAGCCCCGAGCCCAGTACCCAGCCTCCAGCCCAGTACCCAGCCCCGAGCCCAGTACCCAGCCTCCAGCCCAGTACCCAGCCCCGAGCCCAGTACCCAGCCTCCAGCCCAGTACCCAGCCCCGAGCCCAGTACCCAGCCTCCAGCCCAGTACCCAGCCCCGAGCCCAGTACCCAGCCTCCAGCCCAGTACCCAGCCCCGAGCCCAGTACCCAGCCTCCAGCCCAGTACCCAGCCCCGAGCCCAGTACCCAGCCTCCAGCCCAGTACCCAGCCCCGAGCCCAGTACCCAGCCTCCAGCCCAGTACCCAGCCCCGAGCCCAGTACCCAGCCTCCAGCCCAGTACCCAGCCCCCAGCCCAGTACCCAGCCCCGAGCCCAGTACCCAGCCCCCAGCCCAGTACCCAGCCTCCAGCCCAGTACCCAGCCCCGAGCCCAGTACCCAGCCTCCAGCCCAGTACCCAGCCCCGAGCCCAGTACCCAGCCCCCAGCCCAGTACCCAGCCTCCAGCCCAGTACCCAGCCTCCAGCCCAGTACCCAGCCCCGAGCCCAGTACCCAGCCCCCAGCCCAGTACCCAGCCCCGAGCCCAGTACCCAGCCCCGAGCCCAGTACCCAGCCCCGAGCCCAGCACCCAGCCTCCAGCCCAGTACCCATCCCCGAGCCCAGTACCCAGCCTCCAGCCCAGTACCCATCCCCGAGCCCAGTACCCAGCCTCCAGCCCAGTACCCATCCCCGAGCCCAGTACCCAGCCTCCAGCCCAGTACCCAGCCCCGAGCCCAGTACCCAGCCTCTAGCCCAGTACCCAGCCTCCAGCCCAGTACCCATCCCCGAGCCCAGTACCCAGCCTCCAGCCCAGTACCCATCCCCAAGCCCAGTACCCAGCCCCGAGCCCAGTACTCCACGACGCCGAAGGGCCGGGTCCTGCCTCCAGGGCTGAGCACCTTCCCCAGTGTCCCTGTGCCACCCTTGGGCTCTCCACACTCCAGGTCCCATGTTGGGGGGGGAGGGGAGCAGACGTCCCCTCTGCCCCGTCCACCTACTGTGAGCTGGGCCCACCGCCCCACTGGGAGCTGAGCTGGGGGCCAGGTGTGCTGTGCCTCCAGGGTGCTGCTGAGACGCCTGCACCAGCCTGCCCGCCACTCCCCGGCAGCTGAGGGAGCCTGTATCAGATCTCACCTGGAGCCTGGAGTGGGAGGCTGGGCGGGCCGAGGGTGGGATGGTGAGGAGAGAGGGCTGGCCTGGAGACGGGGCCGCCCAGCACCAGAAAGTGCTGGATGGCACCCGGGGGCCGGCAGGCTGTGTGGCCAGAAACCAGAGACCCAGGGGCACCAGAGAAGAGCCCCAGAACGGGGGAAGCCGCTGAGCCTGTATCCCTGAGGAGCGCTGGGCCCAGGACTGGAATGGCCCCTCCTCGGGCCCCACCCCCACCCAGCCAGGAGTTCCCAGAATGGGCCCTGGCTGCCCTCCGCTTTGCCCCCTGTGGAGGGGACCACGGCCAGGCATGAGCACGGTGCCCCAAAGCCCAGCCCCGGGTGCCCCGTCCTCCCCCAGCACCCAGCATGCATCCACTCAGGTCACTGGACAAGTGTTTATTGAAGGTCCCCTGCAGCCGGGTCCCGTGCTGGGCACTGCACACCCACGGACACAGCCTCCCGTCCTAAGACCCCACCCCATCAGGGCCAGCAAGGGAGGAAGGGGGCCATGACTGTGTCTCTCTCTCCCTCCTGCAGGGCCCAGCCGCGGCCGCCGAACTGCATGGTCCAGGGCGCTGGTCACTGCCACCTTCCTGCACCCACTTCTGCTGCCAGGGGAGCAGGGCCCGGCCCAGAGCAGAACGCAGAGCCCCTGCGGCCTGGGGAGCTCCTGGGGAGGGGCTGGCTGCGGTCGGTGGCCCCGGAGGACGGCCAGGCTCACACCCACAGGTCTCCCAGCCGCCCCTTCTCCTCTGCCGATCGCTCGCCCCGCTCTTCCTCGGGGAACTGGCAGCTTCTGGCGTCTTCGGTCGACGGCGGCACCTCCAGCAGCAGCTGGGTCTCTGCAGGGGGGCCACGGTCAGCAGGCAGCCATGCTCCCACCTCCCCGCACCAGGCTGTGACAGACCTCGGGGCCACATGCACTGACTCCTCAGCTGCCAGATGTGCAGTCCAAGCTGGGCCGAGGTCAGGAGGAGGACGCAGGCGGCCACGGCCAGGAGGACGACGGTCAGCCACCCAAGCGGCTCTGCCGGCGGGGACCCTGGGACGCACACAGCGTTGTGGGTCTTGTTCCCAGGGAACACAGTGAGAAACCCGAACTGGGTGCAGCTGGAATACATGGACGCGGCCTCCTATCAGCCCCCGGACACGGCCTCCGATCAGCCCCCGGCTGCTGCCCTCCGTGCTGTCTGGGGCAAGGGACAGGAGAGGACCCTTCCTCAGAGTGGGCCTGGACCACCCGGCCACCGGCAGGGCCCACCCAGGACTCACTCTGTCCAAGGTTTGCAGTGGCCTTCGTGGCCCCCGGAGAAGGTCCCCGAGGCACAGTCGATACACTGGAAGCCAAAACTGAATTTCCCTGGTGTGGGGTGTGGGGGGAGGGAGGGAGGGAGGCTGGTGGAGTTGCTGGGATGGATGAGGAGGGCGTCAGGCCAGTGCAGGGGTCCATCTGGGGTCTGGGTGCTGAGTAGAATGCCCCCCCCATCATCCATTCAACAGAGTTCTTCATGGCCCAGGACTGGGGCCCATGTCTGCCCGTCCCAGGTGGGGCGTCTGGGGTGGGGCCCAGTGAGGGCACCTGGGGGAGGTGCGCAGAGTGCAGTGGGCCTGCCAGGGAGGGGAAAGGCCTGCCCATTGGGGGCTGAGGGTGGGCAGAAGCCAGGCAGGACCCAGTAGAACAGAGGGTGGAGAACAGTGAGGGTCCCAGAGAGAGTGAGGCTGGGTCCCAGTTGACCCCAGACCCTGCCCCGTCCAACCTGACACAACCTCCCCAGTTGTACCTTCTCCCAGCTCTCATGTGCCCAGCCTGACCTCTCCTGTCAGGTAAACAAGCCGCTAAGAGGACTTGAGCTGCTCCTTCCAGAACAGGGTGCAGCCCCAGGCCCCAGACAGGACTCCGGGGGGCACAGGGCAGGCTCTTTCAGTATGTGGTGAGGACAGACAGGATGGGTGTCCCGGGCCTGAGAGCCAGACAGCTCCTGGAACCCGCCCCCACCTCCCCGCAGGGTTCTCACAGCCCTCGTGCTGGATGGAGAAGCCCAGGCTGAGAAAGCAGGGACAGGACACCCCCAGAGCTTCATGGCCTGTGGTGCCTGAGCATGGCCTGGCCTGCCCGGCCTCACAGGACTCCGGACCCCACACACCACATGTCCTCGCCGGACACCTGTGCCCACGAGCTCTGCCTCGGGCCCTAGTGGAACCCCTGGCCTGTGTGGACTCCCAGAGGCACCTCCAGGACTTACCCTGGGACTGTACCCCCTGGCCTGGGGGACAAGGGTGGTGCCGGCAGGTCGTGCAGCAAGGGTCTCCGCAGTGGAATTCAGGCTGGACACACATGCAGTCCCACTCGGAACAGCACTCCTCGCCTGGGCAGGAGACAGGCCAGCCCCCCAGCAGCTGGGCTGAGGCCCCCTCCTCCCCAGGCCTCCCCTCGGCCCTCCAGGGGAGTGAGGTTGTCCGTTCTCCACCCACAGTTGGCTCCAGGGAGCAGAGGGCTCCTGGCTGGGAGTCTGGACCCTGGGTTTATCCAGCTGTCTCTTTCTCCTGGGGCCATGTGGCCTGGCTACTCCCCCTTTGCGCCCCACAGCTGCCCCTGCCCAGGTGCTAACTCCATATGCAACCAGGAGCTGCCCCTGCAGGACCCAGGGGTGGCCCCCAACAGTGCACAGTCCCCTGGAGGCCCGTCGACACCTCAGAGGCCGCCTGCCTGGTGTCTGGGCGCTGCTGTCCCCACCACCAGCCACACTGGGCCTCCGGACAGAGCCTCCCTTCCCAACCCACAGGCCCTGGAGGAAGAAGCTCTGGGGTGACTTCCCTGCCAGCTTCCTCTCCAGACCAGCCGTGTCAGCTGAACCCTCATCCCCAGGTGCAGGTCAGAGGCAGGCAGCAGGCCAGACGGTGGTGCAGGGGGGCCCTCAACTGGGCAGGAGGGGGCTGGGCGATGGCCAAGGGCTCACGACCCGCCCAGCAGGACCTGGAACAGCCGTCCTCCACCTCCAGACCCCAGACCCCTCTTGAGGGCGCTCCCACCTGGCTCACCCCTGCTCCCGGCCGGGGCCACTGGCTGGAGCTGGCACACCTCCGCCTCCCTCTGGGATCCTGCCTCCCTCCGGAAGGCTCCCGCTGCTGGCGGCTCTGTGCCCACCCTCCTTAGACCTCAGCAACGCCGGTCTGAGCACGGGAAGGGGGGCGCCCACCCATCCCGGCTTCCGCGGGACGCCTTGGCCGGTCCGCGTTAAGTAAACGCGGTTTACTTACCCGGGTAATCGCGGCAGCAGCGCGTCGTGTGAACCCGGCAGCAGCGCGCGTCCGTTCCCGTCCCAAGCAGGAGGCGCCCAGGGCCGCACCCGGGACCCCCGGTGGGGCGCTGACCCAGGCTGAGCGCGCACAGCAGCGCCAGGCCGCACAGGGCCCGAAACGCGCCCATCGCCCCGTGCTGTGCCATGCTCGGGTTTCAAGAGCCCACAGCCAGTTGGACACGCCCCGTCCCCGTCCTCACCCGCCCTGCCCGGAGGTGGCTGGGACCGTTCATGACCTGAGAATCCCGACCCAGGTGAAGTGCGTGTGAGGAGGGGGTGTAGACACTGCGGACACAGCCCGGTCCCCCGCAGGTCGCCGGCAGGGGCGGGGAAACCAGGCTGGCGGGGATCAGAAAGGTTTTCTATGCAAAGTCTGCGGCCACATTGGTGTCCCCAGTGCAGGGGGCGGCGTTTATAGCACCTTGTCCCATGGGGGCCCCTTGGAGGGCGGGGGTCAGCCAATCACTCCTCCATCCCACTGCCTCCGGGTGGTATCTGCGAGTCCCCGAGAGGTCTCCACAAATTCTGGCCACCCCCAGAGAGCCTCAACCATGGAGCCCCGTGCTGGGGAACCCCACAGAATGGGGACAGGGACCCCTCGGCTCAGCACACCCCACCTGGCTGGCTTCAGGTGTGAAACTCACCATGGGCTGCAGGCCTGTGGGCTCCCCTCCCCCTTGCTTGCAGCTCTCCAGGACCCCCCTCAGGCCAACCTGGGAAGTTCCCCGGGGCTTGGGAGGGGCACCAGGAGGAGCTGGTGGGGAGACGAGAGGGTGCTGGCGCCTCCTCGGGACAGTGTCAGCCGCCCCCGCGGGCACCCAGGGCCCGGTCTCTCAGAGCCACCTTCATCCGTCACACCAGACAGATCCAGGTCCCGGAGGGAGTTGAGGAGGAGCCCCTCGCAGAGCTCTTGGGAGACTGTCCTATGTCTTTCTGAGCCTCAGTTTCCCCTGTGGGCACCGAGGGGTTCTGGGACCCTGCCTCCACCAGGAAGCCTCCCTGGATTGCCCAGCCCTGCTTCTGCGCCGTCCAGCACAGGTGGAGACCCCCATGAATGCTGGGGGTGGGGGCTCTCGGGAACGTGAGCGTGGATGTGGTTCAACACCCTTTTGAGACCTGCAGCCACCGCCTCACCCCGTAAGGCGGTTCCTCCTTTTCCAAGGTAAATGACAGGAATTAGCTGTTTGTGACACCCCGGAGTTCTCAAATCCAAGATGTAGGAGCCTGCCTTGGAGAGGCAGCCCTCAGACACTGCAGAGAAGGAAGGGGTCTCTGCAGCTCCAGGCCGCCCCGACGCTCGGAAGGAAAGGGGTGGGGCCAGCTGGGCCTGGGGGCCTTTGAGAGGCCTGGAGATCTTCAGCCCCGAGGCTGGGAGGGGGTCTGGGCCCCTGGATAGAAAGAGGCGCCATCAGTGGCTCACGCCCGTAATCCCAGCATTTTGGGAGGCCGAGGTGGGCCTCGGATCACCTGAGGTCAGGGGTTCGAGACCAGCCTGACCCACATGGAGAAAGCCCGTCTCTACTAAAAATACAAAAAAAATTAGCCAGGCGTGGTGGCGCACGCCTGTAATCCCAGCTACTCGGGAGGCTGAGGCAGGAGAATTGCTTGAACCTGGGAGGCAGAGGTTGCGGCGAACCAAGATGGCACCATTGCACTCCAGCCTGGGTGACAGAGCGAGACTCCATCACAAAAAATAAAGAATGCTCATCAGACCACACGGTGTGAGTCATCCATCTAGAGGCAGGGACAGAGTTAGAGGAGCGAGCAGTTTATGGGGCCAAGTGGGAGGCGGCCAGCGGGCAGAGGAGCCCCTCCCCCCCGCCCCGTGGCGCAGCTGACACTTTGAACAGCCGGAGAGCAGCTTGCCACACAGGGTGGTCCCCGGAGGGGCTGCAGGGGTGTGACGTCCACCCTCCCATCCCTCTCGCCGCAGAAGGCCCCTCCCCGGCTCCCCGTGACTCCTATCCTTGGGCTGCGAGGCTGGAGGTGACTTGTTCATCTTATTGAGCAGCTCACCGGTGACACAAATGACGGGGCATTCACACAGCAGAGCAGCCCACGGGCCGGGCGAGGGACAGCCCTTGCGTACGTCCAGAAGGGCAGCTGTGAGGCCCCACGGGGAGGGTGCAGATGGGCACTGAGCCAGAGTTCAGGCAGGGCCTTCGGCACAGATGGCACAGGAGTTGCCAGCAGAGATGGCGTCAGGCGAGGGGGCGGGGAGGGTGAGCATGGAGACCAAGAGGAGGTGGCCCCGTGTCCATCTGGGGGTGCGGCAAGGGGTCCTGCTGGGGAATAAGTCCCACGGGGCCTGGGGGGTGCTGTGCCCAGAGGGGAGGAGACAGGAAGCGATGGGTATGGGCGCCAGGTTTGGGGAGGAGGCCCCTTTCCCATAGCCGTCGACCTGCGGGCCCCACAGGATCTGGCCGCTCCAGTCCCGGCCACCTGACCCCTTCCCCCACCCACCCGCCATCCTGCCTGGAGGTCTGGCCTCGCCTGCCCCACGGGGCGGGGGGCGGGGGGCTCTCAGAGGCGCGGCCCCAACCCTGTGCAGGGCCTGCAGGCTGAACCGTGTGCAGGAACCCGGGGAACTCGGTGAAGGTGCTGGATGGGGGACAGGACGGCCTCTGACTTCCCTATGCTGCGGGGGGGGAGGCTTGTGGTTAGCAGAGAGTGGGTGGAAGACAGAGGTTTGAGGAGAGAGAGACCCAGGGGAGAAAACCAGCTGCAGAGGCAGGAGGGGTCCAGGGCAGCCCGAGGCCAGAGATGGGCGTCTTCCTTACAGCCACCTGTGGTCCCGGCACCTTGGGCTGTTGTGAGTGGCGCGTGGCGCTCCCACTGTGCACCCCCGGGGCCGGTTCCCCACTTCCACGACACCGGCAGGGGGGAGCCATCCGCCAGGCACAGGAGGCCTGGACAGCCGTGGGCAGCGTGCGCTGTTGGAGGACGCAGGGAGAGGGAAGGCTGGCCCAGGGACGCTGTGTGGGGCAGCGGGTGCAGCTGCGGGGCTGGGCCACACCAGCCACGGTAGCCGGAGTGTCCAGGCTGTGCCAGGCCCTCAGCAAAACCTTCCATGAGGCTTCATGTGTTTCTTCTTAAGTAATTTTTTTAAATTTCTTTTTTTTTTTCCAGTCACGTCTCACTGCAGCCTCCATCTCTTGGGCTCAAGTGATCCTCCCACCTCGGCCTCCCAAGTAGCCGGGACCACAGGCATGCACCACCACACCCGGCTGATTTTTTCTATTTTTCATAGAAAAGGGTCTTGCCATGTTACCCAGGCGGGTCTCAAACTCCTGAGCTCAGACGATCGTCTGGCCTCAGCCTCCCAAAGTGCTAGGATTCTAGGCGTGAGCCACCGTGACCGGCCTCGGCTGTGTGTTTCTTGCTCATGAGTGCAGTGAGGGCCAGGCGTGGTGGCTCACACCTGGAATCGCAGTACTCCAGGGCACCGAGGCAGGTGGATCACCTGAGGTCAGGAGTTCAAGACCAGCTTAGCCAACATGGTGAAACCCTGTCTCTAATAAAATACAAAAATTAGCCGGGTGTGGTGCTGGGCGCCTGTAGTCCCAGCTACTTGGGAGGCTGAGGCAGGAGAATGGCGTGAACCCGGGAGGCAGAGGTTGGTGAGCTGAGATCACACCACTGCACTCCAGCCTGGGTGACACAGCAAGACTCCGGCAAAAAAAAAAAAAGAAAGAAAAAACAAGTGCAGTGAGACGTCTTAGCCCTCGGGAGTGTTTCTCTTCAGCCCCTGACACCATGGAGGCGAACAGGCACCTCCGCCTCCCGAGGGACACAGATGTCGCTTAGACGCCCGGGGTGTCTTCCCTGCGGGAAGCCTGCAGGGCTGCTCCCGCCTTGTTCCCGAGCTGTGGCCTCGGGCGTGACTGGCGCTCGGGAGCAGGCTCTGTGCTGCTCGAAGGATACCCCACTCCCAGACACCAGCTTGAGAAGATTCCCGCACGGCCGGGGACGGCCCCAGGGCCTTGGGAGCGTCTGTGGACACCTGTGGTGTGGGCCGAGGAGCTGGGAGCTCATCTGAACACGCCAGCACTCGCGCATCCACGCTGCTGGCGGATGCCTGGGTTTCTCCACTGTGGGGCCACGTTACATGAAGTCGCTGTGGTCATTCTCATTCAGATCCCAGGACTCTTAAGTGCGCAGGAGTGGGACGGCCGGGGCCCAGGGTGGACAGAAAGTTGGCTCAAGCAGAAACTGTGGTTTCCAAGGTGACTGTCCCCCTGGACACCTATGGCAGGGACATAGGGGCCGTGTGGGCCCTTTGCAGGGACTCCTCGGGGTGCTCAGGGGCCCTGGGACCCCCTTCCAGGTGCAGCAAGGGGTGGGCGTAGGTGTGGAGGGGAAGAGGGGCAGGTCTCTACACTCCTCCTCCAAGGACACAGAGCCCCGGGGGTCAGCCACTCCCAAGCTCCTTGGGCAACCCGGGGCTCAGGGGCCAGCTGCCCTTGTCAGCGCCTGGCCAGGAACCTCCACCCCAGGCAGCCTTGGGCCTGAGCTTTCCCAGTCTCTCCCCCCGCTCCCCACTCAATCTGGAACTCGCACCCAGGGACCAACCTCCAGGGTCCCACTTGACCCCGCTACCCTCACCTCCACCCTGGCCCAAGACCCCTCTCCAGCCACAGGTTGGCACAGCCCAAGTCTCCCAAGACCCCTCTCCAGCCACAGGTTGGCACGGCCCAAGTCTCCCAAGACCCCTTTCCAGCCACAGGTTGGCACGGCCCAAGTCTCCCAAGACCCCTCTCCAGCCAGAGGCGGGCACGGCCCAAGCCTCCCAAGACCCCTGTCCAGCCAGAGGCGGGCACGGCCCAAGCCTCCCAAGACCCCTCTCCAGTCAGAGGCGGGCACGGCCCAAGCCTCCATGCCACAGGTGTGCAGCCCACAGTGCCGGTCGGAGACTCCCGTCTGCCAAGGTTTTTATTGTGGTCCCGCGGGGCAGG
The DNA here is from genome assembly GCF_000001405.40 of Homo sapiens. NCBI lineage: Eukaryota > Metazoa > Chordata > Mammalia > Primates > Hominidae > Homo > Homo sapiens. The sequence goes on from NC_000001.11 coordinate 1,211,381, forward strand.
AGGTATGCATGGCATACGTAAGCAGAGAGCCGGAGGCAGCCATCGGCACCTAGAACGGTGCAGAGTTGGCCCAGGAGCGTGGCGGGGCAGGCGGCCTGCACCTGCCCTGCTCGCCCAGCAGACCCTCCGGGCTCCAGCCTGGCGGGGCCCAGCGTCCACCTTGGTGGGCCCAGGTCAGATCTTGGCCAGGGTGGAGTGGGCGTCGGCCTGCTCCTCTTGGATGGGGGTCCGGAAACTGCCTCCCCCTGGGGAGGAAAAAAGGAGAGATTGGTGGGTGGGCCTCACCCGCCAGGAGCAGTGCGGCAGGGCCATGAGGCACTCACCAGGGGGCTTGTGGGCATCGGGGGGCAGCCTCTGGTCCCTCCGGAGCAGGTACAGGGCCAGCAGGATGGCCAGGGGGCCCAGCAGCCCCAGCACCAGGCCCAGGCCCAGGATGGCGGCAACCGCACGGCCTGCAGGAAGGGGTCTGCTGGGTGGGGTCCACAGGAGGGGCCCCCATGCCGCCCTCCCCTTCTCCTATTCGGGTTGGGGGCCCCGCTGGGCTGGGCCAGGCGCCCTTACCCCCGGGGACCTCCACGGGCCGGGTGGAGGGTCCCTGTGAGGTTCTGGGCCAGGCTTCAGTGGGCTGGACAGTGATGGGCCTGGCCGGGGGGCCCTGGGTCTCCTGGGGCTGCGTGGCTGGGGGGTCCCTGTCCTCACAGATTGCGTCCGAGCTATTGCTGGCCGGCTGCAGGGTGTGCTTCCCAGCCAAGGTGCAGCTGTTGGGGAACAGGAGGTGTTGCTCAGGCCAGAAACCCCCTGGGACCCGGGAGATGCGGTGGGGATAACAGGGTCCACGCTGGCCAGCCACAGGCAGCATCTACCACAGACACCAGGCCAGTGACAGCCAAGGACGCTGCCCAGCCCCACGTGCCCCCCACAGGGGCCTCCAAGGCCACACACCCTTCTCCCACATCTACACCCCCCACCAGCACCTCCCTGTCCTGTGCCCCCAGGGCCTCCCAGCTGCGGAGGGTGAGGGTCCCACACACCCAGCTCCACCCACAGGGAAAGGCTGCCCCCAGGCAGCAGCTTCCTGCTCCCCAACCAGGTCCAGCCACATAGCCAGGCCCCCAGGGCCACCAGCACCTCCCCTTCCCCCAAAACTGCCCCCACCCCACCTGCCCCCCCAGCCCCTCCCAGCTCCCCAGCTCCTCCGCCCTCCTAACCACCCCAACCCCCCCCCAGCCCCTCCCAGCCCCTGGCCAGGCCCCTCACTTGGTCCAGGGCTTGCAGGCCTGGTTGTCGCCTGGGGAGAAGTGCCCTGGAGGGCAGGGGGCACAGTCTGCAACAAAGATAGGGTGGTCAGGGGCTGCCCACAGGCCCCGGGTGCTGGGGACATGGGGCAGAGCCTGTGGGGCAGGCACTTGCCCCCCATGGCTGGGTGGTGGGTTTGGCCTCTGGAAGCCCTCCCTGCCCACATCCCACCCGTGGGCCCTGACCCGGGAGCTCGGTCTTGAGGATGCCAGAGGAGGCACCGGTGGGGCCAGGTCCCTGCGGCCCACGGCCCATCTGCGTCACAGACAGCCGCTATGCACACCCCCAACCGCCGGCCGCAGCCACCGAGCTCACCAACTCCAGGCTTGTAGCTGTCCAGGGGCTGGGTGCCCGCCCGGCAGCGGCAGACTGTGTCCTGTGTGGCCGTGCACAGCTGCTTCCGCTCACTCCCACTTCCTGAGCAGGGGCCGGATGGGGGGGTGGTCAGGTGGGGGCTGTGGACAGGGTCCTCAGGAAGCGTGGGCACTGGAGGACAGGTTGGCCTCCCCACCACACAGAGGGCCGTGGGCAGGGGTCTGCGGCCTCCCCTGAGACTTGGAGCCCCTGCAGCCCCCGAGGCTCCTGGGCCCTCCCTTCCTGGCCACAACCTGGGGCTGGTTCCGTGGCAGCCCCAGCCACCCTTCCCTACCCCTCCACCGCCTCCAGCCGCCAGCCCCGCCTGCGGCAGGGTCTCCATGGCCCAACCCCCCAGCCTCACTGCTCAGGCCAGCAAGGCCAGGCCACATGGCCAGCGTGGTCTCCCCGACTCCACGTGGCCTGGGCCGAGTCTGGGCCCCCGGAGGGAGAGGGGGTGCCCCTGGGAGACGCCTCAGCTCCTCGAAGGACCCCTGTGGCGGAGCAGACCCCGCTGTGGTTTGAGGTTCGTTTCTGCGGCTGTGGGAGCCCCATGCTGCTGCGTGGGAATGTGGGTGCCAGGCTGCCGCCCCCTGTGCTGGGTGGGGCTGTGGGGCCAGGTGGGAGCTCACTGAGGTTACACCACGTGCAGGGCTTGCACGGCTTGGAGCTGACCACGTCGTTGTAGAAGCCCGGCCCGCACGGACGGCACACCGTGTTCTGGGAGCGGCTGCAGCGGCTCACCATCCCGTTGCCTGCAGCAGAGGCCGGCGTCAGGCAGCGGTCAGGCCCCAGGCTTGCGCCCGTGGACCCCCCCAGGCGGCTCCTCTGCCAGGCTTGGCCGGCCCCTCACCCGCCCCCTCCCCAGGACCAGCCTCCTGGCTGGCCCATCCCTGCCCCAGCCCCCAGTCCCTGGAGTGCCCGTGCGTGGCGACCCCTCCTGAGGCCTCACCTGGCCTGCACTCGTGGCAGCACCGGTCGTTGCTGGGGTAGGTGTCCCCGACACAGTGGAGCCCCGTCACGGTGCTCAGCCCCAGGCCCAGGAGGAGCAGAGCCGCACACGGCCCGCGGCCCAGCCGCCGAGCCCCCACGCACATCCTCGTCTCTGCTGTCGCCAGAGTCTGGGTTTTCCTTGCGGGGTGTGGCTATAAGGACTGTGGAGGAGGGGAGGGGAGAGGGGAGGAGGGCAGAGGAGGCGGGAGGAGGAAGGTGGCAGGCCGGGGACCCTGGCTGTGGGCTGGGCACAAAGGCGGGGTCTGGGCACCCCCAGCATTGGCTTATTCTGCCTTCTGACCTCTTCTGCCCAAGACCACCGTGTTCAGACCCCAGGGCACAGTAGGGCCTGGCCTGCGGCTCGACCCTCAGCAAAAAGGTCCATGGAGCACGTGGGTAAACTGAGGCAGCACTGAGTCAGGAGAGGCAACTCCTCAGTCTGGACCTTCAGGGCTGTGGCACTGCTGAAGCATGGTCCCCCTTGTATGCCCAAGACTAGCTCTGAGCAGCAGTGACCACAGCCATGGTAAGACAGACACCCATGGCCAGGCACGGTGGCTCCCGCCTGTAATCCCAGCACTTTGGGAGGCCAAGGCGGGTGGATCACCTGAGGTCAGGAGTTCAAGACCAGTCTGGCTAACATGGCGAAATCCCGTCTCTACTAAAACTACAAAAATTATTCGGGCGTGGTGGCGGGCGCCGGTAATCCCAGCTAGTCAGGAGGCTGAGGTAGCAGAATCACTCGAACCCAGGAGACAGAAGTTGCAAAGCAGAGGTGGCGCCACTGCACTCCAGCCTGGGCGACAGGGCGAGACTCATCTCAAAAAAAAAAAAAAAGACACCCGTGACCACAGCCCACGCTGAGTGTGCCTGAGCACGGCAGGTGTCTATGGCTGAACTGTGCCCCTTAAATTCCTGCGTGGAAGCCCTAACCCCCATGTGGCAGTGTTTGGAGACAGGCCTCTGAGGAGGTGGTGAGGGTGGGTCCTGGATGGCCTGGCGCACACGGGCACGCAGGCAGGTTTCCACCTTCTATGCAAACAGTTCTCAGGTTCCAGGTTTGCCCAGAGGATGCGAACTGCCCGGAGAGCTGGGGAGCAGGTGCGGGGCTGGGGGCTCCCTGGGCCCTTTCTGCACCTTTCAAATAACTGTGACCAGCCTGTGATTATCCAAAAGTTCATTTTTGAAGTTGCAAGTGGAGAGGGGCCTCTAGGAACAGAGCAGCAGGGAAGGGGCTGGAAATCCCCTCCTCCCAGGAGCACAGGAAACAGCTGCCTGTCCTCGGCCCACCCGTGGGGAAATTCCCAGCCGTGGAGCCCGCTGGCCCTGGAGAGGGAGGGAGTGGAGGGAGAGGCCACCCGCCCTCGGACTGAGGGTCCCTAAGTTGGTCACCCTCCCCACGTCCCCACAAGTAGAGAGGACCCTGGAAGGGCTCAGAGCATCCCAGACAGTGTGTGTACCTGCATGTGCACACCCCAACCCAGGTGGGCAGAGGAGGAAAGTTCTGGCATTTTGTGGAAGGTTCCACCCAGCGTTCACAAGGGTTTCCCACTGACAGTGAGAAAAAGCTTACATTTGCAATTGGTTCCTTGGAGGTTCAGGTGAACTGGGGGTCTTGGTGGGCAACACTGCTCTCCTGGGGCCTAAGTGGCCACATCTGCCCACAGGTGCAGTGAGTGGGGCCCGTGCACCATGGAGAGGGCACCCCCAGCATATTGCTGGCAACTGCAATGGCCCCAGGATGGGGCACGGCCCCTCCTGCTTGAAGCTGCCCAGGAAGCTCAGGTCTCCTTGTCCTGGGCTTAAGGTCACAGGTCCAAGAAAGCCCTGCTGTGTCCATGGAACCGGGTGTGGCGTGGCCACAGGAGGCTGGACACTGACCCAGAGCTCAGGACCCCCAAGGTCTGTAAGGCAGCCTGCAGCTCGAACCACATCCCCAGGAGCTGGGCTCCCCGCTCCACACAGTAGTGTCGCGGGCGGCACAGGGCAGCCCATGAGTGGCCACTGCTCCTCCAGTACCAGACTGGAGCTGGCTGGGGCCTCTGAAGGGCCAGGTGCCACCACATACCCAGCTGTCCCCCCGCCTTCATGTCCAGCACAGCATGGCCTCAGCTCACACCTCCCACCTCTGGGTGCACGGCCCTCAGCACAGGGCGTCGAATGCTGCTGCAGCTATGATGGTCCCTGGCTGTGGCCTGGGGCCACGGATGGGGAAAGACAGAGTCCAGGCCACCGAAGGTTGGCTCCAGGGAATTACAGCCCCTTAGAGCAGGGCGTGGGACCATCCTCCCACCACCTGCGCTGGCCGTGGCTCTGTGAATCTCGTTTGCCTGGGAACCAGCCCAGGTGCCAACCCGCCCTCTCGGCCCCACAGGGGCCCCTGGGCAGGTGGGCTCAGGGCAGAGGCCGGTCACATGGGCACCACAGGGCAGACTGAAGAGGACACACTCCCGGCTTCCCTGAGCTCCCACTGGGAGAGCCAGGACACAGCCTGGGCCCCCACACGCCACAGAGCAGGACCCCCACCAGCCGTCCTAACACACCCCATTCTCTGCCCCATCTGGGGCTAGGCCTGCCCCACTGCACCCAAAGACCTTGCCATCCTCCACCCAAAACCCCCAGGCGGCTCTGTCTCCTGCCTTAAATGTCCAAACCCCAAACTCAGTGGGCACGTCTGCTGCCCCCTGACCCCTACTCACAAACGCAGCGCTGCCCTCCGTCCTCCCAGAGCCCCTGCCCGTTGCCACCTGCCAGGAGAATCACCTCGAACCGGCCATGACCTCCAACCCTCCACGTGACCCAGCACCAGCCTCCAGCGCTCCAGTGGAAACTGTAACCACAAACCTAGCACGCTGCTGTTGTGTTTTGTTTCACGCCCAAAGAATGAAGCTGACCAAAAAAGGCAACTATATTTAAAGTAAATGTATGTGATTCTTGTCACAACAAATATTTGCATTTTCTCAGCGGCAGCTGCGGGACCTGGGTGGCTCCGACACGCCAGGCCCGGGAAGGACCCGGCACCCTCCCCTGAACTTCCTGGCTACTCATTTCCAGCGAAGTTTAATCTATTTTTAATAATCGTTCAGTTTTCAAGGAAATGGAGGAGCTGTTTTTTCCCACGGAGCGGCGGCCCTGGGAGGGGCCGGGCCCAGAGGTTCCGGCCGCGATGCCGTCAGCGCCTTCGGCAGAGTGACTGAAGCGAGATTTCGTTCTCAGAAGTGAGATGCCACGATTTCGAGGGACCAGGGAGGAGGCGGCGCCGCGGGGCCACAGCCCAGCCCCGCGCCCCGACCGCGTCACAGCCAAAGCCCCGCCGGGGTGCGCGCTGCAGAGGGGACACGCCGCTCATCAACTGGGGCAGCCGCGGTCGGTCGGCCGGTGGCGGGCGGCAGGGAAGAGGTGGGGTCCGGGACAGCCACGGAGCCCGGAGTCACCCGCGAGGCCGCCCCGGTGGTGCGTGGGGGGCGGCGCGGGGCGCGGCCGGGCGCTCAAAACTCCTCGTGCACGCTGCGCGCGTAGTCCACCAGCTTGCTGCCCGTGAAGAACTCGCTGTACTTGAGCACCTCCTCGGGCTCCAGGTGGTGGTTCTGGTTCTCGTCGGCGACGGCGATCATCTGCTTGGCCTCGTTCAGCGCGTTGTACTCGTTCATGGGGTCCATGTAGCTCTGCGGGCGAGCGGGGCACAGGTCAGCGTCGCCTTTCCCCCTCCGAGCTCCGCGGCCAGCCGCACGAAGTGGCTATTTAAGGTGCCTATTGGCTGCAGCGGGAGTGTGGGCACGTTCTGGAAGGTTCCCGAAGGGAGGCGGCACAAATGAAAACACAGGGCAGGGAGAAGCCGGGGGCCCCGGAAGGCCTGCCCGGGGCCAGCAGGGGTAACGGGGCACAGGGGCTACACAGGCCTGGACCCCAGTTCTGAAGGATCCCTAACCTGGGCCGGGCCCACTGGCTGTCGCCAGGAATCACAGGATTCTACATAAAAACAAGATGACTCACTCAGCAGTGGGAGAAAAACAAGCCTACACATGATACCAGTGAAAACGCTTCAGAGGAAGGTGGTAAATTCCAGCCATGTGGCACAGGCCGCCCCGCCCACCTGCACCTGCTGGGCCTTGGACCTGCCTCCATGCTGGGCCCAGCATGAGCTTCCCCTTGTGGTCCCGTTAAAAAGGGGCTGTGAGAACCCTGACGCCTCCGCAAGGGGCTGAGGATGGAGCCCGGCCAGGCTCGCCTGTCTCTGATCCGTCTGAACCTAAACGCCAACAACGGCCATGCAGCCTGGTGGACACCGCTGAGCAAACGCCCCAGTGACCAGCCCAGATGGAGTCTCAGGCCAGACACCAGCACAGCTTCCTGCCTCAGGCCCAGATCCACCAGCCCCTCCCGCCACAGCACCTCGCAGGGCCGGCTCCGGGACACGGCTGCGCCAGGGCTCACCTCCAGCTCCTCGGCGGTCACGATGCCGTCGTGGTTGGAGTCAATGAGCTCCTCAAACTCCTTTTTTCTGTCTTTCACCCAGTTGTCGTCAATGTCCTGGCCCTGCTGGTTCTCCACGGTGCCCACGGGCAGGGAGATGAACTCGGGCACAGAGAGCTGCTTGTCACCGTCCTGGTCTGCGAGACGGGAATGGGTCAGCCCACACCCAGGCTGGGGCTCCCGCAGGACCTGCCCCGACCTCCCGACGATGCCCGGCCCCTGCCAGTCGGTCCTGGGTCCTGGCGTGCCGGCCAGGCTGGACCCAGCCTCACCCAGGTCCCGGACGATCTCCTTCACCATGAACCTGAGCATTCCCCGGCTGTGCTCGGGGTGGAGGAACGACAGGAACTCCTCCTCCGTCAGCAGCAGGTCTGCAGGGGGGCTGTCCGCCTGGTACCAGCGGTCCTTCAGGTTCTCCAGGACTTCCTGTGCTGAGAGGGGCGCAGCCTGTGGGTATCGAGGCCGACAGACGCCAGCACGCAAATCCAGAAAGTTCCGAGAGGTGCTGCCTGAACTCGAGGGACACAGCCACCCGCGAGACCGGGGCCCCACCCTCCAGGATTCACACGTCCCCAGAACATGGCCCAGCCCCTAAGACACAGCCTGGACCCCCGCCAAGACATAACCCAGAGCCTCCCACAGGCCTGATCCCCAAAGGCATAGCTTGGACCCCTCCACACAGCCCGGACTCCCCAAGACAGCCTGGACCCCCCCCTGCCCCAGACCCCCAATACATGGATGGCCCTGACTCCCCACAGACACAGCCCAGACCCCCAGGACATGGCCTGGACCCCCCACACAGCCCAGACCTCTCAAGACATGATCCAGAACCTCCCCATGGCCCAGACCACCCCAGGACACAGCTCAGAGCCCCTCATGCCTGGGACCCCTCAGGATGGGCCTGGGCCCCACCCCCCACACCCGCGCCTGCCCCTCTGGAGGAGCGGAATCACCCTGAAGGCTGACGTGCGCACGGCGCCGCGGGGCGAAGGACTCACTGCCCTTTTCCGTTTCCTTCACGTGTGACGTCACAGGGAGGAAAACACAGTTTCTAGAAATGACTGAGACTGGGGCTGAGCAGAGCTTCCCAGGAACCCTCCCAGCCGGGACACGGCACTGCCTCTGGGTGTGTGGCCCCCGCTCTCCTGCCGTGCCCACCCGGCCCCAACGGGCCCTCACCCCGAGGTCCCCACACATCCCAAGGACCCAAGCCACCCTGGGTCTCCAGGACAGAAACACCACCTCCTGCCCCATCTTGGGGCTCACTGCAGTCAGTGGCCAAGTCCAGTGTTGAGGCCCACACTCAGCCCCCTGCACGTGAGGCCCGACTCTGCCCTGGCCGAAGCCCCTGCCACAAGCCCGGCAGCCTCTGCGTCGCGCTCACTGCGGGATGAGGCCCAGCTGCCGTCCCATCTTATCCCTTTCTGAACAACCTCCATCTACACGACCGGTTCACTTAAAGGAAGACAGGAGTGACGGGGCTGTGGTTCCTGGGGCACCCCTCCCTGTCTGCTCCACCGCAGCTCCTGGGATGGATGGACGGGGCCAAACTGAGACCCATCCAGGAGAGGCACAGACGCCCCAGACAGGCCGGCCGAGAGACGCTTTCTCCAGCACAGGATTCTCACAGCCGCCGCCGAGCCCCAGCACCAACCTCAGGCTGGTGAAGAAGCCTTGAGTCCCAGTCCCTCCCCACGAGCCGGGCCTCTGCTGTTAGGGAAGGATCTGGAGAGACCCTCCTGGATCAGGGAGAGTCAACGACTGCTGTCCCTGTGAGAAGAGGACGCAGACCCAGAGAGAGGCAGCGATGGAGGCGGGGGAAGGGAGTGATGCCCGCCTGCCACGCCTTCACCGCGGTCCCCAGAATCAGGTCTGAGGCGCGAGGACAGCAGCCCCCGGACTCACGCGGTGACCCTCGCAGGAGCCATGCAGGGAGGGGTGGGAGGTCGCAGGAGTGACGCCTGCCAGCGCTTCCCAGGCCCCTCCTCCAGGACCCGGCAGCTGCTCTTCCTGAGCCAGAAACCAAATACCCAAAGAGGTCGGGGGGTCCTAGGCACCCTGAGGTCGGGGAGGCCAAGACGGATCGGACACGGGTGGGCAGGGAACAGCACCTCAGCATGCATGGGGACCCCCAAAACGCAGAGTGAATTCTAAACACACCTCTGCTGAGTCCCAAAGGTAGACGGAGGCTTCACAGAAATGTCACAGAGCTCTAGGTCCAGGTGGGCCATGTCCTGGGCAGAAAAGACCCAAATAAAGTGGCACCAAGGAAAGACAGACACAATCAGAGTTGGGGGGCGGGCACGGGCAAGGCCTCCTGCCCCAAGCACATCGCCAACAGGCCGGACCAACGGGATGAAGCTTAAAGACGCAGTCAGGACAGCAGGGAACGCGGGACCGGGGTGGAGGCACGAACCGTGTGTGGGGAGGAAAATGTAAACCACTCTTTTGGAAAGGAAGTAATAACGTCCAATTTGGCCGGGCACTGGGGCTTGTGCCTGTAATCCCGGCATGCTGGGAGGCTGCGGCAGGCAGATCCCTTTAGCCCAGGACTTTGAGACCAGCCTGGGCAACACAGGGAGATCCTCTTACTTTTAGTTTTTTTAATGTCCAATTTGCAGGATTTAGAACGGACAGGACCAAACTCCAGATAAGAGTACGTGAACTGGGAAAAGAGCAGGCAGAGCCAACAGGCTCAAAAGTCTCCGCGTCATTCTAGAAGGTCAAGGCCAGGCACAGGGGCTCATGCCTGCAACCCCAGGATGGGGAGAGGCCAAGGCAGGCGGGTCACTCGCGCCTGCAACCCCAGGACGGGGGGAGGCCGAGCGGGTCACTTGAACCCTCTGAAATCCAAGAGTTTGAGACCTACCTAGGCAACATGGGGAGACCTTGTGTCTACAAAATATATGTTTTTGAATCAGCTGGGCATGGTGGCACACACTGGTGGTCCCAGTCACTCAGGAGGCCGCCCCCATGGGGGCTGGTCACATGATATGGGCCGTTCCTGGCAGGAACGTATCTTACACCTTTATTTTTCTGTCCTCCAAGGAGGATAGATTGAGCCCAGGATGTGGAGGCTACAGGTGAGCTGAGATCGCACCACTGCACTCCAGCCTGGGCAACAGTGAGGCCCTCACTCTTAAACAATTAAAAATTAAAAATTAAAAAAAGAAAGAGGCTAAGACTAGGCGCAGTGGCTCACGCCTATAATCCCAGCACTTTGGGAGACTGCAGTAGGCGGATGACTTAAGTCCAAGAGTTTGAGACCAACCCGGCCAACACGGCAGAATCTATCCGTACAAAAAATACAAAAATTAGCCAGGCGCGGTGATGGTGCCTGTGGTCCCAGCTTCTGAGGTAGGAGGATCGCCTGAGCCCTGGAAGGTACAGCTGCAGGGAGCCGAGACTGCACCACTGCACTGCAGGCTGGGTAGCAGAGTGAGACCGTCTCATGAAAAAAGAAAGAAGAGGTGGTTTGCCTTGAGACTCTGGTGAGGAAATGTGTGTTACTGATAAGTTAAGCAGGCACAAAAAATAAAGGTGTAAGATACACCCAGCCTGCCAGGAGCAGCCCCGTATCACGTGACCAGTCCCGTGGGCGACACGGGCGCCCTGCAGGGCAGCAGAGAACCCACCCCAGGATGCCGGGCAGCGACGGAGCAGGCGACTCTGCACGTTCTCCTCAAAGCCCCAAACCAGACCACGGGCATGACCGGGAAGGGCACACGGAGCCCCAGGGTGGCAGCAACGCCACGGTACCCGCTCAGCTGTGCCTCACAACTGGGCCAGCAGGGGCTTCTGCCTGGACGGCTCTCCCAGACCTGGCCCCGTGCAGGGTGGCCCGGCTCTCCCCTCACCTGGCCTTAGCCCGGGTGCCGGGCCCCACCCGGCCCCACCCTCTTCACGCAGAGGCACCAGCTTGGACCCGCCCAGGGCTGAGGCTGCCCTGCTGGCCAACGGCCACACCCCAGACCCAAGGAAGAGCCTCTCCCTGGGACCTGACCGCTCTCTGGTGACCACCTGACGGCCACACAGATGTCTCCAGCAGACCCAGGCCTCAGGGCCAGGCCCTCAGGCACAGGCTGTGCCCTCTCCCCAGGAAACTCTGCCTCACGTGGCCTTCAGAGTACGGGGCAGGCCCCAACCCAGACTCACAGCCTCAGATTCTCTGCAGGACCTAACTGAGTAACGGCCGTGAAGGTGCCGTGACCAGCAGAGCTGAAAGCTGCCCAGGCACAGCTCACACGCTCCCCACCGGACTCCTGGGCGGCGCCTAGGTCAGCAACGGCTTCACCCACTTCCCTCCTGACAGCCACCACCAACCAGGTTGGGCCATGCTGTTAAGACGAACACGTGTGCACACAGCGGGTGTGAGGGCGCACTCACCTGCATGTACTCACGAGCCTACATGAACAGCTACCTGGATGTACTCACAAGCACACGCACAGCGCACTCGTACACACGACACGCACACACGTACAAGCACATGCACAGTGCACTCGTACACACGACACGCATACACATGTACTCACGAGCACACACACAGCACACGTACACACAACATGCACACACGTACTCACGAGCACGCGCACAGCACACTCGTACACACGGCACGCACACACGTACTCACGAGCACACGCACGGCACACTCATACACGACACACACGGCACACTCATGTACACACAACACACGCGCGCACACACAGGATGCCTGAGACCGGTGGCGGGAGCCTGGCTGAGCACTCACTTTCCTCATCCACTTTGAGTTCCTCGTTGAGCCTGATGGCGTCGGCAACCTCCTTCTCGCTATGGCCTTTACTCGCCAAAAACTTCACCTTATACTCGTCCCAAGACACGTGACCTGGAAGAGCAGATCACACCTGTCAGGGCCTCTGATACTGAGCTGAACTTCCTTCTCAACTGAGATGGGGTCTTGCTCTGCTGCCCAGGCTGGAAGCGGCAGGATGCCAGCGTCTGGAGCCCCAGGGCCCCGGCCAGCACCCCACACCCGTTTCCTCACCTGTGAGGCCAGCCGGCAACGTCTGTGCCTCGGGGCCACCAAGAGGCATAGACACCACCAGATGAAGGCCCCGAAGACATAAGAGGCGCCCTCCATGGGCCACGCCCAGTGCTTGGCACACACACCTCTGTCACCAGGATTCTGGCATCATGAACCCAGCTTCCGTGCACCCCACCACACCTCGGGGTCTCCGGCTGACACTTCCCCACCGCCCGTCCCTCAGACAGGGCCTGTCTGCCCTCCAGGCACCAGGCAAGGCCCATGGCCCTGCCCGCCCCGCCCACCGCCCCACCCACCCCGGCCCAGCCACAGTACCGTCCCCGTCAGGGTCCACGGCGCGGAAGTGTGTCTTGCTCTCCTCCATGGCCTCCTGGAAGTGCTCGGCCGTCTTCTCCATGATCCAGCGCTGCATCTCCTTGGCACTGATCTTCCGGTCAGTGTTCACATCCACCCTGCAAGACAGCAAATGGGCAGGTGGCCGTCAGACTGGGCCCCCAGGACCCCGAACAGCCAGACGGATGCCGCCGGCCCAGGACTCCATGGCTGCGTGAACCTGCCACCAACAGCGACAGGCTCCACCAGGCAACGCGAAAAGCGTCCGGGACGTGGGGCTTGTGGGGTGCCGGGCCACGCCAGAGACACTGGGGAAGGTGGATGCCACGGTCCCCTCCCCGGGGAAACACATGGACCCTCCCCCTCTGTCACACAGAATCACCACCAGACCCCACTCTCCAACCACAGCTTCCAAAAGTCACACTCTTCACGTTTTATTTTATTTTTTGAGATGGAGTCTCACTCTGTCACCCAGGCTGGAGTGTGGTGGCGCAATCTTTGCTCACTGCAACCTCCGCCTCCCGGGTTCAAGCGATTCTACTGCCTCAGCCTCCCGAGTAGCTGGGATTACAGGGGTGCACCACCACGCCTGGCTAATTTTTGTATTTTTAACAGAAATACGGTTTCACCATGTTGGGCAGGCTAGTCTCAAACTCCTGACCTCAAATGATCCACCCACCTCAGCCTCCCAACGTGCTAGGATTACAGGTGTGGCCACTGGGCCCGGCCCATGTTTTATTTTCGATGCTTCAGGTATGGCTACACAAAAACCTTCATATAGGCAGGACGCAGTGGCCACACCTATAATCCCAGCCCTTTGGGAGGCTAAGACAGGTGGATCACTTAAGCCCAGAAGTTCAAGACCAGCTTGGGCAACATAGGGAGACCCCACCTCTACAAAAACAATTACGAAAATTCGCCAGGCGCGGTGGCGTGCACCTGTGGTTTCAGCTACTCAAGAGGCTGAGGTGGGAGGCCTCCCGAACCTGGAATGCGAAGGTTGCAGTGAACTGTGATCACACCACTGCACTCCAGCCTGGGCGGCATACCGAGACCCTGACTCAAAACAAGACAAAACAAAATCCTTCATATAAATTTAAGTTGTGAGATTTAGGAAGAAGACCGTGTGGGGACTTAACATTGTGTGCAAGGATGGAAGAGACCACAGACTTGGGGGATAGGGACACAGACTGGGGACACGGGGCCAGCGCAGGCCAGGTCAGGAGGCCACAGGCCCCAGGACAGGTCACTCCCGTCCCAGCTTCAGAGCTCGGCTTCACCATTATGTCTTTGTGGAAGCCACAGGCTCCTACCCCTGCTGCAGCCGCCCGTGTCCTGAGCTCACCTGTTGGAAACTTAACCCCCAGGGCAACAGCACTGGGAGGCAGGGCTTCCAGAGGTGCGAGGTCTTGAGACCCCGGCTGGTGCGTTTGCCGGAGGCATCCCCGAGAGTAGGGTGCCCTGGCCCCTTGCCTCTATGCTCCGCTCAGGGGCAGCCGCGGCCACGTTATGAGGTGGCAAGCAGGCCCTCGTCAGGCAGGTGTGGCCTCTGGGACCTGGGCCAGGCAAGCTTCGAGGGTGCACACACCGCAGGCACGGCTCAGAAGCACTGGGCAGAGATCCTCATGGAAGAAGGCCAGGCTGCCGCTCACACGCGCCCCTCCCTCAGCAGCCGCAGCAGCCCAGAGGTGGACGGGCCTGGGAGGCACCCTCAGCTCCACAGTCCCCAAAACACACCGGCTGGGGACGGGGCCACCCGGGTGGCCATGTGGCAGGTGGGGCACCTGGTGGGTCTCACGTGGACACGTGCATCCTCGAATGCTCCGGTCACGCTCCACACGCGCCACAGACACAGGCCACACGCTCCACACGCCACAGACACGGGCCACACACTCCACATGCCACAGACACGGGCCACACACTCCACACGCTCTACACACTCCACAGACACAGACACACACGAGGCAGAGCAAAAAGCAAAAAGGTGGAAAGAAACCACATGGCGCAGGATTCCAGTCAAGATGTCGGCAAGGAGTCACTCATCCAAACTCAGGTGCCTGAAGACACGGCTGCAGGGCGGTGCACGTACATGGAGCTGGCACGCACACACGCAAGTGCACAGGCCGGTACCCACGTGTACACAGCACACACACGTGAACAGGGCTGGCAGAACACAGATGTGACTGGGCTGGTGCACACACGCATGTTATCAAGTTCTGGCTCCTGAGAGAACAAGGGCAAGACGCCCAGTGCCCAGACCCTGGCTTCCAGCTCCAGCCACGGGAGACAGGGCTTCCTGGAAAGGCGGCAGCTATTGCACTGGGGCAGGTGGCACGGAGGCGAGCCCAGAGCATCTCACCGTGCCAGGAAGCGGGAAGGAAAGCCTGGAGCATCTCGTGGTGCAGGGAAGCGGGAAGGAAGTGAAGCTCAAAAGCCCCTAGGACAGGGCACCTCCCCTCTGGATGCTCTTTCCAGAAACCCTCAACCCTGTACGGTCAGGAGGAAACATGGCACCTCCCCTCTGGGGGCTCTTTCCAGAAACCCTCAACCCTGTACGGTCAGGAGAAAACACATCCCACAAGCCCAAACTGAGGGACAGCCTAAAACCTCCTACCCAGCCCTTCTCAGAACTGTTACGTCCTCACAAAAACGGGAGAGTCTGAGACACCGTTCCAGCCCAGAGGAGACAGAGGAGACAGGACAGCTGAGTGAACGTGGGTCCTGGAGGGACGGGGCCCTACGCAGGAGAAGGGCGAGAAGGGACCCGCGTGTGGGAAGGGAAGTCTAAACACCCACAGCGGCCGCTGTCGCCGCTCGGCGCAGGAGTCAGGGAGACCCGGAGACCTGCTGTTACTTCCCACTCCCCATGCCCACCTCCTCAAACGAGACAGCTTGGGGTTTCGTTACAGGCACCAAAAAGAAACCCCGGTCCAGCTGGAGACGCACCGAGCAGAAGCCTCAACTCCCCTCGCCCAGGCGTGCAGCCCACCCCCAGCACCGGCTGAGCAGGGACGGGGACCCTTCCCCTGTGATGCCGCGAGCCAGGCCTTCGTGAGCTCAGGGGTGGTGAACCTGACAGGCCCCAGGGGCACCAGCAGCCTCTTCGTGGGTTGGTCAGCTCACCACCAAGTGAACTCAGGCCACGCAAGGACCCCCGAACCGTACCATCTGAGGAGAGGTGCAAGGGGACACCACACCTGGTGCCCAGGTCCTCCAGCTGGCACCGTGCCTCCGTCCCACCAGCTCACCTGTGCTCCGCCCGAAAGCCTGGATCCTCAGGGCCCTCCCGCCTGGCCCTCAGCCCAAGGGCCGTGGCACAGCCAGACCAGTCCTCACACCTTTCCTACCTGCTCCTGCACCCCAGGACCCCAGCCCTGCCCAATCCCCTTGCTCACCAGCTTTGCCACCTGCCCCTCTGCACTGGTCCTGGAGCACCAGGCCCGGCGGGAAGGCGAGCTCGTGGCCAGGCCCTGCGGGAAGGCGAGCTCGTGGCCAGGCCCGGCGGGAAGGCGAGCTCGTGGCCAGGCCCGGCGGGAAGGCGAGCTCGTGGCCAGGCCCGGCGGGAAGGCGAGCTCGTGGCCAGGCCCTGCGGGAAGGCGAGCTCGTGGCCAGGCCCTGCGGGAAGGTGAGCTCGTGGCCAGGCCCTGCGGCGGGGGCTGCCTCCTTGTGCCCAGGTCTCGCAGGTCCCAGGAGGCCCAGGGTGTTCTCTCACCTGCACCTCGGCTCCCTGCCCGGCACCCTGGCTGGCCTGGGGGACTCACGGGCACGCCCTGACCCTGCTCTGCCTCCAGGGGTGAGGCCAGCGCTGAGTGCAAGTAGGTTCCAGGGCCACACCGCAGGGCACCCCGGCCGTGCCGTAAGGAGTAAGGCGCCCGTGCAGGACCTGGCTCCTTGTGGGTGAGTGGTCAGGTTGACCCATCTTGGACCCCTCACAACAGGCTCTCGAGACTCAGGGATGGGGTCGGGGGAGAAAGCTCGGCACTAGGCACAGAGGCAGCAAGAGGGTCTCGGGACTCAGCAGGGTGGGGGCAGTGACGGCCAAGGATGGGCCACTGACAGCACAGCTCTGCTCCCGACCAGGCCAGCAAAACAAGCCAACCCCACACACCCCCAGCCTGCGTGTGATACGCGGCCCGTGTGTGACAGGGACCCCAAACACACAGGGTAGAGGGCGTGTCAGGAGGAGCCCAGAGCACCCTGTACCAGCTCTCCAGCCACCTGTGGCAGCCCCTCACTCCTCAGCCAGGCCTCGTCCAACTGGGGCTGCAGCCTGCGGAGGCTGCCCGTGGCCGGCGTCTGCCCCTCAGCATGGAGGACGCTGACCACTGCAGTGCCGCGTGGGCTCCTCCAGGCTGTCCTAGGGACGGCCACACAGGCCCACTCTGGCCCTCTGAGCCCCCGGCGGACCCAGGGCATTCAAGGAGCGGCTCTGGGCTGCCAGCGCAGGCCTCCGCGCAAACACAGCAGGCTGGAAGTGGCGCTCATCACCGGCACGTCTTCCCAGCCCGGCAGGTCCCGACACAGGGCCCGGCGCCCCCCACCGCGCAAAGCCAGGATAGGAACACACAGGCGAGCGCACGCGGACAGCCCCCCAGTCTGGGCACATGGCGGCACCTACTTGGAAAAGATGACCATCAGCTTCCTCCGGCTCCGCCGCGGCTCCGCGTCCTCATCAAAGCCACCCAGGTCCTTGCCTAGGAAGACCTCCTGGTGGAAGCCGCGATTGAGGTGCCCGTCCATCTCCAGCTTCACCCCGTTCAGGTGGTCTGGGGGCAGGATCTCATTCTCCTCCCTGTTGGCTACTCTCTCTCGAGTGGACGAGTGGTTGGCAGGCCGTGCAGACGCGTCCATCAGAAGGACTGCCCCCAGGAGCCAGAGGCAGCACGGAGCCAGGCCAATGAGGGGACCCCACCTGGACGCCATCGCCACCCAGGGCCAGACCATGGGGCGGGCTGCAGGGTGTGGGCCAGGTGCTGGGAGGGGCAGGGGCAGGGGCAGAGGAGGAAGTGAGGTCCTGGCTCCAATCCAATCCCCGGGCACCACGGAGGGCTCTGTGTCCCCAGGACGGCCGCAGGATGGGGACAAGCAGCTCACAGTCTGCAGAGAGACACAGACACATCATTAGCAAGACTCAGCAAAGACTTCCCCAAGCACGTCTATCCTGCAACATGAAACATATCCTCGATTCACAGGATCCAGACATGTGGCATCGCCTTCTCCAGACCACACGTGGCACTGCCTTCTCCAGACCACACGTGGCATTGTTTTCTCCGGGCCACACGTGGCATTTGTTTTCTCTGGACCACACGTGGCATTTGTTTTCTCCGGACCACACGTGGTGTTTTTTTCTTTATTTTTAGAAACAGGGTCTTGCTCTGTCACCCAGGCTGGAGTACAGCGGTGACCACAGCTCACCGTGACCACGAACTCCTGGGCTCAGGTGATGCTCTGGGCTCAGGTGATGCTCTCGCCTCAGCCACCGGAGCAGCTGCGACCACAGGCGTGCACCCCCACGCCCAGTAATTTATTTTTATTTTACTCTTTGTAGAGACGGGTCTCGCTGTATTGCTCAGGCTGGTCTCAAACTCCTGGCTTCAAGCGATCCTCTTGCCTCAGTCTCCCAACGTGCTGGGATTACAGGCGTGAGCCACTGTGCCCGGTCTTTTTTTTACAGACACTGAGTTTTCAGCCCTGTCTCTCCGTCTTTCCATCTCTCTCTCGAGCTGTCAGCACCTCCAGGGGCTAACCTGTCCCCATCGCCCAACACCTGCAGCACAGCTTTCCTGTGGGGCCCGGCTCTGTCCCTCCTGGCATCATGCCACTGACCCATGGGGTTAGGGTCACTCTCCAGACCCTGACTTGAACATTCTTGAGATCTATGACCTTAGCTAAGTCATGTGGCCTCCCCGGCCTCAGCTTCTCACTAAGAAACAGGAGGCTCCCCCTCTCCCCCCGACTGACCAGGCTTTGCGAAGACAGCCAACCCTAAGTGCAGAGGGCGTCAGGGCCTGGTCCCAGCAAACAAACACACAACCCCCACACACAGATGTGCACACACACATCCACACTCACGCATGCACGTATTACACACATGTGCCCTTGCCCACACTCGCGAGCGAACGCCAAGGCCGAGGAGCCCAGAAGTCTGTCCTGCCGTCCGAGGCGTGGCCAGTCCTGGTGGGAAGCAGGGGCTCACAGGGCCTCATGCCTCATGTATCCCAAAGGGAACTCGGGGTCCTTCTCACCCACGAGCCTACTCCTTTCACAGTCTGCCCCTCCGGCAAACACCTGCGGGTCCTTTCGGGTGCCGCTGAGGCCCCGCCATGTCACAGCTGTTCCCTCAACACACATGGACTGAGACTCCTGTTCTGTGGCCGTCTTATTCAGCTTCACTGTTCTGGCACCTGCCACTCTGCCTGCACACAGTAGGCGCTCAACGAATGCTACCCTGGGTAATATTAAACGAAAAAATGCTGCCTCCAGGTATCGAGAAACACCAGTGGGGCCGCCATGAAAGTGGTCCTGAAGTCAGTGCAGTCTGCCACAAACCAAGAGGGGTACAAGCCTGAGTTCCCCCAAGGAAGGAAACCCTGGGTGAGGGGCTCATGTCTGATTTTTTTTTTTTTTCTGAGACAGAGTCTCACTCTGTCGCCCAGGCTGGAGTGCAGTGGTGCAGTCTCGGCTCACTGCAACCTCCACCTCCCAGGTTCAAGTGATTCTCCTGCCTCGGCCTCCCAGTTAGCTGGGATTACAGGCACCCACCTCCACTCTCCACTAATCTGTATTTTTAGTAGAGATGGGGTTTTGCCATGTTGGCCAGGCTGGTCTCTAACTCCTGACCTGAAGTGATCCTCCTGCCTCGGCCTCCCAAAGTGCTGGGACTATAGGCGTGAGCCATGCACCCGGCCTGATTTTCTGAACATGGCTGAGGGCTTTTCCCTTCCCTAGTGGTGGCATAATTCTATTCCTGTCGTCCCAGATCGCCTGACCAGGGGAGAGTCCTGGATAAGAACCAAGACACCTCCTCCTGGTGCTGACTCCACTAACTACAGTCGTAAAACACACGCTGTGTGCAAAGAGACTGTACTTTGTTCCTAGAGAAAATAAAGCTAGTTCTTGATTCTACATATCTTGATGAGTTACACGGTTTACTTGAGGCAGGAGGATCGTGAGACCAGCCTGGGCAACACAGTGAGACTGCGTCTCTTTAAAAAACAAAAACAAAAAGATAAGACCCTGTCTCGAAAAAGGGGGAATAAAAAGTAACCCAAAAGTAACTATAAATATCAGGAGTCCATCAAGTGGCGCTTCCTCTCCTGGCTTCAGAGTATCTATTCATCACGGTGTGCCAGGTTCGCAGCACAGCGGAGCGGGCCGGTCCCACCGGAATGGGGTTTCGACTTCGCCATCCCCTAGCAGCTCAGTTCCCAGCAAGGAATCAACACACCCTTGCAAAACGGACGTGGGAAACAGCTTAGGCAGAGACGCTATTTCTTTGCCATCCCTGGGCTTCAGCTCTGGTGGAACGAGGCTATTTCTGGCAGTTAACAACACACACGGTTAGATTCTAAAAGCTCAACAGGGTTCATAACACCGCCTCTGAGCCAGACATCAAGGGCTCCACACAGCCGACTTCACATCTCCAAATCCTACTAACTGGGGATGAGGGTCCACGCGGTTCAGAAGCGGAAGCGCAGGCGCAGGGAAGCGGGGCAGCTTGTCCAAGGTCGCCTCGCCGATAAACGCGAGTCCAACCAGACCCCTTGGGCCTCCGTTTCCCGGTGGCATTCGTAGGTTTTGGCCAGTAGGAGACCAGACGTGCCGGCGGCCGGGGAGGCCAGCGTCGTCGGCCTGTCCCTGCCCCCGGGAACCCCGGGAGCCCCGGTGGCGGCGGAGTCTCGCCAGGGCTCAAGGCCGAGCGGACGGACGATGCCCCAGCCCAAGGCGGGAGGCGGCGGCGGCCTCCAGACCCGCCCTCGCCGTCCGGCCGGCGTACACTTGGCCCCGCGGCCTGCAGCGGCCGTCCCGGGCCCCTCACTCACCGGTCTGCCTCCCCGCGCTCGGGATCCGAGGACCGGAGCGAAGCGTCAGTGACGCCGCCAACGGGCCCGGATCAGGCCACTGCCATCTTTCTTGCGGGCGGGGGCGGTGCGAACGGGCGCGACCTCACGGAGGGGACGCCGGCGCCACCATCTCTCCTCCGGGCGGAAGCGGTCGCGGGGCCGCTCCGAGGTTGACCAATGACAAGGGTGCCCGAGGCCACGTGACGGCCGCCGATTGGCCGCCGGCCTCCGAGCGCCCCGGGGCTCGGCGTCTGCGGAAGGCCCCGGCGCGCTCCCAGGAGCGCCGTGCGCACGCGCACCGCCCCGAGCCGGCGGCGCCTGCGCACTCGCGAGTCCGGCCTGGGCCGCCGGCCCGGCGCGGGCGCCATGAAGCTGCTGCGGCGGGCGTGGCGGCGGCGGGCGGCGCTAGGCCTGGGCACGCTGGCGCTGTGCGGGGCGGCGCTGCTCTACCTGGCGCGCTGCGCGGCCGAGCCCGGGGACCCCAGGGCGATGTCGGGCCGCAGCCCGCCTCCCCCCGCGCCCGCGCGCGCCGCCGCCTTCCTGGCAGTGCTGGTGGCCAGCGCGCCCCGCGCCGCCGAGCGCCGCAGCGTGATCCGCAGCACGTGGCTTGCGCGGCGCGGGGCCCCGGGCGACGTGTGGGCGCGCTTTGCCGTGGGCACGGCCGGCCTGGGCGCCGAGGAGCGGCGCGCCCTGGAGCGGGAGCAGGCGCGGCACGGGGACCTGCTGCTGCTGCCCGCGCTGCGCGACGCCTACGAAAACCTCACGGCCAAGGTGCTGGCCATGCTGGCCTGGCTGGACGAGCACGTGGCCTTCGAGTTCGTGCTCAAGGCGGACGACGACTCCTTCGCGCGGCTGGACGCGCTGCTGGCCGAGCTGCGCGCCCGCGAGCCCGCGCGCCGCCGCCGCCTCTACTGGGGCTTCTTCTCGGGCCGCGGCCGCGTCAAGCCGGGGGGGCGCTGGCGCGAGGCCGCCTGGCAACTCTGCGACTACTACCTGCCCTACGCGCTGGGCGGCGGCTACGTGCTCTCGGCCGACCTGGTGCACTACCTGCGCCTCAGCCGCGACTACCTGCGCGCCTGGCACAGCGAGGACGTGTCTCTGGGCGCCTGGCTGGCGCCGGTGGACGTCCAGCGGGAGCACGACCCGCGCTTCGACACCGAATACCGGTCCCGCGGCTGCAGCAACCAGTACCTGGTGACGCACAAGCAGAGCCTGGAGGACATGCTGGAGAAGCACGCGACGCTGGCGCGCGAGGGCCGCCTGTGCAAGCGCGAGGTGCAGCTGCGCCTGTCCTACGTGTACGACTGGTCCGCGCCGCCCTCGCAGTGCTGCCAGAGAAGGGAGGGCATCCCCTGAGCCGCCGCGGCCCGGCCCTCCGGGACACCTGCTTCACCCGGCGGCGCCTTGGGGCAGGTGCCGAGCGGGCGCACTACGCCCGGGCCCCAAGGCCCCCGTCCCGCAGCCACGCTTGTGGTCGCTGCGTCCCGGTCTGCGTTTGGGAGACCCCTGGGGGTTGCCGGGGCAGCGCGCCGTGTCCAGGTGGAGGTGCCCGTTCCTGGACCTCAGCGAGCCTGAGCCGGGCCCGGCCGCACGCTGACCCCCGTGCTGTCCCCGACCGGCTCACGGGGCTGGGCTCCGATCTTCCGTGTCTCTTATCAGTGGCGTTTCTCACGTCTGCGTCTCAGATCTAACGTGGTTTCACATCAATCCGCTTTCATGGGATTTTGGTCTCTGTCCAGTGACTTCGTGGTAAATGTAACTCAGTGTTTGCTTGCGACTTATTTATAAATATTGTAAGTTTGTGTCGATGAGTGTAAGTTGGCAGTGCGCACGTCTCGGTTTTTTTACATGATTTAAGGAAAGACTTTTATGTCAGAACTTGGTGCCTGTACCGTCAACCCCGCTGCTGCCCGTGTTTAAACGCAGGAGAACTTTAAAACTGGCCATCTATCTTTTCAGTGTACAAGTCACTGAACCCATTGTTTCTTTCTGAAGAGACTTTCCTTTCAAGGCTTCCCATGGGTCCGCGCCACACAGGGCCGGTGCTGCTTTATTTCAGACTCTGCCCCAGGTTCCAGGAATCCGAACCCCGGAGTGCTGACGCGGTTCCCCAACTTCCGCCTTAAGAAAACAGGACCAGCCGGCACCAGGCCCGTCTCTCACGTACTTTAACACATCCTTGAAAGCCCCTCGTTTAATGAGAAAAGCGAACACTGCGGTCCTTGCCAAAGTAAAATGAAGCTGCCCCAGGACAAGGGGTTACCATGAGCTCCCTGGAGTCCGACGCGGGTTTTCTCTCTGGGGGACCTGGGTGGTCCCCGCTGTGGTCTTTGTTGTCCCACTTTGGGACCGGGTCCAGTCTGGGGTCTAGTCTCGAGCATCAGGGTCAGGCTCGGGGCAGGGCTGGGTTAGGCTCCGGGTCAGTCTTGCCATGGGTTTGGGAGCAGGTTTGGGTTACTTGCGTTTGAAGGCAGCAGTGGTCTCAGGAGGAAGAAACGGGGGCGGGAGAGAGTGGTGATCTGTGGTCAGTGGGTCAGTGACCTGCACGGTGATTCTCCCACCTCCAAAAGGTAGGGGTGGGACTGGAGGCGTCCCTAGGTCAGGCCGTTGAGTTCGAGCTCCGATGGGCCACCTTGAATCCAGGACTGACCGCCCGTGTGTGCACAGTTTGTTCTTGGACGAGGACTCGTGAGGATCGAGGGCTGGGGACCCCGGTGTGAGCAGGATGGGGCCCTGCCCTCCCGTGGGAGTTGTGGACTCGAGCCCAGGGGCTGCCCGTCACAGCGGTGTCCCAGGTCCCTGCCATCCGATTTTACCTGGGATGTCTTCTCTGGAGTTTGGAATTGCTTGAGGAACCCTGCGTGTGCTTGGAGAGGCCAGAGGGCTTGCTGAGAACCCCATGGACAGTGGAGAGCGGGATTCGAACCAAGGGCTGGACTCCCACACCTCTGGCCTGCGTCGCCCAGTTCTTTGTGGCTCTGAAGAATTGGCCGCTGTGGAAAAGAGCAAATGTCCGAGACCCCCAACAGGAAGAGTCTAAAAATCCAGTTTGCAACCACTTCTGACCTACAAAAAAATGGAAATTTAGTGTTTTTCAGCCTAAGACATTAAATTTCATATCAGAACAAAGCCTGCCCCAGGCTGACCCTCCCCAGCCGTACCGTGGTGAACGGGTTCAGAGGATACGTGGGCTGAAGGCTGGGCCTCGGGAGGGCTGGGGGCTTCCAGAGCCGGGGCAGCTGCAGCTCTCTCTGGTCTCACCTGGAACTTGCCCTGTAGATCCTCCCTGCCCTGCGGCTCCAATCGACCGTGCACGGGCCGTGGCATCCGTCCCCCAGGCGTCCTTCCCTGGTCTTAGCTTGTACAGCTCCCCACCCACCCAGGTACTCGGTTCCCGGAGACCAGGGCCAAACCAGGAGGCCCTCGGGAGATGGGGGGTCACCGAATTCATTTCCATGTGGGAACTTGGGATACAAAACAGCCAACTCTTCCTCAGCCACACGGATGTTTCTCCTCTAGTGGCCCCGAGAACCTACCATGGAGGGGACAGTGTCAGGGCTGGACGGGCACGGCGCAGCCACACGCACACAGCCCCCAGGAGGCACAGGGCCGGCAGGGAATGCAGGTCAAGCCAAGAGGATGGGCTCTGGTCCCTTCAGGATCCCCCAGGAGGAGAGCACCCCCTTCTGCCCTCTTCCTGGGGACTATGGTCCTGCCTCTCTGCCCCCTGAGGCTGGCATGCAGGCACCTGACGTTGGCTCCAGCTCTCTGGGCCAGCCCTGGGTACCCGCCGGGCCTGTGGCCTGGTTGGTCACCCCCAAGATGCAAAGTGCTACCTGCATCCGGAGGCACCCCCGCCCCTGAGGCCTCCAGGTTCCCACCTGCCCACCTGTGTCTGGCTGGGATCCTGGCTGTCAAGGCTCCTGTTACGGGACTGAACTGTGCCCCCTAAAAGATATTCCAAGCCCTAACCCAGCAGCTACAAACTGACCTTGTCTGGAAGTCGGGTCTCTGCAGGTGGAATTGCGTTAAGGCAAGGTCCTGAGGTGGCCTTACTCCCACGGAACTGGTGTCCTTACCAGAAAAGACCTGGGAAAAAGCCACTGTGTGGCTAGAGACTGACACCCAGGCGATGCCTCTGCAGGCCAAGGATTGAGGACCCTCCACCCCCACCCCACCAGGCAAGGAAGGGCTCTACCCAGAGTCAGGAGCGTGGCCTCCAGGGCTGCGAGGGAAGACGCCCCGTCCAGCAGCCCCAGGATGCCAGCCCAGTTCCCTGTGCCCGGCGCTCTTCGGTGCAGACGCAGGCAGGGGCTCCTGCAACCTTGTGGCATCACAGACGCCCAGCACTGACTGGGCCCAGATCTCCTCCCCGCAGGGCTCAGCACACACCCTGTTCCCGGCAGGCCTCCATCAGTCCAGCCTGCAGCAGGGCTGCCCCCGCGGCCTGGGTCACCCCAGACTCTTCCACCCTCTCCCTGGCTGACTGTCCCAGCTCAGAGTCCTCAGGTCTAAGGGGGTCACGGCCCTCCTGTGGCCCCACCGGCCCCAGGCTCCCCAGCTGTGGCACTGTGAGACCAGCTGACGTTGCAGGAATGGAAGCCCCAGCGGCCCAGACGGCTTGGGGAGTCCTCGGGAGCAGGTGGCCAGAGACAGGTGCGTGCCAGGCCCTCCGCACCCAGAGCGGGGCCGGGAGGAGAGAGGAGGCCCCTTGTTCGCGCAAGGCCCTGCTTCCTGGGCCCACAGCAGCCTGTCAGAAGTTTCCAGCTCCTTGGACTGGCTGTGTGGGGCCTGCTCCCTGGTTTCAGGGGCCTGGGAAGGGCTTGGCGCTTTTTCCTGGTTTCCTACTCTGAGGTGAGCTGGCGTCTCCCTCTCCCACTGTGGGCTGAGGGGAAAGACCTCTGTGTCCATCCCACAGGCCTGGCCAATCTCTGGGGTCCTCAAAGAGGAGGCTTTTGAGGGGGCACAGCCCAAACCCCTGGGCCTCCCCTTGAGGTCTCCTCCCAGCCCCCACCCAGAGGACCTTCCCACAGCCTTGGGAGCTGAAACCCAGGCCACCCCATCAAGTTGGCCTCTGTGGGTGTACACACTCCTTTCCCTCAGGGCCAGGGTGGGTCCCCACCCCCAGCACTCACAGCCCCTCCTTCTCTGGCCTCCCTGCCCTCCGCACCCTCCCTGCTAGATGCTGGTGCCGCTAGCCCTGCCCTGATGGCCACACTGCACCACGCTGGCCAGGTCAGAACCACCCGAGGAGAAGAACCAAGATCTGGCCCCACCCTGTCCTCCTCGGAAGGTCTCTCTGGGGCCCACCCCCTCCTCCCTCCCCAAGGATCTGAGCCTCCCTCACCGAGGTTCCCAGTGGAGGTAGACAGTGGATGAGTGATCCCAGGAGAGCTGGCTGCAGCCAAGGGGCTGAAGGGAGGTGGAGGCGGGAGGGGCAGGAAGGAGGATCTGGAAGGCCCCAGGCGCTCCCCACCCATCCAGCCTCGGCCTCTGTCCTGGTCGCGTTGCCCAGCGAGGCCTCTCCTTGGGCTGGGGCTCGGGTACTCTGCCCTGGTCGGGGCCACAGATGCCGCAAAGTCCCCTCAACTCAGCTAGCCAGGGTGCAAGACCGCGCCCACAGCTGAGAAGCCAGGGGTTACGAGTGTGGCCCTGCCAGGACCTCCTCAGCTGCATCCTCCAGAGTAAACACAGGTGGCCGCAGATCTTCCAGGGCCGGCCGGGCAGGCAGGACAGGAGCCCAGGAGGGCCGCAGTCCAGCTCCCCTCCCCGCTGACCCAGGGCCGGACCCAGCCCGGTGACTGGAGCAGAAGGAAACCCAAGCCCCAGGCCCTCCCTCCGGTGGCATCCGAAGGTCTCAGCGGCCCCAGCCTCCCCCAGGGGCCCCGCACCCGCCACCGCCCACCTCAGACCGGAGAGAGAGTGAGGGATGGGCAGAGCCAGGCCCAAGTCCCCGCCGGGGCGACGGTCACGGTGCCTCACCCTCAACCGCCTCACCCAGACCTTCCGACCCAGGAACAGCTGAACTCAGCCTAAAAAGCACCCGTCCCGAGGGCCTGAGTCCGGCCGTGGTGCCTCCTGCTGCAGAGATGTGTTTTGCACACTCCTGTGTGGCAGGGAGAGGCCCGGGCGTGCGGGCTGGGGGCCCAAGGGGTCTGGAGACGCTTCCCTGCGGAGACGGGGTTTGCCCAGCCCCCACCTGTCACGCTTCTCGTCACCCCCAAGTGAGGGCCGTGGGCGCGGGCGGGGTGGGCAGGAGGCCCTGCTGGGCTGGGTCACACGCATGACACCTGGCTGTCGCAACACAGATATCATCACGCCCGGGCACCCGTGAGTCACTGGCCCAGAGCAGGGGCTGCCCCCAGCCTCCCAAACAAAGACCCTTTGTCCCCAGGCCTCTGGTGCCAGGCCCACCTGTACAGCAGTCAGATGCGCAGGCGGACAGACACGCCGGTGGCTCGGCAGGCACAGGCAGGGCCAGGGCGTGTTCCCGCAACCAGACACGCTGCCATTCCTGGGTCAGGGTCAGGCTGAGGGAGACCCCTGGGGGACAGGCCCTGAGGTCACCATAGCTCAGAGTGACCTGAACTGGGAGTCCAAGCACAGACTGGCCAAGCCCAGCCCGTGAGCGACGGCCCCAGGACGCGGCGCCGAGCTCTGCCCCCAGCTCCAGCTCCCAGCGGCGTCGGAGCACAGCAGATCCCAGGGCAGCGCTCTGCAGGCAGGAAAGAGCTTCCCCTTGGGACAGCGCGCTGAGCAGCCCCCAGCTGAGGGTGGGAGCCCCGTCCCTGGACCCCTTCACGCAGTTCAGGGAGCCCCACATGCCGAAGCAGCCGTCACAGCTCCATGGGCCCCTCTGCTGTCCCTGGCAGGACCGAAGCTATGTGGCCTCCCGGACGCCAGGGACCCCGGCCACGCCCGCTCCAGGCACTGAGTGGCCAGCCAAGCGCTCGGGCCCGGGGTCCTGGACGGCTGTTCTGGGTTTGTTCTCAAGGGGGCCGTGCTGCTGGCTCTGTAGAGAGTCCCAGTCCCAGGGCAGAGACCCACACAGATGTGCAGACACGTGGGCACACACGCACCAGTCGCAGGGACACACAACTGTCAACCCGGGGTCAACACGGGGCACCTGGGTACATAGATTTTTACAAAGCAGGGCAGGCAGGTCTGTTTGGACCCTACACAGCCCCTACATGCCCCCAGGCCATTCTTGTTCCAAGGCCCAGATGACAGTGGTCACCAGGTGTGGTGTGGTCTGGGGTCTGGGACAGGCCCCAGGAACGCCCTGGGCTTACTCCAGAGAGGCTGGCAGGCAGTCCGAGGGGCCTTTGGAGCAGACACCCTCCCAGCTGCAGGGCGGCAGGGGCGGCAGGGGTGACAGAGGCGGGGAGAAGGATGCGAAGACAAGATGCCAAAGCTGGGCCTCCAGCGCCTGCCTGTCCTGGCTGCAGCCCCAGGGTCCACACCCAGGCGCCCCCAGGGGCCAGGCCAGGGCAGCCGCATCTCCTACGTACCCCAACAGTGGGGCCCTTGAGGCACCGGGGACGGATGGGCAATGGTGTCCACACCTGACAGGCGGGGCCGGAGCGGGGCCCAGCCTCCTCCTCACAGCCAGGAGCCCCCAGCCCTGCCTCCCCTGGCTCCTGCTGCCCCCTCAGGGTGGCTGCCGCACCTGGCCCCAAGAGGACTTCCTGGCTGCCCTGAGCTCCCGTCCGCATTTCTGTCCATTCAAGACCAGGACAGCACCAGGGCTGGGAATACTGGCTCCGACCCAGCCGAGGCAGCCCCGGGGCAGGGTGGGTCAGGCAGGTCCAGCGCTGGGACTCTAGGGAAGGGCTGGTCCTGTGAGCAGACGAGCTGGAGGGTTGGTGGGGGGAGTGTCCCCGCACCGGGCATGGCCCCTCCCAGGATGGCAGGGAGCCCACGGCAGGAGTGTCCGATGCCCCCAGCCCCGGCCAGGCAGCAGGGTCGGCCTGCGGTTCTGGGAAGTCAGCCCTGGTGGAGGTCACGGAGAAGCCGGCAGCTCCCTGCCGCTCAGGGCATGGGGTCAAGGGTCAGGGGTCAGGGGTCGGGTTGAGGCCGTCCGGCACGTAGCCGGCTGCTCTGGCTTTGCTCCTGCCAGGGTCCACGAAGCTGCCAGACGCTTGGGACACTCAATACCCCAGCTCCCAAACCGGGGGGCACAGGCCTGAAGAGATCCGTTTCCCTGGGCTCCCCAGGTCCCCCAGCCAGCCCAGACCCCAAGCAACAGCAGCTCTGGCTGGCCTGCACCTGCCCCGGGGACCCCACGCTCCGGCTGGGTGAGTGACAGGCATCTCCCACCCTCGTCAAGAGTCCAGGGTCCCTTCTATGGCAAACATTGCAGTGTGGGTCCAGCCCAGGAGGTGAGGCTGAGAGAGAATGAAGGGGTGCAGCTGGGCTGGGCCAGAGGATGGAGCCTTGGCTGGGTGGGCTGGGAGCCTGGACCCTCCTGTGAGGCCGCCCACCCCACCCCGACCTGTCCATTCCTTTGCTCCTGGGTGCCCAGAGGGGGCTAGAGATGGCACATTCCAGGGGAATTGCGGCTAAGTGGCTGATCACCTCCCACTGGGGCAGAAACCAGGAGGCAGAGGCCAGGGAGGTGGTGCCAGCACCAGGACATCCCCACGCCCCCCATTCACCCTGGCCCCAGCCCCCCCCATTCACCCTGGCCCCCATGCCAGCCCCCAGCCACCCCCGACCAGCCCCCATCCCCCACCTCATTCACCCCGGCCGTGGTCCCTGCCCCAGCCCCCGCCGCCCCCATTCACCCGGGCCCTGGCCCCCAACTCATTCAGCCCCGGCCCCCCGCCCCACCACTCCACGTCTCTTTGTCTCTCATCACCATCTTGCTCTACGCGGCCCTGGGTCCCATTTCTGGCATGTCCATCTGTCATCACAGCTCCTACCTCCGGGACTGGGTAGGGTGGGGGACTGGCTGCTGCTGAAGAACCTAGAGGGCCCCCATTCCCGGATGGTGAGGCCCCAGGCGGTGTTCAGAAAGGCCTGGCTGGGTGCTGCCTGATCCTGGGTGCCTGCCCCCAGCCCGTTCTTGCCCAGGGTTGGCCCGTCAGTTTGGGGAGGAGCCACTGAAAACTGGAAGCAAACAGGGGAGTCCGCAGCCCAGGGCTCACGCCAACCAGGAAGGTGCAGGCCACGCTCCTGCCTCTGCCTCCTCAGGGCCCCCACACTGCTGTCCCCGCTGACCCAGCTCCAGGAGGGCCCGGCACAACCTTGGTTCCCCCTGTACAGATGCACAGCTGCCCGACTCTCTGGAAGGGAGCACTCTTGAGTGCTGTGGCCAAGCAGGGCAGGGGCTGCAGAAGGGAGACCCCCCGTTCCAGATCCAGGCCCCAGGGGGCAGGCCGTGCCCACAGAAGGGGTGCTGAGGGCAGAGAGGAGCCCCTAAGCCGGGGCCACAGCCTTGGCAAGTGAAGCAGAGGCCCCTCCAGACAGCCCCAGCCCCTGACGCCACTCTGGGGGGCCCAGGGAGAGAGGTGGGGACGGGTCACCACCCAAGCCCACCTCGTGCCGATTGGCGCCTGCCCACACACCTCGTCGCAGGGCTGGGCTGTCCCGCCTCACTGCCCAGCAAGCCTTGGGGAGGGCCCCTTCTGTGCCAGCCCCGGCAGCTCCAGGTCCCAGGGGAGGGGTAACAGCCGTGGGCTCTGGCCTCTTCCAACCTCCCCAACCCCACCAGCGACTAAGGGCTCTGGATGCCAACCAGAGATGGCATCTCCGCAGCTCAGCAGAGGCCTGGACGTCCTGAGGCCAGTTTACACTCTTTGGTGTGGGTTTGCCAGAGCCAAAATGGGGTGGGGGTGGGGCCCAAATCCACAGGACCTGCCAGGGAGCAGCAGCATGATGGTCACATATGGGGCCCACCCCACCCTCCATGGGGCAGTTCTGGCCCCTAAGGCCCCCGAGAGGCCCTGGTCATTAGAGTGCGGCCATACCGAGAGCAGGCGAGGAGAAGCCTGCTGGTTCCAGCCCTGCTCCACCTGGGTGCCCCGGGCACGGCACGGTCTGGGCGCACCTGAGCCCGCAGGGGTGCCTTTCAGCTCCACACGCCTGCGGCGGCCAGCACATGCAAGCACGCGGTCCCGTGTGTGGCATGCACGTCCTCTTGCCCTGCACAGAGCCCCCCACAGGACGCAGGCCTCCCGAGGGCCCAGAACAGTGCTGCTCTCCAACCTCTGGGGCTTCCAGTGCCCCACGGCCTGCTGCTCCCCCAAGGCTGGACAGGCCGTGGGCAGAGCTGAGTGGGGCCGGCACGGACAGTGGTCCTTGTCCTCAGGGTCGACGTGGCCCCTGCAGGGGCTACCAGGGCAGCGCCCAGCCTCTTGCCATCACCATAATCCCGGGCCAGGTAAGTCGGCCCCGAGGGAGGCTCTACGGCCCATACCCCAAGCTACCGGGCTCCCCTGTGAACAGCACCCTTCTGCCCCCACCCATCTCCCGCCGACCTCGGCAGCCTGGCTTCCACCCCCAGTGAAACATCCAGGCAGCACTCGAAGGCAGTGGGGAGGGTGGAGGGCTCTTTATTGTGGTGACCACGGGCATCAGTAGGAGGGTCCCCGGGATCCGGCGGCAGCTCCTCGCCAGCCCCCCTGGGCGCCCTCACGTGCCCAGGAGCAGCCCGGAGAAGCTGGAGCCCGCCTGGATGGTGAGGACGGCCCCGGAGCCATTGTCCACAAACACAGAAGCGTACTGTCCAGCCTGTAAGAAGCACGGGGACGTCACAACCGCAGCCACAGCCCAGCCACTCGGTGGCCAACGTCTGCCCACCTGCCCTGCGCTAGGAGGTGCCGAGGCCCCAGAGGTCTGCGCCCTGAGTGCACCGAGCTCACACCCGGCCCAGCCCGAGTGCACCCGAGCCCTCCCGCTCACACCCGGCCCGGACTCACCTGCAGCTGCAGCAGCCCCTGCACCTGTAGCGTGAAGACCCTGCTGTTGCTCTCCAGGCCTGAGACGGCCTCCAGGCACCTGAACACAGCCCCACAGGGCAAGAGGGAGGCGTTGCAGGTCCAGGGGGCCAAGACCTGCTCCAGTGCCCAGAGACCCCTGTGGCCTGTGAGCCCCTCCAAGGGTGGTCCGGGGGCTGCCGCCTGGAGCGGGGGCTGAGGTCACTCACGTGTGGCGCTGGCACAGGGACTCAATACAGATGAGAACACACACCACGTCCCGGGCCCGCAGCCGGGCCTTGCCCTGCAGCTCACTGTGGTCTGCGGAGAGAGCCCTGGGGAGGGTGGTGCATGGGGGGCGGGGTGGGGGCTGGTGGGGAGGGGCTTCAGGGCACACATCCCAGGACAGGCCCAGGAGTGGCTGCTGGGGCTGGGGAGGGGGCGCCTGAGGCCAGGCGTGCAGCAGGGACCCCATGCCCAGTCCAAGGCCCCCCATGGGGCAGGGGATAGGTCCCTAACAGGACCCGCACCCGGGGCCGGCGATGCCAGGCGCCCCCAGAAAGCTCAGCCCCAGCCCCGTCACAGCACACGGCACTGCCCCATCCGGCTCACCCACGTGCAGACTGGCAGAGAACTGGAAGATGCCGGACACGGGGGCCGTGAACCGACCCGAGGCCAGGCTCAGACCGGAGCCTCGCAGGAAGGCACCTTGGGCAGCAGGCTGTGAGGGGCAGTGGGTGAGCGGCCAGCGCAGGGCCTGGCCCCCACCCCACAGACCCCGCCTGGGGAAGGTGCCTGCAACCGACAGCCCCTCACTCGGAGCAGCTCTCCCGGGACCCTCACGCTCACTGTGGGCACCAGCAGGACTGACCCTCGAGTCCACACCCAGGAGGGTCTCCCTGCCTCCCGGCTACCGGGGACCCACGCTCCGTCTGGGCATAAAGTGTGATCTGGGCCCCCAGGGCCTCCCAACCCTGACCCGAGGCAGCCCCTCGCCCTCCGAGCCCCGCCCCCAGCCCCCAACCCACATGCTGCCCCATGAGTGTCAGGCGGTGTGTGTGGTCCCGTCTTGCCTGTGGGGCCCCACCCAACACCCCGCTCTAAGCTCCCGGCTCCACTCACAGCCTGGAAACCATGCAGCTCCACCAGCGTCCGCTTGTCCACCCGGCGGGGACCCTGCAGCCGGCAGTGAAAGGCCTCGCCCACCAGCCGCAGGCCCGCCCCCTGGGGCAGCAGCGGGTCCAGAAGCCCTGAGAACCGGCGCTCCGTGGCCTCTGTGGGGAGGAGGGCACAGGCGGCCAGCAGGGTCAGCACAGGGCCCAGGCACGTCTGGTCTCTGGGCAGTGCAGGGCGGCTGACCTTTCAGCAGCTCCTGAAACTCGTGAAGCAGAGTCTCCGCGGTCACTTCTGCACCTGGAGGTCCTGGGGGACCGAAGAGATCCCGCTGGGGGGAGAGAGAAGCAGGTGAGGGGCCCAGTGGGACCCGGTGGGAGCTACCACCACACCCTGTCCGGGGCTCAGACCCTGCAGCAGCCCGGGCGGGGCTCACCGGCTTCTTGTCCCTGCTTCCGCACCGCTTCCTTAAGGCGCCGTCGTCCGGCCGCCGGACAAAGTTCAGCCATGTCATGTGGGCGTCGGAGAACTCAGGTCCTGAGGCCTGGGATGGCTGAAGGGACGGGACGGGGCTAGCGCACTGAGGCTGCACCCTGCAGAGAGCTGGGACCCCAGGGCAGCGGGGAGCACTCAGGGCAGAACCAGGGAAGGCATCGCCGGCCAGGAGAAGGACCCACGGCCGCCCTTGGGGGAGTCAGAACCCTGACGTCCCAATGCCACCAGCAGGGCAGGCATGCGGGGCTTCTGTGGACACAGCCAGAGCCTGATGCCCTGAGCCCCTCACTCCTCCCCCACTCCTCCCCCTCCTCCCCCCACTCCTCATCCCACTCCTTCCCCCACTCATCTCCCTCCTCCCCCACTCCTCATCCCACTCCTTCCCCCACTCATCTCCCTCCTCCCCCCACTCCTCATCCCACTCCTTCCCCCACTCATCTCCCTCCTCTCCCCTCCTTTCCCACCTCCCCCTCCTCCTCCTCTTCCCCCTCTTCCCCCCACTCCTCCCCATTCCTCTCCCCTCCTCCCCCACTCCTTCCCCCACTCATCTCCCTCCTCCCCCACTCCTCTGCCCTCCTCTCCCACTCCTCCCCCTCCTCCCCCCACTCCTCATCCCCCTCCTCCCCCACTCCCCCCTCCTCCCCCTACTCCTCATCCCACTCCTTCCCCCCACTCCTCATCCCACTCCTTCCCCCACTCATCTCCCTCCTCCCCCACTCCCCCTCCTCCCCCACTTTTCACCCTCCTCCCCCCACTCTTCCCCCTCCTCCCCGCACTCTTCTCCCCTCCTCCCCCACACCTCTCCCCTCCTCCCCCCACCCTACCCTCTCCTCCCCCCATTCCTCCCCCACTCCTCAGGCATCCGCTATCCGCTTGCTGTCCTGTTGACCACCACCGCAATGTGCTGAAGGGACCCGGCGCCCTGGAGGGGCCTGTACCTCAGCCTATCTGGGGGCTGAGAGCCAGAGGCAACAGAGAGCAGGCTGCAGGAGAACCGCCCAACCCTGGAAGCCTGGAGGGCCAGCCTGAGCACACACCTCACAGCCCTCCAGCCGGCACCCTTTGAGGGAGGCCCGCCACCCTGCAGGGTCTCTGGAGGAGTGGCCCTGGGCAGTGGGGTGCCCCCTCCCTTCCAGGGGGACTGGCCCGGACTGCTGAAGACCCCCCCACTGCCCCGCCCCTGCCAGCACTGCCAGCCTGGCCCTAGCGCCGGGAACCAGCCCACTCTTCCTGAGCTGGCAGAGCCGCGGCCTCAACCCTCCTCAGCCTTCCCATCTGGGAAACGGGACCTCGGGCTCCAGCGGGGCCGCGTGGGCTGAGAGGCAGCCGGGCTGGCTGCAGCAGAGACGCCCTCGGGAGGAGGGAGACCAGCATCAAAGGTGTGAGGGCCGGGGATGGGGGCTGCTCTGGCAACTGCGGCTCCCCTCCCAGTCCTGGGGCCCACGACGGCGGCAGCAAGACCTGCCCTCCAAGACCCCTGGAGAGACCCTGAGCAGGAGAGAGGAAGCCCAGGGTTGAGGTGGGCTTGGGGCCTTCTGTCTTTGTGAGGACGCCCGGCCTGACTGGGGCCCCAGGACTTAACCCGCAAGAGGGGGTGCTAGCTACACAGGACCCCCAGAAAGCACAAGGGACAGGCTCGCCATGGCGTCTCCAGCCGCAGGAGTCATGGGGCGCTGGACTCCCAAGGGGTCTGGTGAACCATCCAGCAAGCAGCCGGAACCACCCCACCCCCGCCCCCAAATCAGCAATTAACCTAATAGCAACAGGTTCCTCAGAGCGCGGCAGGCCCACGCTTCAAAGGGTTAACTGCGGCCCCCAACCGCGGGAAGCCCCCTTCACCCACCCACCCCAGGCCAGCTGGGGGCCAGGTCTCCGCTGCAGAGGAGGAGAGGGCTTCCCAGAGGCCGGCCTGGCTGGGCTGCAGCAGATTCTCAAGGCGGGACCGTGGCCGAGGCCTCGAAAAGGGCGACCCGGAGGCAGAGCCGGCAGGGACAGAGCCTGCTGGGGGAGGACGCCCCAGAGCCCCAGCTCCGAAGCTGCCCCGCGAGGGCCCACGTGCGTCCCGGCCGCGTACCTTGGGGGCCTCGGGCAGCCCCTCGCGGGAGGACGCGCTGGCGGTGGCGTTGGGGGGATCTGCGCGCTGGCCAGGCTGCTGCGTCCTCTGTGCCTCCCGCCGGGCCCCGACGCCCCCGAGGAGCACGAGCTGCGGCCCGAGGAGGACCACGACCGCGGCCCAGGCCCAGCGCCGCATGGCTCCGTCCCGAGGCGGCTCAGCGCGGCGAGTCTCGGCGCCAGGGCGCAGTCATGGGGACGGCCGGCGCTCAGAGCCCCCGCGCGGGGGCGAGGCCCAGGGGCGCGCCCGGCCTCCGCCGCTGCATGTCTGCGCGGACCTGCCCGGAACGGCGGCGCGACGGCGCTCAGGTCCCCCCGGGGTCCCGCTCCAGCCCCCGCTCCCAGCCCCCGTCCTCTCTGGCCTCCTCACTCCGCCGCCCAGTAAATCCTCCCCTCGCCTCCTCCTCCCCAGACCTCGCAGGCTCCAGGGTGGGGGCTCACACTCGGACGATCAGCCAGCCGCCCGGGCGCCCCGACGGCCAGGGACGGAGACGGGGCGGAGACCCCCACTGACCCCGGCCGCTGCTTCTTGCCTCCCGTCCCCAGACCCCACCCTGCCCCCATTGCTTCCCCAAAGGTCCACCTCATTCTGGGAACCGTGAAGACAGCAGCCTACCTCCTCGCCCTCCCTGCCAGCTGAACTCAACCTGGCTCCCCTCACAGCAGCCTCTGCAGCCAGCCACCGGAGGGCAGCTACCAGCCAGCCAAAGCCCCAGCCCCTTCCCACGACCTCCTCACCCAGGCTCCCCCGGGTGCCCCGCCCTGACTCACGGCCCCGGCCCAGGGTCCTGGGGGTGCTGGCCGGCC
This sequence comes from Homo sapiens, assembly GCF_000001405.40. Taxonomy (NCBI): domain Eukaryota; kingdom Metazoa; phylum Chordata; class Mammalia; order Primates; family Hominidae; genus Homo; species Homo sapiens. The sequence continues at coordinate 1,247,359 of NC_000001.11, forward strand.
TCGCTGGGGCCCCACTCGGGGGAAAGGTGAGGCCAGATCATGGCGACAGGCCCCTTGGGCTCAGTGGCTGGAGGAATGGGGTGGCCAGGTGGGGCTGGAAGACCCTCCAGCCGCTGGTCCTGGCCGAGGCTAACAGTGGCCCAAGGTCAACATGCCGGCCCTGATGGACAGCTCGGAACACTCCAGACCCTCCCCTCTTGCCAGACACGAAGGTAGCCACGCCGAGACCCCAGCGTCAACCCCAGCCCCAGGCCACATCCACAGGCAGAGCCACGGGAGACCAGGCTGGGATGGGGATGACGCTTGGGAACCCACCAGGGACCCCGGCTGCCCCCTCGCCCTCCGGGCTCTCAGGCACTGACTGGCATCTCCAGAGAGCACTGTGGAAGCCTCCCGGCCCCGTGTCCGCTCGTGAAGGTGGTGGAGGACCCTGGGGACACGGCACAGCGCCCACACAGTACCAGCCCTGCTGGACCCCCGCAGGTGAGCCCTGGATGTGGCCTGCATCTAGCATGGGTCGGGAAAGGCAGCCCCAACACCCCTCAATCCAGGCTTGGGGCAAAGGGAGGGGTGGGCAGGTGCCCTGGCCAAGGAGACCCCCCGCCCAGGGCTACCAGACCCCTCCTCACAGGCAGGGCATCCAAATTTTCTCTGTCACCCACTGGCAATGAGCTCCCCTGTGACTCTAGACAGAACAGGCTGGATCTCCAACTCTGACCTACAGGCAGGAAAGTGGGCAGCCCTGGGAGGCTGGACTGAGGGAGGCTGGACTTCCCACTCAGGCCTACACGCAGGAAAATGGGCAGCCCTGGGAGGCTGGACCGAGGGAGGCTGGGCCTCCCACTCCACCCTACAGGCCAGGACACGGGCAGCCCTGGGAGGCTAGACCGAGGGAGGCTGGGCCTCCCATCTACCCTACAGGCCGGGACACAGGCAGCCCTGGGAGGCTGTACCGAGGGAGGCTGGGCCTCCCCCTCTGCCCTACAGGCAGGAAAACGGGCAGCCCTGGGAGGCTGGACCAAGGGAGGCTGGACTTCCCACTCTACCCTACAGGCAGGAAAACAGGCAGCCCTGGGAGGCTGGACCGAGGGAGGCTGGGCCTCCCACTCTGCCCTATAGGCCGGGACACAGGCAGCCCTGGGAGGCTAGACCGAGGGAGGCTGGGCCTCCCACTCTGCCCTACAGGCAGGAAAACGGGCAGCCCTGGGAGGCTGGACCAAGGGAGGCTGGACTTCCCAATCTACCCTACAGGCAGGAAAACAGGCAGCCCTGGGAGGCTGGACCGAGGGAGGCTGGGCCTCCCACTCTGCCCTACAGGCCGGGACACAGGCAGCCCTGGGAGGCTGGAGCAAGGGAGGCTGGGCCTCCCACTCCGCCCTACAGGCCGGGACACGGGCAGCCCTGGGAGGCTAGACCGAGGGAGGCTGGGCCTCCCACTCTGCCCTACAGGCAGGAAAACGGGCAGCCCTGGGAGGCTGGACCGAGGGAGGCTGGACTTCCCACTCTACCCTACAGGCAGGAAAACGGGCAGCCCTGGGAGGCTGGAGCGAGGGAGGCTGGGCCTCCCACTCCGCCCTACAGGCCGGGACACGGGCAGCCCTGGGAGGCTGGAGCGAGGGAGGCTGGGCCTCCCACTCCGCCCTACAGGCCGGGACACGGGCAGCCCTGGGAGGCTGGAGCGAGGGAGGCTGGGCCTCCCACTCCGCCCTACAGGCCGGGACACGGGCAGCCCTGGGAGGCTGGACCGAGGGAGGCTGGGCCTCCCACTCCGCCCTACAGGCCGGGACACGGGCAGCCCTGGGAGGCTGGACCGAGGGAGGCTGGGCCTCCCACTCCGCCCTACAGGCCGGGACACGGGCAGCCCTGGGAGGCTGGACCGAGGGAGGCTGGGCCTCCCACTCCGCCCTACAGGCCGGGACACGGGCAGCCCTGGGAGGCTGGACCGAGGGAGGCTGGGCCTCCCACTCCGCCCTACAGGCCGGGACACGGGCAGCCCTGGGAGGCTGGACCGAGGGAGGCTGGGCCTCCCACTCCGCCCTACAGGCCGGGACACGGGCAGCCCTGGGAGGCTGGACCGAGGGAGGCTGGGCCTCCCACTCCGCCCTACAGGCCGGGACACGGGCAGCCCTGGGAGGCTGGACCGAGGGAGGCTGGGCCTCCCACTCCGCCCTACAGGCCGGGACACGGGCAGCCCTGGGAGGCTGGACCGAGGGAGGCTGGGCCTCCCACTCCGCCCTACAGGCCGGGACACGGGCAGCCCTGGGAGGCTAGACCGAGGGAGGCTGGGCCTCCCCCTCTGCCCTACAGGCAGGAAAACGGGCAGCCCTGGTGTAGAGGGCAGCCCTACAGGGTTTGTGGGTTTTTCTCCCCGTGTGCGGAGATGAGAGATCGTAGAAATAAAGATACAACACAAAGAAATAAAAAAGACAGCTGGGCCCGGGGGACCACTACCACCAAGATGTGGAGACCGGTAGTGGCCCCGAATGCCAGGCTGCGCTGTTATTTATTGGATACAAGACAAAGGGGCAGGATAAGGAGCGTGAGCCATCTCCAGTGATAGGTAAAGTCACGTGGGTCACGTGTCCACTGGACGGGGGCCCTTCCCTGTTTGGCAGCCAAGGCAGGGGCCAGGGAGAGAGAGAGACAGCTTACGCCATTATTTCTGCTTATCAGAGACTTTTAGTACTTTCACTAATTTTGCTACTGTTATCTAAAAGGCAAAGCCAGGTGTACAGGATGGAACGTGAAGGCGGACTAGGAGTGTGACCGCTGAAGCACAGCATCATAGGGAGACGGTTAGGCCTTCGGATAACTGTGGGTGGGCCTGACCCTCCACAAGAGGTGGAGGAGTAGAGTCTTCTCTAAACTCCCCCGGGGAAAGGGAGACTCCCCTTCCCAGTCTGCTAAGTAGCGGGTGTTTTCCCTTGACACTGACGCTACCGCTAGACCACGGTCTGCTTAGGTCACGGGTGCCTTCCCAGGCGCTGGCGTTACTGCTAGACCAAGGAGCCCTCTGGTGGCCCTGTCCGGGCGTAACGGAAGGCTCGCACTCTTGTCTTCTGGTCACTTCTCACCATGTCCCCTCAGCTCCTATCTCGGTATGGCCTGGTTTTTCCTAGATTATGATTATAGAGCGAGGATTATTATAATATTGGAATAAAGAATAATTACTACAAACTAATGATTAGTGACACATATGGTCTATACCAAGTATAACTCTTATTTTATATATTTTGTTACACTGGGACAGCTTGTGCCCTCGGTCTCTTCCCTCGGCACCTGGGTGACTTGCTGCCCTCACCCTGGGAGGCTGGGCCTAACTGGGAAGGATGTGGCTTCGTGTTCCCAACCCCAGGCACCTTTAAAATGAGCTGAGCCTGGCACCCAGGCAGGAACACTCAGCCCCCATGCTCCCTCTAGAAGACGACCAAGAGGACCCCACCCTCTGGGTCACCCACCAAGGATCCAGGGTACCCTGGGCCACAGCCACGAGCTGCTCACAAGGGGAGGCTCAGGTGCAGCTGCTGGCTCTGCTCACCCCCTGCACCCCCCAACGCAGACACCCTGACACCCCCCGGCCCTGGAAAAATGGCAAAGGACCACGGTGCCCTGCCCAGCCGCCTGCTGCAGGGAGAGCAGCTCCCTCAGACCCGGAGTGCTCTGCTGTGCCGGCTGGTTCATCAGCACTCAGGCAGGCCTGGGCATGCGCTCACAGAGAAGCTCGAGGTTGCCAGAACACAGGAAACGCCTCTTCTTTCCTGTGACCACGAGGCCACGTGCTCACCTGTCTGCAGAATATCAACTTTTAAGGGGCTTTTCTCTCCTCATTAAAAGACTTCACAGTGTGCTCTGCATGGCGAGGGGACACACCGTGCTCCCAGGGGGAAGTCAAGGACGGCCTCCACCGGTGACAACACAAGAACAGAGGGGCCCACGATTCCTCTAAGGGAGACGGGGACAGAGGGTCAGACGTGCCCGGCCCAACAGGCCAAACATCATTTTTTTTTTTTTTTTAGACAGAGTCTCACTCTGTCAGCCAGGCTGGAGAGCAGTGGCACGATCTTGGCTCACTGCAACCTCCACCTCCTGGACTCGAGTGATTCTCCTGCCTCAGCCTCCTGAGTAGCTGGGATTACAAGCACATGCCACCATGCCCGGCTAATTTTGTATTTTCAGTAGAGACAGGGTTTCACCATGTTGGCCAGGCTGGTCTCGAACTCCTGACCTCAGGTAATCTGCCCACCTCAGCCTCCCAAAGCGCTGGGATTACAGGAGTGAGCCACCACGCCCGGCCCAAACATCATTTTTTATTTTGGGCCAGTGCGGACAACATGCCACGGGCACCACCTTCACTGCTTGACCGATGATCGCTAAAAGTTGAGATTTCAGTTGGGCGTGGTGGCTCACGCCTGTAATCCCAGCACTTTGGGAGGCTGAGGCAAGCAGATCACGAGGTCAGGAGTTTCAGACCAGCCTGGCCAATATGGTGAAACCCCGTCTCTACTTAAAATTAGCTGGGTGTGGTGGCAGGCACCTGTAATCCCAGCTACTTGGGAGGCTGAGGCAGGAGAATCACTTGAACCCAGGAGGCAGAGGTCACAGTGAGCAGAGATCACGCCACTGTACTCCAGCCTGGGCGACAGAGCAAGACTCCGTCTCAAAAAAAAAAAAAAAGTTGAGATTTTAGTCGGGCGCGGTGGCTCACGCCTGTGATCCTAACACTTTGGGAGGCCGAGGCAGGTGGATCCCTTGAGCTCAGGAGTTCAAGACCAGCCTGCGCAACATGACGAAACTCCATCTCTACAAAAAATACAAAAATTAGCCAGGCATGGTGGCGCACACTTGCGGTCCCAGATATGTAGGGGGCTGAGTTTGGAGGATCCCTTGAGCCCAGGAGGTCACCGTTACATGTGGGCGGCAAGCCACCCAGGTGCCGAGGCAAGAGACCGAGGGCATGAGCTGTTCCAGTGTAATAAAGAAAATATACACAATAAGAATAGTTACACTAGAAATAGATTATAGATGTGATGATATATGAATATTCTTAATCATTAGTTTCTAGCATTACTCTTCATTCCAATATTATAATAATCTCTGTTCTACAACTATAACCTAGGAAAAACCAGGCCATACAGAGATAGGAGCTGAGGGGACATAGTGAGAAGTGACCAGGAGACAAGAGTGTGAGCCCTCTGTCACGCCCGGACAGGGCCACCAGAGGGGTCCCTGGTCTAGCGGTAGCGCTAGCGCCTGGCAAGGCACCAGTTACTTAGCAGACGGGGAAAGGGAGTCTCCTTTTCCCCGGGGGAGTTAGAGAAGACTCTGCTCCACCATCTCTTGTGCAAGGCGACATCAGTCAGGCCCACCCGCAGCCATCCAGAGGCCCGTCTCCCCGTGATGCTGTGCTTCAGCGGTCACACTCCTGGTCTGCTTTCGTGGTCCGCCCTGTACACCGGGCTCCGCCTTCTAGATAGCAGTAGCACAATGAGTGAAAGTACTAAAAGTCTTTGAAATACATAGAAGAAAGAATGGTGTAAGCTGTCCTCTCTCTCTCTCCGCCTCGGCTGCCAAACAGGGAAGGGCCCCCTGTCCAGTGGACACGAGACACACGTGACCTTACCTATCATTAGAGATGGCTCACGCTCCTTACCCTGCCCCCTTGCCTTGTATCCAATAAATAACAGCGCAGCCAGGCATTCGGGGCCACTACCGGCCTCCACATCTAGGTGGTAGTGGTCCCCCGGGCCCAGCTGTCTTTTCTTCTATCCCTGTCTTGTGTCTTTATTTCTATGATCTCACATCTCTCCGTACACAAGAAGAACCCACAGGCCCAGTAGGGCTGGACCCTGCAGTTACAGGGAGCCATGATAGCACCATTGCACTCCACACTGGGCAACAACAGAGCAAGACTTTGTCTCCAAAAAACAAAAAAACAAAGTTGAGATTTCACATCTAGACGACATTTGAGACAGGGTCTGGCTTCGCTGCCCAGGCTGGATTGCGGTGGCTCCATCATGGCTCACTGTAGCCTCCACCTGCCGGGCTCAGGCAATCCTCCCACCTCAGCCTCCTGAGTAGCTGGGACCAAAGGTGCACATCACCACACCAGGTAGTGTTTTGTATTTTTTGTGAGATGGGGTCTCACTACATTGCCCAGGCTGGGTTCAAGAGATCCACCCCTCAGCCTCCCAAAGTGCTGGGATTATAGGCGGCAGCCACTGCACCCGGCAGTAGCGTGTTGAGTAAACACTCTATTCGTTAGCATTCCCCCTCCCATGAGCCTCGGGAGACACCGGGCTTTGGAAGTGATGCTGGCGGTCACAGAAGCGGAGATCAGGGCAGGGCTGGCATCCAGTACGGGATGGGGAGAGAGCCCTGCAGAGGGCTCTACACCATGGCTCCAGCGACGCGATTCCCTGTGGGGACCCACCTGCCCTGCAGCTGCCACACCACCCCAGGCCAGCAGGTGTGACCCCCTGGTCACGGGCCACCCCAGCCCTGAGCACAGAGATGGACACACATCCCGGCCCACACAGACACAAGCAGCATGAAATTCAGAAATAAAGATATAATGAAAGACCTTTTTTTTCCACAAGAATAGGTTAAATACATACAATTGGTAAATTATAGAGCAATTCTGAATAAACTGATCAAAAAACGAAGAAAGATGAGCGCGTGCGGGCTGGGCTTGTCTCACGCCCGCCTCCGGACAGGGTGGGTTTCTTGCCGGCGGCCGTGCCCCACCTCGACGCGATGCACCTGCGGTACATCCCACCCAGGCGAAGTCACGGAACAGACGCAGAAGAGGGGAGACGGCCGAGACCCGGGGAGCCACGCGGCCCGAAACAGCCCCTGCTGGCTCTGGCGTCTTTCCGGGCCGGGGTGCCCCTCTGCCATGTTCCGTGGACAGCGAACACCCGGGCCGGAGCCATTACCTACTGTGAAGGCCAGCGCAGGGGGCACGGGATGTGAGGGAGGCCCCCGAGTGCACGGGGCCTTCTGCAGGGACTCCGGTCCTCCGCCTTCCACCAGCATAGGAGGACGGGCTTCTGGCCCACCGGACATAAGGAATTCAGAGAAAAGGCTCTGCAGGTACCCAAGGCCCCCCAGCCTGCAGCACCGAGGGGCGCCCAGGAGGCCCGGCCTGCGGAGGGCACCGGCAGCCCCCGCCCCGCTCGCGGCCGCCGCAGTCAAGGGCGACTTGTGGTTGGAGTGAGCAGGCTCCTGGCTTCCAGGGCAGCAAAAACCCCCAAGCACTTTCTAGAAGGAATGTGTTTCATTCTGACTGTAAACACATTTGTAAATGCTGAGACCAAACCCCGACTTATGGATCCTGAGCCACGGCCGTCACTGGCCCCGCTAAGCCTCATCACCACACGGCCAGGCCAGACCAGCACCCGCGGACGCCAGCTCCACCCCTGGGCCCCGAGGTTCCCACCCGCTGAGGAGCCGGGAGCTCCGAGAAACGCGCCAGGAGCTCCAAGAACGCAGGAGCAGCCCGCGGTCGGCAGCAAGTTTGCATTTCTAAGTGACCACATCTAATAAAATGAAAAACGGGTTTACTAAAACAGGTCCAAAGACAACACGGAAGATAAGCTACAAATCCAGCACACAAGGCCCACCCACACCAGCCCCAGCGGCCCGTGGCCAGGACAGGGCTGAGGCTCCAGTCTCCTCCAAAGCCCAGTCACACATTTTGGTTTTTGCTTCCCCTTTCAGGTTTTTAAAAGCTAAACCTAGGAGCCTGGTGGGTCTGCCTGTGCTGGGCAGTGTGTCCAGCCTGCCGAGGTCACGCTCTGGTGCGCGGTGCCCTCAGTGGCGCCTTGGGTCTCGGCGCCTGGGCCTCACTCCTGCGCGATGCTCCTCAGCACGTACTTGACCGTGTAAGCAAAGGCTGCAAACCCAACTATCACAAACAAGTTCGCCAGGGCGCCACCCAGGAGTCCGTGGTGCCGGTTGGCCTGCTGGAGCCCTGCGAGGTTTGGGACGGCCCCCGGCGCATGCCCGTTGAGCAGCTGAATCCCGTTCTGGACGAGGTGCGTCTCCCCGTCTGGAACCACGTCTGGCAAGGGGAGAGTCTGGGGTCTGCTACTGAGTTCGTCTTGTGCTTTCTGTTTTTGTTTAATCTCCTAAGAGAAAAACAGCGAGAAAAGCAGCTGGTCTCCAACCAGCGCCTTTCAGGACCAGCACTCCCGTTCTCAGGAGTCCACGGTCCACCACCAAGAACCAAGCCCTAGGCTGTGTCAAATTCCGACCCCATCTCACAGGTGAGGGCCCGAGCGTGGCCGGCCTCACTGGCCCTGTGCCCCTTGGCCCCTGCACTCAGGCAGACCAGAGCAAGGCTGAGCCACAGAGGCCAAGACCAGGGAGCACTCCAGTCCCAGTCCCACATGGCAGCCGCTGTGCCTCCCAGCTATCCCCAGACACCACCCAGCTGGCTGCTCAGAACCACGAGCTCCACGCCCCTGTGGGACAGGCCCAGCCCCCGGCCCACCAGCACAGCTGTCCGCAGGCCACCCCCCAGAGCCCAGGCTTTCTGCCTCCCCTGCCTCGGGGCTCCTGGGGGAGAGGAGCCATCCCCTGGGGAGGTCTGCAGCTTCAGGACACAGATTTTACTCTTTGGAAAGAGGTGAAACTCAAGTGTTTTAACGCAGGGGAAGGCGAAACCCACTTCCGTCTTTCTTACCTCCACGACTTCAGGAAATAATTCACAAAAGACTTTATCTTTCAAATTAAATGCTAAACTCTGCACTGCCAGTTGTCTTTTCTAGGAAGGAAGGGAAGGGAATCAGCCAGAAAACTAATTTCAATTCTTTCAAGATTCTAAAAACAGATGATTTCAAAGTCAAGGGCTGCAGTCTTCGTGTTGCAGAAAGCATTTAATAAGCACACTCTTCACAGCAAACTAACTTATAGTCTTACAAAGCCTTCTTAATCTTCCCCCCATCAATTCATGATATCACACTTGATTCCTATTAAAGACAGGGAAAAACAAGCCACCAAAGCACCGGGCTCCCCGCTGACAAGGCCCGGGCCGTCTGTGCAACTGGTACCGCCTTGGCCCACCCCAAGATCCCAAGGAGGAGCCCCTGGCGGGTGTGGATGAGGCTGGATGTGGATAAAAGCAAGACCGAGAGGCAGCGGGGAACACGAGGCCACAGAGCAAAGCAGTCTCCACGACAGTGCCTGGGACAAGGTGGGAACTCCACCCAGCCCCGCCTACTGAGAAGAAAGGCAGCTGCGGCCGGGCGCGGTGGCTCACGCCTGTAATCCCAGCACTTTGGGAGGCCCAGGCGGGCGGATCACGAGGTCAGGAAATCAAGACATCCTGGTTAACACGGTGAAACCCCGTCTCTACTAAAAATACAAAAAAAAAAATTAGCCGGGCGTGGTGGCGGGCGCCTGTAGTCCCAGCTACTTGGGAGGCTGAGACAGGAGAATGGCGTGAACCCCGGGGGGCGGAGCTTGCAGTGAGCCGAGATTGCGCCACTGCACTCCAGCCTGGAGACACAGCGAGACTCCGTCTCAAGAAAAAAAAAAAAAAAAAAAAAAAGGCAGCTGCAACTCAGGAACAGAGAACAGCCCCCCAGACACAAGGCTGACGGCCCACCAGGGAGAGGCTCTAAAACTTACCGTGAAGTCCGACGTCTCTATACTGCCCAGGGTGGGGCCCTTCTCCACCATGAAGCTCAGGAGCCCAGTCAGGATGGTGGAGACAGACCAGGCCGGGTTCCACGTGTCCGGGTGGAAATCCGTGATAGAAAGACACAGCCTGCAAAACGGGGGCCCCGTCAGTGCACACTCCCCACCGCAGCCAGAAAGCCTCCGCGGCCCCTCCAGGCACCTTACCTGGTGTTGCACTTAAACCTCCCGTTGGGAGTGATCATATAGATACTGGGAGGTTTGAAAGGAAATTCTCTGGGAAAAATTAGTTTTCCATGATAATAGCCACCTACATGGAAACAAAACAGAAAGGGCCTTGTCGTCCGCCACAGCAGGGGCTCCTGGAGACCTCGTCCCCATCCCCCCACGCCACCCCCCCCCCCCCCCTCAGCTCGGCTCCCGAGTCCTCATTGCACTCTCCGTCCCCAGCCGGCTCCCAGGCTCAGTCCCCCACTGACCTTGCTCTCCACTACCACCCACTGTCATGACCACCCAGACCCAATGCCCCTCCCCACCCCACCTGTACCCACCACCCGACTGGACCCAGACCCCCACTGCCCCGGGAGCTCGAGACAACCACAGCTACTGCACACCCCTCTCCCTGGAGTGTCCACACACACCCCCACCAGGAGCAGAGGGGTCGGAAGAGGCATGCAGGGCCTCCTTGCAACACCCCCAGCACAGCAGGAGCTCCAGGCCCAGCTGAGGCCGCCCCTCTCAGGACTCAGGTCCAGACCCAGCGACTCTCCAGCACCGTTTGCTTCCCCGACCCAACTGCACCCAAAGGCCAGCAAAACGCACCTCAAACACACCACTCTCCACCACACACCCCTCCAAGTTCTGCCAAATGCCCCCTGCCCTGACCTGATCCCCTGGATTCGGGCCTCATTCATGGCTCTTCACACGTCCTCCCCTCCCAAGCTCTCAAATCCACCTGACCAGGCTTTCTCCCTGCTCTACCAAACCTGACCTGAAGATCGACCTCAGGGTCACCCACACGTTCCCACTTTTTTTTGTTTTGTTTTGTTTTTTTTTTGAGACAGAATCTTGCTCTGTCGCCCAGGCTGGAGTGCAGTGGCTCGATCCTGGCTCACTGCAACCTCTGCCTCCCAGGTTCAAGTGATTATTCTGCCTCAGCCTCCTGAGTAGTTGGGACTATAGGCGCGCGCCACCACACCCAGCTAATTTTTTTTTTAATTTTAGTAGAGACGGGGTTTCACCGTGTTAGCCAGGATGGTCTCTATCTCCTGACCTCATGATCCGCCCGCCTCGGCCTCCCAAGGTGCTGGGATTATAGGCGTGAGCCACCTCCCCCAGCCATACCACTGGTTTCTGACCACCCAACGGCATAGCCTTATAAGGGGCCACTCCTGGCTCCGCCTCTCCAAAGCCCCACCCTGGTCTAGCTCCTCCACTCCCCACCCCCTCTTCCCACTCCAGCCAGCCCCTCTTCGCCCACCCAAGCACAGGGTGCTCTCCTCTCAGTCCTGGCATCCTCCTGGGGTCGCCCTAGTTTCACGGCCTCCCATCAGGAGCCCTGCAATGGCTGCTCAGCCACTTCCCCCACCCTGCACCCACGGGCCCTGTGCACACTCCAGGCCACTACACTGACCGTCCACAGCACAGCGCCCAGACGCCCCCATCCAGGACAGAAATCCGGCCACTTCCACCAAATGGCAACTTGGCAACTCCATCCTCCTGGTATCACACCCACTCCATGAGCAAATCCTGTTGGCCCCACCTTCAAATCAATCTAGAGCCGCACACCCTGTGTGGCTTCCCCTGGCCCTGCTCCCAGGCCCTCTATGAGCTGCCTCATGGCAGCCCCGCCCCAGCCCGAGGCCCACACGCTGGCTGCCCAGGCTGCACCTGGAGTTGGTTGGAAATTCAGAGCTTGGGGCCAACCCCAACCAGAGGACCACAAGTGCACAAGCCAGGACTCCCTGGCCACACCTGCATGCGTTGACGTGTGTGTGCATGCCATCAGGACGCGTGTGTGCGTGTCTGAGTGTGTGCATGCCATCAGGACGCACGTGTGTGCATGTGTGTGTGCATGCCATCAGGACGCACGTGTGTGCATGTGTGTGCATGCCATCAGGACGCACGTGTGTGCATGCCATCAGGACGCGTGTGTGCGTGTCTGAGTGTGTGCATGCCATCAGGACGCACTTGTGTGCATGTGTGTGTGTATGCCATCAGGACGCATGTATGTGCGTGTCTGCATGCCATCAGGACACGTGTGTGTGCATGTGTATGTGCATGCCATCAGGACGCGTGTGCACGTGCGTGCCATCAGGACGCATGGGCGTGGGCATGTGTGTGCGTGCCATCAGGACACGTGCATGCGTGTGTATGCGTGTGCATGCCATCAGGTTTGAGGAGCACTGGCCTCTGTCCTCCCTTGGGCTCCCTGTGCACAGCCCTGCCCCAATGCGAGTCCCCAAATCGCCACGGGCTCTTCTGCTCTAGACCCACCCTGTGTAGGATGCAGCACCCCTGCCCCTCGAGTGCTTTACATCTTGCAGGAACGCTCATCATCTTAGGCCGCCTCGGCATCCACTCTGAATCTAGGCTGGACTTTCTCTGACCAGAAGCGGGGCTGCCACCCGCAACAATTTTCAGTTCACATCCCCCTTCCTCGAGCTGATCCACCCAGACGCCCGCCCTACGCACTGTCCCCTGGTGACCACCCCCCATGTCCCCACGGACCCCACGCCCCACATGGACTGTGCAGCCACACCACGGAGTCCCCCACAGTCACAGCGTGGCCCCACGGGGCTCGTGCCCGCTTGTATTAAACCCACCAGTTAAAACTCCCCAAGGGAAACCTGTGTGCAGAACGCCCTGGACCCAATAAAGGGTCGGCCTGGGGGTTCCAGTCTCTCTCCACTTTCCCTGGCCTCCCTGCATGTGTGGCCTCCCGCACGTGTTTCCCTCGTGTCTCTCTCTTGATCACTAGGGGCTGCTCTCCCTCCCATAGATCCTAAATGAAAACACGGCTTCACTGTCTGCCTCCCCTGAAGACACACATGGCCAAGCAGGGGGACGCTGCAGCTTCCTCTCTGCACTCTGCTCAGGGCTGGCATTCGAGGACACGCAGGAACAGGGGTGGAGTCAACAGTGGAGGGACGGCATGAGCAAGTGCCACTGTCACCCATCCTGGCGTGCGGCCACATCCACCAGGGAGAGGCGAAGCCCAGGAATGACACCCAGAAGACACAAGAGATCATAAGGAAAGGCCAAACTGGAAAGTGAGTGAAAGAAACAGGCTTGCTTAAAAGAGGAAGCGGGAACAGCCAAAGCGAGGCTGGAACGATGTTTAGCTCGGTGCTAATGGGCAAGAGTGACTTACACGGCAGGAAACAGCCAGTTGAGCGCAGAGGGTGCTGGGAGATGGACACCCTGCTGCCTCACTGCGTGCGCACACCTGTCGGGATGGGAGACGGGCGCCCTGCTGCCTCACTGCGCGCACACCTATCGGGAAGCCCCAGACGGCTATCCCACTGCTTGTCACCCGCCAGAGAAACCCAAGACAAAGGCACCAAGAGCCACACACACACAGACGTTCACAGCACCAGATGAAAATCAGGAAGCACCCACTTGTCCTGAAGTGGGTCCCTGGCAGCTTGAACATCCCCACACCCCAGGCCATCTGCTGAAAAGCCTGAGGCAAAGGCCTAGCTGGCTACTCTGCCCCATGGCCTGTCCCTCCTCTACCACTGCCTGACCCTCATCACTGGGGTAAGTCTTGAAACCACAGACTCCACTTCATTCTTTAGAAAAATGGTTTTAACTGTTCTAGGTCCTTTGCCTTTGCATGTAGCTTGTGTAGTATAAAAAACTGAGATTTTGTTAGGACTGTGTGAAATCTACAGATTCACTCAAGGGGAATGATTTAGCAACATTTGTAGGAAGCCAGCTCTGAACTGTCAGAGTGGGCACGCCTGGGCAGCACCAGGGGCAGAACAGCCACGGAACCCAGTGCACGGAGGGGACGCAGCTAATGCACAGGCAGGAAAAGGGGTCAGAAATCCCGAAGTCAGGAAGGAAGCTGTCGTCAGCAGCATCAGATACCAGAGGCTAAGAAACTGAGGACTGAGAACAGCCCCTCGGCAAGTGGCAATTCGGAGGGGTTCCCTGGAGACCCTGAAGGAGAGCAGAGGGCAGGGCTGCAGAGAGCAAAAGGCATCCCCCAGTGAGGGGGAGGTCCGCGGGGACGGGAGCAGCAGTGCCATAGAGGGAAATGGGAGGGGCAGTAGGAACACACATTCTCTCTCTGAAGGGAGGCTTTCCTGAGACCCAGGACCAGCACAGAGCCACACACGGTTGTGGGGAACAACGGAAGCGATGGGAGGGGACCAAGATAAAAGCACAAGTGACAGGGTTGGGGCTGGCAACGGCCGCACCACACCCAGGGGCTGCCCCCTCTTCTCCCAACTGTGTCCAGCCCTGTTGGGGGAGCAGCTCATCTCCACCAGCAACTGACCTAGCTGGTGAAGTTGAGGGAGACTGGGTGTGGATACAGAATTAATATTCACTATTTATTTTTAAAAAACTAAAACCACAAAACAAACAAAAAAAATGTAAAGCTGGCATAATTTTGCTTGTCAAAGACCACCACCCATTTTGGTTTTTTTTTTTTTTTTTGAGATGGAGTTTTGATCTTGTCACCCAGGGTGGAGTGCAGCGATCTCGGCTCACTGCAAGCTCCGCCTCCTGGGTTCAAGCGATTCTCCTGCCTCAGCCTCCTGAGTAGCTGGGACTACAGGGCCCCACCACCACGCCCAGCTAATTTTTTGTATTTTTTTAGTAGAGACAAGGTTTCACCGTATTAGCAAGGATGGTCTGGATCTCCTGACGAGTTTCACTCTTGTCACCCAGGCTGGAATACAACGGCACGACCTCGGCTCACTGCAACCTCCGCCTCCCGGGTTCAAGTGATTCTCCTGCCTCAGCCTCCCGAGTAGCTGGGATTATAGGCATGCACTACCACACCCGGCTAATTTTGTATTTTTAGTAGAGATGGGGTTTCTCCGTGTTGGTCAGGCTGGTCTCGAACTCCTGACCTCAGATGATCCGCCCACCTCAGCCTCCCAAAGTGCTGGAATTACAGGCGTGAGCCACCGCGCCCGGCCGACCACTACTCACTCGGTGGTATATATTCTTCAGATCAGCTGAAGGCACACACACGCATCGTAACAAGTACTTTAACACGCCCTGGACACCTGCTCCCGGGCCTTATCTCACCACGGCCTGCTGGCATCCCCAACGCTGGTCATGGGCAATGACACGATGATGGAGGGCCCACCCTACAGATGTACTCCCGCACTCTGGCTGCCCTAGTTGCAGATGATCCAGAACTGGGATTCCTGGGCCAAAGGAGAGTCCACAGGTGTGGCTGTGTTAACTCGGCCAAAATGCCTTCAGGAGAGCCTTTTTCATTCTTACCCACCCACAACCCTCCCGACAGTCCAAAGCAGGGGTTGCAAACCTTCTTCTAGCAGCAGCACTCTCTTCTAGTGAAATCTCATCCAAAGCCTCCACACACAGGCAAACAGAGCCTGCTGCTCCAGCCACCTGAAGCCGGGGCCCTGTGGCTGGACAGCAACTGCTGACCTGGCCCTGCTCTGCCTTGTGCTTGCCGGCGGGACAGTATTCACGGGCACACTGACTACTGACCTGGTCCAGATCGAGGCTGGCGCCAGCCTCCGCCAAAGGCCCCAGAAACTTACTGACAGCTCCAGCATCTTCTCTATAAATGACACTAGGTCTCTAGGTGGTGTCTGCTGACCTGGAGGGGTCAGGCTGCTGGATCAGCCTTGGTAGTCGATGAAGGGCTGAGGTGCTGGACAGGTCCTGCAGCCTACCGAAGCCCCAGGTGCCACCACACAGGGGTACTTCCACTTAGCTCAGAGACCGTCCTGGGGATTGCGAAACCCTGGGGGCGCCCAGCACAGAAGGCACACTGAATAACTGAATATATGTGCCTTTCCTTTGATGATATGCACTGGGTCTTAAGAAATAGTAGAACAGGCCAGCTTCAGTGTTTACCCCGGTCTGGTTTTCTCAGCTATGGCCCTATGGTGTCAGAGGCTGGTGAACACAGACGCTACAGGCGGCCCTGCAGGCTGAGACACATCAGCAGAGCAAACACTTCCAGCGTGTGGAGAAGCAGACGAGGAGGAGTTCCAACTAAGCCAATTTAACTAGCACACATCCAAAGTAGAAAGGCTGCTGTTTGCAAATAAAAGATGTTGAACAGGCAAGGCTGACTGAGAATATAAAAACCGCCTGGTGTTCTTCTCCTAAGCACAGAATCCTTACCTTCATAAGGGGTCATCTCTGGGCCTCGGACGACATAGTGCCTAAGGGAGAGAAGAAAATTACTTGGGATTTGAGGACAGCAAATTCTCCAAAATCTGAATCATTCCAAGCCTGGGGTTTATAGAACCCAGCCAAAATTACATTCACATTCAGGCAGTGAACAAATGAAGGTGAAATGTCACACAGCCACACGGCTTCAAAACCCCCGTCTCTTCTACCGTGGGTGCTTTTAGTCTCTTGTAACAGGATCTTAGAGACTATACTTTATAAGTTTACCATAAAGTACCTTTGTTTCGACAATATAACATGCACGAAGCTCATCTTAATAATAACTGAAATCTTAAATAAATTTTAATTTCACAGTACATTACTAAGATGTACTTGAAGACTGTAATCCCAGCACTTTGGGAGGGCACGGTGGAAGATCGCTTGAGCCCAGGAGCTTGACACCAGCCTAGGCAACATAGCAAGACCCCACCTTTATTTAAAAAAAAAAAGTTAGCCGGGTGTGGTAGTGCATGCCTGCAGCCCGCCTACTCAGGAGGCTGAGGCGGGAGGATCACTTGAGCCCAGGAGTTTAAGGCTGCAGTGAGCTATGATTGTGCCACCACATCCCATTTGGGCAACAGAGTGAGACCCTATCTCCAAAGAAAAAACGATGTACTTTGAAATGTATATTCTTAAATGTACTTATATATAATGTGTTTTTTGATATCACACATGCAGGCTAAACAGAACACAGCTAGTGATGCGGGGCCGGCTCGGTACCCCCAGCCCTTTCTCGTGCTCCTGGAAAAACCATAAGTGACTTGAGCAGCTGTCCTGGAGCAGAAGGAACAGGAACTGCCGTGATTGTGTCCAAAGCCACAGTCCCCACACAGAGCTCACCCTCAGACCAGGGGCAGCAGCAAATCGACTAAACACTCCTCCACACAAATAAATAAGGCTTCTGCTTTACGTAAAGAAGTGTCTGGGCTTTACAGATTCCCAAACGAAACAGAAGAGCACAGAGAAGAAAGTAAAACCAGCTAGAAATGCCAGAAACCAGACATGGCTTCAACTGCCAACACCGGCCAACACCGGCCATCATCTTTCCCCTTGCTCTGCCCCAGGACATGTGTGCCATCACTTTAAAACTAATGGGGGCTGGGCTCGGTGGCTCATGCCCGTGATCCCAGCACTCTGGGAGGCCAAGGTGGGTAGATCACCTGAAGTCAGGAATTCGAGACCAGCCTGGTCAACATGGCGAAACTCCGTCTCTACTAAAAATACAAAAATTAGGCCAGGTGCGGTGGCTCACACCTGTAATCCCAGCACTTTGGGAGGCTGAGGCAGGTGGATTGCCTGAGGTCAGGAGTTCAACACCAGCCTGGGCAACACGGTGAAACCCTGTCTCTATTAAAAATACAAAAATTAGCCAGCCATGGTGGCACACACCTGTAATCCCAGCTACTCAGGAGGCTGAGCCAGGAGAATCGCTTGAACCTGGAAGACGGAGGTTGCAGTGAGCCGAGGTCACACCGCTGCACTCCAGCCTGAGTGACAGAAATAGTACTCAAAAGAAACTACTAATGGGATGACGTATAGTAATGTATACTAATGGGATGATGTATCAGCAGAGCCAGCTGGTATGTTTTACTCAAAAAATGCCATTATCATGTGTCATTGACCCAGGAACCCAGTGGCTCTGAGCTCAGCACGCGATGCACCCAGGAATGTGGCCTTACGTTGTTACTGTGCCCAACCTGCGAAAACTGGGAAGAAATGAAGAAGTCATCCTCTTCCTGAGACAGAGCCCAGCAGCCTTGGGGCGGCTGAGAGAAGATGGGATCCACGTGGCCCATAGCGCACCCCACAGGCCTTTTCTGGGAAAGCAGT
Source organism: Homo sapiens (assembly GCF_000001405.40). Classification (NCBI taxonomy): domain Eukaryota; kingdom Metazoa; phylum Chordata; class Mammalia; order Primates; family Hominidae; genus Homo; species Homo sapiens. Next base: position 1,265,224 of record NC_000001.11, read on the forward strand.
CTTCTCTCGGGGAAGGGAGAGACACCTGCCGAGGACCTGCCAGGGGCTCTCGCACTGACGCTGCTGTCCTTAATGCCTCAACAGTACAGGCAACATGGGCTACGCTGAGCCCCTGCTCTCCTGGAAGTCTGGTATTTTGGTATTTTGGCAGGTGCCAGGCAGAGGGTGCCTAGGACCAGCCCCATAAAGTCCCTGGGCCTTCCCCTAATGTTTTAGTTTCCAATGAGTTTCTCTGCTCAACATTCCACACATGCCGTCCAAACCCAAGCCTGCTGCTGGGAATGGAGCACAGAGACTTTGCCCCACATGCCTCTTCCGCTGGCTGACTGCAGTTTTCTCTCGTGTGTGTGTGTGTGTGTGTGTGTGTGTTTTCTCTCCATTGTGTGTGTGTGTGTGTGTGTGTGTGTGTGTGTGTGTGTGTGTGTGGTGGAGTCTCACTCTGTCGCCAGGCTGGAGTACAGTGGTGCGATCTCAGCTCACTGCAACCTCCGCTTCCCGGGTTCAAGCGATTCTCCTGCCTCACCCTCCCAAGTAGCAAGTAGCTGAGATTACAGGCGTGCGCCACCATACCGGGCTAATTTCTGTATTTTCAGTAGAGACAGGGTTCCACCATGTTGGCCAGGCTGGTCTCAATCTCCTGACCTTGTGATCCACCCACCTCGGCCTCCCAAAGTGCTGGGATTACAGGCATGAGCCACTGTGCCTGGACTTCTCTCCGTAATTTTAATGGTGAGTATTCTTTGTGAATCATCGAACCTGCACCGGGACTTGGGGACGCCTGACCCACAGATTTGTGGGGAGGGATTTCCCCACACAATGAAGACGTCCTCGCAACCAGCGAGGAGGCGGCTACCGTGGAACTTGTCCCTCTCACCTGCCAGCGATGTCCTGGGGCCACATGTGATTTTCAACACTGGGGGCAGAGAGCACTCTGGTGGCCAAGGGGCTCCGCCTCACCCTGGGTATCCTCCGCCTGCCTGGGCTGGGCCTCCTCTGTGAGCCAGAGAAGGTGGACCCCTGACCAAGCCGAAACACATTTCCTTTCAACTCACTGAAATATCTTTTCTCTGGAATTAAAAAAAATTAGGCCAGGCATGGTGGCTCAAGCCTGTAATCCCAGCACTTTGGGAGGCTGAGGCAGGCAGATCACCTGAGATAAGGAGTTCGAGACCAGCCTGACCAATATGGTGAAACCCCATCTCTAAGGCAGGAGAATTGCTTGAACCAGGGAGGCGGAGGTCACAGTGAGCCGAGATCACGCCATTGCACTCCAGCCTGGGCGACAGAGCAAGACTCTGTCTCAAAAAAATAAATAAGGCCGGGCGTGGTGGCTCACGCCTGTAATCCCAGCATTCTGGGAGGCCAAGGCGGGCGGATCACGAGGTCAGGAGATCAAGACCATCCTGGCTAACACGGTGAAACCCCGTCTCTACTAAAAATACAAAAACAAAAAATTAGCCGGGCATGGTGGCAGGCGCCTGTAGTCCCAGCTACTTGGGAAACTGAGGCCAGAGAATGGCATGAACCCGGCAGGCAGAGCTTGCAGTGAGCCGAGATTGTGCCACTGCACTCCAGTCTGGGTGACAGTGCAAGACTGTCTCAAAAAATAATAATAAGTAATTTTTTTTTAAAAGATCAAAATATAAAACATCCTTACATTTTATTTTATTTTATTTTATTTTGAGACAGAGTTTCGCTCTTGTTGCCCAGGTTGGAGTGCAGTGGTGTGATCTCAGCTCACTGCAAGCTCCGCCTCCCGGGTTCAAGCGATTCTCCTGCCTCGGCTTCCCGAGTAGCTGGGACTACAGGTGTGCGCCATCATGCCCAGCTAATATTTGTATTTTTAGTAGAGACAGGGTTTCACCATGTTGACCAGGCTGGTCTCGAACTCCTGACCTCAGGTGATCCGCCCGCCTGAGCCTCCCAAAGTGCTGGGATTACAGGTGTGAGCCACCATGCCCGGCCTCTCACACTTTATTTCTTACCAAATTACTAGCAGACCTGTAATGGCAGTGTTTCGACAGAGCAGTATGCACTCTCACACTCTATACTTCAGCAAGGGGGAGAGTCACCATGAGGTGAATGCTTATGAGGCACAGGTCCTCTCGTTGTCAGCCTGAGGGTCGGGGCACCTGGCCCAAGCCAGTGCCAGGGACAGGAGTGTCGGACCCTAGTCCTGTCAAATACTCCAAGCCAAAACAGGCTAATTCCCATATCCAGAAGCAAAGAGCAGAGTCTAGAAAGGCAGTTTCTCCTCTAAGTGCCTAGAGTGCACACCAGCAACAGCTGTGAACCCTGCATACCTGGACCCCTCCCCTAAGGACCCCACACCAGAGACTCTCTCCAGCCCCAACCTGAGTCAACCTGGACCCCGCCCCCCTCAAGGGCCCCACACCGGAGATTCTCTCCAGCCCCAGCCTGAGTCAAGCATGGCTCTGTGATGTCCCCGGCATGCGTCCATTGGGAAAAGACCAGAGAGTGTCCACAGGCCCCTGGGCACCCCACTCACCCCGGGGGAGGGTGCAGGAGCACCTTGCCAATGCCATGACTGGGGCACCAGGCTCGCCCAGCAGGGGCCGGCAGAGGCCTGCGTGGCAGCGACAGTCAGCGCAGGGCGATCAGTGGCGCGGAGCCTTACCACTCGAGAATATTCGAAGGGAGGGGCTCGGCACAGATGTAAGGCACCGGGTCTTTCTTAATGCGAAGGTAGTCCTGCTTCAGCCTCTGGGTTGCCGTGGTCGGAGCCCTCTTACTGCTGGTGCTGCTCATCTGTTAAAAGCAACGTCTACACTGACGACGAGAAGCAGCGCCGGCCACAGCTCTCTCCCCTGGCGCAGCCCCACTCCCGCCTCTGCAGCCCGCCATTCATTCAGGGCCCGGTCACCCAGAGTCACAGCTCACAGGTCACCCTCGCTTGCCACCCGCCCAGACACCCAGAGGCCCTGCGGCTTCTCTCTTCCCGTCTGTCCCGCCACCACCTTCATTGACACGACGTACAGCTCAGGTACAAAGACGAGGAGAAACCCAAAGCCTCGTTCCTGTCCTCCAAAAACTCACGCAGGGATACATTTACAGGGCTTGAGGGGGTATTCGGGCCACAGCCTCAGACCAGCTCCTGAGGGCAGCTACTCGCACCTTCCAACTCAGCTCAAGGACCCCGCACTGATGGAGAATCCACACCATAGAAGTGGGCAGGCACCACCGCCGGCCCCTTCACCGCACCCGGAAGCCCGCTGCCCAGCATTTACCACTAGCCACAAGCAAAACGAGCCGCAGAACGGGGGAGCCTCTGCGGCTGGAGGGACGAGGACTCTGGAGACTCCAAGGCACTCACTGGGCAGAGCAGCTGTCTTCCTGGTAGAAGGGGCCACAGGTGAACAGGCCACACCTGAGAAAGTGCAGTGTGCAAGGGCCCAAGCACAGTGAGGGCAGGGATAAGACTGGCCAGGGAGGCAGGGCCAGGGCATAAGAGTTTATTTACTTATTTTTCGTGAGACAGGGTCTTGCTCTGTCGCCCAGGCTGGAGTCACTGTGGCCTTGACCACCTCGGCTCAAGCAATCCTCCCACCTCAGCCTCCTGAGTAGCTGAGACTACAGACGCATGCCACCACGCCTAGCTAATTTTTTTTTTTTTGTAGAGCTGGGATCTCACTATGTTGCCCAAGGTGGTCTCAAACTCCTGGCCTCAACTGATTCTCAGGCCTCAGCCTCCGGAAGTGCTGGAATCACAGGCAGGAGCCACGGTAACCCGGGCCCCACAGGGGTTTGGGGTCCAAGCCTCAAGGCAGATCATATCTTCTGTTAGGAAAGTCACTCTGGTGGCTCCATTGGGACGTTCAAGACAGCACTGAAGGCCGAGCATGGGGCGCGAGGCACCATGCAAGAGAGGAGGCTGGATCAGGGACCCCAAGGCCCCTCAGCCACACCCGAGACTGGGGAGAGGGGTGGTGATCATCATGCAAGAGAGGAGGCTGGATCAGGGACCCCAAGGCCCCTCAGCCACACCCGAGACTGGGGAGAGGGGTGGTGATCATCATGCAAGAGAGGAGGCTGGATCAGGGACCCCAAAGCCCCTCAGCCACACCCGAGACTGGGGAGAGGGGTGGTGATCATCATGCAAGAGAGGAGGCTGGATCAGGGACCCCAAGGCCCCTCAGCCACACCTGAGACTGGGGAGAGGGGTGGTGATGAAAACAGGGCTCCCTGCTGCATCAGACTAGCTCCAACTCAAACCTTATTTTTTTTTTTTTTTTGAGATAGAATCTCACTGTTCGTTGCCCAGGTTGGAGTGCAGTGGTGTGATCTCCGCTCACTGCAACCTCTGCCTCCTGGGTTCAAGTGATTCTCCTGCCTCAGCCACTCAAGTAGCTGGGATTACAGGTGCCTGCCACCATGCCAAGCAAATTTTTTTTGTATTTTTAGTAGAGACGGGGTTTCACCATGTTGGTCAGGCTGGTCTCGAACTCCTGACCTCAGGTAATCTGCCCACCTCGGCCTCCCAAAGTGCTGGGATTACAGGCGTGAGTCCCCGCGCCCAGCCATGGCCACACGATTTAATAACGTCTGTGGACATCAGTGGCCATCGATAACGGACAGTGACCAGTGATCTCCATCCTGACCTCCCAGTTCCCACAAACCGGAAGTCTACTCTACCCAGTTTCCTTGCTGATATGCTTTGGCTATGTCCCCACCCAAATCTTATATTGACTTGTAATCCCCATAATCCCCCATGTTGAGGGAGGGACCTTGTGGGAGGTGACTGGATCATGGGAGCAGTTTCCCCAAGCCGTTCCAGTGAAAGCGAGTTCTCAGGAGATCTGATGGTTTATAAGGCAGTGTTCCCTGCTCTTGCCCGCTCTCTCTAGCCTGCTGCCATGTGAGACATGCCTCTTCCCCTTCCGCCATGATTGTAAGTTTCCTGAGGCCTCCCTGGCCACACGGAACTGTGAGTCCATTAAACCCCTTTTCTTTATAAATTACTGAGTCTCGGGTACATCTTTATAGCAGCATGAGAACCAACTCATACACCTGTAGACAGCCACACATTCCACCTCCTTTCAGTCTCCACCTGCAAGAGATCTACAGACTTGGCCTCTCTAACCGGTTTATTCCTCCTCAGAGAACCACCACCAGCAGCCTGTTTAGTGTCTGCTCCCAACCTGAGGATGTCAATGGCCAGGGCTTGGCTGCTCACCCCACACACCCAGGGCCTGGAGTGCAGAGCTCAGCCAGGGCACCCAACGCGTGCTCCCAAATGTGTGGCCTCAGCACCACCCCCAACCCTGCTTCTTGTTCTGGGGTCCCTGACTCTTGCAATCCTTGTTCACCACAGCCTTCCCACTCTCATTATCTTCTCTAACGCAAAATGTCATCACTTCTCCCATCAACACCACAGGAGCCTCCCAACTCCCCCCGTGGGTCCAGAAGGTCTGAGCTTCTAGTCTCTTCCCATTTCAAGGCCCTCCTGTACCCATAAGTCAACATACTGTTCCGATCACCCACTCCCCCATCCACCCTTCAGGATACTCCACAGCCAAGCAAATAAACATCAACACGTCCTCTTGCCTGCCAGCCCCTTGACAGAGGCAGCCCCAGCCAGCCCTCCTCATTCCCAGCTCCCAAGACAGAGCAGCCCCAGCCAGCCCTCCTCGTTCCCAACTCCCAAGACCCAGCACGGCCCAGGTCCCACTCCAAAGTCCTGACCGACACACTCCTTCTCACAGCTGCTTCCCAGCCTAGCCTGTACTGGAAACTCCCCAGGCCCTTCCCGGCATAGCCAGAGCCACCGCCTTCAGAGGCCTCCCTGATTTCCCTGCCAAATGCCTCCCACTCTGTCACACATCACTGGCCTCCATGTGACCCCACACACAACGCAGGGCCCTTCTGGGCCCCAGCGGGTTCCTCTGCCTAAGGAGTGCCTCCCCAGGAGGGCCCCCACCAGGGATGGGGTTACAGTCCTGCCTGGGAAGGAAGTGCTTCCACACAGTGGCATCCCCAGCTCCTGGCTAAAGAAGCCAATGGGCCAGGGATCTCCCCTCAGGCCAACACCTGGTGATGGCCACAGTGATGACCCCAAGCAGCACCGCCACACAGGCTGTCCTTTCGACACTCACCCTGAAGCTAACACTCTGCCATATACAAAATAATTCACTGGACAATTCAAGTGCAGGTGGGTCTGGGCTTAGCTAAGTGGCCAGGCCGCAGGTTTAACGAAAGTTCATGGACAGCCGCGCAAAAATAAAATAGATTCCATCCAATGAGTCACAAACAAGCTTCTCTCCCATACCTGCTTGGAGAGGCTTTTAAAATCATGTTCACGATTCAACTGCTGTTTCCCCAGCCACTCTTCCTGAGCTTCACACAGAACAGCATTCTCACGTCCCCCAGGAGGCCAGGGGGCTATTTCCCCCAATTCTTCTCATCCCAATATGACAGCAGGAAGGACAAGGAAAACAAAAATTCACAAAGGGGCTGGGCGTGGTGGCTCACACCTGTAATCCCAACACTTTGGGAGGCCCAGGCAGGCAGATTACCTGAGATCGGGGGTTCGAGACCAGCCTGACCAACATGGTAAAACCCCGTCTCTACTAAAAATACAAAATTAATCAGGCATGGTGGCATGTGCCTGTAATCCCAGCTACTCGGGTGACTGAGGCAGGAGAATCACTTGAATCCAGGAGGTGGAGGCTGTGGTGGGCCAAGATCAAGCCATTGCACTCCAGCCTGGGCAACAAGAGCGAAACTCCGTCTCAAAAAAAAAAAAAAAAAAAAAAAAAAAAAATTAGCCGGGTGTGGTGGTGGGCACCTGCAATCCCAGCTACTCTGGAGGCTGAGGTGGGAGAATTACTTGAACTCGGGAGCCGGAGGCTGTAGTGAACTGAGATCATGTCACTGCACTCTAGCTGGGCCAACAGAGACCCTGTATCAAAAAAAAAAAATTCCACAAAGGAAGCAAACTGTGAGAACAGAGTTTGAAGCATATGTGCCTCGGGTTCCCTTCAAACATCCCCACAGACAAAGGACACCAAGCATATCATCCTGCTGAGAGAAAGAGTTGGCGATTTTAAAACAAAAAGGCACAGGAAAAAAAAATGTTCACACACAGAAACTGCATTAAAGCAGCGTGAATCACCGAGGGCAGCTGTGCCCAGGTGCTGAGGCAGTGGCTGCCCAGCGTCCCTCACCCGTCCCTCTTTGTCTGGACAGCTCTTTCCTGCTTAGGGGATGTGGCAGGAAACCTTGGCCTGACCCATCGGCCAGGCGCATGGCACACCCAGGTCCAGGACTGCCAGGGAAGTCTCTGCCTTCTCCACCAGACTGCTCCGGAGGCTGGACGGAAGCCCGGGCCGATGGAAATGGGACACTCACCTGCGACTCACACATGCACCTGCCTGGGTCACCTGCCTGTCACTCATCCACGCACCTACCTGCCTGGCTCACCTGCCTGTCACTCAAGCACTCACCTACCTGCCTGGCTCACCTGCCTGTCACTCACGCACATCCCTGCCGAGAGTGGAACTGCTAAGGAGGTCAGCGGTGCCAGGCCGTGCAGATGACGGACTGCAAGTTCCGGGCACCCAGACCCAACCACGCCCTAGGCTCAGGTGCTAGACTAAGCGAGATACTCACGATCCTTTCTTCGGAAGCCAGATTACACAGTCTGGTTCCCCTGGAGCAGGGCGCGGGGCCACCGACCTGCCCCAGCCAAGCCCGCTGTACACTCTTCGCTGCCCACCTCCCACCGGGCTGAGGCCCGACCTTTCAGCCGCTTCCTATCTGGGTCTGGCAAGAGGATGGCAACCGGACTAGAGTTAAATACACACGCACTAAGTGGCAGGCACTGAAAAGGACGCCAGGAGGTGACACCTGGCCAGGGGCTGAAAGGATGCAGGGAACTGGCAGGTGTGGATGGCGAGGCCCGGCGCCGCTTAGAGACTTGTTCCGGGCTCGTGTCTCACTCGCCGGCCGGCGGTGGTCTCCCACTGTCACCGCCCGGGTTTCCCAGAAACGCTGGCCCTAAGCACAGTCCCGGGCACGCTCGTTTCTCTCGGGGTTTACGGGGCAGTCTGGAGTCTAACAGTTCAGGGGCGAGGCGACGGCGGGCTCGACGGCAGCCCTCCCCCGACACAGACTCCCGTGATCCACTGACGAACCAGGATCGAGGCTGCCCGTCCTGGGGCAGCTGCAAGTGTCCCAGCTGACGGGAAACCCGGCCGAGTGGTCAAGTCCCCGACATGACCCTGACCCGGAGCTCCGGGAGCCCGCCGTAACCGACCTCGGGTTCCGCGCAGGCAGGCTCGGGCCGGGGCCCCGCGGGCGGCGGGCGCGAACGGAGAAGCGTCGCGCAGGGTCCCCAGCAGCCCCGGGCCGCCGCTGTGGCCGGCTCCGGCAGGGGGGACGAGCGGGCCCGAGGACCCGGCGCAGGCCTGCGAGCGCGCTCACCTCTCCCTGTCGCTGCGCGTGGGCCGCCGCCGCGCTCAGGCTCGCCGTAGTCGAGGCCGGAGCAGGGTGCGGAAAAGCGGGGCCCGCGCCCGAAACAGCCGCACCGCCCCGGGATTGGGCCCACCGAACCCGCCGCAGCGCCGCCGCCGCCGCCTCAGCCTCCAAGATGGCCGCTCGCGGGGCGGAACCAGCCTAGCTTCTGCTTCCGGTGCGCGGTCCGGGGCGGTGAGGAGGGAGGGGGAGGGCTGGCCGCTCTAGGCAGACTGGCGGACCGCGCCCACGACTCTCTGTCGCCGTCGACCCCGGGGTGGGGGATGGGGCGGGGGGCGGGGCGGCGCTTGCGCACTGGCGGGCGGCTCCGGGCACCGTTAGTGGGCGCGAGAGCCCCAGACCCCGAAGCCGCGCGCTTCCCTCCCCATGTGCCACGGCCCAGGGCGGCAGGCCCGGCTGAGGGCGACCCCGGTGGAGAAAGAACCCCGACCCTCCCGCCTCCCGGCTCCCGCCTTGTCCTCCGCTCCCACGCCCCACCCGGCCCTTAGGGGAGGCGCGGCGCGGCCCGGGCATGGAGCGTCCCGGGCCCCTGGAGGCTCAGTGGAGGGTTGGGCTCCAGGGAGCTCAGAGCTCTCTCGTTCAGGGACCCGAGAGTGACACGCGTGGCATCTCTTTGCAACCCACGTCCGCGCCGCAGCACCCTCCCCTGCAGGTGCCTGCCCAGCCCCGGGATGCCCCTGACCTCCCCTTGGACAGACTGCAGAAAGCGCGGGGCGCTGCGTCCTCTCCACCTCTCTCTGACCCCAGACACATTGGGAGAGAGCGGTAGGTGGCGGGGCGCTGGGGTGGGACGCTGGGGGCAGGCGCGCAGCCCACCGCCTCCCTGAGAGGCCGCTGAGGACAGCGGGGAGCTGAGGGTGGTCCCCTGGTGGGGGATCAGGAGGTGGACCTCGCCACCTGGCTGCCTGTGGCCCTCTCCTTTGCCCCAACCCTGACTGCCTCTCAGGAACAACCACAGGTCAGCAAGGTGGCTGAATATTGAGGGTCAGTCCCGCTGTGGCTACGGGCAGAGGGCAGGCTGTGTCCATGCTCAGCCCTGACTCTGGCCCTCTGGGACACCTTGGTGGGTCTGAGACGTTGCTGCAGGCCGTGGGGCAGAAGCCAGGAGGAGTGTCCACGCAGCCTCAGCCCGTGGGAATCCAGCCTGCCTCCATTACTGCCGTCACCGGCTCCACCTTCGGAGAACATCTCAGCATCCAGCCTCCTTCCTCTGCCTCCTCTCAGGCCTCTGCCGTTCCCATGCAGGGCAGGCCAAACTGTTTTCACAGCATGGAAAGTTATGTGAGGGAAGCCACACCGGCCGCAGATACAGGCACCAGCACATCCACTCGCATGCACACTCACGGCTGTGGCCCGCGGCAGATGGAGGCCCGCTCTGCCTTGTCTGTCCCTCAGTAGTGTGCGATGACAGCACACCTGTGGGGGCCCTGCAGCTGGGAAGACTGCAGCGAGGCTCAACTCAGAGGCCCCTGCTCAGGAGCATGGCTGAGTCACACCCCAGGGAGAAGGTGCCCCGGACAGGTGTGGCCAGCACGTCTTGCCAAGACCCCACCACCCCACCCACCCGCATCTGTGGCCTTCTGGTAAGCAGGACACAGGCTGCCCAGGCCTCTAGCCATAGAGCCGATGGCCTTGGCCAGTGGGATCGGCACAAGCAGCTAGGTTGGTGGCAGATGGTGGCTGTAACCTTCTCAACCCTGAGATTGCCCTCTGAGGGCAGGAGCAGCCCTTCTGCTGTGGGCCAGCCCTCCGGAGGGACTTCCTCTGGCAGCTTCAGGAATAGGACAACAGGGACCACCCTCAGCATCTTGAGCAGCGGGGGGCACCCTCTGCTTTGGCAACCAAGAAAACATCCCCCAACCCAGTTACCACCTCCTGCCCCCACCTCCTCCAGCCCCCAGGGTTGGACCAGAAAGCCTTGGCTGCCTCTGAACAGCAGGGATTGTCTGGCCAGGGGATGCTTGAGGGACAGAGAACCCAGCCTGGAGGGTGCAAACTGAGGAAGGTCTCAGTCCCTTTAGAAAGTTTGTTTTGCCAAGGTTAAGGACACACCCATGACATCTCGGGAGGTGCCCAAGGTGCATGTGGCACAGCTCGCTTTTATACATTTTAGGGAGACATGATTTATTTACACGGGTTCAATCTGAAAGAGCAGGATAAATTGGGGTGGTGTGGGGAGACCTCTATGTTATAGGCAGATTCAAAATGATCCTGACCGACAGTGGTTGAAAGAGTTATTATCAATAGAAAGGAATGTCTGGGTTGCAGTAAGGGGTTGTGGTTTTCCACGCAGCTGAAGCCTCGGGTTGCCGGCTTCAGAGAGAATAGATTGTTAATGTTTCCTATCAGACTTAAGGCCTGTGTTGATGTTAATGCTAGTCAGCTTTTCCTGAATTTCAAAAGGGAGGAGGCATGACCCACGACCCCTTCCCGCCATGGCCTGAACAAGTTCCCAGGTTAACACTGGAACGCCCTTGGCTGAGAGGAAGGGTCCATTTGGACGGCTGGGGGGGCCTTAGAATTTAATTTTTGGTTTACATTCACCCCCTTCTGGCCAAGATTTGCCAGAGGCAACATCCATGTCCACCAAATCTTTATTGTGTCTCAGCGTTGCTGGGCGAGTGTGGCTGCCCACCCTCAGTCAATCCTGTCCCTCAGTTTGACTCCCTATGACCCAGGGACTTACAGTTAAAAGATTTACAGCCCATTAAATTTTGTAGGCCAGATAGGAATGGACATGGACCAGCATTCATTACCTCTTAAAACAATTTTTTTTTTTAAAGTTGGAGTCTCACTCTGTCGCCCAGGCTGGAGTACAGTGGCATGATCTCGGCTCACTGCAACCTCCGCCTCCCAGGTTCCATTGAGTCTCCTGCCCCAGCCTCCTGAGCAGCTGGAACTACAGGCATGCACCACCATGCCTGGCTAATTTTTATATTTTTGTAGAGACAGGGTTTCACCATGTTGGCCAGGCTGGTCTTGAACTCCTGACCTCAAGTGATCCGCCCTCCTTGGCCTCCCAAAGTGTTGGGATTGCAGGCATGAGCCACCACACCCGATCTATCATGTAACATTTTTATAAATTCCTTTTTTACCAAAGGTATTGCAGCTTACACAGACCGTTCACGACATGTGGACTTTCTAGTTTGTGCTGAACATCCCTTTTTTTAAACAACCAGTCATTTATTTAAGGACAAAAATTTACCATACAAGATTCTTTCTCATATAAAATTATTTTTTTTAACCTTACTTAACAAAAAGACCTCTTTATATCTATAACTTTCCTTGGTCTCTCTTATTTCCTTGTTCTTTTTAACTCATTTTATACATAAACTTTAAATAAGCTTTGAATTAGACAAAATTATTTACCTTATAATAAGAATTTTTGTAGAAAGAACGTTTTCCTATAATTTTTTTTTTTTTAGATGGAGTCTCACTCTGTCGCCCAGGCTGGAGTGCGATGGTGCAATCTCGGCTCACTGCAACCTCCCCCTCCCAGGTCCAAGTGATTCTCCGGCCTCAGCTTCCCAAGTAGCTGGGATTACAGGCATGTGCTACCACACCTGGCTAATTTTTGTATTTTTCAGTAGAGACGGGGTTTTGCCATGTTGGCCAGGCTGGTCTCCAATTCCTGATCTCAGGTGATCTACCTGCCTCGGCCTCCCAAAGTTCTGGGATTACAGGTGTGAGTCCCCATGCCTGGCCTTCAGCTGGGTTTAGAGTTTTACAATGCTTATGCCAAGTTTTGACCCCTTATAAATCAATAAATGCAAACAAAAATGTATGCTGACAGTTTTTAAGACACTCCTTATATTACTTTACCAATACTTTTGGCCGGGCACGGTGGCTCACGCCTGTAATCCCAGCACTTTGGGAGGCCGAGGCAGGTACATCACGAGGTCAGGAGATGGAGACCGTCCTGGCTAACATGGTGAAACCCCGTCTCTACTAAAATATACAAAAAATTAGCCGGGCGTGGTAGCGGGCGCCTGTAGTCCCAGCTACTCGGGAGGCTGAGGCAGGAGAATGGCCTGAACCCAGAAGGCAGAGCTTGCAGTGAGCCCAGATCGCACCACCGCACTCCAGCCTGGGGGACAGAGCGAGACTCCGTCTCAAAAAAAAAAAAATTTTTTACTTAAGTCACATGAAATTTGTTATTATGTACTAAATGTATGCATACTCCTTAAGCCACTTTGATACCTTGTGGCCACAAAACATGTATCAGAATCCACGCACGTACACATAAACACATCTAAACACACATATACACTCATCCAAAAACCCTACAGCTTTTGCTTTACACCTCTAACCATGACATATCAACACAAAGTCACTAGTTAGAAAAACAATAACAGAAAGAAACATCTAGATGCAAACTGTGGATGTCATCTCAGTAGAAAAGTAACAGCTGGTCAGGCACGGTGGCTCACAACTGTAATCCCAGCACTTTGGGAGGCCAAGGTGAGTGGATTGCCTCAGGCCAGGAGTTCAAGACCAGCCTGGCCAACATGGTGAAACCACGTCTCTACTAAATTTACAAAAACTAGCCAGGCGTGGTGGCGCACACCTGTAATCCTGGCTACTTGGAAGGCTGAGGCAGGAGAATCGTTTGAACCCAGGAGGCAGAGTTTGCAGTGCGCCGAGATCGCACCCCTGCACTCTAGCCTGGGCAACACAGTGAGACTCTACCTAAAAAAAACAAAAAGTGTAACAGCAGCTTTAAGGCAGGCAGCAAAGGAAACAGAGAGATAGAGAACTTAGGAACTCTATAGTTCTTTTTTTTTTTTTTTTTTGAAACAGAGTTTTGTTCTTGCAGCCCTGGCTGGGGTGCAATGGCACGATCTCAGCTCACTGCAACCTCCGCCTTCTAGATTCAAGCTATTCTCCTGCCTAAGCCTCCCAAGTAGCTGGGATTACAGGTGCATGCCACCACGCTCGGCTCATTTTTGTATTTTTAGTAGTGATGGGGTTTCACTCTGTCGGTCAGGCTGGTCTCGAACTCCTGACCTCAGGTGATCCGCCCGCCTTGGCCTCCAAAAGTGCTGGGATTACAGGCGTGAGCCACTGCGCCTGGCCAGGAACTCTATGGTTCTGTAGTTGCAGGCTGACCTTTGGGCTCTGAATTTTTCCTGGATGGAATTTGCCCATCAGTTTAAAATGTGCCCCAAAAGACCATAATATGGAACCAGCTGGGGCACTAGGAAACCCAGCATGCCCGCGACATGTTCAGTTTTATACCAACACTTGCAGGTAGAGGCGCCTGAAACCAGCGGGGTGCCTGGAAGGAGGTCGCCCTCTTGTCTTTGCTGAGGCTTACATTATTTATTTCCCACTTTTTTTTTTCTTGAAAGGAACCGAGCTGTGGCCTGGGGTTCCATGGAGCAGGTGGGGCGCGGAGGAACTGAGCTGTGGCCTGGGGTTCCGTGGAGCAGGTTGAGTATGGAGGAACTGGGGTTCCGTGGAGCAGGTGGGGCGCAGAGGAACCGAGCTGTGGAATGGGGTTCCGTGGAGCAGGTTGAGTGTGCCGGTCGTGGACGGGTCGTGGGCGGGACTCCCCAGTGTGTCACCACTGAGGCATCTTCGCCCTCTTACGTGTCTCTGTTTCTCTCTCTAGAAGTCCAACACCTCCGAGAGGACTCAAAACACAGAGTGACCAGCTCCTATGTGCATTTCCTGGACAAACCTTTTTTTTTTTTTTTTTTTTGAGACGGAGTCTCGCTCTGTCGCCCAGGCTGGAGTGCAGTGGCACGATCTCGGCTCACTGCAAGCTCTGCCTCCCGGGTTCACGCCATTCTCCCGCCTCAGCCTCCCAAGTAGCTGGGACTACAGGCTCCCGCCACAATGCCCGGCTAATTTTTTGTGTTTTTAGCAGAGACGAGGTTTCACCGTGTTAGCCAGGATGGTCTCGATCACCTGACCTCGTGATCCACCCGCCTCGGCCTCCCAAAGTGCTGGGATTACAGGCGTGAGCCACTGCACCCAGCAGACAAACCTTTTTAAACTAATTGTGTTGGGGGGTTCCCTGTGGGGCTGCTGCACGTCGTGGGGGATCAGCCCACGAGATACTCCCACTTGGCTCACAGTCACCCAGGGGCGCCTTTCAGCTGGGAGGAGCAAAATGCCTTTCTTTCTGGAGCTGAGAAAACTCAGTCTCTCATTTATCTATGCAAAGAACAATTCAGTTCCTCATGCAAATGCACGCACAAGCCAGTTGGGCTTAATTTTGGGAGAAAAAGCAACAGAGAAGACCCTTAGGAACGCACGTCCGAGCTAGAAACCAAATGGGGTACCCAAAAGGGAGTCGTTCTCCTTGTCTTAAGAAAAAGGTGGCCGGGCGCAGTGGTTCACACCCGTAATCTCAGCACTTTGGGAGGCCGAGGCAGGCGGATCACCAGGTCAAGAGATCAAGACCAGCCTGGCCAATATGGTGAAACCCCATCTCTACTAAAAAAATATACAAAAATTAGGCTGGGCGCAGTGGCTTATGCCTGTAATCCCAGCACTTTGGGAGGCCGAGGTGGGCGGATCACGAGGTCAGGAGATCGAGACCATCCTGGCTAACACGGTGAAACCCCGTCTCTACTAAAAATACAGAAAATTAGCCAGACGTGGTGGCGGGCGCCTGTAGTCCCAGGTACTCAGGAGGCTGAGGCAGGAGAATGGCGTGAACCCGGGGGGCGGAGCCTGCAGTGAGCCGAGATCGCGCCACTGCCCTCCAGCCTGGGCGACAGCGAGACTCCATCTCAATAAATAAAAAAAAAAAAGAGTTGTTATCAGTAGAAGGGAATGTCTGGTTACAGTATGGCGTTGTGCAGATGAAGGTCTTATCGCAGATGAAGCCACCAGGTCACAAGCCTCAGAGAGAATCAACTATAAATGCTTCTCATCAGACTCAAGGCCTGAGGTGATGCTGATGCTGTGCCTGAATTCCAGCAGGGAGGAGGCATGAGGTGCGTCCGACTCCCTTCCCATCACAGCTGAGCTAGTTTTTCAGGTTAACTTTGGAATGCCCATGGCTAAGACCAGGGGTCCATCCAGACAGTTCAGGGCTTATAATTTTATTTTTGGTTTATGAGGGAACCTAGAAGGCAGCCCACACGCACCTTACTCCTCCCAGCAGGGGACACCGGCCAGACCCCAAGCTCCACACTCCCACCCTCAGCACCCACCCAGGCCAGCAGCCGGGGGCACCTTGGTGCCACCTTAGTGCCTGTTCTGCGGAGGCTCCACTGGACAGTGCAGTTGATGCCCGGGGCCGAGGGGGCTCTGCCTGGGAGGCTGTTCACCTGCCTGGGTGCAGGACCCCAGAGGGACCCCAGGCCACCCCTGGCCTGCCCATGCCCACGGGAATCCCGACCTTGGGCTGCCTGTCTATTGCACCAGAACCGTCCCAGGGCTGACTCAGAGTGACCCTGAGTGGGGGACGCTCACCCCAGGGGAGGAAACGGGGCTCTGGGATAGGAGGTCCTGGCTGGGGTCCCACAGATGCCAGGCGCCTGCCATCTCCAGGGCAGTGCTGTCACAGAAGACAACACCGCTCCCTCGTTACCTGTGGCCCGGCCACCTCAGCGGCCCAAGGAGGTGAGCTCACAGCCATGCTCGGTCAATGGGGCCTGGCCGTCTTTCCTGGGAGAGAGCAGAGGCATGGGCCCAAAGGGAGCCAGGGATGCCTGCCCGTCCCTTCTCTCATTCAGGCTCACCTGGTCATGGTGCAGTGACCACAGGACCCCCACATGCCGGGAGCTGGGTTCGCCCCACCCCACCCCCTGCACCGGGCCAGCGAGGGGATGGCCCAGAAGAGGGGGAGGACCATGTGGATTCACCAGTGCTGGACATGTGCTCTGTGGCTACCCCCTCTGCCTACTCTCTGGCCCGATACAGGGGTGTGGGACAGGTGACTGAACCTCAGCCCTTAGAGGCCTTGCCCGGGAGGAGGGGAGGGGGGTGGAGCCGGGAGCTGCGTGATCCAGCCGAGATGTGCTCTGACTGAGGCCCTGCAGGGCATACGGGTCATGGAAGGGGTGCTCTGCCCCCGGCCAGGGCTCCCCCTCCTACAGGAAGCCGGGGGCCTTGCTCCTGCAAGCTGCCCTTTGGCTGGACCGGGCCCCACTGGCCGGACCTGGGCTCTTTCTCTCTCTGCACCCTGCACCAAGGCTGGGCTGTCTGCCAGGCCACTCCCGGGGACACAGGGAGGCACAGGCTGCTTCCAGCCACAATCTCTGGCAAGCACCTAGGACCTTGTCCCCGCCTGCCAAGTAGCCGCCCGGGCCATGTGTGCCCTGTCTCCTCGGCAGGTGCGGCCCACGCACAAAGCTGCCCAGATGTGGTGGGGGAGAAGCCCCAGGCCTGTGCTGTGTCCGGGGGCCCTGCCGCTGACCTGTGGGGTCTCTGTGACATCAGCAAGCCCCCTGCCGCGAGCTTGGAGAGGCACCCCAGCCCCATCTGGCACTCAAGGAAATCAGCTCAGAGAGGTTGAGTAACTCGGGAAGGCCACACAGCCAGTGACGAAGCTGTGATTCACACAGGCCTGGGTGACTCCAGCATGGCTTTCCTCTCCAGGACGTCACCGGTGGCAGCTGCTTCCTTCCAGAGCCGGCAGGCAGGTGACCTCACCCTCCTCAGAGCCATGGCTCTGCTGCTGGACCCTGTGGGGCTGGGCTCCCCCAGCCAAGCCCAGGGACCCAGCACCACTTGGGGCAGGATGTCAGGAACACAGAGCCTACCCTTCCAACCTGGGCCCGGCTCGGGTCTGGTCATTTGGGACAGTGAGGCCACCTGGATATCTAGGGTCCCACAGTAGACAGGGATGGGGTGGTCCTGGGGGACAGGGACACCTGCCTTCCACACAACCGCACTGGGGCTGAAGACGCCAGCCTGGGAGACTGTGATTTGGACCCTGACAGTAGCATGTGGTCTTAGCATGTGTGAGGTCTTAGCGTGTGTGGTCTTAGTGTGTGTGAGGTCGTAGCGTGTGTGAGGTATTAGCATACGTGTGTGGTCTTAGCATGTGTGGGGTCTTAGTGTGTTGTGAATCACTTTCTTTTTTTTTTTTTTGAGACGGAGTCTTGCTCTGTCGCCCAGGCTGGAGTGCAGTGGCACGATCTCGGCTCACTGCAAGCTCCGCCTCCTGGGTTCACACCATTCTCCTGCCTCAGCCTCCCCAGTAGCTGGGACTACAGGTGCCTGCCACCGCGCCCACCTAATTTTTTGTATTTTTAGTAGAGACGGGGTTTCACCGTGTTAGGCAGGATGGTCTCAAACTCCTGACCTTGTGATCCGCCCGCCTCGGCCTCCCAAAGTGCTGAGATTACAGGCGTGAGCCACCGCGCCTGGTGGTCGTGAGTCACTTCCATGTGTGCCAGCATCTTGGTGTGTGTGGTGTGGGTGTGGACTGAAAGTCTTAGTGTGTGGCGCGTCATCTTAGTGTGTGGTGTGGTTGGTGGCAGCTATAGTGTCCAGCAGGGAGGGCGAGCCCCTGTGCCTACTCGGGGGAGCAGGTGCCTTCTCCACACCCAGACCCTTGGTGTTCCCACATTAGCACCTGTCCCAATGGCTGGGCGGCTGGTCCCGAGAGACACTGGATCTGGGAGCTGAGGTCCCCACCCAGTGTCTGTCAGCCAGGGAAGGGAGGGAGTGCTGGGAGCCCACCACGGCCCCGGATCTGAGTTCCAGGAGCTGGCAGAGAAAGATGGGGCTTCTGGGCCGGGCACGGTGGCTCACGCCTGTAATCCTAGCACTTCGGGAGGCTAAGGCGGGCGGATCACCTGAGGTTGGGAGTTTGAGACCAGCCTGAGCAGCATGGAGAAACCCCATCTCTACTAAAAATACAAAATTAGCCTGGGATGGTGGCAGGTGCCCGTAATCCCAGCTACTCAGGAGGCTGAAGCAGGAGAATTGCTTCAACTCGGGAGGTGGAGCTTGCAGTGAGCCTAGATCGTGCCATTGCACTCCAACCTGGGCAACAAGAGTGAGACTCCATCTCAAGAAAAGAAAGAAAGAAAGATGGGGCTTCCAAGGAGGTCTCAGCCCAACACTGTCCTCCCCCTCCCTCCACAGGCTGCAGCCCCTTACTCTCAGCCAGGGTCAGGACCCCAGGCCTCCCCTGCAGGGCTCAGGATGGGAAAGATTTCACCTGCAGAGGGATGGGCATCTCTGTCCCCCAGGAATTCCCCTTTTGGGTCCGGGGCAGGTGTGGCTGCCCTGGCTGGGTCCTCCCTCGCCTGCAGCACAGTCCCACGCCCAGCCAGCCTGTTTTAAATAGGAGGCCAGAGGCTCCATCCTGCTTCAGAGCTGCCAGCTGCCCCCGCAATGGCTGAGCACCGAAGCATGGACGGGAGAATGGAAGCAGCCACACGGGGGGGCTCTCACCTCCAGGTACCGTGGGGGGGGGTGAGGGGGGTGGGGGGGTTGGGTGAGGGGGGTGGGGTCGGGGGGGGGGTTGAGTGAGGGGGGTGGGGGGGTTGGGGGGGTTGGGTGAGGGGGTTGGGGGGGTTGGATGAGGGGGTTGGGGTTGGGGGGCCCCACCTCAAGGTACCAAGGTGGTGGTTGGGGTTGGGGGGACCCGCCTCGAGGTACCGTGGGGGGATTGGGGTGGGGGGTAGGGGTGGGGGGGTGGGGCTGGCGGGGGGGCTCCCACCTTGAGGTACCAGGGGCTGGGTTGGGGGGTCTCTTTCCGATGCCTGGCCCCGTGTGCCATCAGGAACAGGATTGCATGGTGGCAATGGGGCAGGTCATCCCTGAGTGCCTCCTTATCCTGAAGAAGGCTGTGTCCCATTGCGGGTACATAGTGTGTGCTGGACCACTGGGGGTGCCGAGCGTGTGCTGGACCACGGGGGGTGCACAGCGTGTGCTGGACCACGGGGGGTGCCGAGCGTGTGCTGGACCACGGGGGGTGCCGAGCGTGTGCTGGACCACTGGGGGTGCACAGTGTGTGCTGGACCATTGGGGGTGCATAGCGTGTGCTGGACAGACCCCGGGAGAACACTGCAGATACTGCGTGTCCAGGCGCTGTGCATCCCGTGGGTTGGCCACATGGCACGACGCAGATCCAGACAGGGTGGAGAGGCCAGTGTAGTCCTGTCTCACACACACGCGCACATGCAGGGTGGGGTCCGGCTCCTCTCTGACCAGGGGTCCAGGCCCTGCCTCACTCAGAAGCCCTGGGGACCCTGACTGGCCCTCCAGACCCCAATCCACAGCTCCCGCTTCTGCTGGCCTGGCAGCCCCCACTAGGGGGATGGTGCTGCCCTGTCTATGCGCCAGGTGGAGACGAGGAGTGGGGACTGGAGTCACAAAGACCCTTCCGAGCCTCTTAGCCTCCCTGCTCAGATGGCCTTGGGGACGCAGGGTGAGCAGAGCCATGTGCCCAGTGGTGGAGCTCCTGGCCAGGCTGCCTGGAGGCCTGTGCGGCCCACACACCCGAGGGGAGCCGTCCCCACCTGGTGTCCCCAGGCCCCGAAGCTTCTGGCTCGCTCTAGCACCTCCCCAGAGTACCTCGGAGCAGGCTTGGGCAGCGGGACAGCCTCGCAGACCAGAGCTAGGCCTGTCCCAGGACTCCAGAGCCTCCAGCGCGGGACTGGGCAGGCAGTGGCTGGGCTTCCTGGGGCCCTTGTGTCTCCGCAGCTGGCCCCGGTACTCAGCTCAATGGGGCCACCCCGAGCCACAGTGCCGAGCGGTGTCCAGGCCAGACGCTTCCTGGACTTGGCTGGATGGGCCTGGCACAGTCGGTCCTCAGCAGGCCACACTGGGGGCTGGGGTGGGTGCAGCCATCAGGGGCAAGAAGGGCAAGTCTTCCCCTGAGCCCCAGACCCCACGCGGGGCGCATGGACACGCTACCGTACTTGCCTTTGGGTAGATCGCCTGGGCCTGTGGCTCCCCAGAGGCCCTGCCACCTGAAGGGATGGCAGCACAGACCCACTCAGCACAACGCTGCCTGCAAACAGGGCCAGGTAGGGCCTGAGCACCCTGTTCTCTGAGTCCTGCTGCCCCAGCAGCCCAAACTCAAACTCAGCTCCAAGGCTACACTGAGACGTGTCAGGGACGGGTGTATCCGGGGAGAAGGGCGCAGTGTCAGAGCACCCTGGGAGGGGCTTGTCCGAGCGACCGAGCAGGTAGGGCGGGGCACTGGTGGCTGACAGACATGACAGGCCCAGGGTAGGGAGGCCTGAGTGGGTGCAGGCCGGGCCCTGCTGAGGCCACTCTGCACACAGGCTGCAGCCCAGACGCCCCCCAGGCCGGGGCCACCATCAGCACCACCACCACCACCCAAGGAGGGGCACCAGGAGGGGCTGGTGGAGCTGCCCGCCTCGTTCCGGGAGCTGCTCACCTTCTTCTGCACCAATGCCACCATCCACGGCGCCATCCGCCTGGTCTGCTCCCGCGGGAACCGCCTCAAGACGACGTCCTGGGGGCTGCTGTCCCTGGGAGCCCTGGTCGCGCTCTGCTGGCAGCTGGGGCTCCTCTTTGAGCGTCACTGGCACCGCCCGGTCCTCATGGCCGTCTCTGTGCACTCGGAGCGCAAGCTGCTCCCGCTGGTCACCCTGTGTGACGGGAACCCACGTCGGTGAGGGCCAGGGCTGTCGGCGGGAGGGGTGGCCGCCCCAGCTCCTTGCCCCTGTGACCGTCTCTAACCGAAGCCCCACTGGCCCCTGTAGCCGAGGAGGGGGCTCTGTGTGGTCAATGCCACCCTCCTGGTCACTGTGACCTCCCAAACCTCGGTGCCCAGCCCGGACCTCTCGGACTGCCAAGGAGGGGGCTCAGTGTGGTCACTGCCCCCTGGAGGGACACCAGGGCCCTCGGGAGCCTGGGAGGAGAGGTGGGGGTGGGCGAGGCTTTCCAGAAGGAGGGAAGGTGGGAGGGGCTGCGAGCGGGCTGGGCTCCGGGGCCGACCTCACCGGCAGCCACGGCCTCCAACTCCAGCTCTGGGTCCAGCTCACCCCACTGGGCGTCCCGAGTAGGGGAGGCACTGCTGTCCCGACAGCACACACTGGGATGCTGGGGCCAGTGTGAGGCCCCGGGCCGGCAACTCTGACTCCAGGGCCCTGCGTCCCAGGCCGAGTCCGGTCCTCCGCCATCTGGAGCTGCTGGACGAGTTTGCCAGGGAGAACATTGACTCCCTGTACAACGTCAACCTCAGCAAAGGCAGAGCCGCCCTCTCCGCCACTGTCCCCCGCCACGAGCCCCCCTTCCACCTGGACCGGGAGATCCGTCTGCAGAGGCTGAGCCACTCGGGCAGCCGGGTCAGAGTGGGGTTCAGACTGGTGAGTGTCCCAGCCGGGGCCTGCAGCCATCAGGGCCTTGAGCTGGGAGCACGGCCCTGCGCTGCTGGTACCTCGAGTGGGGAGCGGGGCCTGGGCTGTAGCCACAGAGCTGACCCTCCCTCCCCTCTCCCAGTGCAACAGCACGGGCGGCGACTGCTTTTACCGAGGCTACACGTCAGGCGTGGCGGCTGTCCAGGACTGGTACCACTTCCACTATGTGGATATCCTGGCCCTGCTGCCCGCGGCATGGGAGGACAGCCACGGGAGCCAGGACGGCCACTTCGTCCTCTCCTGCAGTTACGATGGCCTGGACTGCCAGGCCCGGTGAGTGTGGCGGGCGGGGGCCACTCCTTCCGTCCCACCCCACAGAGCGTGGCCGCACCCCTGGGGTCCCTCTGGCTGTATGCTGGGAGCCACCCAAGGCTGGCCGGAGGAACTTTCCGCAGACACAGGGCAGGCCATGGCCCCTCAGGCCAGCGTGACGGGCGCGGGCAGCCGACATTCAAGGTCTGAGCTTGGCTTCTCATTCCAGACAGTTCCGGACCTTCCACCACCCCACCTACGGCAGCTGCTACACGGTCGATGGCGTCTGGACAGCTCAGCGCCCCGGCATCACCCACGGTGGGTGCCAGCCCCTGGCCGGTGCGGGGGCAGGGGTGCAGGTCAGGTGGCCTCACACCAGCCCTTGGCCTCCCAGGAGTCGGCCTGGTCCTCAGGGTTGAGCAGCAGCCTCACCTCCCTCTGCTGTCCACGCTGGCCGGCATCAGGGTCATGGTTCACGGCCGTAACCACACGCCCTTCCTGGGGCACCACAGCTTCAGCGTCCGGCCAGGGACGGAGGCCACCATCAGCATCCGAGAGGTGAGCTGGCCTCTGCAGCCAACCTCCGGCCCAGGCCTCCTGCCCAACCTGGGCTTTGGGGGGTGAGGGCAGGGCCCATGGAACTGAAGCGTCCCCTCCCAGGACGAGGTGCACCGGCTCGGGAGCCCCTACGGCCACTGCACCGCCGGCGGGGAAGGCGTGGAGGTGGAGCTGCTACACAACACCTCCTACACCAGGCAGGTGAGGCTGGGCTGGCAGGGGGTGCGGGGGCAGGTGAGGCTGGGCTGGCCAGGGGGTGTGGGCGGGTGGAACGGGGGAGGGGTCTGGGAGAGTACTAGAGGGCCTGGGAACGGGGCAGTCCCCGTGGAGGCCCGCACTCCATCCCCCGTGTCCCCGCTCCATTCCCTGTGTCTCTGCTCCGTCCCGTGTCTCTGCTCCGTCCCGTGTCTCTGCTCCGTCCCGTGTCTCTGCTCCGTCCCCCGAGTCTCTGCTCCGTCCCGTGTCTGCTCCGTCCCGTGTCCCTGCTCCGTCCCGTGTCTCTGCCCCGTCCCCCGTGTCTCTGCTCCGTCCCGTGTCCCTGCTCCGTCCCGTGTCCCTGCTCCGTCCCGTGTCCCTGCTCCGTCCCGTGTCCCTGCTCCGTCCCGTGTCTCTGCTCCGTCCCCCGTGTCTCTGCTCCGTCCCGTGTCTCTGCTCCGTCCCGTGTCTCTGCCCCGTCCCGTGTCCCTGCTCCGTCCCGTGTCTCTGCTCCGTCCCCCGTGTCTCTGCTCCGTCCCCCGTGTCTCTGCTCCGTCCCGTGTCTCTGCTCCGTCCCCCGTGTCTCTGCTCCGTCCCCCGTGTCTCTGCCCCGTCCCGTGTCTCTGCTCCGTCCCGTGTCTCTGCTCCGTCCCGTGTCCCTGCTCCGTCCCCCGAGTCTCTGCTCCGTCCCGTGTCTCTGCTCCGTCCCGTGTCTCTGCTCCGTCCCGTGTCCCTGCTCCGTCCCGTGTCTCTGCTCCGTCCCCCGTGTCCCTGTTCCGTCCCCCGAGTCTCTGCTCCGTCCCGTGTCTCTGCTCCGTCCCGTGTCTCTGCTCCGTCCCGTGTCTCTGCTCCGTCCCGTGTCCCTGCTCCGTCCCGTGTCTCTGCTCCGTCCCCCGTGTCCCTGTTCCGTCCCCCGAGTCTCTGCTCCGTCCCGTGTCTCTGCTCCGTCCCGTGTCTCTGCTCCGTCCCGTGTCTCTGCTCCGTCCCGTGTCCCTGCTCCGTCCCCCGAGTCTCTGCTCCGTCCCGTGTCTCTGCTCCGTCCCCCGAGTCTCTGCTCCGTCCCCCGTGTCCCTGCTCCGTCCCGTGTCCCTGCTCCGTCCCGTGTCTCTGCCCCGTCCCGTGTCCCTGCTCCGTCCCCCGTGTCTCTGCTCCGTCCCCCGTGTCTCTGCTCCGTCCCGTGTCTCTGCTCCGTCCCCCGTGTCTCTGCTCCGTCCCGTGTCTCTGCTCCGTCCCCCGTGTCCCTGCTCCGTCCCGTGTCCCTGCCCCGTCCCGTGTCTCTGCCCCGTCCCGTGTCCCTGCTCCGTCCCCCGTGTCTCTGCTCCGTCCCCCGTGTCTCTGCTCCGTCCCGTGTCTCTGCTCCGTCCCCCGTGTCTCTGCTCCGTCCCGTGTCTCTGCTCCGTCCCCCGTGTCTCTGCTCCGTCCCGTGTCTCTGCCCCGTCCCCCGTGTCTCTGCTCCGTCCCGTGTCTCTGCTCCGTCCCCCGTGTCTGCTCCGTCCCGTGTCCCTGCTCCGTCCCGTGTCCCTGCTCCGTCCCGTGTCCCTGCTCCGTCCCGTGTCTCTGCTCCGTCCCGTGTCTCTGCTCCGTCCCGTGTCTCTGCTCCGTCCCGTGTCTCTGCTCCGTCCCGTGTCCCTGCTCCGTCCCCCGAGTCTCTGCTCCGTCCCGTGTCTCTGCTCCGTCCCGTGTCCCTGCTCCGTCCCCCGTGTCTCTGCTCCGTCCCCCGTGTCTCTGCTCCGTCCCGTGTCTCTGCTCCGTCCCCCGTGTCCCTGCTCCGTCCCGTGTCTCTGCTCCGTCCCCCGTGTCTCTGCCCCGTCCCGTGTCCGTCCCCCGAGTCTCTGCTCCGTCCCGTGTCTCTGCTCCGTCCCGTGTCTCTGCTCCGTCCCGTGTCTCTGCCCCGTCCCCCGTGTCTCTGCTCCGTCCCGTGTCTCTGCTCCGTCCCCCGTGTCTGCTCCGTCCCGTGTCCCTGCTCCGTCCCGTGTCCCTGCTCCGTCCCGTGTCTCTGCTCCGTCCCGTGTCCCTGCTCCGTCCCGTGTCTCTGCTCCGTCCCGTGTCTCTGCTCCGTCCCGTGTCTCTGCTCCGTCCCGTGTCTCTGCTCCGTCCCCCGTGTCTCTGCTCCGTCCCGTGTCTCTGCTCCGTCCCGTGTCCCTGCTCCGTCCCGTGTCCCTGCTCCGTCCCGTGTCTCTGCCCCGTCCCCCATGTCTCCGCTCCATCCCATGTCCCTGCTCATCCCCCCTGTCCCCAGGCCTGCCTGGTGTCCTGCTTCCAGCAGCTGATGGTGGAGACCTGCTCCTGTGGCTACTACCTCCACCCTCTGCCGGCGGGGGCTGAGTACTGCAGCTCTGCCCGGCACCCTGCCTGGGGTGAGTCCTGCTCGCTGCCTCCCACTCTGTCAGCCATTAGCCGGGGGGTCACAGCGAGCCTCACACATGCCTCTGACCCCTCCCCAAGGACACTGCTTCTACCGCCTCTACCAGGACCTGGAGACCCACCGGCTCCCCTGTACCTCCCGCTGCCCCAGGCCCTGCAGGTGAGACGGGGGTGTTGGGGTCGCGGCCAGGGATCATTGCCCCAGGTAGCGTGGCAGGTGACACCCGGCTGTCTCTTCCAGGGAGTCTGCATTCAAGCTCTCCACTGGGACCTCCAGGTGGCCTTCCGCCAAGTCAGCTGTGAGTCCCCAAAGTGGTGGGGTGGGGGTGTGGACAGCCAGGCAGACCCCACAGGTCCCACAGAGCCCACCCAAGACAAGGGCAGGGCCGGAACTGACCCAGCCTATGCCCCGTGGTCTCTGCCCCCACATCCGCCCGTGGTACCCAGGATGGCCGGGGGCATGGGGGAGCCGTGGCCACAGCAAACCTTCCGTCTGCAGGGATGGACTCTGGCCACGCTAGGTGAACAGGGGCTGCCGCATCAGAGCCACAGACAGAGGTGGGTGCACCCTCCCCCTCCAGAGAGGCATCACAGCCCCTCTCCCCTCAAAGCCCCCCTCCCCATCATGAAGGTCTGGGCCAGCGCCCTCATGCCTCTATCCTGCCCCAGGAGCAGCCTGGCCAAAATCAACATCGTCTACCAGGAGCTCAACTACCGCTCAGTGGAGGAGGCGCCCGTGTACTCGGTGAGCCTTGGCCCCCTGCCTGGGCTAGAGCGGGGGCAGCGACAGTGGCTGGCCCTGCACAGAAGGGGCACGGGGGCCTGGGCCCGCCCCTCACACCCGCACCCCACCCGCAGGTGCCGCAGCTGCTCTCGGCCATGGGCAGCCTCTGCAGCCTGTGGTTTGGGGCCTCCGTCCTCTCCCTCCTGGAGCTCCTGGAGCTGCTGCTCGATGCTTCTGCCCTCACCCTGGTGCTAGGCGGCCGCCGGCTCCGCAGGGCGTGGTTCTCCTGGCCCAGAGCCAGCCCTGCCTCAGGGGCGTCCAGCATCAAGCCAGAGGCCAGTCAGATGCCCCCGCCTGCAGGCGGCACGTCAGATGACCCGGAGCCCAGCGGGCCTCATCTCCCACGGGTGATGCTTCCAGGGGTTCTGGCGGGAGTCTCAGCCGAAGAGAGCTGGGCTGGGCCCCA